>NC_000023.11:111837542-112462542 GCF_000001405.40 Homo sapiens | reverse complement strand
GGGAGGTGTCTCCCAGTCAGGCTACATGGGGGTCAGGGACACACTTGAGCAGGCAGTCTGTCTGTTATTGGAGCTCAAATGCCCTGCTGGGAGAACCACTGCTCTCTTCAGAGCTGTCAGGCAGGGACGTTTAAGTCTGGAGAAGCTGTCTGCTGCCTTTTGTTCAGATATGCCCTGCCCCCAGAGGTGGAATCTAGAGAGGCAGTAGGCCTTGCTGAGCTGCAGTTGCTCCACCCAGTTCGAGCTTCCCTGCTGCTTTGTTTACACTGTGAGCATGGAACCACCTAATTAAGCCTCAGCAATGGCAGATGCCCCTCCCTTCGCCAAGCTTCCACGTCCCAGATTGATGTCAGACTGCTGCGCCAGCAGCAAGCAAGGCTCCATGGGCGTGTGACCTGCTGAGTCAGGTATGGGAGGGGATCTCCTGGTCTACCAGTTGTGCAGACAGTGGAAAAAGTGCAGTATTTGGGCAGAGTGTACCGCTCCTCCAGGTACAGTCACTCATGGCTTCCCTTGGCTAGGAAAGGGAAATCCCCTGACCCCTTGCACTTCCTGGCTGAGGTGATGCCCCACCCTGCTTTGGCTCGCCCTCTGTGGGCTGCAACCACTGTCCAACAAGTCCCACTGAGATGAACCATGTACCTCAGTTGGAAATGCAGATATCACCTGTCTTCTGCATTGATCTCGCTGGGAGCTGTAGGCTGGAGCTGTTCCTATTCAGCCATCTTGGAAGCGAATCCCCAACTACATTTTTAAAGTAATATGCTTTGTGTCATCAATTTCAACTCAGTGAAGAGACTTGTGGCTCTCAAGGAAGAATCTACAATGACTTTTTTTCTCAAGGTATGGACAAAACCCAGAAAGGCCAAGAAGTTTTTGGAATCATTTTTAGGAAGCAATAGTAATAAAAAAGTAAATTGTATCTTGTTCAAATGTATTTAGTGCCCACATCTGGAATGCTGGGTACATTTGTAATGATTGTCCTCTGCTAAAGACAGCAGAGCGGGTGAAAGTTTGGAAAGGGCATGATGGATGTTTACTGGTCTAAATGGGTGAATACATGAGCATACACCAAAAAGATGAGGACGTTTCAGCCTAGTACACTAACCTGGGAAGGACAGGTAGTATAGTAGTGAAGAACACGGCTTTTTCTGTTAGAGAGACCCAAATATGAATCCTGGCTCTATGACCTATTAGCTAGTGACCTTGGACATGTTACTTAAACTCTGTGAGTTTACTTGTTTTCACCTGTAAAATGAGAATACTGATAGTGCATTTCTCATGAGGCTATTGTGGAAATTATGCACATAATTCCACCGCTCTTATGCTTGGCATATAATAAATGCTCAGTAACTTATTATTTAATGCCTCTAAAACCAAGTATAAGGTGACAGCATTAACACAGACTCCTTCATATCCTGGAATAATTGAATGGAATGGGGGATGCCTTTACATTATACATAGGTGAAGTTAATGCATGTAAAGGGAAGTCTGATTTAAATGGCAGGTATTAAACATGTGGTCTCCATTGCCCCATGAGACGTTACAGGCTGAAAACAAGTAGATTTAATAAAAAAGTCATGGATGATAGAATTATCATAGGCAATTAAGGGAAAAATGATGTTTGATAGTCGTTCCCAAACTCGTGGTTAATGTCAAAGAGAACAAGGCTATCTTCTCATAAATTCTCTTCAGAGTCAGATTGTTAGACTGGATATTCCCTGAGGTTGACACCATGAAGGGAGTTCTCAAATTTAAATGGCTAACTGCTCTCTGAATTAACCAAACTCCTATTTTAATATTGATTTTCTAATGACCATAGCAGATAACAGTAATCAGAAGACATTGAAATTGTCTCCTGGCATTCCTGCAGCCACTATAAACATCGTTTTTCAAAAAGACTCAATGGCTTTGTATGAAGAGCTACTGAAATATAAAGCCTTTATGTTAGTCAGAAACCTTTGTTAAAATCCTGCCTCAAAAAGCAAGAGCCTACCCAATCAGATAATGTAGATTCAGTGTATTTTTAGGGATTTCAAGGAATTTTCTCCAACTCATTAGAAACACAAATGAAATTACAAATTCCTAGAAGGCATTGATTTGTTTCATGCTTCCTTTGTAGGCTGTTGTTTAGAACAAGAGTTTCAATCAGTGGCTATGTGAATACCAGTTACTAGAGTAGCCTGTCTTCATGAAGTGGTTATGGGATGTGTAATTGAGTAAGTTATGGTAATCAGGAGGGGTGTGAGTTAGAGTTTCCCTCTTCTGAGATCACAATGCTCTGGCATCAAAAAGATATGCTTTAAAATTCTAGTTCAACCACTTACTGCTTGATGAATTTGGGAAGGTTGCCAAACTGTTCTAAACCTTAGTTTCATCATCTTTAAATTGAATTTATAACACTTATCTCATAAAGGTGTGGTGAGCATTAAATGCCAGAAATGGATATTCCATCTTTCAGTGATATGATATTTAAATACTCATTATTAATAAAGCTTTCAGCACAGTGCCTGGCATAAAGTAGGCATTCACCAACTATTAGTTTCCTTTCCCTAGATGTCCCCAACCCACATTTTATGTGTAAAGGGATGAGTCTTCTATGTATAGGGAAGGCTGAAATTCTACATAGTCCTTCACTGGGTTACTGTGAAGCAAATGGGGTTTTTGGAATACAGTCACAACTGACTTATCACTGAACTGGCTAGATAAGAGAACCAGGGCCATGTAGAGTAAATGCTAGAAATCAATGAGCAGGAAGCAAGTCCAAACAGATCTAAGAATCACAGCTGATAACAGGAAGTTATACCAATAAGCATGAATGCTCAAAACCATAGTGGCTATAAATGACGGGACAGTGTGGTCTGGGTGCTAAGACAAGTTGACCAAGATAGTTCTCCTGACTCTACTAAATGGTGTAACTCACTTCTGGGACTCTTGTTTTTGAAATGTGGTCAGTGACTCTTGCCGCAAGATGACACTGAAGATCCATGACACTAAATTCTCTCGAAGATTTTTCTTTTTTTTTTCATTATACTTTAAGTTTTAGGGTGCATGTGCACAACGTGCAGGTTAGTTACATATGTATACATGTGCCATGTTGGTGTGCTGCACCCATTAACTCGTCTTTTAACATTAGTTATGTTAAATGCTATAACCTAATGCTATCCCTCCCCCCTCCCCCCACCCCACAACCCAAATGAAGTTTGGGCCATCATAGGGAGGCAATGAAATGGCCACCGATGTGATACCAATGTGACAGGGCTTTACGGATATGAAACAAGCACCCAGAGCCCTTTTAAGGGCATGAGATGTTAGCTTTTGCCCAGATGGTGGTAGAAATTATGTGTATCCTAAATTATTTATTTTGCTTCAGAGATGACTATCGTGGTCATAGGCAAGAAGGTGTGACAATCATCATTCTAGAGATTATTCTAGAGATTATCTTCTAGAATTCAAAAAAAAGGTGATGTTTGTTGTGTCATCCTGGATAAAATAAGGACAGTGACAGTATGGGTCTTGTGCGTTGTCATCTGGACAGAATGGAGGTGATGAGAATGAGGCCAATCATGCAGTTCTCCCTGTCTAACGGTGCATTTCAGTGGCTCATATCTACAGTCATGTGTTATGTTTCATCCATGCCAGATTATTCTGACAGGTAGAATGAACTCTGAAATACTGTAAAAGGCAATTGCTTATGGCAGGTACCATGCTTCTGCATGCAAGTGAAGGTAAATGCAGAAAGTGAAAACCGTAGGTATTTAGAAATTTTATTACAGCTGTAGACAAATGAGGGAGATAAGGGAAACTGGCTGACCGTTGAGGCGAAGTTCCCAAGGAGGCCAATGTTCAGTAGACTCGCTATGATTCACACTATGGTGCTGACTTTGCAGAGTGAGAATCTTATTTTTTTCAGTGTACTCAGAGGTAATTAGAATCAGGAGGACTGGTACTATTTAAACCCACAAAAACTGATGTATAAGCCAAACACCAATTTATTCAATTATAATAAGAATTAACTCTGAAATAGGCTAGAACACGCATGTCAGCTGGTTAGCAAATTTTCTCTCCCTAACAAAGTTTATAAGGGAAACTAATTACAATCAAGTTACTTTGAGAGCATGGAATCAGAGCAATGGAGTTAGGTGACCAGATGGCTGACACAAATTGGGATGGCCATTGCAGGGGTGGACACGCCAAACAGTCTGCTGGTCAACAACTCACCTCTGAATCTAGGGGGATTACCAACGTTCTGTTTAACTTCTTGCTTTTCTGTGCTCCATGAATACTATTTTCTTGTTGACAAATTATTCTTCAGACTTATCATTAAATGATTAGATTCTATCTTGCTTGGGGCATCAATATGTAGCAGATCTGCTTCCTTAAAGCTACAACCTTGTTTGAATCTGGTGGTTCCCCAAGCCTTTGCAGTTGCTGATTCCATCTTTGAGTAGGTTATATCTCATCTGTTCTCTGTAGATTCTAAGTAGTTTCACTCTCAGAGAAATTCACATAGCTATGATTTCTTAGGACACACCCTTGTAACTCTCTTTATGCTAAATCATGAGTCATTCTAGTTGAAGTGGATGGCATATAATGGATGGTGTCACTATAACAAAAATTTTGAATTGGTAAAATGCTTGCTAGCTAGTAGGCAGTAAAGCATTATTCCAGCATCCCATTCATATGCTCAGTCTGGCTGCTGGATTGTATTGCACAGTGTACAAGAGGTCTTTGATTTGGAGCACCTCAACAAGGGACCCCCAGAAGTGGAGGGTGAACTGAAGTTCATAGCCCTGGATTGGTTATATTTTCTGAGAGGCTAAGTTTGAAGATTTCTAAGGAAAGAAGGTAATGTTGCTGCAAAGAGAAAATCCAAACAGGGAATAAAATGATATATCTTTGGGAAAGAACCCAAAATGATGAATTGTGGCCCTAAAATAAGGAAAGATTGTTGATTAAGCCAACTGAATGCTCCTATCAGCATTCCAAGACCATACTGGGTTTGGTAAGGAAAGTGACTAGAGGCCATGAGGTTAGTCCTTTATTATAGAATTGATGGAGGTAGAACAAGATACTTCCAGGTAATTTCAGAGTCACTCTACGTTCAATAGCTCTACTTGTTAGAGGATCTCATACAATCCCAGTACTATAGTCGGAATTTCTTAGCATAACTGGAATATGTTAACTCAGGTCTCTGTTGTGGGAGCATATAGAGTAATGTGGTTGTGCAGCGAGCCGTTGTTAAAAGAAACCATTCGTGAATGCAAATAAGAATTGTTACAGTGGCTAGCAAGGCACAAGGTGAAAATATCTATTTATTGGTGCTACAGAATCAGAGTAGTAAGGTCCTAGTTAGGTTTAAGTATTGTCAAAGTTAGCATAATTCTCCAGAAACAAAGCCAAAGTACAATGGGATTTCATGTTCTGAGAGGCCTTGATGGTTGCTAGGGAATATGTGATTACTGATATTTCTCCAGGATATCCATTTTGGGGACATACATCAGAAACAAGAAGCAGGGAACAGAGGGCTGGTAATTACCAGCAGTGATCATTGCTGAACAGTTTTAACATTTTAGGGAGTTTTGCCTTTCTAGCATAACACTACTTTTGTTCAGAAGCATCAGGAATCTACACAAAGCTGGTGTGTACCAAGAGTAAAACATAAGCAATAAAATCCCGACTTCCTGAGTTTTGTGCACAAATGGTTTTAATGTATGTGCCCCAGGATTTTTCAGATGAGATAGTGTAGGAAGTTTTTTGCCATTCATTGTTTTTTAAGATCCTCAATTAGATGAAGGACTTCAGAGGTGGTCCATAAAGGTAGAGCTCAATAGCAATGAGTAGTAATCCTAGATGGTGACTACATTGAGGCTTCTAGAGTTAGAAACTACTGCAGGGTCTGGCTGTCAGTCTTCAGTGGAGATTTATTTGGCCAGGTCCCTTGTCCAAGGCAGCAAGGACATGCTACAGATACAGTAATTATGACACACCATCCCCAACTCTCACTAAATACCTTTCAGAAATCCTTATCCTAGAGCATATTGACTTGGCTATAAGACATGCTGGAACCTCAAGTAGGGTTGTTGGAGAAGAGAGGAATAAGTTGGAATTGGTGGGCTTGGCTAAAAGCATACACCTGCCTGATGGGCTAGCCTGCAAAGAAAAAGGGACCAACAGTTCCAAGCAGTATTCAAATGCCCATTCAATCTGGTTTGTAAATAGCCAGGAGGTTCTGTTTGTTGGGAAAGCATGAGTCTTTAGATGGAAACAAAACATATAGCTCTATGGAAGGGTGGCAGAGCTGTGGTTCCAGGAAGGTTGATTTATGCTGAAGGTAGATCGTAGTCAATAGGTGAAGCATGGTCCAAACTCTAGGAGGAGAATATAAGCAGATTATAGGAATGTCATTTGGACTTCAGCCAAAGGTCCTAAGCCAACAGGAAACTAGGATACAGACCAATAAAGGTGAAGGTAAAAGTCTTGGGCTCATTTCTAGGCACACAAGATTCAGGATTTGGGACACAAACTCAACCCAGATGTCACCCATTGGTCAGGATAAGGTTCCCAATGTGCTTCCACGGTTATTTTCATTGGCTCAGACTGGGCAAAGTTTTGCCTGCAGGTTTTTGGTGCTCTTGGAGAATTAATCCCAACTGCAGAAAGTGCCTGTGAATTGTTTTCATCATTCTCGGGTTAGGTTTCGTGAGGGGTAATTTGCCAATGAACAAGATCTGATTGTTTAAATTCCCCCAAAGCGTGTCAGTTCATAACTGCCTATAAAGTGGTGTCACAGTTCCCCATCTGTATTTTAAAAGTTAATGCAGGTTATAAATCAGTAAGGCTGGGATGTAAGTTTAAAAAGTGACTTTCCTGGTCTCCTCTTACTGGTGAGCTGTGTTATTTGTCGTTGCCGGAGCTCGAGAACGTTTGGCAAGGCAATCTCTTGTGAAGTGACCAGATTGGCTGCAGTAGAGGCACAACTGAGTTTCTTGCTGGCGGGCTCGTTTGGCTGGGGTGAGAGGCAGCTGGCCTTCTCGCAGCTGTATAGGCCCTTTCTTGGGTGGTGGATCTGTGGGGCTAAAGAGGGCTTGGTGTTGGATCAAGGAAGCCAACAATGGGAGCTGGGTCTCTGACTGTAGGAGCTCTGGCCTGTCACTATGTTTCTTGTCCAACTGAATGCACTGAGTGATCAGGTCTGGAAGATTGTCCATCATATCAGTGACACTCTCTTCATCCTGGTTGGGATCAGCTAGTGCCTTTTCGAACTGACCACTCTGATTGGTTTCATTACAGATCAGATTTTGAGCGAGGAGGTGGAAAGTAGCAGGGTCCTGCTGAGAGGAGTTGTCTCCTTTGTCAAACTTAGCATTCATCAGAGGATTGATTTCCTGTTTTGTGGGTTTACCAAATGACTGCTGGAACTCAAGAATAAGATTCTCATATTGCTTCAGTAAGGTACTCTTGTCAGGCCCAGATATGATCCCACAACTTTCTAACTGCTGAGATAGGTAATCAAAAAAGAGTTTGATCTGGGCATCATTTGCAGGATTAGAGATTTGGAGAGCTGTCAAGTAGGTAGTCACCTGAGTGAGGAACTCTGAGCAATTGGCAGGGTCACCATGAAACTGGGTGAGATGCTCAAGTGAGTATGGTACAGGCATCACTGTGGTGGCCAGGGCAGGCATGACTTGGCCCCTTTTAGCAGTGTTCTCCGTGGTTGGATGCTGCATTTGAAGCCGCAGAATCAGATTCTCTGCCTGAAGAAAGGAAGGCTCTACCTGCATGGTAGATGATGATTTCGTGCACTTCTCCATTATGTCTCCTGGAATCAGGTGGGATTGAGTAGAATTGAGTACTAGTACTGGAAACCAATGGAGACAGTGGATTTGCTCTGTGATCAGAGACGGAGTGTCATGAGCAAGTAGCCAAAGCTGTTAGCTGTGAAGAAGACACTAGGAGATGCTAACAGCTGAATTGGAGAGATGCCAAAAAGTGTTGTCCGCCACTCAATGTTGCCTCTTCTTCATGGAAAAGGCCAATGGTCTGCAATTTGGAAGAAATAAGTTACCTTAGAACACATAAAGGACTTGGGATTAAGAAGATATATACAACAGTCACAGTACCTTTCTCTCCTCCCTCCTTTTCCTTGTAATATAAGGGCAATTTGCCCTCTGACTAAACCTTTGTTCTAAAGCAAGCTTGGTCAACCTGTGGCTGGTGGGCCACATGCAGCCCAGGATGGCTTTGAATGCAGCCCAACACAAATTTGTAAACTTTCTTAAAACATTATGAGATTTTTTGTGATTGTTTTTTTAAGCTCATTACGTATCATTAGTGTTAGTGTATTTTATGTGTGGCCCAAGACAATTCTTCTTCTTCCAATGTGGCCCATGGAAGCCAAAAGATTAGACATCCCTGTTCTAAAGTATCTTTTTTCCATCAGAGAGTCAAAGAATTTGAAAACCCAAAGTGATCTCAGGTGATTATCCAGGCCAAATTCATAATTTTGCAAATAAGAAAACAGAGACCCAGAGAGGTAAAGATGTTTTCCCAAGGTCACACAGATAGTTAATATCACAGCTGGCATGCTCATCAGGGTTGTTGTCCAAATGGCACTTCCCCCAAGACCGTAAATGTGCTCATTTGCATATACTGCTTGGACATGATGATGGTTCGTGCACCTGGCTCCTCAGAATGTGATCTGTGAACAAATGGCATTGGCACTACCAGAAAGGTTGTTAGAAATGCAGAATCTTGGGTCTCACCCCAGAACTACTAAATCATTTTTCACACTTTAATAAGATTCCCAAGGTGACTAGAATATGTGTTAAAGTTTGAGAAATGCTGCTCTAAAGAGCACTTAGTTTGAATTGGAATAATCACTGGTTGGACTTGACCATAAGTGCCCCAAGACTAGCCTGCATTGCTGTGGGGATATGATTCCTGTGATGGCAGTTAATCCATGTTTTCTATCTTTCTAGTCCCTGTCTGAGGTCACAATTTCTTGCCATGGAAATGATTAAGATATCACAGGCAAGACTAAGAGGTAAGGTTGAGAATCTAGCAAACAAGAACTGAATATTCTTAAAATTAAAAAGATCAAAATGTTCAGCAGTCTTTCCAGCATTGATAACAAAAATAAAGCAACCAGTAAAAGTTAAAAACAACCCCAAACATATGGCATAGCAGTTGAACTATTCTGCACTTCAATTCCTCTCATTGCCCTTTCCTTGTGTAGCATGCTATTTAAATATATTTAAATTGTCCACTGGTGGGAAAAAATGATGTATCATTGAATCTTTTTAAATGTAAGACTTGATTTCCCTAGGTTTTATTTGATGGCTCATTTTCTCTAGACCTATGAAAAAATTATTGGAAGACAAATAGTATAAGATTGGAGGCCAGAAACATGAATCCAACCACCAGCATTAATCAGTTGGATGATCCTGAAGAACTCATTTAGGTCTCGGTTTCCTTTTTTACCTAATGAGGATTACTTTTTTTTTTTTTGAGACAGAGTCTCGCTCTTGTCCCCCAGGCTGGAGTGCAATGGTGCAATCTCAGCTCACTGCAACCTCCGCCTGCCGGGTTCAAGCGATTCTCCTGCCTCAGCCTCCCAAGTAGCTGAGATTATAGGCGCCTGCCACCATGCCCGGCTAATTCTCGTATTTTTAGTAGAGACACAGTTTCACCATGTTGGCCAGGCTGGTCTCAAACTCCTGACCTCAGGTGATCCGCCTGCCTCGGTCTCCCGAAGTGCTGGGATTACAGGTGTGAGCCACCGCACCTGGCCAGGATTACTATTTTACTTACCTCAGAAGGTGGTTATATCAATGAGATAACAGATTGGTGCTCTGAGTGGCAAAAAATGAAAGATTTACTTCCAAAATATTTCCAATGTAGATGAAAAATGCCCGGTGGAGAGGCTCTGCCTTTATCACATATTGTCAAAGTAGGGAGATACTATCATACCCTCCTTTTTTTCTTCCTTTCCATATCTCACCCTTCTAATTTCCTGATCTGTCTTCCAGACATCTACCACTTCCCAGATGTCCATCAATGAGTTCATTACTGCCATTCCAGCTAGGTGTCAACTGATAGCTAAGATGTTCTTCAATAAGGGTTAATGATTGGCCTTTCCAGGCAGGGCATGGTGGCTCACGCCTGTAATCCCAGCACTTTGGGAGGCCGAGGTGGGTGGATCATGAAGTCAGGAGATCAAGACCATCTTGGCTAACATGGTGAAACCTCATCTCTACTAAAAAAAAAAAAAAAAAAAAAAAAATTAGCTGCGCGTGGTGGCACGTGCCTGTAGTCCCAGCTACTCGGGAGTCTGGGGCAGGAGAATCGCTTGAACCTGGCAGGCAGAGGTTGCAGTGAGCCAAGACCATTCCACTGCATTACAGCCTGGGTGACAGAGTGAGATTCTGTCTACAAAAAAAAAAAAAAAAAAGGTCTTTCCCAGGGCATTTGCTGTTCACTCCAGCTTTAATGTCATAAGAATCAACTCAGACCCAATCCCTAGCAATTCTGATTCAATAAGTCTGGGATGAATCCCAGGAATCTGTATTTTAACAAGCTGGCCTGTTGATTTCTGATGCCGGTGGCTCTTGTGCAAAACACTGTCCAGATAAATCTCAAAGAATAAAACATTATTAGCAATATCACAGAGAAGTAGGGATGGGGAGGGCACATATTTGCAGGTAGAAGATTGGCTCTCAAATAACATAAAATGGGTGGTACACTATTCTACCTCCACATAAAGCACACAAAGAGCCCACATTGTCCTTCACTACTGCTCATCTCTCCCACGTGGTAGAATTCAACAGGTAAGGATGTCACTTCTAAACTCAAAGCGACTTGGTTTGATCTATGAACTGTGTGATTCTGAGCAAGTTATTTAGCCTCTTTGAGAATCAGTTTCCAAATTTTAAAATAGACATGATTATAATACCTGCCTCATAATGTTATGAAAATTAAATGAGATGAAGAGAGATTAGCATGGCTTCATACACATAGCAAGTTCTCCATACATTTTTTTTTTGAGACAGAACCTCACTCTATTGCCTAGGCTGAAGTGCAGTGGCATGTTCACAGTTCATTGCAGCCTCGATCTTTCAGGCTCTGGTAATCTTCCCACCCCAGCCTCCCTGGTAGCTAGGACTACAGGCACATACCACCTCGCCTGGCTATTTTTTGTTGTTGTTTGGAGGTGAGGTTTCAACATGTTGCCCAAGCTGGTCTTGAACTCCTGGGCTCAAGCAATCCACCTTCCCAAATTCACCCACTTTGGCCTCCCAAAATGCTGGGATTACAGGTGTGAGTCACTGCACTCAGCATCCATAAATGTTAGCTATTATTATTGTAGGTCCGCAAGCTGTTATCTGACTGTGTTTTAGAATTTAAATTTTTTCAGGTTTTTAGAAAGGTAACATGGAGTATCTACTGCTTATTACATAATACCTTCAGCAATGTCTGGGAAACATCCCATAATTAAGCCATTAACATTCCTGTAGGGAAAAAAAATGTCTGAATAGTCATACTAAAAAGGATAAAGACTAAGTGCATGACAATTCAGGTCAAGTTTTGCTGTCAAATGAGTTTTGGCACCAAATTAATGAAAAAAAATTGCTTCCATTTTACAGAGGTTTATGATTTCACAATTGAGATAAGAGATTACACGGACCTTTACATTATTATAACAATGTCCTTTGATTGGAAATGTGAGATTTTAAATTTTCCTTCCTTTCCTTGCCTTCTCTTTCCTCCACTCTCAGAAGTTCCAGAATCTCTGTTGAGTTCTGTTTCTTTACAGAATTATGTATTCAAGGTGGCACAGCATTCAATTTTCCTAATTATGTAGCACTGGTGAAACACTTGCTAAGATTATAAGCATTAGTCCAAATGCAAATCATACAATGACACTGTTGTCAGTGGCAATTGCTTAATCCCTCCAAAAAAAAAATCTACCTTGCCTCTTCATTTTGGAAATTGTTCTCCTTTAAAGGTCAGTGGCCTTATATTGTATTGCCCCAGAGGATCCTGGGACAAAGCTTGCCAGTTCAGAGGTGTTTCAGACCACAGCCTTGAAGAGAAAAAGCAGAGATAGAGCCAAAACCTGAAATACACAGGCTTGAGGGATCAGACTTGTGAGCTCGGACAAGGTCTAACACAACTGCATACATTTAAGCTTTTATTTACTAGGTATGTGTTTCAACTACAAAAACAAAAAATGGGTTTGGTAAATTATTACAGGTCATTTTAGTGTTTGTATTTGGTCTGGCTCAAAGCCATAGTTAACAGTTTCCTCGAACATAAAACTACTTTACTCTGGAGTCCCTTGAGATCCCATTTGGAGAAGAGTCAGCAGTACCCTGCTGCTTATAAGAGAGCTTTTTGACTTTACACTGCTTTAATTTCAAACTGTTCTACATAATCCCTTGGAAGAGGAGCTTTGACCTAAAGTCATGCAACTACCCAGAGCAGTTGTATATTTTACTCTTGATCTCCAAACTTTCTGAGGAATGCTGTGGCCACAGAAGCTAAATTGAGACATAAATAACTCTCAAGGGGTGACCAGAAGGGCAAACTGTTTGGATTTGTCTGGAGACCTCAGTGTGGGCCTAGCTCTGCCACCATTCAGATCAATGGCCACATGGGCAAGTCACTCGCTCTCTCTGGGCTTGTTTCCTTACTTGTACAATGAAGGCATCGGGCTTCCCAAACTTTAGCACACATACAAAATTCTGATTCAAGAGGGTTAGCAGGAGACCCCAACATTGACTATCAATCATCCCTCCAGATGATATTGAAGTAAGAGGCCTTCAGATTTTACCTTGTGAATATCGGGTGACTGACCACTCAGAGCACCAACATTTCTCAGAGGTTCTCAAATTTCAGGGTACATCAGAATCCCCTGGGATTTTAACATGCAGATTCTTGGGCTCACTCCTGGAAAGTGTGATTCAGTGGGTCTGAATTTGATCTCCATTTTAATCAATCTCTGCAGATGATGCAGTAAAAGTTCCCTTGATGACACTTTCAAGAAATTCTAGGTTGAATACCCTCAAAAGGTCCTTTCTGTTTCATTATCTACATTTTTGAAAGTAGAAAATATTTGGCTCCAACAGGAGCCCCTAAGGTGCATGATATGTGCATTGCTTCTTTTCATGGCTTTATCTGAGCCTCCATAGGCCCCTGTAAACAGTGGACTGGTGCAGGCTGTCTCAGGCACATCACATGCAGCTGGCTTAGGGGCAAGAGAGAGGGTAGCAATTGAGCTGAATCTGCTCTTAGGGCTCTGTGGGTCCTTCTGGAAAGTATGCACCACTCTCTTCTTCTCTGCCTGGGAATGAGATTAAAAAGCCATCCCCATATCCCTGTCAGAGCTGGAGCAGCCCAGCTGAGGGTCAATTTGGCCATTGCTATGTCTCAGACCTCAGAACTTCCTTTAAGCTTCAATCTTCCTTCTGGCTCAGCTGGACCCATGGCCTAGCTTCTTATGAAGTTAAAAGTGTCATGAACACTCTCAATAGAATTTCCTGTTACATTTCCCCAGTTTTCCTTTTTAACATACTTAATTCTATTAAGGAACCACACTTGATCCATCACCCTTTCTGCCCATGGGCTTCATGGTCTGTGTGTACAGAGATTTAAATCTCAAAAAACCCACCTTATATTCATCATTTCATCCCATCTTTACTGCAATTTTCCAGTTCAGAAAACAAAACACTGAGATATTAAGTCAAGTGAAAGAGGAAGGGAAGCTTGGTATGTAAATAACTGGCTCCAAAGGACTCTCATTGTTCTCAGAGACAAGGAAGAAGCTATCCAAAGATGCAGTTGGGAGGATGGGGATGGGGATGGGACGAGTCTCTCCATGAAGTAAGTTACCAGTTCTATATCACTGGGGAATAAGCAGAGCTAGGATTACCACCTAGTTGGGAGTTGGAGTAGGGGGCTCCAAGAATCAGAGAAGAGGGAGCATCATGAAGAGAATCTGGTCCTTTCAAACCCATAGATTCTATAACTTGCCTGAGCACACAGCTAAAAAGCAGGTGAGAAACTGGCTGCTGGTTTTCTGCAATCTGGAATATGACCCTCAGACCCACAGCCAACCTTAATCTTACCCACTATGCTCATCATCCCTCTGTTCCTGTTCCTGGAGTAGACTCAATGGTTAAGATACAGCAATGGTGGTTTACCAATATGAGGGCTTAGTTTGGTTTCTCTGTCCATTCCCAATGTGACCATCGTTTCAAAGAGTACATGCTGTTTCAAGTAAACAATTACAGAAAGAGTGGAAAAATTTTGATCTGCAGATTCCAAATTGTCATATAATCAGCCCATAAATTTGAAATAAAAGGTCTTTTCCTGCCTTCATGCTCCCTCCTGTCTCTTTCGTCTTTAATTCATTAAGTGCAGTTCACTTACTGCTGAACACCACTTGCAACTGATGAGATGACAGAACCTAGCCTACTTATATTCAAACTTTTTTTTGGATTTCCAGGTCCCTGTGGTACACAGGCAATCTGTGCCCCTGGTCAAGGTGGAGAAAGCTTAATATAAGCAACTTAGGATACATCATGTTTTTTGACTATGAGAATCCTCTTTCAGATTTACAGATGAAGAATCTGAGGCTCAGGAAATAAAAGTTATTTGGGCCATGTTTAAGACTCTCTGTATTAATGTTCCAACCTGAAACTCTTAGCCTTTCTCTCCTCTCTAAGTCTTGACTATGAGTGAATGAGGAATACAGGCATTATAGAGTATGGGGCAGAAGCAACCTTATAATGTCACTTAATAATTGGTAACATTCCACACATGTGCAGAGCATTTCATGTGATCTGAATATTTTCCTACTGTTCCATGTATCCTTTTAATAAAATGTGATATAGGCAAGGCATGTATTCAACACTCCCTCCCAGAAGATAAAAAAAGAGTTGTCTAAGGACATACAGTTACTTAGTATTAAATTTGGGACTAGAATTCTCCACATTTGATGCTAACACCACTATGTTCTGGAAATAGTTTCAAACAGTAGAAAAAACTCATGGGCTTCGGAGTTAGACGGATGTTGGATTAAAATCCCAGTCTAGATTCAAATTCCAACCTATGAGACCTTGGGTGAATTACTTCTCTGAGACTTAGTTTTCACATCTGTGTTGCAAGACACTATATGTATTTACACATAGTTGAGATAATATATGTAAATTTCCTGGCATCCAGCAGATATCAACAATAGAAGCCACTATTTTCTAGAGCCACTGGAAGGTTGCCTACCAAACATCTTTGTCAGTAGCTCCAGTTTCTATCTGAGAAACCATGTTTTTCTGGGGAAGGTGATTCTACCTGAATTTGTTGGTATGGAGCAAGTGACTTAAACTAAGCCACTTAGCATATTACTTGCTCTAGTGTTTCTCCTTTGCACTCTCATATCACTTGCAATTAGTTATTGCAGTCCTGTTGTCCCTATTAATTCAATATGGAAATATTTAAATATGGGAATTATTTATTTCTGTATTCCCAGGGCCTAGCACTAGCTTACTTCCTTATACATAGAGGCACTCAGAGATTCTTTCTCGAATTTATACGATCTGTCCATAACAGCCATAGTTAGAACTAGATTTTAGCAGAGGTGGTTTTACTGTTCCCCATTCACTATCTCTTCTTTTATTATTCCTTTTTTTAATTTTGGAGATGGAGTCTCACTCTGTTGCCTAGGTGAAGTGCAATGGAGCGATCTTGACTCACTGTAACCTTCGCTTCCCGGGTTCAAGTAATTCTCCTGCCTCAGCCTCCCAAGTAGCTGGGATTACAGGCATGCACCACCATGCTGGGCTAATTTTTGTATTTTTAGTAGAGATGGAGTTTTGCCATGTTGGCCAGGCTGGTCTCAAACTCCTGGCCTCAAGTGATCCACTCGCCTTGGCTTCCCAAAATGCTGGGATTACAGGTATGAACCACTGAGCCCGGCCTATTCCTTGATGTAAATGGAAAACCCAGCCCTGCTCCAGTGTACCTCAGTATGTTTTCATATTACAGATGCCCAAGTTAACCAGATAGAAATATAGAACAAGACTGGTGGCAGTGGGAAAAATGCTCAGGAGGCAGATGTCCAAGCTGTGGACTTCAGTGGGTTTAGCCAGAATAGTGAGAAACAGTAGCCTTGGAGACCCTTGAGAATGTGTTCTGTTTGGATGAATGGGTCATTTAGTTTGTGGCTACTCTCCTCTTCAAACAGTTTCAAATTAGCCCAGGGCCTATGTCAATATTATCTAGAAGAATTTAGAATAAAACAAATGCAAAATAATCCAGATAACAATTGTCTAAAGATAATGGTATTTTCAACCACCCTTAATGAAGACAGAATAATTACCTACATCTCATGTGTTGTGCCCTATGCATAACTGGCCCACAAGTTTGAAAAACAGAGCAGATTCTGGGGAGTGTAAAAAGACAAAGTAGGAATGGGTGGGCTTCTCTAGCAGCCCAAATAGCAGCAGCTGCTGCAACCTTCCTTCTGCACCGTTACTATTAGAACTCTTCCTTTTCATTGTCTGACATTTCTCAACCCCTTGACATTGGGACAGATACAGGTTGGTAGAGCTTTGAGCTCTGCTAGTTGCTAGCTGTGTAACCTGAGGCAAGTTAACCTTCACAAGCTTTATTTTCTTTATCCATAAAATGTGGCCAATAATATTCACCACAGAAGGTTGTTCATTTATTTATATAATAAATTTTTATTGAATATCTGTTTTATGTTAGACACTTTTTTGAGCACTGGGAAACAATAATGAGCCCTCACTGAGCATGGATATTCTGGAATTACTGAAGCTGAAGCAACATATGGAAACTCCTTATCTCAGTACCTGGCTCATTGCAGCTATTTAACAAACAATAGCTGTCATTTTATTAGTCCGAGATATAAGAATGTGTTGATTACAGTCCTATGATCTGGAGTCAGATCTGGATTTAAGTTCTTATTTAGAACATTAGATCCATAAGAACTTGGCCAAGTTTTTTAACCTCACATACCTTAATTTTCTCACCTACAAAATAACTATTAATAATCATAACTTTCTTATAAGTTTGGGAAGAACAAATAAGAGTAGATGTGAAACTTCCAGCAAGTCTCTCCTCAAAGGGCTAACAACTCTAGTTTGAAACAGGTTCAGTTGGAACAAAAACAAAAAGCTTTTCAAGGAACATGTCTCTTGAGTTGCTTAAAATTTGTCTACAGCAAAAAGGAAAGTAAACGGAAGAACTATTGTTAGAAGGACAGATAACTCTGTTGGAATTCTAAGTACAGATATTGCAGGGAAAGACAATTTGTAGGTGACAAGTAAACAGCTCCCTTCACACCCGTCACAGGTGAGGAAACAGTCACCATACTTAATACCTTTGCTTATAATAGACTCAAAATGACCCCTTTGTAAAGCCCTTCTGTCCTGAGCCCCAGATTTCAGCAAGGCCATGTCTCCTTCTCTCATCTTGCTAATAGTTCATATTTTCAATAAGGCTTAGCTCAAGTAAATTAAATTGAAATGAAGAAAACAACAATACAAAACATCAATAAAACCAAAAGTTGGTTTTTTGAAAAGTTAAACAAAATAGATAAACCTTTAGTGAAACTAAGAAAAAAAGAGAGAATACCTAAATAAATAAAATCAGAAATGAAAAAGGAGACATTACAACTGATATCGTGGAAATTCAAAGGAACATTATTTCCTACTATGAACAACTATCTGTCAATAAATTGGAAAATATAGAAGAAATGGAAAAATTTGTAGACACATACAACCTATGAAGAAATCCAAAACCTGAACAAACCAATAACAAGCAATGAAATCAAAGCCATAATAAAAATTCTCCCAATAAAGAAAAGCCTAGAACTCAATGACTTTACTGCTGAATTTAAACCAAACATTTAAAGAAGAAGTAATATTAAGTGTACTCAAACTATTCCAGAAAAGAAAGGAGGATGTAATACTTCCAAATGTCCATACTACCCAAAGCAATGTATAGATTCAATGCAATCCCCATCAAAATACCAATGACATTCTTCATAGAAATGGAAATAGTAATCCTAAATTTTACATGAAACCACAAAAGACCCAGAATAGCCAAGGCTATCCTGAGCAAAAAGAACAAAAATTGAGGAATTACATTACCCAACTTCAAATTATGCTACAGAGCTATAGTAACCAATATAGCATGGTACTGGCATAAAAACAGAAACGTTGGCCAATGGAACAGAATAGAGAAACCAGAAACAAATCCACACACCTACAGTGAGTTCATTTTTCACAAATGTGCCAGGAACATACACTGGGGAAAAAAATAGTCTCTTAAATAAATGGTGCTGGGAAACCTGGATATTCATATGCAGAATAATGAAACTAGACTCCTATCTCTCTCCATATATAAAAATTAAATAAAAATGGATTAAAGACTTAAATCTAAGACCTCAAACTATGAAACCACTAAAAGAAAACATTGTGGAGACTCTTTAGGACATTGGACTGGGCAAAAATTTATTGAGTAATACTCCACAAGCATAGGCGACCGAAGCAAAAATGGACAAGTGTGGATCACATTAAGCTAAAAAGCTTCTGCACAGCAAAGGATACAATCAACGAACTGGAGAGACAACCCACAGAATGGGATAAATAAAATATTTGCAAACTACCCATTTGACAAGCAATTAATAACAAGAATATATAAGGAGCTCCAACAACTCTACGAAAAAAATCTAATAATCTGATTTAAAAATAGGCAAAAGATTCGAATAGATGTCTCTTAAAAGAAGACATACAAATGAAAAATAAACATGTGAAAAGGTGCTCAACATCATTGATCATCAGAGAAATGCAAATCAAAACTACAATGAGATATCATTTCATGTGAGTTAAAATGGCTTATACTAAAAAAATCGTGCAATAACAAATGTTGGTGAAGATATGGAGGAAAGGGAACCTTGTGCACTGTTGATGGGATTGTAAATTAGTACAACCACTGTGGAGAACAGCTTGGGGGTTCTTCAAGAAACTAAAAATTGAGCTACCATATGATTCAGCAATCTCACTGCTGGGTATATACCCAAAAGAAAAAGAATCAGTATAAGGAGGAGGAGATATCTGCACTCCCATGTTTGTTGTAGCTCTGTTCACAATAGCCAAGAATTGGAAGCAAGCTAAGTGTCCATGAACAGAGGACTAGATAAAGAAAATGTGGTACTTATACACAATGGAGTACTATTCAGCAATAAAAAATGATGAAATTCAGTCATTTGCAACAACATGGATGAACTGGAGGTCATTATGTTAAGTGAAATAAGCCAGGCACAGAAAGACAAACATCTCACGTTCTTACCTATTTGTTGGATATAAAAATCAAAACAATTGAATCTGCAGAGATAGAGAGTAGAAGGATGGTTACCAGAGTTTGGGAAGGGTAGCAGGGTGGGGTTGGGTGTTGTTGGTGGAGGTGAGGATGGTAATGAGTATAAAAGAGTAGTTAGAATAAATGAATAAGTTAGAATAAATAATATTTGATAGCACACGGTGTGACTGTAAGTCAATAATAATTTAATTGTACATTTAAAAATAACTAAAAGAGTATAATTGCATTGTTTGTAACACAAAGGATAAAGGCTTGAGGGGAGGGATACCCCATGTTCCATGATGTGTTTATTATGCAGTACATCTCATGTATCCCATAAATATGTACACCTACTATATACCCACAAATATAAAAAATAAAAAATTATTAAAAAAATAAGATTTAGCTCTTCCTCCCTTCTTGTGTTTCTGTGTCTTTGATGACCTCTGTATTCAGGATGCTATTGTCATTGGCACTTGGGGTGTCAAAACAATAGCTGGGGTTGCAATGGGACATGACTCTGTGCAGAACATTAGCTTTTAAAATCCTATTTTATTGGTGGTATACTTTACATACAATAAAATTCATTCATTTGAAATGTACAGCAAAGAGGCCAGGCACAGTGGCTCATGCCAGTAATCCCAGCACTATGGGAGGCTGAGGCGGGTAGATCACTTGAGACCAGGAGTTGGAGACCAGCCTGGCCAACATGGTGAAACTCCATCTATACTAAAAAAAAAAAAATACAAAAATTAACTGGATGTGGTGGTGGGCACCTGTAATCCTAGCTACTCGTGAGGCTGAGATGGGAGAATCACTTGAACTCAGGCGGTGGAGGTTGCAGTGAGCCGAGACTGTGCCACTGCACTCCATCCTAGACAACAGAGCAAGACTCCATCTCAAAAAAAAAAAAAAGAAATGTAAATGTACAGCAATGAGTTTTTGACAAATGTATACATCTGGGTGACCGACACCACATTCAAGATATAGACTCTTTCACTACTCCCCAAATTTTATCATGTTCCTTTGCAGTAAGTACCTCCACACCCAGCCCCAGGCAACCACTAATCTACTTTTTGTTCACATTGATCTGCCTTTTCTAGGCATCTTATATAAAGGGAATCATATAATATTTGGGCTTTTGTGTCTGGCTTCTTTCACTTAGTATGTTTTTAAGGTTTATCCATGTTGTGGCATGTCTCAGTACTTCATTTCTTTTTGTTGCCAAAAATATTCAATTGTATGGATATACCACCTCTTGTTTTACTTGCTGATGGACAGCTGAGTTATTTCCAGTGTGAGGCCATTACAAATAAAGCTGCATTTGTACAAGTCTGCATGTCTACATAAATTTTCTTTTTTCCTCTAGCTTTACTAAGATATGATTGACAAATAAAATTGTATATATTTAAGGTGTACATCATGATATTTTGACATACATATACATTGTGAAATAATTACCACAATCATTTATCTTTGTTTAGATATCTAGGAGTGGGTGATGAGGTAAGTCTGTGCTTAACTTTATAAGATACTGCAAACTGTTTCCCAAAGTGGCTTTACCCTTTTGCATTCTCACCAGCAGTGTATGAGTGTTATAATCATACACCCTTGCCAACATGTGGCATTTTAAGTCATTTAAAATTTATTTGTGTGTGTTGTCACAGATGCTCTTGAAGGGCCATGAGCCATTTGCTCTCTCCCCTATTGGCTGCTCACTATAATCTCTATCCCGCTGTCTTTTGAAAAATATTTTAAGAAATGGTAGGAAAAGCTTAATCGGGGGTAGGGATCAGGAAAGCTGTCTTTACATATCAGAGAGCCTTCATGGGTAAAAGGAGGCAGTCTAATTCCATGAAAAGCAAACATTAGTAGTATGGAAGCTGCAAGGTAGCATATTTGGGAATCCTACAATATAGAACCTTCTAATTTTAGAACTGCCTAACAATAGAATGAGTTTCTTCATTAAAAAAAAGAGGTTCCTATTACTGGAGGTATTCAAACAGAGATTGGATTAACGCTTCATGGGAATGTTTCAAAGCAGATTCATGCACCAGATAAATTCTGGTTGCATGTGCTCAAATGTTTCTATGAGAATGTGAAGCTCATAATATCAAAATTTTGTGACTTCTGACTTTTCCTTTCTGTTCTCTGCCCTTTCACCTGACTTCTGGCTGACCTCCAATTCCTAATGCTTTAGTACAACAAATGTCTGGAAATCAATCCCCATTAAAGTAATTTGAAGATTTTCCTTTCCCAGAGTTTCTGAGTTGCAGTACATTTCCCAAATAAGAAGGTGTAATGGTGAAATTTCAGGCAAAGCAACAATCAGTGAATAAGATGTTTTGGCTAGAATTTCATGCCTGTCACCACTCATATTAGATATAGCAGCTAAATCATCTAGTCTACCTACTGGCTAATAATGTAGGCCTTAAAAAGAAATCAAAGAGACAGAAAGCAAAGCTCCTAAATATGATTTGCAAAGCAGGGCAACAGATGAGGACTAACAAACTTCTTCTCAGCTTGGTTTTCACATCCGCATAGACCTGACTATCAAAAATTGTCCATCTGCCAACCCATTTTTGTATCCAACACCCTCTAGCCCTGATATGGTACTGTATGTTTTTAGAATACTGCTTACATCAACTGACAGCTTTTTAAAATATACCCATCAGGAGTGATGTATCTTTTATTCATCTTCACACTTTAAGTGTCTGTCAGGCTGTCAAGTCTTCCTGTCTTCTGCAAGGATGTATCATCACAAAGAAAACTGGTTGTGACCTGCCACCAGGCCTCAGAGATTCAGTCTGCAGGGAGGCCCTGCAGAGCTGCGCCAGAGAAACTTGTTCCCAAGCCATCTGATCTCCTTCATAAAAAATAATCCAAGAAGGAAACAGAATGGAATTGCATCAAGGAAATGTTCATTTAACTTGCATTATAAGTGAATAAAAAATGGAATCAATATCTCTAGGGATGGCTAAAGAACCAGCCATCAAATGGGTTTGAGTTGACTTTATAGTGGAGGCAGTGCATTGAGCTAGGCATCCTCAAATGTATTTGTCACCCGTAGTAGCAACCTTATAGAGGACATTTGTGTTCCTCTTTCTTCCATCTTTTTTTCTGTCCAAATGGCTTTTAATCATTCTCATTTGCAAATATCTTTTCCAGGTGTGTTTTAGTCCATTTGTGTTGCTATATAGGAATGCCTCGGGCTGGGTAATTTCTAAAAAGAAAAGTTTATTTGGCTCATGGTTCTGCAAACTGTACAAGAAGCATGGTGTAAGCATTTACATCTGATGAGGGCCCCAGGAAGCTTCCAATCATGGCAGAAAGAGAAGGGGAGCCAGCATGTCACATGGAAAGAGAGAGAGCAAGAGAGAGAGGACAGAGGTGCCAGACTCTTTTTAACAATTAGATCTCACAGGAACTAACAGAGCAAGAAGTCACTCATTATCCAGAGGGCAACATGAAGATGTTCATGAGGAATCCATCCCCATGACCTAACACCTTCCAACCAGGCTCCACCTCCAACATTGGGGATCAACATGAGATTTGGAAGGGACAAATATCCAAACTATACCAAGGGGTATTGGCAGATTTTTCTTTACAAAAATCATGGGAGAAGTATCTAGCATGTGGGTAGTATCATCTCAAAACATAAAGTCCTCTTGTTTCTAGGTCATTCCAGGAAGATGTTTAAGACTCAGAGAGGGCAAGTGATGGACTCTGTGTAATTCAAGGAGAAAGGAGTAAAACTCTAAACTCTTTATTACATCCAACTCCAAGCCTCAGAGAGAGTGAGGACTGAGAGTTCACATATCAACAGTGGTATAAGTCATGATTTTGAGTAACTCAGGGTTGGCCATTACTGCAGAAGATAGAGGAATGCTGAAAATTGGCCATTACTGTCACCATTGATATGGAATTTTCTGGCAGCAAGACTGTGTTCCAGCTCCCCATATACCCTACCTCTGATAGTCATGTAGATGAGGAGTTAATCTGCCAAAAGCCCTCACGACCTTATGAGTGCTGGCTCAAGAACTGGTGGAGTTGAGGCCTACTGGTGATGGCCATAAGGAAATAGAGCTATGAGGAACTGGAGAAAGCTAGTATGTTTACTTCCCTGCTTCTGGACTACATAAAGACATTGGTTTCCCCCAGAGTTTATTATTTTAAAGCTTACTAGCTTCGACGATTTTCGAAGTGACTGAACTTTGCTGGGTTAGGGCTTCCGAGTTTAACACTCCCTATTACAGGCCTTATCACTTAGTTAAGGATGAGTGGCATAAAACAAGCTCTCAATTCAGCTTAGTTGAATGGCTCCTCTGGTCTCATGTGCATATTAGGAAGGAACTTTTGCTTAAAGCTCTGGGTAATTAGTATGACAACCAACTAATCGTGACTTAAAATAAATCTATTTATTGACCACCTGAAAAATCTCTAGGATCCAGAATCATGACCTAAAATAAACTTGTCTTCATAGAGATGAGTAGGACAGGGGAGATCTGAGGTATAGGGAGTACTGGAAGAAGAGTTTGTTCCCCTGGAGAAGGGAAAGTGATTCTGAGCAGGGCAAACCCTAGTGGGTCAGAGTAGGACTTGAGTTGGAACTTGCAGTCTCACTGCGTACGATCAAGGAAAAGCAGATTTCAGGAATGCTTCCATGCCACTGCTGCCACCCATGGGCTAGAACTACAAGTCTCAGTCTGGGAGAGTCTAGAAGTGGGGGCAGAGGAGAGCAGTGGTG
This sequence comes from Homo sapiens, assembly GCF_000001405.40. NCBI lineage: Eukaryota > Metazoa > Chordata > Mammalia > Primates > Hominidae > Homo > Homo sapiens. The sequence goes on along the minus strand of NC_000023.11, from coordinate 112,438,412 downwards.
GGAAGAAAGCCATGCTGGGAACTGTAGTACTGTTGCCTCGAAGTTCATTGGAGCCAGCTGCAATGCATCAGGATACTCAAGCAGCCTTATGGAGAGGTCCACAGGGTAAGGAGCCAAGGCCTCCTGACAATAGCCAGCATCAACTTGCCTACCATGGGAGGAAGCCATCTTAGAAGTGAATCCCTGGCCTCAGTCAAGCCATCAGATGACTACAGCCACAGATGATATTTTGACTACAGCCTCATTAGAGACCCTGAGCTAGAACCACCCAGCTAAGCCACTCCTGAATCTTTTACCCACAGAAACTATGTGAGAAAACAAATGTTGGTTGTTGTTTTACCTCCCCTCCACACACAGTAAAAGATGAGTAGAAGTTTTACAAAGACAGAAGTCATCTTTAAAAAATGACCAAAATGGGCACCTAACTGCTGAAGACCCATGGCATTTTGTACCAGCTTACAAAATGGACACTAAGCCCACCTACAACAGCGCTAAAAGAAACCAAACATCTGATGGATATGGATGTCAAAAAAGAGGCAAGACATAACAACCTCTACCACCACCACCACCACCACCACCACCACCACCACCACCACCACCACCACCACCATCACCACCACCACTACCATGACTTACAGAGTGTTTATTTTGGGCCTAATACTGTATTTCTTTTACATCTGAAATTTCATGTAATCATGAAAACAATCGAATAAGATCATTCTTATCCTCATTTTACAGAGGGAGAAAATGATTCTGAAAGGTTAGTGGCTTGCTGCAGATCCCTCCATGAGATTCAAACCCAAGTCTATTTGACTCAAAGCCCTACATTCTTTTTTAAACTATTTTTATTATATATTGACAAACTGTTGTTGTATATATATATATATTGGGTACAAAGTAGTGTTACAATTTTCAAATACAATATAGAAAGATTAAATTAAACTAATTAACATCCATCACCTCAAATATTTAACATTTTTGTGATGAGAAAATTAGAAATTTATCTTAGTGATATTGAAATGTACAGAACTAAATTATTAGCTATATTCACCATGATGTGCAATTGATCTAAAAATCAAATTTATTCTTCTTGTCTAGCTAAGAAAAGCTCTATATTCTTAACTAATTATGCTGGACTGTCTTGTAGAGATGATCTGGTCAAAAATATGCTGGTGTTGATAGAAGCATCAGCTTCTTAATTGGTAGATTCCCTTGAGCTCCTAACTTATTCCCTCTTCATCTTTTCCATCTATTGTCTGCCAAGTCGTGACTGAGACAGGAAAGTAGGTAGAAGCTAATGGCCCAGAAGGAATAAGGCCTGTATGTTTCAATTTAATAAATTTGGAGGCTTTTCTGCAAATGTGTTCATCATCTCCATTTACTATCATTGGTATATGAAAGACACTGGTTGTTCCTATTTTACAGATGGCAAATCCAAAGGATAAAGTATCCTCCATCACGGAGCCAAAATGCCCTAAACACCAGCCCAGTGTTTCTCATTTCACAGGCTATCCTGTGACTGCCACTGAGGCTCCTGGGTGACTACTGACTTTTTCTGGTTGGTAAGGAACTCCTCCAGCCAGCAGAATTAATGTTTAAGGACTGTTTTGTGTTTAGCAGACTGAAGAGTCAGACTGAAAGTTATGGTGAACAACAGGCTTTGGGTTATAGTTCTCACATCTGGGGCGCTGGAGAAGCCAGTAGAAATTTACTCCGAAAGTTCCATGATACAAAAAAAAAAAATGTCCTTCTCTCATAATTGGAGAAAAAGTGATTTATCAGGGGCTGCCATGGAATGTTCTGGTTATTCATATCTCCTATCGATTTGTGCAAATACACATGTATAAAAGAATAAATCATATTTGCTTTCAGAAACATTGTTTTCTGTTCATAAAGAGACTGGTAATTTTATGAGATCTATTGATTTTTCCTAAAATAACATGATTTAGTTTTGAACTCCCACACCAACAGCTCAGAAGGCGAGGCGCTGGAACTTTAAATTATTGATTTTTTTTTTATTGTAAGAAGGAGTTTGAAGTTTTTTCCCCAAGTGTCTATGCCTTCTCCATCCTACCCATTCAACTCCACTTTTACATTTTCTTATTAAAAATCCTTAGGTTTGATAAAGGAGAAATGAAACAAAGTTCGTTAGGAAGAAACCTCTAGTATGGTAGTTTTTTTTTTTTGTTTTGTTATGTTTGAGATGGAGTCTCTGTTGTCCAGACTGGAGTGCAGTGGCACGATCTCGGCTCACTGTAACCTCCATCACCCAGGTTCAAGCAATCCTACTGCCTCCACCTCCTGAGTAGCTGGGATTACAGGCATACACCACCATGCCAGGCTAATTTTTGTATTTTAGGTAGAGAGGGGGTTTCACCATGTTGGTCAGACAGGTCTCGAACTCCTGACCTCAGGTGATCTGCCCGCCTCGGCCTCCCGGAATGCTAGAATTAGAGGTGTGAGCTACCGCGCTGGGCCTAGTATGGCATTTAGAATCAATCAATAAGCAAAACTGTGAAGTTTGAACATGACCATCTGATAAATATTTTTCTTAAAGGAACAGAAGGGAGAAGTAAAGCATGCATGTATGGATTTAATAACCTAATGAATTATATCCTTAGGCAAAAATGAAGCTTAAAAAACAAATTTTAAAAGTTTTTTGTTTATGCTTTGTCAATAGTTCTCAAGATAATATCACTTGTCTCTTTTCGGACTTTTTCTAGCTTCCTTCTAACACTGAGTTTTTCTTGAGCTTTACCTTCTGAACTTTCCACTTTCCTTTTACCTCCATCTCTCCTACTGAGAATGAGCTCAAATTCAAGGGAATCCAATTACTTGGAGATGTATCATGAGGGCATGGGAGTTTGTTAGCAATTACTTCTTTCAAATTTATTGCCTTTACGAAATGTATTTTCCTACAATGAAAACAAATTCTCCCCAAAGACAGTAATGTTATTTTTTAGAACTCTCAAGAAGATACTAATAGTAACTGCAAAAAAGGTTGTACCATAAATTATAAATAATCACACAGGCACTCCAAAAACATGCAGCTATCTCCTTGAGAAAACTGAATGAATACACAGTGGACATTCAATCTGAGCATGTTCTGAAGAATTGAAACATGTGCAAGGGGTTGTCAGTATACAAGGATGCTTGGTAGTGTTGGTTGGTGGTGGGGTGGTGGACTAATATTAGTGTGACTTTACCCAGTAATATGGTTTTGGCTCTGTGTCCCAACCGAAATCTCACCTTGAATTGTAATTCTCATAATCCCCAAGTATTAAGGATGGGACCAGGTGGAGGTAATTGGATCATGGAGGCAGTTTCCCCCATGCTGTTCTCATGACAATGAGTGAGTCTCATGAGATCTGATGGTTTTATAAGCATTTACAGCATTTCCCCCTGCTTGCACTCATTCCATACTGCTGCCATATGAAGAAGGTGCCTGCTTCTCCTTTGCCTCCCACCTGACGTAAGCTTCCTGAGGCCTTCCCAGCAATGCAGAACTGTGAGTCAATTAATCCCTTTTCCTTTATAAATTACCCAGTTTCGGATATTTCCTCACAGCAGTGTGAGAACAGACTAATATACCCAAGACTCACTAAGCTGATGCCGAAGAGATCCATGGTAAACAAAGTGCCCAGAAGATAACAATAATTTGTTTCTAAAATTCCAAGCTTTACTTCTGGTTTCTGGTCCAGCAGGTAAGAAGCTTTAGAAATAACCACTCGGGTTTTTTGAAAGGATCAACAAAATTGATAGACCGCTAGCAAGACTAATAAAGAAGAAAAGAGAGAAGAATCAAATAGACACAATAAAAATGATAAGGGGGATATCACCACCGATCCCACAGAAATACAAACTACCATCAGAGAATACTACAAACACCTCTATGCAAATAAACTAGAAAATCTAGACGAAATGGATAAATTCCTCGACACATACACCCTCCCAAGACTAAACCAGGAAGAAGTTGAATCTCTAAATAGACCAATAACAGGCTCTGAAATTGTGGCAATAATCAATAGCTTACCAACCAAAATGAGTCCAGGACCAGATGGATTCACAGCCGAATTCTACCAGAGGTACAAGGAGGAACTGGTACCATTCCTTCTGAAACTATTCCAATCAATAGAAAAAGAGGGAATCCTCCCTAACTCATTTGATGAGGCCAGCATCATCCTGATACCAAAGCCGGGCAGAGACACAACCAAAAAAGAGAATTTTAGACCAATATCCTTGATGAACATTGATGCAAAAATCCTCAATAAAATACTGGCAAACTGAATCCAGCAGCACATCAAAAAGCTTATCCACCATGATCAAGTGGGCTTCATCCCTGGGATGAAAGGCTGGTTCAATATACGCAAATCAATAAATGTAATCCAGCATATAAACAGAGCCAAAGACAAAAACCACATGATTATCTCAATAGATGCAGAAAAGGCCTTTGACAAAATTCAACAACTCTTCATGCTAAAAACTCTCAATAAATTAGGCATTGATGGGACGTATTTCAAAATAATAAGAGCTATCTATGACAAACCCACAGCCAATATCATACTGAATGGGCAAAAACTGGAAGCATTCCCTTTGAAAACTGGCACAAGACAGGGATGCCCTCTCTCACCACTCCTATTCAACATAGTGTTGGAAGTTCTGGCCAGGGCAATTAGGCAGGAGAAGGAAATAAAGGGTATTCAATTAGGAAAAGAGGAAGTCAAATTGTCCCTGTTTGCAGATGACATGATTGTATATCTAGAAAACCCCATTGTCTCAGCCCAAAATCTCCTTAAGCTGATAAGCAACTTCAGCAAAGTCTCAGGATACAAAATTAATGTACAAAAATCACAAGCATTCTTATACACCAATAACAGACAAACAGAGAGCCAAATCATGAGTGAACTCCCATTCACAATTGCTTCAAAGAGAATAAAATACCTAGGAATCCAACTTACAAGGGATGTGAAGGACCTCTTCAAGGAGAACTACAAACCACTGCTCAAGGAAATAAAAGAGGATACAAACAAATGGAAGAACATTCCATGCTCATGGGTAGGAAGAATCAATATCATGAAAATGGCCATACTGCCCAAGGTAATTTATAGATTCAATGCCATCCCCATCAAGCTACCAATGACTTTCTTCACAGAATTGGAAAAAAATACTTTAAAGTTCATATGGAACCAAAAAACAGCCCGCATCGCCAAGTCAATTCTAAGCCAAAAGAACAAAGCTGGAGGCATCACACTACCTGACTTCAAACTATACTACAAGGCAACAGTAACCAAAAGAGCATGGTACTGGTACCAAAACAGAGATATAGATCAATGGAACAGAACAGAGCCCTCAGAAATAATGCCGCATATCTACAACTATCTGATCTTTGACAAACCTGAGAAAAACAAGAAATGGGGAAAGGATTCCCTATTTAATAAATGGTGCTGGGAAAACTGGCTAGCCATATGTAGAAAGCTGAAACTGGATTCCTTCCTTACACCTTATACAAAAATTAATTCAAGATGGATTAAAGACTTAAACATTCGACTTAAAACCATAAAAACCCTAGAAGAAAACCTAGGCAATATCATTCAGGCCATAGGCATGGGCAAGGACTTCATGTCTAAAACACCAAAAGCAATGGCAACAAAAGACAAAATTGACAAATGGGATCTAATTAAACTAAAGAGCTTCTGCACAGCAAAAGAAACTACCATCAGAGTGAACAGGCAACCTACAAAATGGGAGAAAATTTTCGCAACCTACTCATCTGACAAAGGGCTAATATCCAGAATCTACAATGAACTCAAACAAATTTACAAGAAAAAAACAAACAACCCCATCAAAAAGTGGGCAAAGGACATGAACAGACACTTCTCAAAAGAAGACATTTATGCAGCCAAAAAACACAAGAAAAAATGCTCACCATCACTGGCCATCAGAGAAATGCAAATCAAAACCACAATGAGATACCATCTCACACCAGTTAGAATGGCAATCATTAAAAAGTCAGGAAACAACAGGTGCTGGAGAGGATGTGGAGAAATAGGAACACTTTTACACTGTTGGTGGGACTGTAAACTAGTTCGACCATTGTGGAAGTCAGTGTGGTGATTCCTCAGGGATCTAGAATTAGAAATACCATTTGACCCAGCCATCCCATTACTGGGTATATACCCAAAGGACTATAAATCATGCTGCTATAAAGACACATGCACACATATGTTTATTGTGGCACTATTCACAATAGCAAAGACTTGGAACCAACCCAAATGTCCAACAATGATAGACTGGATTAAGAAAATGTGGCACATACACACCATGGAATACTATGCAGCCATAAAAAATGATGAGTTCATGTCCTTTGTAGGGACATGGATGAAATTGGAAATCATCATTCTCAGTAAACTATCGCAAGAACAAAAAAACAAACACCGCATATTCTCACTCATAGGTGGGAATTGAACAATGAGAACACATGGACACAGGAAGGGGAACATCACACTCTGGGGACTGTTGTGGGGTGGGGGGAGGGGGGAGGGATAGCATTAGGAGATATACCTAATGCTAAATGACGAGTTAATGGGTGCAGCACACCAGCATGGCACATGTATACAAATGTAACTAACCTGCACATTGTGCACATGTACCCTAAAACTTAACATACAATAATAATAAAATAAAAAAAAAGAACCACTCAGGCCTAACAACAAATAAAAAGCTAAACAAACTGAAAAAGACAAACAACTCTTCTTAAATGTGTCAGAGAAGTGAGGTCACAGGGCAAACTGCTGCCCCCTAAATTAGAGAGACAGACAGGCAGATGGAGAGAATTCCAACATACAAAAGCAGAAACCCAGGAGCAGAAATTTCCATAGGAACCAGTGCTGCAGTAGGAAAACCTGAATTGTAATTGACAAATTGCTGGAGGCTTAATGTGGACAAGCAAGGGTTAAAAACTCCAGGGCGACTCTGTCATGGGGCTTCCACATTTTTGTAAGTTTTATTACCAGGAGCTCTACTAGGTCCTCACAGTGAATACTGTAGAAAATTCCCTTTATTCTTCTGGTAGAGAAGAAATATGAAACATTTTAAAATAAGCCAGAGCATTCTGTTCTTCTTAACAATGCCTGCCTTTAACAAAAACTTTTTTTTTTCACCAGAGCCTAACAAGCTAGGGTTGTACCAAAGCCTAATCTTCCTGGATGAAAGGAAATATGCAAATCCAGCCCCCTCCAACCTACCATGTAGGAGAAGGGAAATATACAAATCCAAACCCCTTCAGTCATCCTGTGGTACCTAAAGAGAGAGAGAGAAAAAAGAAAACAGAAACACTGGTGAAGTTCACAGTCCAGGGGCATATGCTTATTAAAGGGCTGATACCTAATCATAGGACTATGGAATGCTAACTCTTCCCCTCCACCTTACTGCTACATTACTAAAGGCCTTTTTGACACAGATCTTTTTGCCCAATACATCATATCTATCTTTCAACAAAAAATTACAAGGCATACTAAAAGATATGGGCATGGTGGCTCATGCCTGTAATCCCAACACTATGGGAGGTTGAGGCAGGTGGATTGTTTGAGTCCAGAAGTTCTAGAAGAGCGTGGGCAACATGGTGAAACTCCATCGCTACAAAAAATACAAAAAAATGAGCAGGGCATGATGGCTTGCACCTGTAATCCCAGCTGTAATCCCAGAATCTGATGTGGGAGGATTGCTTGTGCCCAGAAAGTGCCCAGTGCAGTGAGCCGAGATTGTGCCACTGCACTCCAGCCTGGGTGACAGAGTGAGAATCCGTCTCAAGAAAAAATGATAAAAAAATAACACATCGTGAAGAAAACAGACAAGCATCAGAGCCAGAGTCAGATATGGCAGTAATGTTGGAATTATCAGAACAATAAATTTTTAAAACCATGATAAATATGCTAAAGGCTTTAATTGGAAAAGCAGGTAACGTTCAAGAACAGATGGATAATGTCAGCAGAGAGATGAAAATTCTAAGAAAGAAAAAGAAATGCCATATATAAAAAACGCTGGAACAGAAATGAAGAATGCCTTTGATGACCTAATTAATATACTGGACATAGCAGAGGATGGAATCTATGAGCTTAAAAAAATCATAATAGAAACTTCTCAATTTGAAAAAAGAATAAAGAAAAAAGACCGAGAAAAAACTCTCCAGAACAGAATATCCAAAAACTGTGGGAAAATGAAAAATGCATAACACCTATGTAATGAGAATACCAGAAGGAGAGGAAAAAGAGAAAAGAACAAATGCAACATTTGAAACAATAATGACTGAGAATTTTCCTCAAATTAATGGCAGACACCAAACCACAGATCCAGTGATCTCAGAGAACATTAAGCATGATAAACGCCAGAAAATACACCTAGGCATATTATATTTAAACTTGAGAAAATCAAAGATAAATAAATATCCTCAAAGAAGCAAGAGATAAAAAAAGTCTTATCTATAGAGAAACAAAAATAAGAATTACATCACATTTCTATTCAGACACCATGCTAGCAAGAAGAGAGTAGAGTGAAATAGTTAAGATGTTAACAGAAAACTCCTCTCCCAACATAGAATTCTATACACTGTAAAATTATCCTTTGAAAGTGAAGGAAAAAAATAATTTCTCAGATGAAAAAAAAATTGAGGAAATTTGTTGCCAGTAGACATGCCTTGCAACAAATGCTAAGTGTTGTAGAGAGCAGAATGGTATTCGTCAGAAACCCAGATCTACATAAAATAAGGAAGAGTATTAGAAAAGTAATAGGTAAAGGTGAAATAAAAATTTTTATTTTTTTTTTGGCTTAACTGATCTAACTGACAACAGTTTGTTTTAAATAATAATGGCAACATAAATTTGCTTATGTATGCCTAGGTATAAGTGAAATACATGACAACAATGATACAAGGGAAATGAGGGAGGAATTAGGAATATTTCGTTATTATAAGGTACTTGTGTTATCCATGAAATGGTATGGTGTTATTTAAAAGTCAACTTGGGTTAGTTATAAATGTATATTGCAAACACTAAGGCAACCATTAAAAATTATAAAAGGGTAAAAATTATAAAAGGAAATAAAATTAATATTCTAAGAAAGGAGAGAAAAGGGAATCTCATAAGATGTTTAATTAAAACCAAAAAAAGGCTGAAAATCTGTGGAAGATAAAAGAGGAAACAAAGAACACGGGCAATAAAAAGAAAACAGTAACAATATAGTAGATATTAATCCAACCATGTCAATGATCACCTTAAACATCAATGGTCTCATTACCTCAATTTAAAGACAGACTGTCAGAGTGTATCGAAAAACAAGACCCAAGTATATGTTGTCTACAAGAAATCCACTTTAAATATAAAGACACATTTAGATTAAAAGTAAAGGGAAGAAGAAAGACATACCATTCTAGCACTCATTTTAAAAGTAGGAGTAGCTATATTAATTTAAGACACAGCAGACTTCAGGGCAAGGAAAGTTATTAGGGGTAAAGGGGAATTACAGAAAAATACAGGGACAACACAAGAAAACCTAGCAATCTTTAGTGTATATGTGCCTAATGAGAGAGTCTCCAAATACCTGTGGCAAAAACTGATAGAATTGCAAGAAGAAATAGATGAATCCACTGTTATAGTTGGAGACTTTAACATTTCTATCTTAGAAAAGGACAGACCTTGCAGGCAGAAAATCAGCAAGGACATAGTTGAACTCAAAAGCACCATCAAACGACTCTATACAATTGACATCTATAGAAAAATTCACCTGACAGCAGGATCTACATTCTTCTTAAGATCACATGGAACATTCATCAAGATAGACTACACTGTGGGTCAGAAAATACCCCTTGACAAATTTAAAGTTATGGAAATCATGCAATGTCTGCTTTAAGACCACAGTACAATTAAACCAAAAATAAATAACAGAAAGGTAGCTGGAAAATCCCAAATACTTGGAGATTAAACAACCCAGTTCTAAAAAATACATGGGTCAAAGAGGACATCTTCAGAGAAATTTTAAAAATATTTTAAACTAAATAAAAATGAAAATACAGTATGGAGATTTCTTAAAGAACTAAAAATAGAACTACCATTTGATCCAGCAATTCCACTACTGGGTATCTACCCAAAGGGAAAGAAGTCATTATATGAAAAAGATGAATGTGCACACGTTTATAAAAGCACAATTTGCAATTGCAAAGATATGGAACCAACTTAAGTGCTCACTGACCAATGAATGGATAAAGAAAATGTGGTATATATACACCATGGAATACTACTCAGCCATGAAAAAGAACAAAATAATGTATTTTGCAGCAACTTGGATGGAACTGGAGGCCATTATTCTCAGTAAAGTAACTCAGGAATGGAAAACCAAATATCACATGTTCTCACTTACAAGTGGGAGCTAAGCTATGAGGATGCAAATGTGTGAGAATAATATAATGGACTTCGGGGACTCAGAGGGGAAGGGTGGGAGGGGGATGAGGGATAAAAGACTACATATTGGGTACTGTATACACTGCTCGGGTGATAGGTACACCAAAATCCCAGAAATCACCACTAAAGAATTGATCCATGTAACCCAAAACCACCTGTACCACAGAAACTACTGAAATAATAATAAAATAACAAAATAAAAAAATTAAAACACATTTTATCAGAAGTTGTGGAATGCAGCAAAAGCAGTTCTTAAAGGGAAATTTATAACATTAAATGCATATATTAGAAAAGAAGAAAAATTTTAAATTATTAATTAGGAAACTAGAAAAATAAGAAAAAAATCCAAAGTAGGAGAAAATAAATAGTAAAAATTATTCAGTACAACGTTGAAAACTAGTAGTGAGAGATGACACCTTGCTTTGTTCCTGATCTTAGCAGGACAACTTTGAGTTTCTCATATTAAGTATGATGTTAGCTCTAGGTAAGCAATAGATAAGGATGTTCTTTATCAAATTGAGAGGTTTTTTTCTCTATTCCTAGTTGGCTGAGAATTTTTCCCAGGAATAGATGTTCGATTTTGTCAACCTGCTTTTCTGCATCTCTTGATATGATCATGTGATGTTTTTCTTTATTAGCCTATGGATGTGAAGGATTACATTAATTGATTTTTGAATGTTGAACCAGCCTTGGGTACCTGGCATACATCCCAGTTGGTCATAGTGTGTAATGATTTTTATACATTGTTGGATTTTGTTCCCTAATATTTTGTCAAAGATTATTGCATTTGTGCTTATAAGAAATATTGGGCCTCAGTTTTCTTTGCTTGTAATGACTTTATCTGGTTTTAATATTAGAGTAATGCTGTTCTCATGTAAGAGTTAGGAAGTATTTCCCTTGCTTATATCTTCTAGAAGATATTGTAGAGAATTGGTATAATTTCTTTCTTTAATGTTTTGTAGAATTCACTGCTAAACTCATCTGGGCCTGGTGCCTTCTGTTTTTTGGAGGTAATTACTTGTTTATTTGATTTTTTTAACAGATACAGGCCTATTCTGATTTTATTTCATTTCATTTTGTTTTGTTTTACTTTAAGTTCCGGGATGCAAGTGCAGAACATGTAGGTTTGTTCAACGTTGTACTGAAAGCCCTACCTAATATAACAAGACAAGAAAATGAAATAAATATAGATAGATAGGGAATAAAAAATAAAACTTCTTTTTTTGCAGGTGATATGATCATCTATGTAGAAAAATCTGACTGCTTTCCTATATAACAGCAATTAACAAGTGGAATTTGAGATTAAAAACACATTGCCGTTTACACTGGCACCCCCAAAATAAAATACTTAGGTATAAATCTTTAAAAACATGTACAAGATCCTTATAGAAGCACTACAGAACTCTGATAAAATATGTAAAAGAAGAACTAAATAAATAAAGAGCTATTCCAGATTCAAGGATAGGAAGATTCAATATGTTCGAGATGTCAGTTCTTTCCAACTTGATCTATGTATTCAACACAATCCCAAATCAAAAATCATAGCAAGCTGTTTAGTGGCTATCATCAGACTAATTCTAAAATGTATATGGAGAAGAACAAAATCAGAGGACTGATACTACTGGATTTCAAATTTTAATATAAAGATAACAATGTGGTATTGGTGAAAGAATAAATGAATAAATTAATGAAATAGAATAGAGATCTCAGAAATAGACCTATATAGCCTACTGATCTTTGATAAAAGCACAAAGGCAATACACTGGAGTAAAGACAGTCTTTTCAACAAATGGTGCTAGAACAACTGGACATCCACATGCAAAAATCATGAATCTAAACACAGACCTTATACATGTCAAAAAATTAACACTAAATGTATCATAGACCTAAATTAAAAATGAAAAACAATAAAACTCCCAGAAGACAATATAGGAGAAAACCTTTATGACCTTGGATATGGCGATGACTTTAGATACAACATCATATGTGCAAACCAAGAAATAAATAATTGAGAAGCTGGACTTCATTAAAATAAAAACCTTCTGCTCTGTGAAAGACAATGTTAAGAGAGTGGGAAGATAAGCTGAAGATTGGGAAAAATATTTATAAAAGGCACAGCTGATAAAGGACTGTTGTCCAAAATATACCAAGAATCTTTAAAACTCAACAATAAGGAAATTTTTAAAAACCTGATTAAAAAGTAAGCAAAATATCTGAACAGATATCTCACCAAAGAAGATATATAGATGGTAGGAAAGCATATAAAAGGGTATTCAACATCATATGTCATTAGAGAATTGCAAATTAAAATAACAGTGAGTTATTACTGCATATCTATTAGAGTAGCCAAAAATCCCAAACACTGACGACACCAAATGCTGGACAGGATGTGGACAACAGGAACTCTTATTCATTGCTGGTGAGAATGCAAAACAGTACAACCCCTATGGAAGGCAGTTTGGTGGTTTATTACAAAACTAATCGTCCTCTTACCATATGATCCAGCAATTACACTCCTTGGTACTTACCTAAAGGAATTGAAAACTTAAGTCCTTACAAAAATTTGCACACTGATGTTTACAGTAGCTTTATTCATAATTACCAAAACTTGGAAGTAACCAAGATTAATAAAAGCGACTCAATTAATAAACTGGGGTACATCCAGATAATGTAATATTATTCAGCACTAAAAGAAATGAGCAACGAAGCCATGAAAACACATAAAGGAAACTTAAATGCATATTACAAAGTGCAAGAAGTCAATCTAAAAAGGTTATTACTGTATAGTTCCAACTATATGACCTTCTGGAAAAGGCAAAGGTACAGAGAAAGTAGACAGATCAGTGATTGCCAGGGGCTAGAGGAAAGGGAGGGATGAATAGGCAGCGCACAGAGGATTTTAGGGCAGTGAAACTATACTGTACAATAGTACAACAATAGATACATGCTATTATACATTTATCAAAACACATAGAATGTACAACAGCAAGAGTGAATCCTAATGTCAACCATGGACTTTGGATGATAATAATGCATCAATGTAGCTTCATCCATCATAAAAAATGTACCACTATGGTGCAGGATGTTGATAATGGGGGAGTTTGTGGGAGGCGAGGGGGTCAGAGAATATATGAGAACTCTCTGTACTTTCTGCTCAATTTTGTTATGAGCCTAAAACTGCTCTAAAAATAAAATATATTAATGTAAAAAAACCAACTTCAGTAAAATATTTCTTAAATTCCCAGCCCTACTCTTTCTATACCTTTCCCATATGTTAGAAAAAAAGAAAATCCAGGCAATCGAAAGCCTTTTTCCTAGGTAGACATTATGACATTAGTGCTTTTAACCTGCTTCTCACATGGGGCCATTTATTAAATTGCTACCCAGTATGCTTCAGATTAGTTGCAACCTTAGCAGAACTGTGCACATGAAAGATTCATGTCTTGGGTACTAATCCAAGAAGATCATTCACTACAACCTCAGATGTAGCAGTTACCAGAAGATTTATTTTCAACCTCCTCACACAATGATAATCAGACTTTATGTTTTCAATGAGTGGTTTGCAATGCCTGTGAACTTTTCTACAACTCAAAGTCCAGAAGGTTAATCAGATTGTGTTTAGCTAGACCAAAGAGAATCTGTAAGTGGAAATAATTCTGTTAAAGCCAAAGCTCCCCAAAGATATTAACAACATCTGTGCATTTGCTGCCTTGTAAATAGCATATTTATTAAAGATTTTTCATCAACACTCTTCCCGGCATGTCCTGGGGTTGTTATAACTGTATTTGAATTAATTTATGTTCTTTCATTTATATTAAGTCTACAAGTATTAAGTTCCAACTGGAAAAAACTGTCCTTTTGGATTTATATGGTTGATTCTGATTACTCTATGAGGGGAGTTTACAAAATCATCCCAGACATCAGGTACACGAACTAAAGACTGGTTTCAGCAATCGGGACTGAGTATCCTGATTGGAAAATGAAACTGGCAGAGAGAGAAAACATGGGAAAGTACAACCCATGTAAGTTATGACCAAATTCTGGGTTTTAGGATATTAGATAGGTAGGATGTTAAGTAAGTACAGCCCCAGGACCTGGGCAAGATGTCAATTGACAAATGTACTAGTTTGAATGAAATAGGGATTTGAAGCCAGGGAAGATAAACCACATAGTATATTTTTCAAATTTTGCATTAATTCATTTGTAGCAAGACCACTTTTAAAATCACATAAGGAAGCTCATGAGACATCCTTGTGGAGCCCTAGGAAACTAGAAACATCCCCTAAAACAAGAATCAAGAACACAAGGTGGCCAAAACAAGAAGTCAATACAGCACAAAATGTTGAGTACAGTTGGTCAGTATGGGATTTATCAAGCACAAACTTCTAGGTTCCTTGCAATGAGAGTTTCACATAGAGGTAAAGATACAATTTTCAGGTGACAGCCCAGAACTTCTTTATAAAAGAATCCATTTTTAGTACAGCCTAATGGTCTGAGTGGATTGAGTCTTCCATAAAACTGGAGTATTATTTGATCTTTGTATGTAAGCTCATGCTATATAACCAGGGCACTTGGGCGGGGGGCAGGGGGTGCTATTGACCAATAGAATCTATGAACCTCCACTTCCTTTCCTGTCAAAGACTAGTTTGAGTTGACAGCTAAGTACTTGGGGAGATCGGTAAGTTGCTTTGCCTTCATACATCCATAATCCACATGCATCGACCAAGTCCCTTTATCTATACCTGAAAGGAATTGATCTATCACCAGACACATGGTTAAGGAGTGAGTCAATTGATTCTCCTGTCATTTACATTTTGGCATAAAAATCATAGGAATCCCATCCCCCCCCCACACACAATGAAATAAAACAACACAAAGACATGCTTGTAAATTAATCACTCAATTTAAATATTATTTTGAGCCAAACATAATTCCACCCAGCAATGTGGGACAAAATATTTGAGTAACAGTGACATAGAATAAAATAAAATAATCAAAAAAGAAAACAAATAGCTTAACACTTTCATAACAAGCCACTTGGTAGTTGAGGTAGGTATTACTATCTCCATTATTCAGATGGGAAAGCTGAGGCTCAGGGAGGAAAACTATAACCAAGGATGCAAACACAGCACTAGAAGCCAGGTCCATCTTAATCATAATCCAATTCTTTTCCAGCTACATCTTAGCTTGCAGGGGAGAACTGAAACTAAAGGAGCAATTTACAAGCAGAATCTAGACTCTTAAGAGTTTATAGTCAACATTATATTCTTAAGGCTTTTGAGGGCTTGGATGTACAAGAAGTCAGTGGACAACACTGATCTTTATCCCTGAGGCCCTCTTTAAGGTGCCTCATGCCTAGTAAATTTATTTTCTTTTACTTAGAAAAAAAATTGCTGGTGGTGGGTCAGAGACGACCAGAGCAACAATAAAAGATAAGACCAGGGAAGGAACCCCCCCTTTGCTGACTAGCATCAGAATACTACAGACACAGTGATTATTAGAGTTTGCTATCTATGATGCCAGCTATCTCTCAGCTTGCAAATAATCCCTGTTTTCTGGGTCATAGATAGCAAATAGGTTTCATTTCACATGCCAAATCTTGTCAATTGGTAGTGGCCATCTGCAGTGCTGCATACCTCTTTCACAGGGTTGTTGAAAGGATTAAATAAGAGAGTACCTAGAAAGTACTTAGAAGCATGCCTATTTTATAGTAGTCACTCTATAAATGTTAATTTTTGCTCCTCTATTTCTTAGAAATAATATTTTTCACTTTAATTATTTATTGGACAGCTAGACACTTGACTATCTGTTTTCACTCAGATTTGTTATTTTCAGAGAAAGAGATTATGAAAACACTTCATAAATAACAAACCTTATACAAATATTGTTAGCAATAGAATTATTAAAATATTATTACCAAATTGGACAAAATTGATTCTCAGGTTGATCCATCTGTTTCTTCAATATTTTTGTTGGGCTAAACTGTCTCTTTATTGTATGCATTAACTGCTTTACATATTTCCCTCAATTCAGTTATGTTCAACCACTACTTATCAAGAGTTCCAATGCATCCAGCAATTCTGCTAAGCACTGTTGTGGATAACACGTAAATAGAAGACCAAGTTCCTTATTACAGAGCTTATGTAGTAGAAGTCAAAATCAGACTCAAACACAAAACCATTAAGAATAAATGTGTGGAACCAAATTCCAAACTGAAGAACATCATCAACTCTGTGTACTATACACAAGAATGATGGTGTGTGCTCAAGAAGGGGTGTCCTGGCCTCACTCATATCAGCGTTCACTGTGGAGGCTAGTTAGGTTGCTAATTTTCCCACTCATTCCTGTAGACGTCAAAGTCCCATTTCTCCAGAGTAGTTTGGGATTGAGGTATCTTGGTGTAGTAAATGTTTCAGTGACATAAAAATCTGTATCATTTACGTTGTCCACAAATTCCCAAATACCAAAGAACCAGAACAGTTTTCTTTTCGTAAAAGTTCATGATAATTCAGAAGGCACTTCATGAGCTGTAAATGCACTGGGATCATTAATATGCATATAGATTATCATTTGCCAGGACTAGAGAAAAATTCTGTTTATTTAGATTCTCCAGCATGAATTCTGGGTAATGAAGACCTTACATTTGTACAAATTATCCTATTTTTAGTGTTTTCACATTTATTCCCACAATTTTTCTTTATGGTAGCCTATTGTGAAATAGGTGGAATAGGTGTCAATAGTCTTGACAAATCCAGTTTTAGTCAATAAACTCTAATGAATGCTTACTACATGCCAGTTACTGTGCTAGTGATATAAAAATACAACAGAGCCCTTGTTCTCACAAATTCATTTAGATTACTAACACCGGTACAGCTGTTGATAATGCTAGTATGGCACTTAACACATTATGATAAAAAATGCAACAGGAATACAAAAAGGGAAGTGTTAATCTCACCTGGATTAAAAAAAAGGTGAAAGCCTTACAGTAGTGGTGGAACTTTAACTGGGCCCTGATGCGTAAATGGTTTTTACCCGGCAGAAAAAAAGGAAGGGTATACTAGGCAGAAAGATGAGCATAAGCAAAGAATGTAAGATGTAGATAAGTATGATGAAACCTGGGGCTGGTGAACAGTTCTGTGGGCCCTATGTGGCCAGGCATATGATATGTGGCTATTCAGTAACGGGAAATAAAGCTAGAAAAATAAACTTGGGTTGAATTGGGAAGGGCTTTGAATGGTCTGCTGAAGAGCCCATAATAACTACTGCTACTTTTAGCACTTCCTATGTGCCAAGCAATGTGCTACCTGCTTTAAGTATGCATTCTCATTTTTCTCCTCACAAAGACTGCATGAAATCAGTATTGTTTTAATTCCATTTAAAATTGGCCCAGGACCTAAGTGGCAGAGCCAGGATATAAATCAGGTCTGTTTGGTGCCACAGCCCATGGTCTTAATCCCTCTGTGCACTGCCTAACATATTACGTCTCTGTTGGCAGGGCTCGCTGATCCGCCTCTTGTGTCCCAGGAATATTCTCACCTTATTTCCCCTCTTTCAGCTCCCTCCTTTAACTCTTTTATAGTAAAACATCTCTTGACACAACAAAATGAGTTAGAAGGAGGGGCTGCTGACTACTTCCACCAGTTCCAACTGGAAGGCTGTTTTGGGGAACATTAAGAATTAGCTGCTCCTCAAGCCTTGGTACTTCCAGACCCTACCTGAGGTAAATACACCTGTGCTTGGTTCATTAGTGCAACCTACTAACTGTTTCACTGGCAAAATGCCCCTACCTATTCCACAGTCATTGGATGAATTATCTGAAGTTATCTGGACATCTCTGGGGAAGAAGATATAACAGGGTTAATCCATTTCTAAACCTCTCTTAGAATTTTAGGAGATTCATCAAGAATGTCAGAAGAAAAAAAAAAGTCACAGCCACCCACCCACTCTCCTAATGACAGCTTAGATCTTCTCAGAGAAGAAATTTCCCATTTCTGGTGTGAATGTAATTTTCTCTGCTTTGGAGCCCTACCCTGTAATCTAGGGAAGCTGACATTTTCCATTCTGTAATAGGGTAAGGACATTGGTTTGATGATTTTCCTTTGCCAGAAGCTCTTTTTCTTTCATGGCATATGGTAGCCCTGGCTGCATCTGTTCTGATTGCCAAGAGCTTCACCATTTTCTAGGGAGTCTTTACAAAGACAATGGGTCAAAAACCATAAATCCATCCCCTCTATTGTTACAAGAGTCTTAGCCCCCTTACCATTTCTGTGAGGGTATGCCTGTCACCTGATTGGGGCCACACCTGTCACCCAATTAGAGTCAGATTTACATACTTAAATATATATATATACATATACATATGTAAAAATATATATATATATATATACTACCTTGGCCAACATAGTGAAACCCTGCCTCTACCAAAAAGACAAAAATTAGCCATGGGTGGTGATGCATGCCTGTATTCCCAGCTACCCGGGAGGCTGAGGCAGGAGAATCTCTTGAACTCGGAGGTGGAGGTTGCAGTGAGCTGAGATTGCGCCATTACACTCTAGCCTGGGTGACAGAGTGAGACTCCGTCTCAAAAAAAAAAAAAAAAAAAAAAAAAAAAAAAAAAAAAAAAAGCTGAATGGAAGCTCCAGAGATCATTAAATCTGTCTCCCAGGTTTCTGAAACAACTCTATCTAAATTGCCCTATGTATCTCTCTATAGAAATGAGGACTCCAAAGGGACAGACTCCCTCCCAGGTAACTGCCCCATTTCCCAAGTCCCAGTTCTTTCTGGGGCTTGGTTTTAGATCTAAAATCTGTGGTCAGATAGGTGATGCCTGTGATCTCTGGAGTAGCCCCTGTGGATCCTTATGCAAGGAGACTGTCCCCACCAATACCACCAGATATATATATAAGATATATATATATATATATATATATCTTATGTGAAATTTTTTTTGCCATTCCAAGTATCTCCCATGCTTTCTTTCTTACTTGGTCTGTGAGGTAGGCAAGATAAATACCATTGTCCTTCAATATATGAGGAAATTCAAATGTAACAAAATCAGTATTTTTTAAAGGGGAATCCAATTTGGAGTGGAAGTAAAATTAGAATGGAGGTCTTCTACTCTCAGCATTGTGGAGACTCTACTATATCACTTTGCTTAAATAAGGCATAAACAGGTTTTCCCCACTTCCCTACACACTCCAGTATTTGCATGCTAATTTTTTCCTTCATGACTTAAGAGCCTCTGAAGCTCTTAATGTTCTGGTTGAGGATATGTAGCCACCTAGAACTGACCAGACATTTGGAGAGGCCCTGGGAAGACCTGCTCCAGATTCAGGGTGCTGGCTGAGTGTACAATCTCAGTGTTATTAGGCTAAGTTTTGTTAGGTCTCTTCTGTGTCATAGTAATCAATAATACCTAACATTCTTCCATTGTTTTCTATGTACCAGGAAGAGTGCTGTGTGCTTTGCAGGGATTGTCTTGTTTACTTCTAACAACCCTATGGAGTAGATACTATTTTTTAATCTTAATTTTTCAAGCTCTTAACCATTCAAATTTGCTTCCACCCCAATACTGCAATACTAGAGACCTTCTAAAGAGTTTAATGACAGAGACTAGTGTTGAGGAGTTGATTTGTCATTCGTGTTTCCTTCCCTAAATCTATGTCCGATGCCTATTTTTAACAGCTTTTGGAGATATGTCACACCACATAATTCAGCCATTTGACGTGTATAATTCAATGTTTTCGGTACATTCACATACTTGTGTAACAATCACAACAACCAAATTTTATTTTATTTGTTTATTTGTTTTTTTGAGACAGAGTCTCGCTCTGTGGCCCAGGCTGGACTGTAATGGTGAGATCTCAGCTCACTGCAACCTCCACCTCCTGGGTTCAAGTGATCATCATGCCTCAGCCTCCCGAGTAGCTAGGACTACACGCACATGCCACCACGCCCGGCTAATTTTTGTATTTTTATTAGAGACAGGGTTTAACTATGTTAACATGGCTGGTCTCAATCTCCTGGCCTCAAGTGATCTGCCCTCCTTGGCCTCCTAAAGTGCTGGGATTACAGGCGTGAGCCACCACAATCAATTTTAGAACATTTTCGTCACTCCCTAAAGAACTGATCTCTATTTTGATGGTGTTTTGTTTTGTTTGGTTTTAATTTTGTGGAGTTGGATCTGGCCTGATTCCAGATCTTTTCTAGTCAAAGATCTAGAGCAGAGATCACAGACTCAAGTTGTGCAGGGGTCAAGTAGATAACACCAAAGAGTGACCAATCATCAACTCTGAAGTAGACCATGGCAAATCAGGAGTCTGCCCTTTGAGAGGGAGCCCCTGCAACTGAGCCATGTTGGAACGTAGTCCCAATTGCCTTTTAAAATAAGCCAGAAATACAGGCTTTTATAAGAAATTCCCTGGATTTTTTGGGTGATAGCAACTGAATTTCTTCAAAAACAAAAAACTATGTGGGGTAAGAAAATAATGTCTGTGGAATGGATTCAAAACTTGGGTCACTAGTTTGTGACCCTTGCATTGAAGAAACAAGGAAACTCTCTAAGTTTTTTTGGACATTATCCTCCCCTACCACTTGCCCATCTACCTAACTGGAATTTAAGTTATCTGCCCTTAGGGCTTTGATTTGAGTATAGTTTTGCCACAATATAAGAACATGGACTGGGTAGCTTCTTGACGGGCACAACAATACCTCTCTCTTCATACTGGTCCATCTTCAATCTGTGCCCACTTCTGAAGACAGACCTGAATGATATGTCCCTCATAACTTTCAAGAGCGACTGCACCTAGCAGATTTATCCTACTGGGCATCCAAGCCTGAAGCCTAGACTCAAGATGTGCCATCTGAAGCAAAGTGAGTCAAGCTCTTTCGGTCTCTAATTATATCCCTAACATCAAGATTGATGATGCCACAGAGCATCCATCACTGATATGTACCCTCCTCCTTTGGATTACATTGTCCACCAGGTGCTATGGCTTGCCTTTCATCATTAGGGCTAATTCTAAGGGCTGTATTTGTATGAATAACTACCTTAAAAGTTGTGTTAAGAATTAGAAATGATATGCACCAAATCTCTTGGATACTGTGTGGCCCCTGGCAGGTGCTCATTACAAAACACAGGTACTGATTATTCTTCTTCTGGAGTTATAGAGGAAACAAAGATTCCTGGTGAGAGAAAAAATAGCAGCACTTGACAAGTTCACCTTGCCAACAATAGAAATTCAAGGTTTTTGAAATACTGCAGCCTATCTGCAGAAATAAATAGACATAGCCTTCCTCAACCTAAGCCTTGCCTGATTTCTATATCACTTTGTTCCATTGTACACGAGAATGCAAGGCTCCAATTAGAATACTAGCCAGTGTTATGGATGTTTGGTTTGCTAAGCCGGTCAAGTAGAAAAAACATTAGTCTTGCACTAAACTCAGCACAACCACTGCATTCTCCTAGCAAGTCACATAAAAGTGCTGTTCTTGCAGGTGCGTATCTCACAGGCATTGGCTCTAGGTAATGAAAACCACAATTTTAAACAACATAGTAACTTTTTATCCACTATGATGCATGGGTTGAAATGATATAAGAAGGAGTGTGAGTTACATTGTGTCCCCCAGAAAGCTATATTGAAGTCCTAACTCCTGGTAACTGTTAATGTAAACTGATTTGGAAATACAGTCTTTACACATGCAATTAAGTTAAGATGAGATCATACTGGAGTAGGGTGGGTCCTTGGTCCAATATGACAGGTGTAAGACCAGAAGAGACATATGCACAGACAAACACAGAGGGGAGGCAGTTACACGAAGACACAGTCGCATAGAGGAAAGGTGGTCATGCAATGAGGGAGGGAGATATTGGAGTTACGCAGTTACAAACTAAGGAACATCAAGGATTGCCAGTAACAACTAGAAGCTAGGAAAGTGAGCCTGACTCTGTCAACACCTTGATTTCAGACTTTTGGCCTCCAGAACTGTAAGACAATAAATTTCTGTTGTTTTAAGCTGCACAGTTTGTTGTGCTTTGTTACCATGGTCCTAGGAAACTAATATAGGATGTATAGTAGAAGAAGCATGCCCTTGGAAGTCAGACAAATCTGGGTTCAAATCCTGGTTCTGTCATTTTCTAACCGTGGCCTTGGGCATATTATTTAACATCTCTGAGCCTCAATTTCTTCATTAATAAAATAGAAATAATACCAGTTATCCCACAGGGTTACTAAGAGCATTAAATAAAATCTTTAATAAAAAGTGTCTATCACATAAGAGTGGAGTTTTTTTTCAATTGTCATAAAGATACATTTCTGGAAAGCAAAAATCCACAATAGCTTCACACATGCATACCCTGCGATCCAGTAATTTCTAAGGTATATACACAATAGTAATTTCTAACGTATACAACAACTTCTAAGTATATATCCAATAGAAATGCATACCCTGCAGTGTTCACAGCAGCATCGTTCATGATTGTAAAAAAAATGTCATATATCCATTTACAGTAAAATGAATAAATAAATTATGGTACATTCACACAATAAAATACTACATAGCTATTAAAAATGAATTGATCTGTAATATATACAACAAAGAGGATAAATATCCCAAACAATTTTGAATGAAAGAAGCCAGAAATAAAACAACAACCCACTCTATGATTCAAAACATATATAAAATTCAAAAATCAGGCAAAACTAATATATACTATTAGAAGTCCTGATGGGCCTTACCCTTGAGAGGAAAAAGTAATTGAGAAGGGCATGAGTGAAGCTTCTGTTTCTAGATATGGTGGTTGGTTATATGAGTGTGTTCATTTTGAAAATTTTTCAAGCTATATACTTATATGTGCATTTCTTTTTATGTACATTTTATTTCAATAAAAAGTTTTAAAAATTTGTACCATTTGACCTAGCAATTTCATATCTAAAACTATGACCTAAGGGAAAATAAAATGTATGTCTGAGAATAGCATAATGATGTATATAATAGCTAGTGCGGAAAAATCTATGCAAATATCCAACAGGGGAGGCATGGTATAATTATTTATTATATACACATATAATGGAATATGAGATGTGGAAAGGGCTTTATATCTATCCTTCAACAGGAAACTTTTATTTCTTTGAACAACTCTCACAGGCTCTTAAGGGACCTTACAGTTAGGCCAAACCTGTCACATTGTGCCTCTGTATTTTTCACTTATAAAAAAGGAAAGTGACTTGCCTAAGTAATATGTCTGCTCAAGTCACCTTCTCTTCATGTCAAATACAGAAGAAAAATGAGAGTGAGAAGAATTAGGATTGGGCCACACACTATTTGGGTTTGAAGAACAATAGAACATCAGTCATCTGTTAGATGGCAAGGATTTCACCTTACATAGGATATTCAATCATTAATACTGGAGCAGGTGGCTAGACATTTCAAAAAGAAAGAAAGGTAGATCACAATTTTCTTCTTATACCAAAATAATGTCCAGATGGACCAAAGGGAATAACTGTAAAAGCAATACAAGAGAGCATTAGAGCCTTTTCAAAAAGTGATTTTGAAATGGAAAGGCCTTTCTAAACGAGACTTAAACCTCTGAAACCCAAAAAGGAAAAGACTACGCAAAGTTTAAAATGTATTCATGAAAAAAGTAATGCTATGGAAAATAATTTGTAGACAAATAACAAGCTGAGAAAAAAGTTTTCAAAACATGACAAAGAAAAACTTTTCTTAATACACAAAAATACTTTACAAATCTGAAGAAAACAGCCATAACCCAACAACAAAAAAAAGTGGGGAAAGGAAATGAACAAGCAGTTCACAGAAAAATATAAATAGTACCTGAAAAGAGCTAACCTTACATATAACTGTTACAAATTATTGAGTTCCTACTATGTACCAAATACTGAAATTTAAATTCTTATTTATTACTCAAACAATACTATGAGGTAGTTACTATTTTTTAACTAAATTTTTAATTTTTGTGGGTACATAGTAGGTATATATATTTATGGGGTTCGTGAGACACTTTGATACAGGCATGCAATGTGTAATGATCACATCAGGGTAAATGGGATATCTATCACCTCAAGCATTTATCGTTTGTGTTACAAACAATCCAATTCTACTCTTTTAGTTATTTAAATATGTGCAATTAAATTTTTTGATTATACTCACCCTGTTGTGCTACCAAACACTAGATCTTAGTAACTCTAATTTTTTCTACCCAATATCCACTCTCACTTTCTCCCCACCTGTCACTACCCTTCCCAGCCTCTTGTCACCATCCTTCTACCCTCTATCCCCATGAGTTCATTTGTTTTAATTTTTAGCTCCCCAAAATAAATGAGAACATGCAAAGTTTGCCTTTCTGTGCCTGACTTATTTTACTTAACATAATGAGTTCCAGTTCCTTCTATGTTGTTACAAATAAGATCTCATTCCTTTTTAAGCTGAATAGTACTCCACTTGTATATGTACCATATTTTCTTTATCCAGTCATCTGTTGATGGACACTTAGGTTGCTTCCAAGTCTTGGCTATTGTAAATAGTGCAGCAATAAACATTGGAGTGCAGATCTCTCCTCAATATACTGATTTCCTTTTTGGGGGTATATATCTAGCAGTGGAATTGGTAGATCACATGATAGCTCAATTTTCAGGTTTTTGAGGAACTTCCAAACTATTCTCCACAGTTGTATTAATTTACATCCCCACCAACAGGTGCATGGGTTCTCTTTTCTCCACATCCCTGCTAGCAGTTGCTATTCCCTCACTTTTTGGATGTAAGCCATTTTAACTGGGGTGAGATGATATCTCATCATAGTTTTGATTTGCATTTCTCTGATGGTCAGTGATGCTGAGCATCTTTTCATATGCCTGTTTGCCATTTGCATGTCTTCCTTTGAGAAATGTTTATTCAAATCTTTTGCCCATTTTTATATGATTATTTATACTTTTTCATATTGAGTTGTTTGAGCTCCTTATATATTCTAGTTATTAATCCCTTGTCAGATGGATAGTTTACATGTATTTTCTCCTATTATGTGGGTTGTCTCTTCACTTTGTTGATTGTTTCCTTTACTGTGCAGAAGCTTTGTAACTTACTGTGATACCATTTAACCGTCTTTGCTTTGGTTACCTGTGTTTGTGGAGTATTACTCAAAATATATTTGCCCCACCCAATGTCTTGAAGAGTCTCCTCAAGATTTTCCTTTAATAGTTTGATAGCTTGAGGTCTTAGATTTAAGATTCAAATCCATTTTGATTTGGTGTTTGTATATGGTGAGAGATAGAGGTCTAGTTTCATTCTTCTGCATATGGATATCCAGTTTTCCCACCACCATTTATTGAAGAGACTGACCTTTCCTTAATGTATGTTCTTGGCACCTCTGTTTAAAATGAGTTTAATGTACATGTATGAATTTGTTTCTGACTTTTCTACTCTGCTTGATTGGTCCAGGTGTCTGTTGTTATGCTGGTACCATGCTGTTTTGGTTAATATAGCTTTGTAGTATAATTTGAAGTCAGGTAATGTGATTCTTCCAGTTCTGTTCTTTTTGCTCATGATAGCTTTGGCTATTCTGGGTCTTTTGCGTTTTTATATAAATTTGACAATTGTTATTTCCATTCCTGTGAAGAATATCATTGTTATTTTAATAGATATTCTGTTGAACTTGTAGATTGTTTTGGGTATTATGGAGATTTTAACAATATTGATTCTTCCAATCCATAAACATAAAATATATTTCTATTTCTTTGTGTGTCCTCTTCAATTTTTTTCACCAGTGTTTTATAGTTTTCATTGCAAAGATCTTTCACTACTTTAGTTATGTTGATTCCTAGTATTTAATTTTGTTTGTAGCTATTGTAAATGGCATTACTTTCTTATTTCTTTTTCAGATTGTTCACTGTTGGCATATAGAAATGTTACTGATTTTTATATGTTGATTTTGTATCCTGCAACCTTACTGAATTTGTTGATAAATTCTAATAGTTTCTTGGTGGAGTCTTTAGGTTTTTACAAATAGAAGATCATATCATCTACAAATGAAGATAATTTGGCTTCTTCCTTTCCAATTTAGATATCCTTTATTTCTTTCTCTTGTTTAATTGTACTAGCTAGGAGTTCCGGTACTATGTTGAATACTAGTGTTGACAGTGGGCATCCTTATCATTTTCTAGTTCTCAGAAGAAAGGCTTTCAGATTTTCCCCATTTAGTATGATGCTAACTGTGTGTCCATCATATATGTCTTTTATTATGTTGAAGTATATTCCTTCTATACCCAGTTTATTGAGGGTTTTTATTATGGAGAGATACCGAATTTTATCATATGCTTTCTAAGTATCAATTGAAATGATAATATGGTATTTGTCCTTCATTCTCTTGACATGATGTATCACACTGATTGATTTGCATATGTTGAGCCATCCTTGTGTTCCTGAGATAAACCCCACTTGGTCATTCTGAATGATCTCTTTAATGTATTATGGAATTTCATTTGCTAGTATTTTGATGAGGATTTTTGCATCAATGTTCATCAGGGATATTGGCATATAGTTTCCTTTCTTTGATGTGTCTTTGTCTGGTTTTGTTATCAGGGTAATACTGGCCTCATAGAATGAGTTATGAAGGATTCTCTCCTCCTCAATTTTTTGGAATAGTTTACTTAGGATTGGTATAAGTCTTTTAAATGTTTGGTAAAATTCAGCAGGGAATCCATCAGTTCCCTGGCTTCTGTTTGCTAGGAGACTTTTTATTACAGCTTTGATGTTGTTCCTTGTTATTGGTCTGTTCCCATTTTGGATTTCTTCATGGTTCAATTCTGGTAAGTTGTATGTGTCTAGGAATTCATTTATTTATTCTGTTTTCTAGTTTATTGGCATATAGTAGCTTCCAATGATCCTTTGCATTTCTGCAGTATCAGCTGTAATCTCTCCATTTTCATCGCTGATTTTATTTATTTGAGACCTCTCCTTTTTCATTCTGGTTAAAGTTTTGTTGATTTTGCTGCTCTTTCAAAAAAACCAACTTTTCATTTTGTATATCTTCT
This sequence comes from Homo sapiens, assembly GCF_000001405.40. Classification (NCBI taxonomy): domain Eukaryota; kingdom Metazoa; phylum Chordata; class Mammalia; order Primates; family Hominidae; genus Homo; species Homo sapiens. Next base: position 112,410,916 of record NC_000023.11, on the reverse strand, counting down.
GTGTTCTGTGTTTTAATTTTATTTATTTCTGCTCTGATCTTTATTTATTTTATTCTACTAATAATGATTTTGGTTTGTCCTTGCATTTCTCATTCTTTAAGATACATCATTATGTTGTTTATTTGAAGTTTTTCTTATTTTTTGATGTAGGCACTTCTAGCTATAAACTTTCTTCTTAGTACTACTTTTGCTGTATCCCACAGGTTTTGGCATATTGTGTTTCCATTATCATTTGTTTCAATAAATTTTTAAATTTCCTTGTTTATTTCTTCATACACCAACCTGTCATTCTGGAGCATATTGTTTAATTTCCATGTGTTTTTATAGTTTCCAAAATTCCTCTTGTTATTGATTCCTCATTTTATTCACTTTTCTTCAGAGAAGATACTTGATATAATTTTATTTTTTAAAAAGATTTAAGACTAGTTTTGTGAAGTAACATATAGTCTGTCCTTGAGAATGATCTATGTGATGAGGAGAATAATGTGTATTCTGCAGCCAATGGATGAAATGTTCTATAAATATCTATTAGGTCCACTTGGTCTACAGTGCAGATTAAGTTCAATGTTTCTTTATTGATTTTCTATCTGGATAAGCTGTCCAATACTGAAAGTGGGTTGTTGAATTCCACAGAAATTATTGTACTGGGGTCTATCTCTCTCTAGTTTAATAATATTTGCTTCATATCTTTATATATCTGTGTACTCCAGTGTTGGGTGCATATACATTAACAATTGTTATATCCTCTTGCTGAATCGACCCCTTTATCACTATATAAACTTCCTTGTCTCTTTTTATAGTTTTTTGTTCTAAAGTCTATTTTGTCTGATATAACTATAGCTATTCCCGATTTTTTAAATTTCTATTTGCATGGAATATCTTTTGCCATTCCTTTATGTTTAATCTACATGTGTCTTTACAGGTACAGTGTTATTCTTGTAGACAATACATTGTTGAGTCTTGTTTTTTTTTTAATTCATTCATCCACTTTATGTCTTTTGATTGGAGATTTTAGTCCATTTACATTCAATGTAATTATTGATAAGTAAGAACTTACACTTGCTTTTTTGTTATTTATTTTCCTGTGGTTTGGGTCTTCTCTTCCTTCTTCCCTTCTTTCCTGTCTTCTTTTTAGTGAAGATGGTTTTCCCTGGTGGTATGTTTTAATTTATTGCTTTTAATTTTTTTTTTTTTTCGAGATGGAGCCTCACTCTGTCGCCCAGGCTGGAGTGCAGTGGTGCTGTCTTGGTTCACTGCAACCTCCACCTCCCGGGTTCAAGTGATTCTCCTGCCTCAGCCTCCTGAGTAGCTGGGATTACAGGTGCCTGCCATCACACCCAGGTAATTTTTTGTATTTTTAGTAGAGACGGGGTTTCACCATGTTGATCAAGCTGGTCTCGAACTCCCGACCTCGTGATCCACCCACCTCGGCCTCCCAAAGTGCTGGGGATTACACGCGTGAGCCACTGCACCTGGCCCTGTTGCTTTTAATTTTTAAGTCTCCATTGTATGTTTTTTGATTTGAGGTTACCATGAGGCTTGCAAATAACACCTTATAACCCATTATTTTAAACTGATAACAACTTAACACTGAATAAATAAACAAAGCAAAAACATAAAAATTCTACACCTTAACTTTGTCTCCAAGCTTTTTAACTTTTGGTTGTTTCTATTTGTTTTTATTGTATGGCTTATGTCTTCAAAAGTTGTAGTTATTATTTTGATTGTTTCCTGGTTTAGTCTTTCTACTTAATAGTAGTTTACACACCACAGATACAGTGTTATAATATTCTGTGTTTCTCTGTGCACTTACAATTAACAGTCAGTTTTATAACTTCAGACAATTGCTTCTTGCTCATTATCATCCTTTTCTTTCAGACTTAAAAATGCCCTTTAGCATTTCTTGTAGGTAATATCTGGTGTTGATGATATCTCTCAGCTTTTGTTTGTCGGGGAAAGTCTTTATTTCTCTTCATTTTTGAAGGATACTTTCACTGGATATACTATGCTAGGCTGAAAGATTTTTCCTTCAGCACTTTAACTATGTCATGCCACTTTCTCCACGGAAAGGTTTCCTGTAAGGTTTCCACTGAAAAGTCTGCTGCCAGACATACTGGCGCTCCATTGTATCTTATTTGTTCCTTTTCTCCTGCTGCTTTTAGAATCTTTTCTTTATCTTTTACCTTTGGGAGTTTGAATATTAAATGCCTTGAGGTAATCTTCTTTAGGTTAAATCTGCTTGGTGTTCTATCATCTTTTTGTACTTGCATATTGATATATTTCTCAAAGTTTGGGAATGCCTCTGATATTATCCCTTTGAATAAACTTTCTACCCCATCTCTTTCTCTACCTACTTCATAAGGTCAATAAATTTTATATTTGCCCTTTTGAGACTATTTTCCTAATCTTGTAGGTGTGCTTCATTTTTTTAATTCTTTTTTTTATTTTATCCCTGCTGACTGTTCATTTTCAAATAGCCTGTCTCCACGCTCACTAATTCTTTCTTCTGCTTGATCAATCCAGCTATTAATAGACTCTAATGCATTATTCAGTATGTCAATTGCATTTTTTCAACTCCAGAATTTCTGTTTGACTCTTTTTTAATTATTTCAATCTCTTCATTAAATTTATCTTATAAGATTCTGAATTCCTTCTCTGTGTTACCTGGAATTTCTTTGAGTTTCCTCAACACAGCTATTTTAAATTATCTATCTGAAAGGTCACATATCTCTGTCTTTTTAGAATTGGTCCTTGGTGCCTTATTTAGTTTGTTCTGTGAGGTCATGTTTCGATGGATGGTCTTGATGCTTGTGGATATTTGTTAGTTTCTAGTCATTGAAGAGTTACATATTGATTTTACTCTTTGCAGTCTGGGCTTGTTTCTACCCATCCTTCTTGGGAAGGCTTTCCAGAAATTCAAAAGGACTTTGGTGCTATCACCTAAGCTGTAATTACTTTATGGGGAACCTCCAGCCCAGTAATGCTGTTGTTCCTGCAGACTCACTAAGGTACTGCTTTCATGCTCGGACAAAATTTGGAAGAATTATTGGGTTTAGCAGGCAGAAACTATTGTTCTCTTCTCTCACTTTCTCCCAAACAGAGTCTCTCTGTCCGTTCTGAGCTTCCTGGAGCTGGGGGTAGAGTAACACAAGCACCACTGTGGCCATCACTACTAGGACTGTGCTGGATCACATCTGATGCCATCACAGCCCTGTGTCTCATACAAGGCTTGCTATAACCACTCTTTGCCTACCACTTGTGTTCACTCAAGGCCCTGGGGCTGTACAATCAGCAGGTGGCAAAGACAGTAAGGCTTGTTTCCTTGCCTTCAGGGTGATGAGTGCCTCCAGGCCCCAGGTGTGTCAAGAGTTGCCATCCAGGGGCCAGGGACTGCAGTCAAAAACCTTAGTAGTCTACCTGGTGTTCTAGTATATGGTGGCTGAAGTGGCACTCGAACTACAAGATGCAGTCCTTCCTGCTCTTTGCTACCATTTCCAAAGGTAGAGGAGCCTCACTCCATGGTTACTGCCACCACAGGCCCACAGGGAGTACTACCAGACTACCACCAATGTTCCCTTGAGGTCCAAGGCCCCTGCAGTCAGCTGTGGTGAATTCTGCCTGGCCTGGGACTCCCCTTCAGAGCACTGGGCTTCCCTTTGGTTCAGGCAAGGTCCAAAACTGCTGTCCAAAGGTCAAGTCCTGGAATCGGGGACCCCAAGAGCCCACTTGGTGCTTTACTCTCCTGTGGCTGAGCTGGTTCCTTAGGTATAAGACAAAGTCCACTTTACCTTTGCCTTTGCTTTTCTCAAGCAGAAGTCTTGCCTCATAGCCATCATATCTGGGGATGTGCAGAGTCTCATCTGAAGCCAGCAAGTCTGTGTATCTCACCCAAGGCCCTCGATGTAGTATCTGGGTATCACTGCTGATTATTCAGGGACACAGGGCTCTTCAGTTAGCAGGTAATAAAGTCTGCCAGAACTGGGTCCTTCCCTTCAAGGAAGCAGGTACCCTTCTGTCCCAGCATATATCTGGAAATGTCATCTGGGAGCTAGGGCCTGGAAAGGGGGCCCGAAGACTGACTAGTATTCTAACTTGCTGTGGCTGAGCTGCTATCCAAGATGCAGGACAATGTGTTCCCCACTCTGTCCTCTCCTCTCCTCAAGCAGATGGAAGGAGTCTCTTTTGCAGCTGCAAGCTGTGCAGCCTGGGGTTAGGGTAGAGGTGATGCCATCACTCCTTTAGCCACTTCAGTTGGTGTCTCAGTAGGTTGCATTTCCCCCAGTTCTCTGGCTCTGATATAGTTTAGATGTTTTCCCACCAAATCACATGTCAATATGTAATTCCCAGTGTTGGAGGGGGGGCATGGTGGGAGGTGACTGGATTATAGGGGTGGTTTCTCATGAATGGTTTAGCACCGTCCCCTTATACTGTCCTCATGATAGTGAGTTCATTCTCATGAGATTTGGTAATTTAAAACTGTGACACCTCTCCCCTCGCTCTCTCTTCCTCCTGCTCTGGCCATGTGAAGTGCCTGCTCCCACTTTGCCTCCTGCCATATTTTATGTTTCTTGAGGCCTCCCCAGAAACTCAACAGATGCCAGCACAGTGCTTTCTGTACAGCCTGTGGAACCATGAATCAATTAAACCACTTTTCTTTACAAATGATCCAGTTTCAGATATTTCTTTATAGCAATGTGAGAACAGACTAATATAGGTTCTGAGGCCAGTTCAGCACTAGGACTTGCCTAGAAGTTGCAGTCATTGTGGCTTAGACTTCCTTTCAAGTTTATTTAGGTCCCTAGAGCACTTTGGCTCACGGTGGCAAGTGTTACAGGAACTCAAGTTCCAACTGTTGGGATCAGAAATTTCCCTCTGGCTAGGGGTGGTTTAAATGCTCCCTCCACATGGAGGGTCAGCTGAGTTAAGTATGGTTTTTCATTCTGCGATAACAGGAGAGCACTGAGTTCAATGCCTCACAGTTGCTGAATTCTCCCCTCCCCAGGGGACAAAAACACTCTCTTCACTATGCCATTGCTGCTGGGAGGTGGAGGAGGGGTGGTGTTGGTGATTCAAGTCTTTTTTTCCTGCCTCTTTAGTGCCTCTTTCAGTGATATGAAGTTAAAACCAAGGAGCGTTAGTGGTCACCTGTATTTTGGTTCTTATAAAGGTGCTTTTTTTGTGTAGATAGCTGTTAAATTGCTGTCCTTGCAGGGGGAGGACAATTGGTAGAGTCTTCTCTTCCACTATCTTGCTCCGCCTCCAGAACCTGTATTGTTAATAAGCATTTAGAATGCATAGCCTCCATCTACTACCTCAAGCAGCTAATTTTTCCAAGCACAAGCTGCTACAAACTTCTGAACTTTGTTCAGAGAAAAGCAAAGCATGTCCTGGAAAGAGAAGCAAGCTACTTCATTCACTTAAAGAACACCCACACCAGAAGAAATAACACCACAGGAATTGTGTTATAATATTTGCCCTGCATTTGTAAATGGGAAAATAGTTCATTTGAGGTTTGGAGTGTGATTTCCCCATATCCTTGTCCTTTAGACACCTTTATGTGTTGGGGTTGTATAATATGGAGAAAAGTAAGTGATGCTTTTTTCTGATCTATGCCTATTAGTGGCCAGAAAATGGAGATAGGAAGCTCTGCTCTGTGTCTAGGGTTTTTATTTTCTTGTTGAAGTTCTCAAATTGTAGTAGTATTGTGTTAATCTGGTTTCTGACTCTTTTTTTGAGTGTGTGGCCCTAAAGTGAGTTACTGAGAAACTGTTTAAATGTTTGTCCAGATAAACTTAAAGAAAAAGGCAAGGTTTGCCTTTCCATGCTGAGGCAGCATGGCTAACCCTTCATAGATGATCGTTTCTTAAAGTGTGAGCCACCGATCACCTGGATCAGTACCTCCACTGACATATGCAGACACATATACTCCACCCTGACCTGCACAATCAGAATTTCTGAGGATGAGGCCTTGGAATCTGCATCACCTGGGTGATTTTGACGCAAAAAGAAGTTAGCAACTATGTCAAGATTACTATTAGAAGGAAGCATCTGTCCAGGTATTATACTTTCTTAAACTCTTTAAATGTGTGTTCCAGGGAAATAGACCCAAAAAATGTCACGGAAAATCAGCATACTTCAGCTATGACAACTGGGAACAGAAACTCCCATGGTGCAAAGCTATGACTAGAATGCTATTAAAGCACTTTTTCTGCCTTTGCAGCAAATCTGCAATATTTCTTCATGGTCCCTTTGGAAGTGATGTGGCAGATTTAGGTGAGTTCAAACAAATATTCTGTCTTGAAACAATACCAGGTTAGTACTTTCTTTTTTACTATAAAACTTCAAATCTTCTAGCTGGCTTCTTCTGTTACAGCCACCAACAAACTTCCCCAACTACTTTATGTGGAGCAGGCAGGCATAAGAAGGGGACGCAAAGAGAAAAAACGGAGACTCTGGGATAAATATATTTTGTGAAGGTGGAATATATTGAGAATATATTCAACTTAGAGTAGAGGTTACAAACACAAATGAAGTCAGGAAGGGAAAAGAAAACTGTACACTGAGTTGGACAAATAAAACACTCGGCTCTTTTAGTTTAATATGTTTTCTTACTTTTGATAGAGATGCAGGTATAAAATATCAGTTTCATTTTCAATACAGCATATGAATACGACAATGTAATTGTGCTAATAAACAGTAACTGAAATTCATCCTCAATGTCATAAGAAGTGGTGGGGTTTGTAGTAAACTGGAGGAGCCCATGCCCCACATAAACAGTGAACCAGCAACACAAGGCATAATAATAAATGGCAACTACACTTGGCCTCAGTGCCAGGAAGACAATCAGAAGGGAGAAATGGGGGGTGTAAACTGGAGAGATCAGGCTAAAAGGGAGTATCACTCCTCTAGCTGATCCCTTAAGAAATGAGCACCTTTTGTTTCTTGATTTTATGATTCATTCAGAAAAGTTAAAAATCTGGATATTTATGTGTGATCTCTTGATTTTTAAATGCTGGTAACTAATTCCATGTTTCAAAAAAAGTTCAAAAAGAAACAAATTAAACTAAACACTGTGTTTGTCAGGGCTGACTGTTTCTGACTTCTGAACTGAGGAATATTTAACCCATTTATAGTTTTCAACCATCAAGAAAAAATAAACTAACAAAAAGAAGAGCCAGGTGATAAAACCAAGAATTTGTCTAGCAGGTGAGAAAAGAAGAGTTTCCTCAGAATCTAAGAGTAGATAGAACATGAAGGCAGAGATAAATATCAGGAGCGATAAATATCAGGAGCACTGGAGGCAGCAGAGTGGTCACAAATCATTTGTCAATCCTGGATGGTACCTCAGAGATTGTATAGTTCAGCCCTCTAATTTTACAGATGAGACACCTAAAGCACAGGGGTTAAGTGGGTTTCTCAAAGTCAAATAGCCAGTTAGGGCCTTAGTCTCATGATGCTCAGTCATTCCACTAGACAAAGCTTTCTGTAGGGGTCAGTTCAGTGAACTCACTAATGAAGCATCTGTGAAAAAAGAGATGACCAATACCTTCTAGCAATTCAATTGACATGCCTTTGATTATTTTTCTCCTTGTAGCTGGCTGTGAAACACCTGATTGTGGGTGAAATTTGTGGTTCCTACGCACAACAAACAGCTTTGTGGATTATAGTCTGTTTACTAAAGCCAATTTGGTGGGGCAAGTAAATGAAAAAGAAAGAAGGGCCAAACTGTGAGCATTTTCTTTTGGTAGGGAAACGGGCAATGGTTGCAAAGGTTGGGGGGGATGCATTTATTCCAACCACATGTACATAAAACCAAGAAGCTGTGTTGTTTCCATTTCACTACTTCAGAAGCCTAAGAATGAATTCTGAGTTTAACAGGGCAAAGTGTGATTTCAGAAGCCTTAAAATACTATTCATACCGCATACTAAATTACTCAAAACAAATTCAAGACGTTCGCTTCTGTGAAATCCTTTCACAGTTCCCTGCTTTCTTTCCTTTATTTAGCACACTTTCATTTCCAAGAAAGTCGGCTGACAAATTTTTTTTCTCTGTCCTTCCTTAAAGCTGTCTGGTTCTTCAGATTTTGGCCAGTACCTGATTGCTCATCCTAGAGGTACCATGACATAGTTGTGTCATCTTTCGCTTTCTCTCTTCCTTTTCTATAGATGGATGTTTATTCCTAAGCCATCAAGGTCTAGAGCTCTGAGCTTTTCTCAACTTCTTTATCACAATGATTCACTTACAGATTTCCCAAGAAGGAGCTGCTAAATTCACTAAGGAATGAGTGAAGTGATGCAAGCACAGCTCCTGCCATCAAGACAGGTCTGTATTCCAAATTCCCAGCTCAGACTCACTAATCAAGGATTTGCTTCTGAAAACTTAGGAATGAGCAGTGGTCAGAAAGCACAAGTGAATTTCAGCATAACATGGATAAACATGGTCTCAAACTGTCTTAGAAAACAGCATTTTTACACACACACACACACACACACACACACACACACACACACACACAATAATAATTCCGCAAAGAAATGAGCTAAACCTCAGTTGAATGGCTTTTCACTAGTCAGTGAGGATTTATTGATAAACACCATGTGCTTGCAAGATACTGAGAGAAGGAAAACGTGTGATTTGCATCTCCAAGAACCTTAAATTGTATATGAGGAGCCAAAAACTTACCAGGCATGAAATAATCAGATAGATACTTAGCAGTTAGAGTATGAGGTATCCTGAGGAAGTACAATAAGAACTTATAAAATAAAGACATCCGCATATTCTGAAGCATTAAGCAAAAGCTTCATGGAAGAAGAGAGGCTTGAGTTGGTTCTTGAGAGATAGATAGGACTTGGATGGATGGAGAAGAAGGTACACTAAGCTAGAAGAACAGCAGGTATGGGGGCAGAAATAGTAGGATGGACAATAGGGAAAAACCGGTCCAGAATGAGGCTGAATATTCACGTAGGTGAGTAGTGGGATAGAAAATTGTATAGAAACATGGAATAAGTGTCCTAAAAGTAAGGCAGAAGGGTTGATGTTTAATGTGTCTGGCAATAGGGAGCTATTGAAATTTCTTGCACAGGGATCTGAGTTGATTAAAGTATTTAAGGAAGAATATCTGGCAGTAACATCCAACAGAGTGGGAAGAAAGAAATGAAGTTTGTTAGGCTATAGCATTAATGCAAATTTGAGGTGAAGGCAGCTAGTTTTCAGAGACAGGAAGTGGGTAAGGTAATGAAAATTTAACAGTTTAAATCAGAGTTACTTAGAATTAAAGGGTGTTAATGTAAAAAAAAAGTCTAGAATTTTTCTAAAGAGGGTATTCACTATATAGGTTACATTGAAGCCAAGAATGTATAAGTTATTTCTCTCTAAGATTACCTAACTGGGTAGTTAGTGGCACAGCATGGACTAGAATCCAGGCATTTTGACACCTTAAAAAGTGCACTTTGCAATACAACACACCAAGCTGTTGAATTGAAATGAGAGCAAGATGTTGAAATGAAAATCCTTTCAGGCAGCAGTAGATAGGATATAGATACACAGATGGGATGGTACCTGGACCCACAATGGTGGATGAGCCTTAAGAGGGGAAAATGTACAGATAAGAATAGAGACATATAGATTATGGGGTGAGTGGAGGAAGGGTAATTACAAAAAACAAGGGGATAATCAAGAGGAAATCATGTCACAGGAACTAAGAGAAAGGAGAGTTTCAAAAGTAAAGGATAGAAAACTTCTACTTTGGGCTAAGATGGAATAACCAAGTCTAGATTTGCCCTCTGGACTGAAACAATGAAAACAATGAACAAAATATATGAAATAACAATTACCAAGATATTTGACGTCAGACAATGAAATACAGTGATCCCTGACAGATGGACGAAAAACAAGGGGAGCCCTATTATTGGCTCATCTTGCTGCCTTGAGAGTGTTTCCAAGCCCCAGTACAAGGAGTGGGAACCTGAGTCAATTTTGATCATCTCCTTGAGTTGAAGAGACAGAGCTGAGAGTCTAGGGAGACCAAGGCAGCTTGAGTTTGCAGAAGAGAGTACCAAAGAAGGGAGAGCTTCACAAAAGGAGAACTATAGAGATTTGCACAGTGTCCCTTCAGGTATTCAACTGAGTACTTACCTTAGTAATGGAAATAATTAGCCCTAGACTAAACACTGCTGCAATATTCCACCTATTAAATCTTTAAAGCAAGCCCAGAAAGATTATTCTGTTTTAAAGTACATGTCCAAGAACAAAGCTCAAGACTATCAAAATAGAGAAATATCCAGCATCCAGTAAAATAAAATTAACAATGTCTGTCTTCCAAACAAAAATTACTAGGCAGACAAAAAAGGAGGTAAATATATATATTAAGAGAAGAAGACAGTTAATCAAAACTGACACAGAAATGACACAGATGGCAGAATTAGTAGACAGTGACATTTAAAGTTAACTGTATTCCATATGTTCAAGAAACTAGAAGAAGGATTGGACATGCTAAAAAAGATTTGAAAAATAAAAAAGAACACAATGAAGTTCTAGATATGTAAACTTAATTAATGTCAGAGCGGATATTACAGAAGAAAAGATTGGTGAACTTGAATAAATAGCAATAAAAATGATCCCAAACGAAACATAATAGAGATAATATTCGGGAAAATAGAGCATCAGACAGAGCTGTGAAATCACCTCAAATAATTGCTGTAAGTATAACTGGGGGTCTCTGAAGTAGAGGAGAAAGCAGAGGGATAGAAAATATATTTGAAGAAATAATTTCCAAAATTTTTCTATGTTTGATGAAAACTATAAATCAGTAGATATAAGAAGCTCAAAAACCCTAAGAACAATAAATATTAAGAAAATTATACCAAAGCAACTGATAAAGAGAAAATCTCACAAGCAGGGAAAAAGGACACATTAATTACAGAGGAATGAAGATATTATAAAAATGACAGCAGATATCTCTTCAAAACCAGAAGAATACAGTAGAGTAGTAGCTTTTTAATATTATAAAATGAAGAATGAAATAACCTGTCAAACTACAACACTTTACCCAGAGAAAATATCTTCCCAAAACAAAAAAGATATCAAGGCTTTTTGAGCTATATAAAAGCTGAAATAATTCCCCTCCAACAGACCCATTCTCTAAGAAATGTAAAAGGAAGTCTTTTGTAGAGAAGAAAACTGATACTACATGGAAATCTAGATTGATCAAAATGAATGAAGAGCCCCAAGAATAGCAACAACATGGGTAAATATACACTTTTCTTATCGCCTAACTCACTTTTAAAGATAATCAACTGTTTGAAGAAAAAAAATTGGAAACTAGATAACAACATTCTTTAAAAAACACGGGTCAAGGAAGAAACCAAATTGGAAATTATTTTGAGCTGCATCAAAATCAAGACACACTATATCAAAATTCAAGGGATGCAGCTAAAGCAGTAATTAGAGGGAAATTTACAGCATTATGATTTCTTTTACATTAGAAAAGAAATAAATCAAATCAACAACTTCAGAGTCCACCTTAAAAAACTAGAAAAAAAGAGCAAACACACACCAAAATACAAAGAAAAGCTATAATAGAGGCCAGAGCTGAAACCTATAAAATAGAAAAACAATAGAGAAAATCAATGAAATCAAAAGCTGACTCACTGAGAATATCAATAAAATAGGTAAACCTTTAGCCAGATTCTTCAGCAAATAAAAAAGAGGGTTGAAGGCAGAAAGAGAGCAGAGACTTACACAATCAATATCAGAAATGAGAGTGGCAACATTACTAAAGATTCTATAGTTATAAAAATGAGGAACTATAATGAACATTTTTATGCTGCTAAATCCAACAACCTAAATGAAATGAATGAATTCCTTGAAAGACACAAACTATCAAGGTTCAACCAAGAAGACATAGAAAATCTCAATAGCCTGTCATTATTTAAAGGAATTAACTTCACACTTTGAAACTTTACCACAAAGACATCTTTTGGTCCAGATAGCTTTATTGGGAAATTCTACGAAATATTTAAAAAAGAAATAATAACAATTCTATAACTCATCCCTAAAACTGAAGAGGTGAGACTTGTTCTCTAATTAGCCTATGAGGCTAGCATTACTCTGATATCAAAAACAAAGGCTTTACAAGAAAAGAAAACTACTATTCAATATCCTTCATGAAGATAGAAACAAAAAAAGTTAACAACATTTTAGAAAATCTGATCCAACAGGCCAGGTGCGGTGGCTCACGCCTGTAATCCCAGCACTTTGGGAGGCCGAGGCGGGCGGATCACGACGTCAGGAAATCGAGACCATCCTGGCTAACATGGTGAAAACCCGTCTCTACTAAAAATACAAAAAATTAGCCGAGTGTGGTGGCAGGCGCCTGTGGTCCCAGCTACTTGGGAGGCTGAGGCAGGAGAATGGCGTGAACCAGGAAAGTGGAGCTTGCAGTGAGCTGAGATCACACCACTGCACTCCAGCCTGGGCGACAGAGGGAGACTCTGTCTCAAAAAAAAAAAAAAAAAAAAAGAAAGAAAGAAAATCTGATCCAACAATATACAAAAGGGACAATGTGACCAAGTGGAGTTTGTCTCAGGAATAAAAGTTTAGTACAACAAACATTTAGAAAGCAAAAAATGTATTACAATTCACCATCTTCTCAGATCGCAAAAGCAAAACCACATGACCATCTCAATAGATACAGAAGAAGAATTTGACAAAAACCAGCACCAGTTCCTGATAAAAGCTCTATGCAAACTAGTAATAGAAGGAAATTTCCTCAACATGATAAAGAGCACCTACAAAAAACTTGAAGCTAACATCATACTTTGGTGAAAGAGTGAATGATTTCCCCCTAATATTACCCTAAGAATGTAAGAACATCTACTCTCAACACTCTTAATCAGCATTATATAGGAAGATCTAGCAATTTGATAAGGCAAGAAAAGGGATAAAAGGCAACTGAATAGAAAAAGAAGTAAATCTGTTCCTATCACCAGACAATATGAATGCTCAGGTAAAAAATCCCAAGGAATCTTCAAAAAGCTACTAGAAATAAGTGAATTTAGCAGTGTTAAAGGGTATAAGGTCAATTCACAGAAATCTAGTGTATTTCTATATATAAGCAACATACAATTGTAAGCAAAATTTTAAATTCAGTTCCATGTACAATATGACTAAAGGTATAAAATTCTTAAGTATAAACTTTCTAAAACATGTATAAGATCTATAGGCTGGAAAGTGTAAGACACCGATGAAAGAAGTCAATGAAAACAAATAAATGGAAATATATATTATGTTCATGCATTGGAAAGCTCAACACTTAAGATGTCTGTTTTCTTCTCACTGATCTATAAATTCAGCTCAGTGTAACAAAAATCTCAGCAGAAATTTTTGTGGAAATTGGTAATCTGATTTTAAAATGTGTATGGAAGAATTTAAAATGTGATCAAGAAGAATCATACAGAATTCCAAATAAATTACAGTTGGCCCTCCATATCACAGGGTCTGCATCAATTAATTCAACTAACCATGGATGAAAAAAAGCCTAGAATGATAATAATATAAAAATAAAGAACAAATAAAAACGATATAATAGAACAACTATTTACACATCATTTACTCTGCATTAGGTATTTTAAGTAATCTAGAGATGATTTAAAGTATACAGGAAAATGTATATAGGATATATGAAAATACTACACCACTTATATAAGATAATTGAGCATCCAAATTTTGGTATAATGGGGATACTGGAAGCAATCTCCAATAGATAGATACCAAGAAATGACTGTATGTAGACGCTCCACACCTTAAGTAGGTGCTGTGCATAGTGCCATCTTTCCAAAGACAATAGTATGAAAAATGGGAGTAGAGGTGGTAGAATAACTTCACATGGAGAAATCTGTTTTGTCTAGGTGATTGTAAGTCAATGTAAACTCATGCAATTTACCTCTGTGATATTCCTCCCCAAATTCCAGAACCCAGTCTAATTATAAGAAAAACATCAGACAAATTCCCAAGAAGGGGCATGCTACAATAAACCCGACCAGTATTCCTCAACACTGTCAAGGCCATCAAAAACCAGAAGTCTGAGAACCTGCCACAGCCAAGAGGAGGCTAAGAATACCTGATAATGAAAAGTGATGTAGTATACTGGTTGGGATCTTAAATAGAAATAGAACAATAGACAAAAACAAAGGCGATCTGAAAAAAATGTATGAACTTTAATTAATAATAATGCGTCAATATTGTTTCATTAGTTGTACCAAATGTCTCATACTAACATAAGATATTAATAATAGGAGAAATTATGGGTGGGGGGGATATAATATGAGAACCCTGTACTTTCTGCTCAATTTTTCCGTATGTCTAAAACTAGTCTAGGAGGGTCAGAACAAGGTGGCCAAATAAAAAGCTCCATGGATTATCACCACCCCCACAACAAGAACACCAAATTTAACAACTATCTACACACAAAAAGCACCTTTATAATAACGAAAAATCAGGTGAGCACTCACAGTACCTGATTTTGACTTCATATTGCAAAAAGAGGCACTGATGAGGGTAGGAAAGAGAGTCTTGAATAACTGATGCCACTTTTCCACTATGCCTTGGTAGTGGGTAGTGGCCACATGATGAATAGAGAGAATCTGTGCATTTGGGAGAGGGACAGCACAGCAATTGAGACATTGCACTGAACTCACAGCAGAAAGTAAAACCGTGCTGAAATTCGCTGACATGCACCCATGGACGGAGTTCTCAAACCAACCGTACCCAAAAGAGAATTGCCCATTCCAGCAATCAGAATTGGAACTCTGGCAAGCCTTATGTGTCAAATAAAAATTTGTTTAATTATATGATTTTCCAGATTGCTATTTGATAACATAGAGTCAAATAGTAGATAGGATCTTGGAGTTTAAAAGAATCAAATTTCTAAATTCTTACCATAACAATCTGGAAAATCATATAATTAAACAAATTTTTATTTGACACATAAGAATATCCCTCACCAATCTCAACCTCAATTAACAATGGGTACATGACACAATAGTGCCATGTTTGACTTTTGTATTGGGTTATAAGTCCCAGGACATGCTAGTGAAATGGTGTCCCAAAGCAATCCTTGAGGCTCAGCCAAGAGGCTCAATATAATTACTGAGAGGATAATTCTGCCCTCTAAAGTTGCTTCTCTGAAGCCGTTTATGCACCACTTTGACACAGGTTGCTTGTGTTAGAGTCATGCGTGACAGGATGAGGCAGAGGTGGAAACTTATTGAAAGATAGGCAAGTCTACGAAAATCATTTTTTCAGGACTCTTCTAACTAAGATAACCATGTATTTTAATTAATATAGTGGCCTGTCAGCTTTCTATTTCAGGGTGAGAATAAATTTTATTTATTAAGTAATATAAAGAGTTCTTTAATATTAAATAATTTCTATTTTTGTTGATTTTAGGAATTATGTTAGTTTTAAATTTTTTAAGTAAATTTTATTTTATATATTTGAAGTTTACAACATGATGTTATAGGATACATATAGATAGTAAAATATAGTAAAATAGATGAATATGAAGCACATTGAGACATCTATTCTCTCCTTTAGTTACTTTTTTGTGACAAGTGCAGCAAATTTTATCAGGGATTTTTGTTAAATAAGTATATTTTAGCTGATTTTCAATTTTTTAAACCCTATTTTTCATAGCATGCTAATGTTTTAAAGGTTTCTGTATGTGAGGAATGAAATTTCTTTTGTCACTAGATTTTTTTTCTGTTTGGCTAACATCAGTAATAGCTTTCAACTAGTGTGTCATGAAGTCTTCAGTGTACACTGACCCCATTATTAATTGGTTGGTTCTAATGGTAGATTTACAATAGATAACATCTCTTTCTGAAAATAACTAGCTGAGACAAAAGTCAAAACATTTCTAATATTTGGGGAGTTTTGTTGCTGAACTTAAAAAGAAACCAAAAAATTCAGTTAACAAAACACCCACATGCTGATGAACTAAAGTATTAAGGTAGCAATAGTGGAAATTTTAAATCTCCTTGTAAATCGTTAGTACATAAAATTTAATACTAACCATAAAAAGAATTTACCATACTTTCAAATTATTTTATCCTGAGATAAAGTGGGTAATGGGGAAATCTTATTTATTAAAAAATAGATTTAAATGTTTCAGTATCTTCACTTCTTATAAAAGTGCGTGCAAATGAAAGAAAAAAATTATCTCCTGCAAAATATCTTCTTTAAATTTGAACTTTATTCAAGGTACCCTCTTGTTATTCCATAGCTAATTGGCTTGCATGAAACTAATGCACAAATGAAAGTAAGAGAGCTACAACTAATTTGATAATTTATAGTCTGGAGTGTTAGGCTCAGTATGAAAATTAAAATTACTTTAAAGATAATTATTTTATATCTCATCTTTTAAATAATCAAATCAATAGTCTTACAAATCATACCAGTATAAAAATTCTGTTTCATAAAAAACGTACAGTCAGAGGAGGCAAAAGAAAAAAGAATAAAAATCAAAAAAGAACAATTAAAGAAAGATGGATGACTATTAAGAGAAGCAACTAGTGTGTGCATCTCTCATGGAGAGGAATGGAAGGAATGAGTAAATACAGCACCCTCAGCTGAAACATTCAGGTACATGCATTATTGGTACTAATCAAGGAAACAACCCAACCCACGGAGAATGGAGAAAAGCAAGGCAAGAAGGCAAGAAGACAACCCACCCGGAGTGACATGGAGCCAGGGAACCTCCCAAACCCAGAGAACCTCCCCCATCCAGGGAACCAGTGAGTGAATGTGAGACCCTGGGAACCCACACTTCACCCATCGATCTTTGCAATTCTCAGGTCAGGAGATTCCCCCTTGTGAGCCCACTCCTCCAGGGCCTTCGATCTCACATAAGAGCTACATGGAGTCTTGACAGAGCAGCTGCTCTGGCACACGCAGAGACCCAAAAGCCTTGGATACACAGGCTTTCCAGGCTTCCCAGCAAAAGTAGCTGCAACTCTAACAAACTGAGTGGTTAGGCCCCCATACATACTTGTAGGAAAGGAGCTGCATCCAGCGGGCTGAGCAGCAACAGTCTGTAGACTCAGCTTCCGTGACACCCCACAGGATAAGACCCACTGGTTTGGAATTCCAGCCAGCCACAGGTAGCAGCATTGCACCTCCCTGAGACGGAGCTCCCACAGGGAGGGAGTTTGCCGCCATCATTGCTGTTTGGCTGACTTAGCCATTCCAGCTTTAAGGCTTTGGGGAGTCCAAGCCAACCAGGGCTGAAGCGATTCCCCAGCACAGCACATTTGATCTATGAAAACAAGGTCAGACTGCTTTTTAAAGTGGGTCTCCAATCTTCTTCCTACTCACTGGGAAGGACCTCCCAATTGGGATCTCCAGCCACCCCTATTGATGTTCTCCAGCTGACAAAGATTTGAAACCTCCTGGGGATAAAGATCCCAGAAGGATGGATGGGCTGCCATCTTTGCGATTTCGGTGACTTAGCCATTCCAGCTTCTGGGCTTTGAAGAGCACCAGCTGATTGGGGGCAGAAGCGGTACCCCAGCACAACACAGCTGCTCTATGAACAATGGTCAGACTGTCCCAGCTACTCAGGAGGCTGAGGCAGGAGAATCGCGTGAACCCGGGAGGCGGAGGTTGCAGTGAGCCGAGATCGCGCCACTGCACTCCAGCCTCGTGACATAGGGAGACTGTCAAAAAACAAACAAACAAACAAACAAAAAAAAAAAACAAAAAAAAAAAAAGAAAGAAAGAAAGAAAAAGAAAAGAAAAAAGAAAAATGGTCAGACTGCTTTTATAAGCGGGCCCCCAATCCCATTCCTCTTCACTGGGTGGGACTTCCCAACTGATGTCTCCAGCCACCCCTGTCAGTGCTCTCTGGCCAACAGAGACTTCAAACCTCCCTGGGACAGAGCTCCCAGAAGGAGGGGCAGGCCATCATCTTTGCTGTTTGGGTGACCTAGCTCTTCCAGCCTTTGGGCTTTGGAGAGTCCAAGGTAATTGGGGGCTGAAGCAGTCCCCCAGCACAGCACAGCTGCTCTATGAAAATGTGGCCAGATTGCTTTTTAAAGAGGGTATTCAATCCCATTCCTCCTCTCTGGGTGAGACTTCCTAACTGGGGTCTCCAGCTATCCCCATCGGTGTTCTCCAACTGACAAAGTTTTCCAACTTCTCTGAGATGGGAGGGGTGAGCCACCATCTTTGCTGTTTGGGCAACTCAGCTGCTCAGGCCTTCGGGCTTTGAAGTGTTCGAGGTGACCAGGGGCTAAAGGAGCACAGGACTGCTGCTCCATGAAAATGTGGCCAAACTTGTTTTTAAAGCAGATCTCTGATCCCATTCCTCCTCACTGTTGACACCTTCTGACTGGGGTCTCCAGCCACCTCCTACAAGTGTGTTCTGAATGGCAACAGGTCCGTACCTCCCTGGGATGGAGTTCCCAGAGGGAGGAAAAGGCCACCATCTGTGCTGTTTTGCAGCCTTCACTATTGATACCTCCAGTTACTAAAAAATCGGAGGTGACTAGGGAAAAGAGTGGGCCCCCAGCATACCACAGCAGCCTTATGGACAAGTGTCCGGACTGTTATGTGGGTGCCCATTCCCATATCTCCTCACCGTGCAGGTTCTCCAGGCCTGGGCCTCCAGCCACCATCCACCAGAGCTATGGAGCCAGTAGCAGCTCTGTAACTCCCTGGACAGAGCCCCCAGGGGCAACTGAAAATCTCTCTGCCACTGCGTCTGTTGTGGAACTGCCCTTGCTACCCTCAGACTAATGAAGGAGCAAAGACCCTAAGTTCCTTATCCATACTTCTAACGAGCTACTGTCAACCCAAGGAGAGGAGGCCATTCCATCTCCCAGAGGTCCAACCCACCCACACCCTGCTCATCACCAGACAGGGAACTCCTGGCTTGAGCCCCAAACACAGACCCTCCATCCTGGGCTGACTGGACTGAACAATTGCTAACATGCATCTCTCTGGGGGTGGAGCCCCCAGGAGACAACAAAAGACCCTTGCTCACAACCACTACTGATGTCCCTTTCTCTTCTGTCTCCAAGTTTTGGAAGGAACATAAACACTGAGATTGCACCTAGAGCTGCAGTGGGCAGCCCAGGAGTGCCAAGCCACAATCTATAGCCAGCACTCAATGAGGAGAGGAACCTATACTTTTGGAGCATTGAGAGGGAACACAGCTGCAACTGTGAGGAAACAGAGGAGCTACACAATCAAGCAAGAGTCTACCAACTGACCAAAACACCTAAGTGCCACCTACTAGATCACACCCCAAAGCTTCAACACCAAAAATAACCTCACTAACACACTCACCTCTGAAACCAAAGACAAGAAGTCAGCTACAAATAAAGATCCTACGCAAAGCCTTGGCCCTGTGAAAACATTCATAAAAATAGACCATTGACTGTACTCAATCTCCAGTGCAGTTAAAGGAGCACCCACACACAGAGATGAGAAAGAACCAATTCAAGAACTCCAGTAACTCAAATGGCCAGAATGTTGTATGTCCTCCAAACGACCACATCAGTTCTCCACCGAGTTCTTAAGCAGGCTGAGCTGGCTGGAATGACAGAAATAGAATTCAGAATAAATAGAGGAATGAAGATCATCGAGATTCAGTAGAATGGCAACACCCAATCCAAGGAAACTAAGAATCACAATAAAACAATACAGGAGCTGAAGGACAAAACAGCCAATGTAAAAAAGAACCCAACGAATCTGAGACATCTGAAAAACACAATACAAGAATTTCACAAGGCAATCAAGTATTAATAGCAGAATAAACCAAGCTGAGGAAAGAATCTCAGAAATTGAAGACTGGCTTTCTGAAATAATACAGTCAGACAAAAATAAAAAAGAATAAAAAGAAATGAGCAAAAACTCTGAGAAGTATAGGATTATGTAAAAAGGCCAAATATACAAATCATTGGCACCCTTAAAAGGGAGAGGGAGAAAGCAAACAACCTGGAAAACATATTTCAGGATATTGTCCATGAAAACTTCCTCAACCTTGCTAGAACAGCCAACAGTCAAATTCAGAAAATACAGAGAACTCCTGTAAGATTCTACATAAGAAGATTATCCTCTAAACACATAATCAGCAGATTTTCCAAGGTCAAAATGAAAGAAAAAATGTTAAAGGCAGCCAGAGAGAAAGGACAGGTCACTGACAAAGGGAACCCCATCAGGTTACCAAAGGGAACCCCATCAGGCTACCTGCAGACTTCTCAACTGAAACCCTACAAGTTAGAAGAGATTGGGGGCATATATTCAACATTCTTAAAAAAAAATCTTCAACTGAAAATTTCATATCCAGTCAAACTAAGCTTCCTAAATGAAGGAGAAATAAGATTCCTTTCAGACAAGCAAATGTTGCAGGAGTTTGTTACCACCAGACATGCCTTATAAGATATATTTTTTTCTTTTTTTTGAAACAGAGTCTCACCGTGTCACCCAGGCTGGACTGCAGTGGCATGATCCGGGCTCACTACAAAATCTGTCTCCTGGGTTCAAGCGAGTCTCGTGCCTTAGCCTCCTGAGTAGCTGGGACTACAGGAGTGCACCACCATGCCCATTTAATTTTTTATTTTTAGTACAGATGGGTTTTCACCATGTTGGCCAGGCTGCTCTCAAACTTCTGGCCTCAAGAGATCCACTTCCCTCAGCCTCCCAAATTGCTGGGGTTGCAAACGTGAGCCATGGCACCTGGCCACGATCCTAAATATATATATATATATATATATATATATATATATATATATATATATATATATATTATATATAAATGCCCCAACAGAGGGGCACCCAGGTTCATAAAGCAAATCCTTAGAGACCTACAAAGAGCCACAGACTCCCACACAATAATAGTGGGAGACTTCAATACTTCACTGACAATATTAGACAGATCATTGAGGCAGAAAATTAACAAAGATATTCAGCACCTGATCTCAACTTTGGACAAAATGGATCTGATGGACCTCTAAAGAACTCTCCACCTCAAAACAACAGATTATACATTCTTCTCATCACCATATGGCACACACTCTAAAATCAACTACATAATTGGACATAAAAGAATCCTGAGCAAATGAAACACAAATGAAATCATACCAAAAACATTCTCAGACCACAGGACAATAAAAATAAAAGTTAAAACTATGAAAATTACTCAAAACCATGCAATTACATGGAAATTAAACAACATGCTCCTGAATGACTTTTAGGTAAATAATGAAATTAAGGCAGAAATCAAGAAGTTATTTGAAACTAATAATGAGAACAAAAATACAATATACCAGAATCTCTGGGACATAGCTAAGGCAATGTTAAGGGGGAAATCATAGAACTAAATGCCCACATCAAAAAGTTAGAAAGATCTCAAATTAAAAACCTAACATCACAACTAAAAAATTAGATAAGCAAGAACAAATCAACCCCAAAGCTAGCAGAAGACAAGAAATAACAAATATCAGACCTGAACTGGAGAAAACTGAGACACGAAAAACCATTCAAAATATCAACAAATCCAGGAGTTGTTTTTTTTTTTTTTGAGAAAATTAACATGATAGCTAGAACAGTAGCTAGAATAATTAAGAAAAAAAGAAGATCTAAGTAAACACAATTAGAAATGATGAAGGAAATGTTACCACTGACCCCACAGAAATAAACTATGCACACAAACTAGAAAACCTAGAAAAGATGGATAAATTCCTGGACACATACACCCTCCCAAGACTGAACCAGGAAGAAATTGATTCCCTGAGCAGACTAATAACAAGCACTGAAATTTAATCAGTAATAAATAATTTACCAACCAAAAAGGAAAAAAAAGGCCCAGGACCTGAATGGATCCACAGCCAAATTCTACCATATGTACAAAAAAAGAGAGCTGGTATCATTCCTACTAAAATTATTTCAAAAAATTGAGGAGAAAGGACTCCTCCCCAACTCATTCTACAATGCCAGTATCATCCTGGTACCAAAATCAGGCAGAGACAAAACAAAGAAAGAAAACAGCAGGCCAATATCCTTGATGAACATCGATGCAAAAATCCTCAACAAAATACTTGCAAACCGAATTTAACAGCACATCGAAAAGCTATTCCACCACAACCAAGTAGGCTTCATCCCTGGGATGTGAGGTTGGTTCAACCTACATAACTCAACAAATGTGATTCATCATATAAAGCGAATTAAGGGCAAAAACCACAGAGTTATCTCAATAGACGCAGAAAAGACTTTCGGTAGAATTCAATGACCCTTCATGTTAAAATCTCTCAATAAACTAGGTATCAAAGTAACATACCTCAAAATGAGAAGAGCCATCTATGGCAAACCCACAACCAACATCATACTGAATGGGTAAAAACTGGAAGCATTTCCCTTGAAAACTGGCACAAAATGAGGATGCCCTCTATCACCACTCCAATTCAACGTAGAATTGAACGTCTTAGCTAGAGCAATCAGGCAAGATAAAACAATAGAGGGCATTCAAATACAAAGAGAAGTCAAACTATCCCTGTTTGTAGATGACATGATTCTATATCTAGAAAAACCCATAATCTCAGCCCCAAATCTCCTACAGATGATAAACAATTTCAGCAAAGTCTCAGGATACAAAATCAATGTACAAAAATTACTAGCATTCCTATACACCAACAGCAGCCAAGCTAAAAGCCAAATCTGGAAGGCAATCCTGTTCATAATTGCCACAAAAATAAAATATGTAGGAATATAGCTAACCAGAGAGGTGAAAGATTCCTACAGTGAGAACCACAACATTACTCAAAGAAATCAGAAATAACAGAAACAAATGGAAAACATTCCATGCTCATGAATAGGAAGAATCAATATTATTAAAATGGCCATAATGCCCCAAACAATATATAAATTCCATGCTCTTCTATCAAACTACTAATGACATTCTTCATAGAACTAGAAAAAACCTATTTTAAAGTTCATAAAGAACCATAAAAGAGCTCAGATAGCCAAGGCAATCATAAACAAAAAGAGCAAAGCTGGAGGCATCATGTTACCCAACTTCAAACTATACTATGGGGATATACAAACCAAAACAGCATGGTACTGGTACACAACCAGACACGTAGACCAATGGAAGAGAATAGACAGCCCAGGAATAAGACTGCACAACTACAACCATCTGATATTCAACACAGCAGACAAAAACAAAAACAAGCAATGGGGAAAAGACTCCTTATTCAATAAATGGTGCTGAGATAACTGGCTAGTCATATGTAAAAGAATGAAGCTGGACCCCTTCATCACATTCAGATTCTTTTGTCCCACTGGCTGATCCCTTGATCTGGTGCTCTCTCCCTTTCCCTAGGAATGGGTCTTCCTGAGAGCCAGACTGCAGTGATTTTTATTGCCCTTCTGGGTCTGGCCATCCAGCAGGGCTACCAGGCTCCAGGATGGTGCTGAGAAATGTCTGCAAAAAGTCCTGTGATGTGATCTGTCTTTAGGTCTCCCAGCCATGGATACTAGCAGTGAAAAAAAAAAAAAAAGATAAATAGGTGGGACTTAATTAAAGAGCTTCTGCACAGCAAAAAGAACAGTCAGCAGAGTAAACAGACAACCCACAAAGTGGGAGAAAATTTCACAATCTATACATCCAACAAAGCACTAATATCCAGAATCTACAACGAACTCAAATCAGAAAAAAAAAATCAAAAAGTGGGCTAAGGACATGAATAGACAATTTTCAAAAGAATATACAAATGGCCGACAAATGTATGAAAAAAATGCTCAACATCACTAATGATCAGGGAAATGCAAATCAAAATCACAATGCGATACCACCTTACTCCTTCAAGAATGGCCATAATCAAAAAAATAAAAAAAAAATAGATGTTGGCATGAATGTGGTGAAAAGGGAACACTTATACACTGCTGGTGGGAATGTAAACTAGTACAACCACTTTGGAAACGGTGTGGAGATTCCATAAAGAGCTAAAAGTAGAACTACCATTTGATCCAGAAATCCCACTACTGGGTATCTACCCACAGGAAAATAAGTCATTATTTGAAGAAGATACTTGCACATGCATGTTTACAGCAGCACAATTCCCAATTGAAAAAATATGAAAGCAGCCCAAAAGCCCATCATTCAATGAGTGGATAAAGAAATTGTGGCATACATATATGATGGAATAGTACTTAGCCATAAAAAGGAACGAATTAATGGCATTCGCAGCAACCTGAATGGAACTGGAAAACTATTATTCTAAGTGAAGTAACTCAGGAATGGAACAGCAAACATTGTATGTTCTCACTCATAAGTGGAAGATAAGCTATGAGGATACAAAAACATAAGAATGGTACAATGGATTTTGGGGACTTGGGGGAAAGGGTGGGAGGGGGGTGAGGGATAAAAGACTACAAATTGGGTTCAGTGAATACTGCTTGGGTGATGGGTGCACCAAAATCTCAGAAATCATCACTAACAAACTTACACATGTAACCAAATACTACCTGTTCCCGAAAAACCTATGGGAAAAAAAGTTAAAAAGGAAGAATAAATAAGACCTAGTGTTTGCTAGCACAAAAGGGTGACTTTGGTCCAAAATAATTTAACTGTAAATTTTACAATAACTAAAAGAGTATAATTGAATTGTTTGTAACACAAAGGATAAATGCTTGAGGTAATGGACACGCCATTTACCCTGATATGATTATTATGCATTGCATGCATGAATAAAAATATCTCATGTATACCATACACCTATGTACTCAAAAAATTAAATATTAAAACATAAAATAAAACTATTGTAAAATTAAAGCCTATTAATATAAAATTTTAAGTCCATGTGGAATTTGAAAACCTAGACATTAATTCCTTTAAAACAATTCTAAGTGCTCTTCAAAATGTCTTTGTGTACCTGCAGGGAACTAAACCCCAAATATCACTTAACATCCCTTCCCAGTAAATCCAGATATCTTCTGCAAGGAAGCACAGAAGAACAGCAGAAATATTAGCATCTGAGCATCTTTATCCAAAAATCTGAGCTTTGCTTAAAAGGAATGTTTAAATTTCATAATCTGGAGCAAAATTTTTTTTTGCCATTCCCCAACCCCTGACTAACATGTGGTTGTTTGTGTAAAATGTCAAATCAGATTTAGACAAAATAAAGACTCCTTTGCCAGAAAAAAATGTTATATCCAAAGACACAAGAACTAGAATAGGTAAGACAGTTTTGAAAGAGAATAAAGTAGAAAGAATCATTCTCTCCAGTTTGAAGATTTTCTATCCAGATACATACAATAGTCACGATTGTGGGGTATTGGTGGAGCGATAGACACGAAGATCAAGTAAACACAAAATAACATCCAGAAACAGACCTACACATATATGGTCAATTGATTTTTGACAAAGGTAAAAAGCCTTTTAATGAATGATAGTCTTTTCAACAAATGCTGTTGAAAATACTGTCTTCAAGTTTTACAAATTGTTACTGCAAAAAAAAAAATACACTTTTACCCCTATCTTGTACCTTATTCAATAATTAATTTCAAATGAATCACAGACCTGGATGAAAAGCCTAAAACTATAAAACTTCTAGAATAAAACATAGCATACAATCTGGGGATCATAGGTTAGACAAGGTTTCTTCAAGTGCATAATCTTAAAAAAGAAAAAAAAATTATAGACCAGATTTCATCAAAATTTAAAATATTTGTTCTGTGAAAGCCTTAAGAGAGTGAAAAGAGAAGACACAGACTGGATGAAAATATTTCCAAAACAGATATCTGATGAAAGACTTGTTTCCAGAATAAAAACTTTTCCAAAATCAATAATAAGATACAAAATAAATGTGCAAAAATCACAAGCATTCCTATACACCAACAGTAGACAAGCAGAGAGCCAAATCATGAGTGAACTCCCATTCACAATTGCTATAAAGAGAATAAAATACCTAGGAATACAACTTGCAAGAGATGTGAAGGATTTCTTCAAGGAGAACTACAAACCACTGCTCAAGGAAATAAGAGAGGACACAAACAAATGGAAAAACATTCCGTGCTCATGGATAGGAAGAATCAATATCATGAAAATGGTCATACTGCCCAAAGTAATTTATAGATTCAATGCTAGTCCCATCAAGCTACCAGTGACTTTTTTTGCAGAATTAGAAAAAACTACTTTAAATTTAATATGGAATCAAAAAAGAGCTTGTACTGCCAAGACAATCCTAAGCAAAAAGAACAAAGCTGGAGGCATCACACTACCTAACTTCAAATTATACTACAAGGCTACAGTAACCAAAACAGCATTGTACTGGCACCAAAACAGATATATAGACCAATGGAATGGAACAGAGGCCTCAGAAATAACACCAGATATCTAAAACCATCTGATCTTTGACAAAACCTGACAAAAACAAGTAATGGGGAGAGGATTCCCTATTTAATGAATGGTGCTGGGAAAACTAGCTAGCCATATGCAGAAAACAGAAACTGGCCCCCTTCCTTACACCTTATACAAAAATTAACTCAAGATGGATTAAACACTTAAATGTAAAACCCAAAACCATAAAAACCATAGAAGAAAACGTGGGCCATACCATTTAGGACATAGGCATGGGCAAAGACTTCATGGCTAAAACACCAAAAACAATTGCAACAAAAGCAAAAATTGACAGATGGGATCTAATCAAACTTTAAGTTCTGGGATACAGGTGCAGAACGTGCACTCACTGATGGTGAGAATGTAAAATATTTCAGCCACTTTGAAAATTTGGGGTATTTCTTATAAAATTAATCATGTCCTTATAATATAATCCAGAAACCCCACTTCTAGGTACTCATTCAAGTGAAATTAAAATGTATGTTTACACAAAAATCCCTTACAGAAATATTCTGTGTGTTTTAAAATAACTTTAACTTTTATTTTAGATTCAGGGGGTACATTTGCATGATGCTGAGTATATTGCATGATGCTGAGGTTTGGGATACAAACGGTCTCATCACCCAGGTAGTGAGCATAATACCCAACAGTTAGGTTTTTAACCCTTGCCCCACTCTAGTATCCCTCTATGTCTATTGTTGCCATCTCTATGTCCATGTGTACCCAATGTTTAACTCCTACTTGTAAGTGAGAACATGTTATATTTGATTTTCTTTTCCTGTGTTATTTCACTTAGGATAATGGCCTCCAGCTGCATCCATGTTGCTGCAAAGGATGTGATTTCACTCTTTTTTATGGCTGTGTAGTATTCCATAGTATATATGTATATTTTCTTTATCCAGTCCACCATTGGTGGGCACCCAGGTTTATTCGTGTCTTCCCCTTCAGAAATATTTTTTTCCAGTGGATAAATGTTTTTATTTAATAACATTGTTTAATAAAAAACTACATATTTAACAGAAAAGTTGTTAAAGCTACAAGGTAAAGGCACATTGAAGGAGAATCCTTTTTAAATCCAATTTTCAGGGAATTCAATTTACATGTAAATAAAGCGGAAAATGCAGGAAAATTATTTTGAAGTTTTTCATCACTAACAATTTCTGGGAAACAAAGTTCATCCTATTTTCCCATAGAGGACCCATGTTAAAATATGAGATTATATTCCCCTATACTAGGATTCAGCATTCAAATAAATCACTAGTCCAACTTCAATGTTGTAGAACCCCCAAAAAATATAACTATCCTAGAAATATATAATTTAAAATATACAGTTATACTAAATGGGAATAAACATATGGTACACATTAATTACAAAAGATACTTCATGTACTAGAAAGTGCACCTGTAAGAAAATTAATAAATGACCTAAAACTAAAGCATTTAGGATAACAAACATCATTTTACTTGCTATCTTTTAGAATGCTGCTAGGGAAATCGATGGCACTTAAAAAAAAGTTGTCCAAATATTTCAACTTTTTTTGGATAGGTTTTCCTGAAATGAGCGGAGGCATTCAGTCACCTCAATGCTACAGGTGTTTCTTCAAATAAAACATTTTCAAAAGAGCTGACCTAATATATGTCTCCTTCATCTTTTCTTACCTTCTCAATTAAACTTGTAGGGGCTTAGCAACAGATGAAAGGTCACTCTGCCTAGCACTTACTGGACTTGCTGTTATCAGAATGCTTTTTCACTCATAAGAAAACTAAAAGGAGCTACCTGGTCACTGGCACAAACTCACGAAGAGCTTATAAAAACTGCTTTTGTCTGCTAAGTTGGTCAAAAGGAATGAGGATAAACTGATACTGGTTATTTACTGAGCAGAACGCTATTCAAAGTCTATTTGGAATGCTATCCTTAAAGGTACTTTCTCTATAAAGAAATATAATTTAGCTAGATGAAATAAATCACAACTGTTTTCACCTCCTTAGGTTGGTTTCCTTTAGCTAGTTTGATGTATGGTAAATGGCTAGGTTAGGGTCATGTGTTAGGTTAACAGGAGGTTTGTGGAATAGCTTATTAACAAGAGTATTTAAAGAAAAAGCTAGTTAAGGGAAGCTGGTTACCAAATATCTAGTAGGACTGTTGGATAAAACCATCTAATCCTTCACTCCAACACATCATGATAGAGATTTTACAATAGCAATCTGGAATCCAAAAGCCTTTCTAACCAGGTTAATGTAGCACTTAAGAGTACTTGCTCCAGTTCTTATTTAATCAGTGTTATTTTAGGAGTTACTTTGGATTAATCCTTGATTTGGTGCCTTGGGGAAGACTGGGTGTGGTCTTTGGAACATCCTATTTAGGCACTGATTATGACTTCCTTGCAGTCTCTGCCTCGCCCGGATTAAGGACTCCAGATACCACTGTTCCTGCTGCAGCTGCTGCTTCCTGTTTTCTAAGTGGCTTTGAGTAGCCGTTAGTTTCTGGGCTTGCTCAATTAGCTGCAGTAATTCCTTCTTGAACTGCTGGTTCTCTCTCTTGATGCCAGAGGAGTATTCAAAAATAAACCGCTTTGCTGCCAACTTCAAGGCCTGGGCCTTCATATTAAGCTCTCTTCTTTTTCTCTTTCCCAATAGCCTCTTGTCTGGCTCGCTCAGTTGTTTCTCCAGTAATCTTTTCTCCTGGAGGAGCTGAGCCTGTACTTCCCGTGTCTTTGCAGCTGTCTCAGCTTGGACTTTCTTTGTCTCCTCCTGTAATGTCTGTATTTCTTTCTCCTGCTTTTCCTTTAATATAGCAATGTCCCTCATTGCCTGCAACTTCCGCTTCAAACTGGATTGGATATTTTCCTTTTGCAAGAGCGCTGCTTTAAGCACTGAAATTTGTTCGGCACACCTGAAGGCTGATTCTTGTCTTCTTCGCTCAATCTCTCTACTTTTTTGTAAATAGCTGTTCCATACCTTCTCAGGTTGCTTTGTGTACTCTTCAGTTTTGTTAGTCAGGTATTCCAGAAAGAATCTGTTTTCAGCCTGGACAAGTAACTTTTCTCGGTGTAGCTCCCTGGATTCCTCCAGTAGCTGTTCCCGCTGGGTTTGAGCTTGTTTTATATGCTTGTTCAGATCCGTCATTTCCGCCACTATCTTTTCTTTAAGGCTTGTCTCTACCTTTGTTAGCTTCTCTGGCTTGACAAAATTATTTATTAGACTATGATACGGTGGAAGGAGCCTTCTGGGGCCCTCAGCAAACCTAGTCGCACCTGGAATCCAAGCATTCATCCTGAAGGTCACGGCAACTGTGAAGTTCACTGAGGGTGACTGCCAAGGAATGAGCGCTAGCATCAGGAACCTGCGTCTGCAACTCGCGGGAACAATGTGCAAGTGCGGAAAGCTCCCGTAGTTTATCCGTTCGGTGCTCAAAGGGTCTCGGTGCTGCCCAGCAACCCTGGAGGCTGCACCCTGCTCCAGTCCGGGCTGGTCCAGCCCTGAACTGTTTAACCGCCTCGGCTACCGAATAAACCCGAGCAGCCGGTCCTCCAGTGGCTCCACTCCCCGTTCTCTGTGGGCTCAAAATGACAGGCATGCTCCTCGTTTTCTTGCTGTGTGAGCCCTGCCCTCGGGACCCCATCTCTTCTGGCCTTCCTCCAGGGGACAAAAGCCCTCCCAGGCTGCAGAGATCAGCGCCCTTTTCCTAGCTCCCTTCAGCCTTCGTCTCGCTTGCTCCGCGCCCCCACTTCCTCGCCACTGTCACTAGTTGACTCACCAGCCCTGCCCGACGCTAAGAAGATGCCCTGGCAACGGCCGCGCCCCTTCACCCGCTCCTTTCTGACGCTTTGGTTCTGTTTTCGTTCGCAGCCCAGAACATCATGGAAGTTTCTCTAGCCATGCGGTGTCTCTATGGTCGGGTGGGCGGGGCCCCGGAAATATTTTGAGTGATTTTATTGATAATCCATAATCACAAAACTGGAAACAATCCAAACTTCCTTCAGTGGCTGCATGGGTAAACAAACTGTAGTTCCTCCTTATAATGAAATACTACTCTTTGATAAAAGGTTTAAAAAAATTGATCCCGGGCCAGGTGCGGTGGCTCACGCCTGTAATCCCAGCACTTTGGGAGGCCGAGGCGGGCAGATCACGAGGTTAGGGGATCGAGACCATCCTGGCTAAAACACAGTGAAACCCCATCTCTACTAAAAATACAAAAACAAAATTAGCTGGGTGTGGTGGTGGGCTTCTGTAGTCCCAGCTACTAGGGAGGCTGAGGCGGGAGAATGGCGTGAACCCGGGAGGCGGAGCTTGCAGTGAGTCGAGTTTGTGCCACTGCGCTCCAGCCTGGGCAACACAGCGAGACTCCATCTCAAAAAAAAAAAAAATTGATCTTCATGCTTGAATGAATCTCAAATCCATTATTCTTAGTGAAAGAAGTGAGAGTCAAAAGGCTACTTACTGTATGATTGAATTCATATGACATTTTGGAAAAGCCAAGCCTATAAGGACCAAGAACAGATCAGTGATTTCCAGAGTTGAGATATGTGAGTTTAGTACAATAAGGAGTATGAGGAAATTTTTTCAGGTGATTGAATTGTTCTTTATCTTGATTGATGATGATGGTTAGTGGACTGCATGCTTTACACAAAAATCATAGAACCGTACTCCATAAGAGTGAAATTTACTGTATATAAATTAATAATTACTATTAAAATATTCCAACTAAAATCAGCTAATGTATATCACATTAAAAACATAAAAAAACTTATGATCATGTCAATAGATGCATAAAAAGTGTGATAAATATCAACAACTACTGAGAAGCAAAAAATGAATTGCTAGAAAATTATAAATAAAAAGAAGTGTCTGATCAACACACATTTAAAACATGTGCAGCAGACATCATATTCAGTGGTGAAATGTTATAAATTTCCTTCTGAGATGAGAAATAAGACAAAGAGGTTTGCTATTACCCCCTCTATTCAACATTGTACTTGATGTCTTAGCCAGTACAATTAGGCAAGAAAAAGATAGAAAAGGCAGAAGAATTAAAAAAGAAGACAAAAGTATCATTATTCATGAACAACATGATTACGTAAGTAGAAAATAGAGGGAAAATCTTCTCTTGACAAACTACTAGAATTAATTAGTGGGTGACTCAGAGTTTATGGTAAGCAAGGCTACTTCAATTCTTTGTTTTCCAGGCCTATGTAATCTACTTATTAGGGTTTCAACACAATACAGTGGTCATTGATTTAGAGTGTATACTACATTCTGGAGGACGGCACTTCATTCTCATAGGATATCATCTTCAATCTGGTTATCACTTTCAAAAAGCTGCACTATTGCTCTATCAGGCTAGCAACTTCTGGGTATTGTAGATATGATAAGACCAGTGCATCTTATGGTGAGACACCCACTGCTGCACTTCCTTTGCTGTAAAATAAGTTTCATAGTCTATGCAATACATGTGGGATCACACGTCAGTGGATCAAACATTCTGTGAGCACTCAAACAGTGGTATTTGAGGCTCTGTATATAGAAAAATCATATCCATACCCAGGATAGGAGTCAGTTTCAGTCAACATGAATTGTTGTGCTTCCAACGCAGAAGGCATTTGATGTAATCAATTTGCCACCTAAACACTGGCTGGTTTCCTTGAGGGATGGTACGCTGTTGGAGACTCAACATTGGTCTCTATTGCTGGCAGGTTGGATTTTTGGTAGAGGCAGTAGCTAAATCAGCTTTGGTAGTGGCACTCCACTGTATTTGGACCGTGCATAGCCTTCATTCCTGCCACCTTGATTGCTCCATTTATGTTCCCATTGTGTCTGCGTTGAGGTTGTCAATGACAAAGGCTAGGCAGTGTCACCTTACCAAATCATTCTGTCTACTTGCTTGTTAGTGCCTTTTAAATGTCAGATTATTTTTGGTGAGCTTTAATATGTGATTCAAAAATCTTCACATCTGATGCCCACTCCTGTAGGTCTATCCACATTCTCCTGGGTATATCACATGCCTCTTTCTTGGACTTTCTTGTCCTTGATCTTTCTGTTACACATTGTCAACTCAGACCACTTCTTTTTCCACACAAAATGAATAACTAAGTGTACTACCTGAAGATATGTTCCTTGGAAGAATTTCCCCTGAAATCTGTCTTCTAGACAGAGTGAATGACTCAGTGTGTTCAGGCTCAATGTCATTCTGAGCAGGGCTATTGTACACCAGAAGTACACTTTTGGCTTACATCCCCATACTGAATTAACCCATCTATGAACCAAGCTTGGTATTTTTCCTCACCCCTCAGCCAACCCTAAAGGATACCCTATAACTACCACTACCATAAATAATGTGGCCTCAATGTGGGCTGAGGGGGAGGTGCAAATGCGATAGTGATGGATGACATGGAAACCTGGTCCATCTACTCGTGCAGCTTACTTGTGCCCTCTGGCCCTGATCATGACCAATTCCAGATGTACCGCATCTGCATTTAGGTCCATCAAACCTTACAATGCAGTCTAGGATCTCTTAGAATCTTACTCACATTGGGCAGTTCTGGCTATATGACAAGATCACTTGATGTTCCATGATGAGATGCTCCATTTCTACTATGGCTCAAAAGCATTTCAAATGGTATATAATTTTCCACTTCAGGTGGCATGACCTTGCACTAAAACACGTGGGGTCTAAATTGTGATTCTGCTATTGGGAATGTGTGATAAATTCAACATGGCATCTTTTCCCATCTCTGGTATCTTGAATACCATAGTGTGTGTTGTGTCATATATCTCAAACAACAAGGCTGCTTACATGGTAGCCTGGTCCTGCTCCAGAGCCTTTTTATGCTCTAAACCCTGTACAAAGTTGGCAGCCTTTCACATCATCATGTGGTGTATTGAGTAGTACAGATGGTCTCCAATTTATGATGCCCTTGACTTAACGATTCTTTAACTTTACTATAGTGGAAAGTCATACGTATTCAGTAGAAATTGTACTTAGATTTTTGGTCTTTTCCTGTGCTAGTGATATGTGGCACAATACTCTTTCAATACTGGGCAGCAGCAGTGAGCCACAGTTCCCAGTAAGTCACACAATAACAAGGATATACAACTGATAGTCTAAAGTATACTGTATAGCAAGATGATGTTGCCCAGTTGTAGGCTAAGTGTCCTGAGCATGTTTAAGGTAAGCTACGCTAAGCTATGATGTTTGGTAAGTTTGGTGTATTAAATGCATTTTTGACTGACAATATTTTCAACTTATGATGGGTTTATTGGGACATAACCATATCATAAGCTGAGGGGCATCTGTATCCTAAAATATGGAATATGCTGCCTCTAGAACCTCTATTGGGCATTGTTCTCTCTTCTTAGTGGTGAGAGGTATAATGAAATAAGTTTCCTTTTACTTTGAAGGGGTTGTTTTACCATACTGCAGATCACTGGACTCTAAAAAAATTAATAGTGTCATGAGCTTAATGTTTATAGAGTTTATCTCCCACTTCCTGGTACTAACATTTCTTTCTAATGCCTTCAAAATACTTGCCACTTATTTACCATCTTGTCTGATTAACATGACATCATTGATATAGTGCACCAATATAATGCTCTGCAAAACATTCAGAAAATTTAGAATTCTTAGAACTACATTAAACAGAATAGATTACCTAACAATGCTTGTGGCAAGAAAATAAATGTAGATGCTCTGTGTTCAACCGAATGCAAACTGCTTCTAATCCTCCTTGATAGGAATGGAAATGAATATATTCACCAGTTCAGTGGCCATATACCGAGTAGCTGAGGCCTTTTTAGTTAGCTCTAGCAAAGATACAAATGACGGTGCAAAACTAGTATTGAGGCTTATTATTTGCTTGAGTCCACTGTAAACCTGCAGTAAATATCCAGTTATTCTAAGGCCAGACTGATGAATTAAATGAGGACATGATAGTGACTAGTACCCTTACATCCTTAAGGTCTTAAAGGAAGGCACTAATCAGTGCCATTCCATCTGAGTAGTAATATTATTTTTTTATTTACTATTTTGACTGGGTTTTAGTGGAGGAGAGTTTCAGAGACTTCCACTGGATCTTGGGAAATAACTATTGGCTTGGTCTGTGGATCCATCATAAGTTGAACTTGGCCTAGAACTCCATTTATTACTTGGTTCCCATGCATCCCCACTTCAACTGGGAGTGAGTCAATAATACTGATTTTAGTCTTTGGGTATTAATGTCAACTCAGATTCAATAGACTTTGACATATTTGGATATTCCATTTTCCCCAGTGTGCAGTTATCTTAGTAAATGACCATACATACATTTAGAGCAGAGTTTCTCAACCTTAGCACTACTGGATTTGGAGCTGGATAATCTTCGTTTTGAGGGGCTGTCCTATGCATTGTAAAATGTTTAGTAGCATCTCTGGCCTCTATCCACGAGATTCCAGTAGCATCCCCCCAATCATGATTATCAAAAATGATCTAAAAACTTACTCATATCCAGTCCTGAAACTGGGCCAGGTATTATGACTTCTTATTGGTCTGATTGTCCTCAGCCCTCTGATTATCCATCTGCGATTTCTCTTGATTATATAGATCAGGGCTCAGAAAACTTTTTATTTAAAAGTCCCTATAGTAAATAGCTTAGATTCACAGGCTATTTTGTCTCTGTCACAACTACTCAGTTCTGCCATTTTAGTGTGAAAGCAGTCATAACCAGTGTGAAAACAAATAGGCATGGTTATGGATGTCAGCAAGATGGCAAAATAGAAGCATTCTACCGTCATCACTCCCCACAGAAGCATCAATTTTGACAAGTACCCACAGATTAGAACATCTTTGTTGGAGTCTGACAGTCCAGCAGAGAAGTTTCAGCACACTGTTGGAGCAAAAAATTCATGAATAGATGCCTTGAAGAGGGTAAGAACAGTGTTAATTTACCCACATCATCCCTCCTCCAAGGCAACAAAGTTTAGTGCTAACAGAGACACCCTCAACCTGTGATTTCCCCCATGGAAAAAAGTGAGAATGTAGTGAATGAGCACCTGGCTCCCCCCATTATACAAGATGCTATCAAAGAGGCCCAGTTCTTTCTGAACTCATCCAGATTACTGAAGTGATCTGCACAGCTGAGTGGTTAGGAGAGACCATGAGCAGGAAAGAGAGGCTGCAGAACCTTAATAACCACTCTACAAACTCAAGCAGAAAGCTTGCCTGAGAACCACTTGAGACAACTTGCCTGTAGACTTCCGCCCCCGCCTCAACTGGGTCATGATCACCCCAGATGCTCTGCATGTCTTTCCATCCCTCTTCCTCCTAGCCAGCTCCCTTAGCATAACCATATGGATGACAAGCGCAACTGTCTCATGCAGACAGTCAGATTGACTCTGTGGTATTGGGGAAGGCATACTTAAGCATTTTAGGGCAACACCCTTGAGAAGACAAGTGTAAGACCCTCACACCTGGCCTGGCTTTGCAGGACCAAGAAAAGACATTCAATATTAAAAATTCCCTCCTAAGTATTAGTATAAGTACTCATTATCTGAAATTTAAATTATAACTGGGTGTCCTGTATTTTATCTGACAACACTATCCCTTGTTGCAAGGTAACAAGGCTTTATAACTTTCCTCTGGCATCAACCAGTCATTGGGAGGGAGAGAGACCTGTGGCTAGGCAATTCTCTTCAGCCGAGGGCAATGTCTGGAAAACCTCCAGCCAATAGCCTTTAACCACCAAACTCCCAGCACCTAGGCGAATGAGTTCCTCAGTTTTGAAGGAAGAGAGAGATGGGAAGCACACTGTTTCCACTTCACCATAGTAGTAAATCTAGCAAACGATGTGCAAGGTGTCTACACAGAAAATTGTAGAAAAATTTGGAGACAAAATTCAAAAAACTTAAATAAACAGAGGGACATTACGTGTTCATGGATTGGAAGGCTTGATACTATGAAAATGTCAATCATTCCTAAATGGATCTATAAATCAATGAAAATTGCAGCAGGTACTTTTTTGTGGAAAAATGATAACCTAATTCTAAAATGTATTTAGAAATTCAAAGGACCACAAATAGCCAGGAAAATATTAAAGAGGAACAAATTTGGATGAATTAAACTAACCTGATTTTAAATTTTACTATAAAGTTATAATAATCAGGGTTGTGTGGTATTGCCATAAAGATAGACAAATAGATCAATCGAGCAGATAGAGAGTATCCACACTATTGGAGCACTGTTTTATGACAAAGGTGGCACTGAGTCAAGGGTAGTTATTTTCAATAAATGGTGTGAGATAATTTGGTTATCTATATTGAATATAAAAATTTGACCTCTATCACAATATAGACACAAAAATCACTTCTAGATATATTTTGATCTAAATGTGAAAGGTAACATAGTAAAGCTTCTAAAAGATAATATGAGAATATCTTCATGAAATTTAGGGTAGGCAAACATTTTTCACACTCAAAAAACTCAAAAACATTAGCAATAAAGGAAATGATTGATAAATTTCCTAATTTATATTAGGAAGAGCATGCATCAACAGTCAACATTAAACTACTCATCAATAAAAAGAAACAAACTACTGATAAAACATGGATGAATCTAAAAAACTTTGTGTTGAGCAAAGAACAAAGAAAAGAATAAAGAAACAAAACATACCATATAATTCCTTTGATGTGAATCTCTAGAAAAGACAGATCTAATGTATAGCAACAGAAAGTAGACCATTGTTGGCCTGAAGCTAGGAGTGGGGGATCGAGATTGACTGAGGAGGCAGGAGATAATTTTTTGAAGTGTTAAAAATGTTCTATACCTTGATTGTTCTGGTATATATACATATATATATATATATTTCAAAATTCATTGAGCAGTATAGTTAAAATGGGTACATTTTATTGTATGTATTCCATTGTACTTGTTGTATATAAGTTAAACTTCAATAAATTGGACTTTTTAAAAAGATACTATTAAGAGAGCAAAGAAACAAGCCACAAAGTGAGGGACAGTATTTGTAACACATAACTTTCATAGCTCATTTCTAGGTTATATAAAGAATTCCTGCAAATCAATATGAAAAAGATGAACACTCAAAAGAAAACTGACAAGCGACTAGAGAAAAACATCACACAAGACATTAAAAGGTGCAAGTGACAATGTTCTTCACAGAGAAATTCAAGTTAAATCACAATGAGTTACCACTATGTGCCTATGAGGATGGCCAAAACAATAACAACAGCAGATGATGATACTGAGTGTTCATGGTGCTCTCATACACTACTGGTGGGAGTGTAAATTGGTAAAACACTTTAGGAGACTGGCAATGTGCTCTAAAGTTGAATGTATACATACATACATGGCTCACCTATTCTACTTCTAGGTATATACCCAACAGTAATGTGTACATAAGTTACACTGAAAATATGTACAAGAATGTCCGTTGTTGAGAGTTCCATTTATGCTTAGGATACAGAAAGACACAAGAGTAAACTGTTCTCACTCTTACAGTGAGAAGAAGATGGGGAATCTACAAAATAATTTTCTTGAGCCTGTCAGAGAGTTAAGGTTGCAGGACAACCAAATAAATACTCAAAAGAGTGACAAGTGTCTCCAAGGAAAGACACAACATAGAACTTTTTCATCTTTGGCAGAGCACAAGAGAAAAGGTACCACCACACATACAGGCAAGATGAAATAAGCTAAAATTTTATCCAATTCTTAAAGGCAAGTATGAGTGAAACACTCAATTTGGGAGAACTAAAAGTTTTAGATACAAGAAGAGCTCAGCCTCACTCACAAACTCTCTTTTAGGGAAGTCTCCAGGTGCTTGTGAAGAAGACTGCGGGCAAAGTAGAAGAGCAGGAAAGGAGAGAAACTTTTTTCCTTAGTGGTGCAGTATGTGATTGGCTGCTGCTGGCCCATAGGCAAGAAGCTCAGTTGCTTCCCAGGATCCTTCTTTCCTACAATGTGAAGGTTAAGCTATTGGTGGAGGGGCAACACGTCCTTCCTCCCCCAAAGCCCAGGCAAAAACTCACTGCTTCTGGGACAGGAATAGAAGAAAAATCCTCAAGGGCAGGTATAGAATATGCTCTTACCCTCAGGATGCATGCATAGTAACATTGTTTGTAATAGCCCAAAACTGGAAACAGCTGTAATGTCCATCAACAGTAGAAGTGATTAATTAACTGTGTTATAGCCATCCAACAGGATATTATATAGCAAAGAAAATAAATGGATACTGCTACACTATATAACATACATGAACCAAGCAAATATTTTGAGCAAAAGAAACTGAGTACACTAGAACACATGCTGTAGACTTCAATTTAAAAAAAAATTAAAAAACAAACCAGACAAATCTATGCTGTTAGAAGTCAGGAGAGTGGTTACCAGTGAGAAAGAAGAATGAGATAGTGATTGGAAAAATCAAGGGGCCTTCTGCAGTGCCATAAATGTTTTTTTAATTTTGATTAGTTACATGGGTCTGTTCACTTTGTGATGATTTGTTAAGATGCACATTTATCATTTGTATACTTTTATGTATGCATATTATACCTCAAATAATAGCAATTTATTTTAAAAATTAAAAACATATTAGTTATATATGTAACTTGCTTAGTGGCACCTTGTCTATGGAGCTAAAATTAGACAAAATTGAAGAAGCTTAAAAACATAAAAAGTATGCATATTATTGTTTTTCCCACAGGTTGTGAATTAGGATCTAAATATTTCATGCCAAATCTTAATTTCTGATATAGAGGGTTTCAAAGTGCCTTTAAATGGTGTGATGGATGAATAGAGAGATGGACATGAGAATTATTATACATAGATAAGTCAGTAATTTTATTTTATGGTTGAAAACAATTTGACAGAAATAGAACATATCTGAGAAGGAGAAATTAACCCTAATCAAATGAAGCTGATATTCTAAAGTTCAAGTCATTACACATTAGATGGCACATTTGGGGAACATCTTGTCCTACTTCTATATATAAGTAGATGTTCTGCTTGTAAGACTTCAGTTTAATGTACTTTGTGGAAATTAACTTTGAGAAGAGAAAGTATTGGGTCACCAGTAAATGCAGAACTTAGAAAAGATGTTTCTTACCAAAGTTTATTTGTTTTCTTAACAGGTCTTCCATTAGAATACTGCATTCTGTAACAGTAATGAGAGGATAGACTGCATCATAGTAAGATTTAGAATGGATGATGGGTGTGTCTTTCTTTTGCAGAGAAAGCAATTGAAGAGTGACATTGACAGGAGATATGCCAAAGAAGAACTGGTATGACACCCCAACTACCGATGTTTTTTAAGAAATAATACTAATGAAAATTAAGAATCTGGTAATTGATTTTCTTAAAACTATGTCTAAATGTCCCTTGAAACATCTTCATGTACCCTCAAAGGTACATACATCCCAGGCTGAAAACTATCTTAGAAAGCAAGTGTACCTCTGCACCCCTGTCTTGTGAATTGCCATTGTCACCAGA
The DNA here is from genome assembly GCF_000001405.40 of Homo sapiens. Taxonomy (NCBI): domain Eukaryota; kingdom Metazoa; phylum Chordata; class Mammalia; order Primates; family Hominidae; genus Homo; species Homo sapiens. The sequence goes on along the minus strand of NC_000023.11, from coordinate 112,371,049 downwards.
GTCATGGAGCTTAGAAATCAGGATTGATTCACTTGGGCCCTGCAGAGCCAGGACCAATATGAAATATACCTCAACAGTTTCAAGGGAATTAGGACTAATTCTGGGTTCAGTCCTATCTAGGAGGCAGGACAGGGAACATGATGACCTCAGAGCAATGCTTCAGCTCTGACATTTGTTGCTTCTCTTTTTCCCACTCCTCAATTAGAAATCAATGCTCTAAACTCTGCCTATACCCCAAGAGGAGTGAAGGTGTACAAGGGTGCCCTCAAAGAAAGAGAGGAATGCTTCTCAGTGATGATAAGTACTGTGCAACAACTTTGGATGTGGATCTTCTACTTAAAATAACACCTAAAATATGAACCTTTCAGCGTGCGAACAATAAGCTGAAGATGCATGGAGCAAGGCGAATCCTTGCTCTTCTCAAAATTCAGGGACAATGGTGCCTCCCCCTTCCTTGCAAAAAGCAAACTGACAGGTGGCAGCTTGCATTTCAAACTGCTTTTCAAAATATTTGCATATGAATTATGCAGATAAAAATGTCTTCTCACCCTTGTAAGAATGGATTCTTATTTGGCTGGAATTAACAATCATTATATTAGCCTGGAGGAAATGATAAATATGTATAACCAAGTAACCTCTTGAGGTTTAAATATCACATGGAGGATTTAACTGTTGTTACCGTGAGAGGAATGCACAATAGGACATAGTCCAGAAAACTAAGACTCTAAACTCCCAGTCCTCTTTCAGGAGGCTGCTGGGGGCAGGTTGGCTGCTGCTATGATCACTCCACAAAAAAGAGGCAGAGAGGGTTAGTCTCTGGTCAAATAAGAGGCTTTTGCCTATTAATGCTGGGGCCCCCAGGGTCCAATTCTTGGTTCTTTTTTCCATCTTTACACTCATACTCGATAATCTTACTTAGTTTCATGACTTTCACATCTTCACCCCATACCACTCTCCAAACTTGATTTACATAACCAGTTGACTTAATGATGTCTTCAGTTGAATGTCTAATACACATTTAAAACCAAGTTCAAAACTAAACTCCCAATACAACATTCCTCATGTCAACTGTTGGCAACTCCATACTTCCTATTTCTCAAGTCAAAAACCTTGGAGGTCTCTGATCTCAGAGTCACTCTTGCAGCCACATTCAATCCATCAGGAAATCCTGCTGGCTCTGCATTCAAAAAATACCCAGAATCTATCCATTTCTTAACACATTCATTTCTACCATGCTGGTTTTGGCCACTATTGTAGTTGCCTCAATTACTGCAACAGACTCCTAGGTGGTCTTCTAGCTTCTAGCCAAAGGAATCGTATTAAAGCATAAGTCAGATTTGCTCTGCTCAAAACCCCTAAGCACCTTAAATAGTGCTTCCACGTAGTGGGCACTGTAAATATCTGCTAATAAAAAGTAGATTTGTCTTCTTTTTCTCTTCTAAAAAACTCAGGGGTTCCTTTTTCCCCAATTCTTCCACCCCCCAATATAGGGATCTCATTCATTCATTTATTCATTCATTCAACAAGCACTTATTTATTGAATTCCTACTGTGTGCTGTGAAGACCTGAGGTAAGGACTCCACTGCCCAGACAGTTATGAAGGATTCTGAATGGGAGCTCCATAGTCTTCCACAGATGGCCTGGGGTTGAATTCCACTACTATTTGGAAGCCCTTGGATAGTCCAAGCCTGAGGGTGAGAGACATACCCTCAGGAAGGGTGTCTCTTAGTACAGAATGAGAAAGTAGCACCTATCACAATTTAAGCTATACCCTAATGCCAAAAGATTGTAAAATATCTTTACCTGGAGTGAATACTCTGTAGGGCTCTGCCTGTGGTTCCACCCATGGGGCCTAAAGCTATATAAGTAGGGCTTCTGGTGCCCAGGATAATTTCAGGAGATAGCTCAGGCAGGGGCTGCCACCAGCCCTCATCATTTCTCACATGTTCTTGCTGTCACAAAGTGTATGTAGGTACATTGCATGCTGGCCAAAAAGAATATGGGCAAGAGGCACTCTATGTCTCTGGAAGATCAGAATAAGTTTGCAGATGCATTCTAAGTGCCATGTGCACACATACTGCAAGTACTTGTAGTGGACAATTCATTCCAATACTCTTGAAAACTGACTTAGGTTATTGGGACCACATACATCAACATCTGGTTATTATTAATTGGTGGATTCTAATAATACCTCATTTATCAATGTGGTCCACGAAAGAGAATCTTCCAGGTCACTAAGGCTTATCCCCTAAAGTGTCAAAATATAAATAAGCACTTTAGCTTGTCAGTTCATAAGCTTTGAAGAGGCCTCTGAGTTTATTTAGTCTAAGTTCTTTATGTTGTCTAGCCCAAGATTTTATAGCCTTGGTACTATTGACATTTGGTGCCAAATAATTCATTGTTGAAGGGAAAGGTTACCCTATGCATCGTCGGATGTTTAGCAGCATCCCCAGCCTGTGTCCACTAGATGTCAGTAACCCCCTCCCAGAAGTGACAACCAAAATGTCTCCAGACATTGCCCAAGAACCCTGGGTAGGGGTGGGGGTCAAAATCCCTGATATTGAGAACCAATTATCTAGTTAACATTTATTTTACAATTTAGGAAAATGAATTTGATTTCAAGGCTAGTTTGTGATTAAATAGTGACTACCAAAGGAAATGGCACTACCGTCATCTATTAGTACTTTGTGTCCGTGCCAGATAATTTGGCATTATCTCTGATTCTTTTTTCTCCTTCACCAGACGTTCACAATGTTCTGTCAACAGCGTGTTCAAAATATTTTTCAAATCCACCTTCTCTTCACTAACACACCCACTGTCTTAGACCAGGCTATCATTTTCTTTCACCTGGATCACTAAAACAGCCACCCAACCATACTACCTGTCTCTAGTCTTGCCCCTTCTAATCTATTCTCTACAATGTAGTCAGAGTAAGCATTTTAAAGTATAAAATTAATTCATGTTACTCAGTAAGTTTATACCCTTCAATGGCATCCCATTGTCTTCGTGAAAAATGTCCAACATCTTAACCAGTTAACTGGCATTTGTTTATATTTCCCTTACCACCAAACTACTAGCCTTTTCACCATCATGCCAAATTATTTTTCATTTTCAGACTAGAATACATGATATGCTCTATGCGTAGAACTCCTCAATCCAACTTAGTTTTGTCTGGATAACTTATTAACTTAGACATCATATCCTGCAGGAAGTCTTCCCTGAATGTCCAGGTTAAGTGTCCCTTCCTGTGTGGTCTCTCAGCACCCTGTTAATCCCTTGATCACTCTGTGTTTTAATTGCTCGTTCCCTTGTCAGTTTCTCCCACTAGAATGTGATCTCCACCATGACAGGGACTATGTCTTTTTTACCATAGGATCCCCAGTGCCTGGCATATAGTGGAGTGCTTAATTCATATTTGATGAATAAAACAATCAATGGAAGAAACTTGGGATTTTTTGAGTTTCAGCATATTGTTTACTTTCACATGCTGCCTCCTTATAAAACTAAAAGTATAAAAACAAGAAATGTGTGATAGAGATTTAGGCTTCTTAAAACAGAAGATATCTAATATAATTTAGTGGTTTTTTTCCTGATGACTTAATGCCATCATTAAGCACAGTGTGGCGCTTTCATGCAATAATGCCTTTAGGAACTACTAGTACAGGTATTATTATTTTCTCTAGCACTCAAAAGTCTAGAACAGTTGAAGTTTTCTTTTCTTGGTTCTTTTTAGTTATCAGTTTCAACTCATGTGTCATTTCTTGCAGCTGTCATCATGATTGACACTAATAACCTAGCAATAGGAGTGGGGAAGTTTGATGCTCTGTTCTCTTTCTATTTTTCTGCTTCTAATCTGCTATTTACAGGGGAAGGAAGTGGCCAATTATGTTAGAACTGTTCAGAGAATTAAACTATATTGGCATAGGGTGAAGATGGAGAGGTGGGTTTTTTTCCCTGTGTAAAGGACATGAGTTTTAGGGCATGTAGCAGCTATTTTGACCATTCGTAGTTCTTTGTACAGCTTCCTTGCTTTTCAGCTGCGCTCCAGGCAGGAGAAGCTTCCTCAAAGGTGACTGTCTATCATTTATTATCCCTGTAGCAGAGAGCCCATGCCTTGTTTGCTGAGGTCAGAATGTACCTCCCAGGATTCTATTACAGGGCTGATCAAAGCTGCCTTAGACTAGGCCTCCAGCCTTGACTTGACATTGCCACTTCTGAGCACAACCAAGGAAGAAAGACTGTGGTCATATTTACTCTTTCTTATCAAGTACACACAGAGAAAACAGTTACAGGTATTTATTGTCTGTGCATGCTGCAAACACAAACATATTTGATGTTTGCACAAACCTGTGGAGTGTGGATACAAAAAAATAGGGGGGCTACCTTCAAAAGAAGAGTTTGGCAGACAGGGACACATGAGGAATGTGTGTCAGAAAGCCTGGAAAGGCAGCCTAGCATACTCATAAAATAAGCCATTCAACAAACAAATACTTATCTCCAAAGAGCAGAACAGTTGTCCAGGTGGAGAAACTGAATTACATGAGCCCACATTCTGCCATAAACTGCATCACATTTCATCTCTCCCCAGGGGAAGCTTCTAGGCAGGGAGGGGACTGGGGCACATCCAGAGCTTGTGAGGAACCACCTGCCAATGCATGTATTGGAGTGTATGATCTGTGTAGCATATGTCAGGCTTGTACATAATGATGATGGTGATGATGGTGATTATACTAATTATTACTTTATCTTTCCTGAACATTTCTACTTTTCAGAGTACTTTCACATCTATTATTTCCTTTTAGTCAAATGTAAACAAAGACATAGCAAAAATAAGTGACTTACTTAAGGTCCCACAGAGCAGAGCAGAGCTGAACTAAAGCTCAGATCTGCTAATGTGCATTTGCTTTCCATCCAATCACACTGCCTCAACGGTCATAACTTACTGATATTAACGGCCAAATGAGAGATGACTTTCTGGCTCCTCCAGGAAGTTGACAATACCCATGGGCTACTATAAGCCACAGCTCAAAGCAGAAACTAAGTTTTCAGGAGGACATCTGAAGTGAAGGAAAAAAGTAAGGTCTTTAATTCAGTAGGTCATCTTCACCAGAGACAGAACAACCAGAGAAGCCCACCCAGAAGCATTGAATGGGATTAAAAGGGGCACCTGGCATGAATAAGCAGGGTGGGAGGACCCTAACTGGAGTTCAGTTGACTGGGTAAAGATAGCAATGATTAAGAGAATGGAGTAAGACCTTTTGCCAAGTGCACGAAGTTGGGCCCATTGCCTATGTGGGCAGGCAGCATGGGATTACAGAAAGAGCACGGGAGTGAAAGGCAGAAGATCTAGGTCAAGAATCAGAGGCATTCAAGTCAGAAGGCCATTTTCCTATGTATGGGTTAGATAGATCTTCTATATCATCATTGGGTTCTCTGGGTAACTCTTTCTAGCTTGTGTCATGTGATCCTCCCAGGGAATCTACAAACTTCTTTTATTTAAGTAACTTGGTCAAAAAGTATTTCACTTTGGTGGTTTGAAAGCCTGTGTCTATGACCCTTACATAACTGAGTCTCTCTTAGCCAGAGGAATGGCACTAGTAGAAATAAGTTGAGTTTCTGACCCCAAGTGATCTGGGAAAGCTTCTATGAAATGATTGACTTCTTACACCTTTAAGATTAAGTATAAGTACACTAACACGACTCTTCATGATCTGGCCCCTGCGTATCTCTCCAATCTAATCTCTCATTCTTTCTGTCTTGCAGTGTGTGTTCTAACCAGACTACTTTGCTTTTCAGTTCCTTGAAAGTGCCAACATCCTTGGCCTATGGACTTTTGTACATGCTGTTTCTTCTGCCTGGAACTCTCTTTCCACCCCCACCATGTCCACGTGGCATATTTCTACTGATCCTTCAGGCATGAACTTAGATGTATATTCCTCTGAAAGGCTTTCTTTTTCCCTATTAAAGACTGGATTAGGCACCTACTCCATGCTCCTTTACACAATTGACTACCCACCATCTTACATTCTATTACACTGATTGCAATTACAGAAAATCTTCACCAGACTGTAAGCTGCATTAGGGGCTCTGTCACTATGGTATACCTGTACCTGGCACAGTGTGTAACACACTCTAAATATGCACTAAATATTTGTTGAATTGAATTAATATCAGCAATGATTTGAATTCAGAAAATGTACTGTGTCAAAAACATTCATGGTAGTAGGATATTAATTAGTCCATACCAATGGAAAATCCAGACTTTGTTTAACCTAGTTCATTATATTTTCCCTATCTGCTGGTCATTTTAGTATTTCTGTTTCTTCATCTTGCTCTTACCTCTCAATATCACTTCTGCTCTCTACTACTTCCCAACCTCTAGACCTATAGCTGCTCGGAGTTGCCATTCCTCCTGCTCTTCTCAGCAATGCTCCATGCTTTGGGATTGATCTTTACTGCCTGCACTCCCATGACCATCACCACCCCTCACCAGTCAAAAAAGATCCATCTTAGTTTCCCAGATCTCAGTGAGATGTTGTATTGAAATGCAGTTCTAAGTTACTAAATTGTACCAAGATTCTGAGGCCTAATCCAACAATTGGTTTGAGTCTTAGGACTTTCAGAATGGTTATATATAAATAGTCAATTACTGAAGCCTCAATGCCTTTATCAGGAGAAATAAATCTGGGATACTGGAATTTCAGTCAGACTTCATGTTTATGAATGGGTTCTCATGGGGAGTAGAGGGTGTGTTGTGGAGGGGGCACCTCCAAACCACACAGTCACCTAAACAATGGCCTCTATGGTCTCACTGTAATTACAGTCTTGGGCTAGGGAATCCACAGAAGAAAAATATCCAAGTCATTTACTTCTTTGAGAGGAATTCAGAACATCTGCTAAAATTAACTCTGCAGCTATTAGATAAAGTAGATTCCCATTACCCACGTTCTTCCCATTCCATTCAATTCAACAAGTCCTGACTAAGTGACTCCCTATGACATACATGTTATTGTGTGATGGGAACACTTGGGTTGACACTAATGCTTCTGAAACAACAGATATTCCTGCTTCTATAATGGTTAACTAAAGCAAAGAGCCTTCCTAATCAGAAATGATTTTGCTCCCTTCTTTCCTCATCCATCCCTCCAAAAATCTCCCCACATCACAGCCTCTGGGTCACCACCTGGCTATGTATCTCACTGTGGTCACATCCTCAATGTCCTGCTTATGGTCAGTCCTCCAGCTGCTGAAAAGTTGTGTTTAATATGGAGAGTGCACCATATTTATGTCAATGGTGCTGAAGGTTAATGGTGCTTCAAATAATGAGCTTTTATTTTTAAAAAATAGCAGCAAAAATGGGAGCATCTTAAATTAAAGGGCATTTCACAGAGTGTAATTGAACAGGGAGTAGGTGTCTATTTTTGTAGAAAAGCTGTGATTCAACTTCTGTCTCTTGCTTATATTTTCCAAATGGTTACACTCTGGATGGAAAAATCAGAAGCTTACTACTGGTCCTTCTCATACTCATAAGTATGAGTACGCAAGACTCTCTGCCTCTGTGTTCAACTGGCAAACTGCTATGGACTCGGATGTGATACCAGAATAAGCAGGAAGTTTATCTCACAAGTGACCCTACCATTCCCCAAATAATTTCCCTCTTGCCCTTAATTTAAAAGCAGTTGTCCTCTGGGCCTTAATGTCAATGCAGATAGCACTTTCCCCTGGAGACCCTCCAACCATTTAATAGGAAGAAATGATTATGTATGTCTTCATTTCCCTGCAGATAGGAAGGGTCACAGAAACTTGCTGGTTCACTTCCAAGTCATGCTGTCTGGCATGAACTGGGCTTTTGCTGACAATCTGCGAGCCTCCCATTGTTTTTCATTGTCTTCCAAGTGTTCCCATTACAAAGGCTGTTTCAGAACTGATCTCTGCTTAAGTCTGAAACTCTCTTCTCTCCCACCTTTACCCTTTTCTGATCAGATAACTTTGACTCCTCCATGGGAAGAGAGAAAGGGGAACTGAGTATTGAAATAAGAGAAGGGAGGGAAGGCTGCTCGCAGAGCACACTTTGTGCTTTTTCCGTACAAACTTGGGAAAGATACAGCTCAGACCTTGGGATGGTATTTCTGCATGTTAGGGGCAGGGTCTGATATGTCACAGGATAACTAACCATCTTGATTTGCCCAAGACTGAAGGATTTCCTAGGGCATGAACTTTCACTGATAAAATCAGAATCGTCCAGGAAAACCAGGATGGTTGACTACCCTAGACGTGGGTAAGGAACTGAGAGAGTCTGTTGGGAAGGGGACTGTAATAGTAACCTTAGTCTGTGTGGACCCTCAAACTATGTTTGTTATCATGAACCTTGTCCAAAACTTGCCTCAACAGAAGCTTCCCCTGTCCATCTCTGTAATCTCATTTATTACTACTCTCTCCGTTGGTCATTTTGCTCCAGCTGCACTGTACTTTCTTCTCAAACACCATAAGCTTATTCATACTGAGGCTGTTCCCTCTGCCTGAAAACAGTCTTTCTTCACATGACAGTCTTCTTCACATGAAGATCTGAAGAAAGACATCATTAAAGAGACTTTCTTTAACCATTAATTGTAAAATGGATGGTTAGGAAACCTCTACTTCTGCCCATTTTCTAACATGTTATCGTCTTTTCTTCATAGTGTTTAGTATCACCACAACTGATCTTATTAATCTGTTCACTTGTTTATTGTGTATCTCCACCACTACATGAAAGCTCCATAATGGAGGGAAACACACCTTTCTTGTTCATTGCTCTACGTCCAGCATCCAGAAGAGTAGCAAGAGCTCAATATCTATCCATTGCATGAATGAACAAATCCAAGTGCTTGTGCACGGCAAGACCCATGGCTTTGCTGAGGACATTACAGAAGTATTAGCCGAGATATCGTTGCTGTCATTTCAGGGTCATATCTGAATAACTTCTCAGAAGGATATTTGCACAAAAGGTATCTGAATAGGTGTGTGTCTTGCAAATATTCCCTGGATCTTTGATAATACCTATGAAGGGGAAAAGTGAGTCTATAAACATTTGGGAGTGGCATCTATTATTGGTAGAAGCAGATTGTTGAAGCTGAATAATAGGGAAACAAAGAAAGAATTTAGTCAATTCCAATTGAAGGTCCATCCTCTTTTGCTGAAATCATAGTTGCCATGAAGTGGTGTAAAGTATCCTATTTGGGGATAGAACCTCCTGATACCACAATTTTCAATTAACCAAAATGAGCCACTATAACTAAAGGGGAGAGCGAGCAAGCAAGAAAAGAAGAGATCAAGGAGTTAAGGTCTTCACACATTCACGAGACCAGAACTCTTCTCATGGAGGACATTCCATGAGATTGTCCAGACGTGGCAGAGGAATCTCTCCCTCGGATAGAAAAGATGGTGGGTGTAGAGATTGCATTGCAGAGGGGAGGAGAAAGAAAGAAACCCCATAAAATCCATTGGGTCACTTCTAGCAAACTCTTGGAACTGCCTTTGAAGAGGAAGTTGTCGAATTAGAATCCTAACATAGCCTAGAATTCTCAGTCTTGAAATAAAAAGGATGAAAAGCATGTTTGACTTTTTAGAGATTAAAACCAACAAGTAAACTGTAAAAGTTATCTATCCCCGTGGGTAAGATTAGGAGGCAGTGGGAGTAAGAACCATGGAATGACTAAAAACAGAGAGCCTAGGAACAGGAATAGGAGTAGAGAGACTGTTGAATTCTTCTAAAGCTATCAACTAAAACTGTTGCTAATTGTATATATATATGTGTATGTTTGTGGTAGCATATAACACATGTCCTTTTTCCCCAATTGTAATAGCAACTTATCTGGGGAATAATTTTGTCCCTAGAGAAAGAAATACCTGTGCAATTGGGAAAATAACTTCTCAGGCAAATTTTGGATTTAGTTTTTGCGTAAGGTTGTGTGTGTGTGTATGTGTTTAAGTGCTGTGAATGTTTTCTTTCTTTGTTATGTGAAGTGCTACGAATGTGTCCTTTCTTTGTCTTGGCTAACTCAAAGTTGATTTGATTTAGAAGAATGAAACATTTTTTCTTTTTTTCTTTTTTTGTTCTGTTTCTCTTCTGTAACACAAAGAGTACTCTGCCTCCCTAGGCCATAAATAACTCCAGGGACCTTGGAATATGACATACGATTATGAATTGAGTTTCATAACTATCTTAAATGACTCATTGTGACTATCAGGTTTAATGAAATGCTGCTTCTCCATTTTTTTTCAGAAGTATACAGTAGGAAAGATGCCACAAAATTACTGAGAGGAATGTAATGATAAACTAACTTGCCAAAATATTCTTGTGAACAAGAGGCCAAATAAAAATGGTGAAATGAGTTTTCAAAAAAGAATCAAACAACAGAAGGCAGGCATATGTAGTGATATAGTATGATGATAGAAGAAGGAGGACAAAAAGTTCAAAGACCTGTCAAGTGAATATAAACAGAGTCAAAGTGAAAAAAAAAAAATTTAAACGCTAGATATGCTATGTTCTGAAAGAATTCTTAGGACTATTGTGATCTGGGTCCTTTGATAAGCAACATAAACAATGGTTAACTGGAGTCTGTGTTGCCTTAGGTTTTCTCAGATTTCTTATTTGTGTTCTATTCTCTTATACTTTAAAACTCCTAAATAACATATCTTTTGTTTGAATCCTTATACTATGAATTTGGGTCTTGATACTGAGCCAATAAACCAAATCTAGGCCTTGAAACCTGAGACAGGGAAGGATAAGTGGATCTGGAACTTCAAAAAATCTTTGTGTCTCAAATCCACAATTTGATTTAAAAGGACCTAGAGAAATGGAATCAGTATTAGAAGAGGTCAAAGGAGAAAGAGGTTCAGTAGTAGAACCATATCTGTGAAAGGATGAGTAAGTGATGGGAAATCTAAAATGAGACAATGAGGTTCAGACAGTGAGCCTGAGTCAGACGAGGCTTATGTATACAACTCATATGAAAGGAGAGTTAAAACAGGATGCTTATATAACCAATATTTCATCCTTGCAATTGCTATTATTATGATCATTCTGCATTAAGTGTATGTAAGATCCTCTGGGCCTTTCCATATTTCTACAAGATCTTCATTCTAATTTAATAAATTACTGCTCCCATTTGAAAAATTGTAGCTTTCAAAACGTCCATTAGTCCTAGTCAGCAGGAGCATATATTGCCTACATCAGAAAACTGTGTGGTGTTGTGTGTGGCACCTGGGAAAGTGGCTTCAGGGAACCTATAAACCTGCTTCATTAAAGAGCCTGGATTTCAATGCCTGTCACAACGGGCAGCCAGAGTTAGCCAAGAGAGAATTATCAGAAGCACCAATTAAGTAAAAAATGAATCTTGCTTATTTTTCTTCAGTCCCAAGAGATAGGGGAATGAAAGTATAAGGAGTGGAAGACCCATTAGGAATAGAGAAAGAGAGGTTACCTACTTCCTAATTGCAATGTTCAAAATGTAGCTATCTTTATAAAAGTACTTGAGAAGGTACACAGTCTTCCAAGGAGTCATTGTGCAGCAAGGAGGTGGTGAAAAGTAAAGCTATTTCCATTACATAAAAAATAAAACATTTCTGAATGATAGTTATCAGAGACTGGGAAGGGTAGTCAGGGGGTGGAAAGTGGGAAATGAATAAGATCAATTATCTGATAGCACAACAGAGTGACTACAGTCAGCAATAATTTATTTTGCATTTTAAAATAACTAAAAGAGTACAGTTGGATTGTTCATAGCAAAAAGTAAGAACAAATGCTTTAAATGATGGATACCCCATTTATCCTGATGTGATTATTATGCATTGTGTGCCTTTATCAAAATATCTCATGTAACCCATAAATATATACACCTACTACGTACCCCCACAGAAAATTGTTAATGTATGGTCCTAGATTTTTTAAAAAACATATTTAATTAAAAGGTATAGTTCTGAAGGTTTGATATATTATAGACTCACTGTTTTCATTAGCTAAAGATAGACATTTGTTATGTGCCTCTCCAGCAACTGTACTCCCTTCTCCCAGCCACGATGCACTGATTACCCTTTGAAGAATTCATTTTTCTTTGACTTTTAGTCAGTATAGTTTGGACGGCGTTGATTCTATCCCCTAAATCCAGGGATGGACACTGATTGGCCTAAATGAATCACCAAATCTTATTCCCCTAACCAAAGTGATTAATTTAAGGATGAACACTCAACCAAATTCATACCAGTGATGGATAGTGAAAAGGACTAAGTGCAGAAAGTACTGGAAAAAATGCTTTGTCTTTCCCTAAATAATATAGTGAGAGTGAGAGATCTGGAATGGCAGCCACCATTTTGCTACCATGATGTGGCAGAGGTTAGTGCTGCCACATATCCATCATGTGGAATATGAAGATAAAGCCAGTACTACAGAAGTCAAGAGTAGAAAGATGTAGAGCGACTGGGTTGTCATGCCATTGTTTGACTTGTTGTATCAAGCTTTGTTTACCTCTGCAATTGTAAGTTATATGTGCCCCTCCATATTTCCTTTATTACATAAATTAATTAGAGATGTGTTTTCAGTCACTTAAAACATAAAGTTCTATTCTACAAAAATGGCAAATTGACTTTGACTATGTTGTATTTGTCACTTAAGTGTGACCACCTGTTTCACAGATGCATCCAAGTTTCGGTTGAAAGTGATTTTGTCACTTGAGTCCAGGAGCTGGAGACCAGCCTGACCAACATGGCAAGACCCCATCTCTAAAAAAAAAAAAAAAATGCATAAGTTAACTGGCCATGGTGGCACATGCCTATAGTCCCAGTTACTCTGGAGGCTGAGATGGGAGGATCACCTGAACCCCAGAAGTTGAATCTGCAGTCAGCTGTGATCATGCCACAGCGTGGACAACAGAGTGAGACCCTGCCTAAAAATAAATAAATAAATAAGTAAAAAAGAAAGAAAGAAAAAAAGAAAATAATTTTGGATGATTCAGTAGAAACCCGTTCCTATAACTACAAAGAAAAATTTAAAGCACAAAGCCCATATTCAAGGTATCTCAATAGTATTTATTTTATAAAAAAAAAGATTGAATTACTATCTATTACTTTGGGGCTCCAAACATAAGAATCAGTAAATGTTTAAATACTTGCCTTATATTCTTTCTGATGGTTGCAGTCTGAGAACCTGAGATTAGCATACATGTCAGTGTTTGAAAGGTCCTTAGCAAGCCTGTCCAGTAAAAGCACTTTAATTTACACATAGGCAAACTGAGGTAATTAGCCATGACATTAGTAGCCAAACATCATGCTCTGATTATATCAGTGTTGTTTGTACAGCCATATATAAGCCTCTTGCATATATAGATAAGGTACTAGGAAAGTTGCCATCGATGCAGCATGCTTGATGTTTTAAGCTATATGCTGCCCTTAAAGCTAGGTAGCTATTGGGTTGAGCACAGTACAGATGAGGTTAAGGGCATGGTTTTGATCTTTTTGTTTTGGTTTGATCTTTTTGTTTTGTTTTGATCTTTTTGGTTTGTTGTAATCTTATGTATACCAATGAGGTGAGCATTAGTTATTTTTTGCCCAACATCTTCTTTTCTGGTTAAAGAGTCTATCTCTTCCTGTTGGCTTAATCCCCTCTTCCAGGTCCAGAAATAGACAAATGACCCAGGATTGGTCAATAAAAGCACAGTATCTTCCTGGACACAGTGATCGGCTTGGGAGTGAGCAGGTGATCCAAATCAGTTGAATCAAAGAAAATTCTGGGACACTTGGAATCAACACAGATGAGGAGCTCTTTTTTTTTTTGGTGAAGTAGTTAAGCTAGTAGAAAGTAAGATTAGAGGTACTGAAAGTCTTCTTTATCACTTTGTTGGAAATAGCTTCCAGCACAAACAAGAGCAGAGCAATGATAGAGATTTCTAAGGATATCATTTGAATTCTCTGTTCCAGTGAGCCGTACTCCTGAAACTTGTGGATACATAATCTAATATATTTCCCTGCCTTGATTAAACTAGTTTGAACTGTGCTTTCTGTCACCAAAAGAGTACTGACTATAGCAGACTTTTATTTCTCTCACATTCACAGGTGGCATATATAGTAGATATGAATTGCCAACTAGCCAAAGCTTCAGTTTTTGAAATTGTTCACATAATCTTGGTCCCTGGTCAAAGGACAATGGTCATGTTTTGGGTTAAGATGAACACATGATCCAGGGTTTACCAATCCATAAAATGGACTAAGATAATTATTTGGACATGGTGACTAAATGAATTAGCTATAACGTCATCTAGAGTTGGGCCAGAGTCGGCGCCATGGCAAGGCAAAGTTACTTACAAGATAAAGTTATAGGAAAGCTGAGAAGCATGAGTAAATAGAGAAAGCTAATCTATAAAGAGAAAACAGTAGACTAGAAAAATACTCAAAGAAGAGATCATATTACACACACACACACACACACACACACACACACCCCAAAACAAATGGGATTTGATTGATATAATATAGTTGCCTATTTTCTACACACAACGTGGTATTCTCTTCACTTCATTTCTTCCAGAACCTTCCCTCTCTCCTTTATCCTTTTAATTACAATCGTTTTTTGTGATTTGAACTACCCTAAGTGGGATTCTATTCTTTGCAGCTAATTAACCTTTCACCTAAGAATCCAGCACTAAGGCAAAGGATGAGGAAAGTGCATTACAAATCAATCTGGACTAGACGAAATACATTCAAAAGCAGAAGACTGTGGGTTGGTCTGTAGCATGAATTTTGAGCATAAAGGAGACGGCTTTCTATGCCTCAATTTCTTGACTCTCAATTTGGAGCCTGAAATCTGTGGACTGGCTTACTTGTGCTAGGGAAAATCTCCCCCACAAGTGTTTATAACAATGTTTAAATTATCATCTCAATTACTCTCTGTGTACACATCAATGAGCACTCTGCATATCAATAAATGAACTCTGTGTGTATTCAGAAGGCTACTGTGGTAACATCAACATTGAGATCCAGTCCTCATTTGATGGGCACCTTCCCAGCTAGTTGTGAATGGCTTAGGGGATTATGTCTGAGATTTAAGGGAAAACAGATGATTCTCATTGTCCTACATGAGGTAAATTTAAACAGTCTGAAAATGAGTGCCCTAAAATGTGATATTATTCTGTTCCTGGTCTGTTCTCCAGCTGTACAGAATAAGCAGACCAAAATGCTCATGAGGAGATAAAAAAATTCAGAGATGCATGTAAGGATGGGACCACATGGCCAAAGCAGGCTGGCACTTTCTGTGAAATTCAGGTTCACCAACTAACTCAAGGTCATCTTCTAGCCTGCCAGACAAATATCAAATTCATCCTCAGGATCATCCCACCCCAGCGCAGACAAAACTAAACATCCTGGAGTTCTGGCAACATCTTGCTCACTATCTCTTTGTAAGGCTTTTCTGAGGTGGCCCATCCAGCAGCTAACTCTTGCAGAAGTAGCAAGGGCCCAAAAAGGATGACTTTTGTTGGCATGAAAGAAAAGTTCCAGTCTTTTTCTTTGACCCCAGAGCTTACTCAAACACCCTTCTATCCTCTCCTTTTCTAACTCAAAATGAGAAAAAGAAAAAATATACATGTCCTAAATACTGATGATATTATGTTCTAGCCTGTCATTCTAATCATTTTGGTAGAATTGTCTTTCCTTCCTTACTAGTCCTTCTTCCCTCCTTTCCTTTTGTTCCTAGCTCCTCTTAGTCTCCCTTCCATTTCTTTGAGGGGGATGCTTTTTGCTGGATCATTAAAATGAAGTTGTTGTCATTAAAAATGCCTACTTTGTCAAGGTTATATAAGGAATCAATAATTCGAAGTGTTGTTAAAACAACCTAGAAGTAGAGAAAGGAGAGGGGAATAGCTTTTTTTCCCATTGTCAGATAAATAGAACTCAACTTTATTTTTTGTGAAGTCTTGCTTATTTCTTCCCAGCTGAAGAAAAGGAACAAACCAGTTCTCAGAGACTTAACAGCAGAAACAGCAGCACCGAAGAAGCATTTACATGAAATAACTCATGTGAAGCATTAACACATTTCCTGGCACATTGTAAGAACATAGAAAGTGTTGATTATTTATATTACTACTATTACTGGTAGTAGTAGTAGTTATTGCTGTTGTCATTGTTGTTTTAGGGGTTCACACTTACAATTCTGAGCAAAAACCCTTGAAAACTGGACATCTCCAAAGGGTGAACCTCAAAGAGTTTTTGGCACCAGAATGTCAGGCCCTCTTAATGTTTTGAAGTGCTTTCACACCTATCATCTCACTTTCCTTCTGTCACAAGGTTGGATTTGTCACTGAGGCTCAAAAAAAGGGCAGTGTTCTAGCTGGAATGGCTACTGGAGTAAAATGCTATTGTATTAATGTCGACCATAACCACTGCAGGAGAAAATGCTAAGAAAGGCAAGGTTTCCCTTTGTAAAACACTAAACAACTTATTTTGCAATATTCTAGAGACACAGAGATTTCCATTTATATCAATGCATAAAGACAACTCTTTACATAATGAGCAAAAATTAAGTAATAAACGCTGTGAAAACCAATTTTATGGGATCATATTTCTATTTTAATAAAAAGTTACGTGGCACTAATCATGTGACAGGCACATAAAGGATTTACAAATATTAATCCATTTAATCTTCATGACAACCCAATGAGGAAGGTTAGGTACTATTATATTGCCATCACCATTTTAATGTTGAGAAACCTAAGGTAAAGAGGGGCTAGGCAAATTGTCCACTGTCATGGAGCCAGTATGTAGTAGAGCCTGGATTCAAACCCAAGCAGCCTGGTTCCAAGTCCATGTCCTATACTATAATGCTGCGCTACCTCCCTTATGCAACTGCATCCCCTCAAGGGGCCAATGCTTCCTCAAGTAATTCCCCCTTCTATGCCAAAGTCTCTCCAGCTTTAGACTTCTGGTACCAAAACTATGCATACCTTAGTCTATTGTCCTATTTAGGAAATAAAACTGTTGGCCCATGGGAGGCATGAAACAATCCCACAGTTACCCACAAAAGCTGCAAAGGTAGTAGTCAGAACCATGAAAATGACTTTAGCTTCAATTCTAAGATACTAAATATTGTATTATTTGCTGATTAATTTTAAAAAAATCATTTGTCTTCCCTTTCTGGACATTCTAACCCACAGCACACCAAAACCTCTTCTTTTTTATTTTATTTTATTATTATTATACTTTAAGTTCTAGGATACATGTGCATAATGTGCAGGTTTGTTACATATGTATACATGTGCCATGTTGCTGTGCTGCACCCATTAACTCGTCATTTAGCATTAGGTATATCTCCTAATGCTATCCCTCCCCACTCCCCATACCCCACAACAGTCCCCGGAGTGTGATGTTCCCCTTCCTGTGTCCATGTGTTCTCATTGTTCAATTCCCACCTATGAGTGAGAACATGCGGTGTTTGGTTTTTTGTCCTTGCGATAGTTTGCTGAGAATGATGGTTTCCAGTTTCATCCATGTCCCTACAATGGACATGAACTCATCATTTTTTATGGCTGCATGGTATTCCATGGTGTATATGTGCCACATTTTCTTAATCCAGTCTATCGTTGTTGGATATTTGGGTTGGTTCCAAGTCTTTGCCATTGTGAATAGTGCCACAATAAACATACATGTGCATGTGTGTTTATAGCAGCATGATTTATAGTCCTTTGGGTATATGCCCAGTAATAGGATGGCTGGGTCGAACGGTATTTCTAGTTCTAGATCCCTGAGGAATCGCCACACTGACTTCCACGATGGTTGAACGAGTTTACAATCCCACCAACAGTGTAAAAGCGTTCCTATTTCTCCACATCCTCTCCAGCACCTGTTGTTTCCTGACTTCTTCATGATCACCATTCTAACTGGTGTGAGATGGTATTTCAATGTGGTTTTTATTTGCATTTCTCTGATGGCCAGTGATGATGAGCATTTTTTCATGTGTTTTTTGGCTGCATAAATGTCTTCTTTTGAGAAGCGTCTGTTCATATCCTTTGCCCACTTTTTGATGGGGTTGTTTGTTTTTTTTCTTGTAAATTTGTTTGTGTCCATTGTAGATTCTGGATATTAGCCCTTTGGCAGATAAGTAGATTGCGAAAATTTTCTCCCATTTTGTAGGTTCCCTGATCACTCTGATGGTAGTTTCTTTTGCTGTGCAGAAGCTCTTTAGTTTAATTAGGTCCCATTTGTCAATTTTGTCTTTTGTTGCCATTGCTTTTGGTGTTTTAGTCATGAAGTCCTTGCCCATGCCTATGTCCTGAATGGTATTGCCTAGGTTTTCTTCTAGGGTTTTTATGGTTTTTAGGCCAACATGTAAGTCTTTAATCCATCTTGAATGAATTTTTGTATAAGGTGTAAGGAAGGGATCCAGTTTCAGCTTTCTACATAGGGCTAGCCAGTTTTCCCAGCACCACTTATTAAATAGGGAATCCTTTCCCCATTTCTTGTTTTTGTCAGGTTTGTCAAAGATCAGATGGTTGTAGATATGCAGCATTATTTCTGAGGGCTCTGTTATGTTCCATTGATGTATATCTCTGTTTTGGTACCAGTACCATCCTGTTTTGGTTACTGTAGCCTTGTAGTATAGTTTGAAGTCAGGTAGCGTGATGCCTCTGGCTTTGTTCTTTTGGCTGAGGATTGACTTGGCGATGCGGGCTCTTTTTTGGTTCCATATGAACATTAAAGTATTTTTTTCCAATTCTGTGAAGAAAGTCGTTGGTAGCTTGATGGAGAGAAAGGTCGGGTTACCCACAAAGGGAAGCCCATCAGACTAACAGCAGATCTCTCAGCAGAAACTCTACAAGCCAGAAGAGAGTGGGGGCCAATATTCAACATTCTTAAAGAAAAGAATTTTCAACCCAGAATTTCATATCCAGGCAAACTAAGCTTCATAAGTGAAGGAGAAATAAAATACTTTACAGACAAGCAAATGCTGAGAGATTTTGTCGCTACCAGGCCTGCCATAAAAGAGCTCCTGAAGGAAACACTAAACATGGAAAGGAACAATTGGTACCAGCCACTGCAAAAACATGCCAAATTGTAAAGACCATCAAGGCTAGGAAGAAACTGCATCAACTAAAGAGCAAAAGAACCAGCTAACATCATAATGACAGGATCAAATTCACACATAACAATATTAACTTTAAATGTAAATGGGCTAAATACTCCAATTAAAAGACACAGACTGGCAAATTGGATAAAGAGTCAAGACCCATCAGTGTGCTGTATTCAGGAAACCCATCTCATGTGCAGAGACACACATAGGCTGAAAATAAAGGGATGGAGGAAGATCTACCAAGCAAATGGAAAACAAAAAAAGGCAGGGGTTGCAATCCTAGTCTCTGATAAAACAGACTTTAAACCAACAAAGATCAAAAGAGACAAAGAAGGCCATTACATAATGGTAAAGGGATCAATTCAACAAGAAGAGCTAAGTATCCTAAATATATATGCACCCAATACAGGAGCACCCAGATTCATAAAGTAAGTCCTGAGTGACCTACAAAGAGACTTAGACTCCCACACATTAATAATGGGAGACTTTAACACCCCACTGTCAATATTAGACAGATCAACGAGACAGAAAGTTAACAAGGATACCCAGGAATTGAACTCAGCTCTGCACCACGTGGACCTAAAAGACAACTACAGAACTCTCCACCCCAAATCAACAGAATATACATTTTTTTCAGCACCACACCACACCTATTCCAAAATTGACCACATAGTTGGAAGTAAAGCTCTCCTCAGCAAATGTAAAAGAACAGAAATTATAACAAACTGTCTCTCAGACCACAGTGCAATCAAACTAGAACTCAGGATTAAGAAACTCACTCAAAACCACTCAACTACATGGAAACTGAACAACCTGCTCCTGAATGACTAGTGGGTACAAAACGAAATGAAGGTAGAAATAAAGATGTTCTTTGAAACCAACAAGAACAAAGACACAGCATACCAGAATCTCTGGGACACATTCAAAGCAGTGTGTAGAGGGAAATTTATAGCACTAAATGCCCACAGGAGAAAGGAGGAAAGATCCAAAATTGACGCCCTAACATCACAATTAAAAGAACTAGAAAAGCAAGAGCAAACACATTCAAAAGCTAGCAGAAGGCAAGAAATAAGTAAAATCAGAGCAGAACTGAAGGAAATAGAGACACAAAAAACCCTTCAAAAAATTAATGAATCCAGGAGCTTGTTTTTTGAAAAGATCAACAAAATTGATAGACCACTAGCAAGACTAATAAAGAAGAAAAGAGAGAAGAATCACATAGACGCAATAAAAAATGACAAAGGGGATATCACCACCGATCCCACAGAAATACAAACTACCGTCAGAGAATACTACAAACACCTCTACGCAAATAAACTAGAAAATCTAGAAGAAATGGATAAATTCCTCGACACATACACCCTCCCAAGACTAAATCAGGAAGAAGTTGAATCTCTCTGAATAGACCAATAACAGGCTCTGAAATTGTGGCAATAATCAATAGCTTACCAACCAAAAAGAGTCCAGGACCAGAGGGATTCACAGCCGAATTCTACCAGAGGTACAAGGAGGAACTGGTACCATTCCTTCTGAAACTATTCCAATCAATAGAAAAAGAGGGAATCCTCCCTAACTCATTTTATGAGGCCAGCATCATCCTGATACCAAAGCCTGGCAGAGACACAACCAAAAAAGAGAATTTTAGACCAATATCCTTGATGAACATTGATGCAAAAATCCTCAATAAAATACTGGCAAACCGAATCTAGCAGCACATCAAAAAGCTTATCCACCATGATCAAGTGGGCTTCATCCCTGGGATGAAAGGCTGGTTCAACATACGCAAATCAATAAACGTAATCCAGCATATAAACAGAACCAAAGACAAAAACCACATGATTATCTCAATAGATGCAGAAAAGGCCTTTGACAAAATTCAACAACTCTTCATGCTAAAAACTCTCAATAAATTAGGTATTGATGGGACATATCTCAAAATAATAAGAGCTATCTATGACAAACCCACAGCCAATATCATACTGAATGGGCAAAAACTGGAAGCATTCCCTTTGAAAACTGGCACAAGGCAGGGATGCCCTCTCTCACCACTCCTATTTAACATAGTGTTGGAAGTTCTGGCCAGGGCAATTAGGCAGGAGAAGGAAATAAAGGGTATTCAATTAGGAAAAGAGGAAGTCAAATTGTCCCTGTTTGCAGATGACATGATTGTATATCTAGAAAACCCCATTGTCTCAGCCCAAAATCTCCTTAAGCTGATAAGCAACTTCAGCAAAGTCTCAGGATACAAAATCAATGTACAAAAATCACAAGCATTCTTATACACCAATAACAGACAAACAGAGAGCCAAATCATGAGTGAACTCCCATTCACAATTGCTTCAAAGAGAATAAAATACCTAGGAATCCAACTTACAAGGGACATGAAGGACCTCTTCAAGGAGAACTACAAACCACTGCTCAATGAAATAAAAGAGGATACAAACAAATGGAAGAACATTCCATGCTCATGGGTAGGAAGAATCAATATCGTGAAAATGGCCATACTGCCCAAGGTAATTTATAGATTCAATGGTATCCCCATCAAGCTACCAAAACCTCTTCTTGATTAGACAACCAGTTTCTCTGTTTAAAGAAAAAAAAGGCTTTATGCTTCATCTTTAACTGGTTATCAAGTGATAAGGAATTCTGAAGCAAAAAGGGCCGTGCAATTGGATTCAGAGAAAGGTAAGAACAATGTCAGACACCAAAACAAAGTCACACTCATTCTGTAGGGAGGAGAACCTACAAGCTGGTGTCAGAACCCGTTATATAGTCTTCATAGTTCATTGTATATAAATGTTTAAAATGAATGTAATTCTTTTTTAAATAGTGTAGTATTTAAGAGCATGGACTCTTGAGCAGACTTCATACATTCAAATTTGAGTTTTACCATCTACTATGTTATTCTAAGCAAGTCATTCAACTTCCTCATTTCTAAAATGAGGATAATAATAGTATGAACTATTATGTACAGCATGTTGTGAGAATTACAGAAGTAAATATTATATTTAAAGTTCTTATAAAAGTGTCTGGCAGTAGTAAATGTTTTATATATTAGCTACCAGCAGTGGTGGTATTGAAAAATTACACAGGGAGTTATTATCTCTCCTTGTTGTATGACCCATACTCTCCACCACACTATTTATTCAGGACATTGACTTTGTTTCACTTCTAATTGCCTCTAACCACTTGTTCCTTGTTTCTTTCCATGATCAAACAGAAGAAAAGGCACCAACACATATAGTCATTGTTCAGCACATGCACAATTAAGATTTTGCCATATGGAACCTACTTTAAGGAACGTGCAGTCTTTAGGAACACAGTATATCCAGATGCTAGGTCTATCTGAAAAGTCAAAAAATACCACTTTCTGATGGCAACAATCTAGTCATGGTAGGTTTGTGTTACTATCAAAAAGATAGTTATGTGGTTTGTTCCTTCTGTGGGTGTATGTGTGTGTGTGTGTGTTTTTAATTGTCTGCTTACTGGTTTGTTGATTTTTATTTTTTATTTTGTGGAAAAAAGGAGAAAATGAGACTAAAGAAATACCAAGGATCACCTAAATGATATGAAACAGAAAAAAAAAAAACACAAATTAAGATTATTCCTTTAATTTGTGGCAATCAAAGTATAGCGATCATATCACTCATCAAGGATAGAGGAAGAGAAGCCTAACTGCTAAAGGAATTGGTTGAGAGTCAACCTAACAAAATTCTAGCATCTGAACTAATTGTGACGCCATGTCTAATCAGAAACAGAAAATTTACATAAAAACCGAAGGCCAGGATTAAAAAAAAAAGAGTTAATATCAACTAGTGAGACCTATACCAAAGTATCTCTAGGCATTGATTATTTATGCCTGCTCTGTAAGATTCGACTTAGAATTTAGGAAAGTTATATCTAGATGAAAAGTAAAGTTCTGAAAACATTTCCTGGTTCCTATCTGTATATTACATAAAATATATGACTTAGCATTTAGTTTATGAGACTGTATCAGGTAAGGGATGTACTGTCACAATTACTCTAATTATAGGAAAACAATTTGGGGAACAAAGAATCTCTTAGATGCCAAACCTGTAATCTCAAAAGTATAAAGTCATAAAAAAAATTATAGTCTGATGTTTGGATAAGGAACTGCCCAAAAGTCCTGCAGGACTAACTACCCAACCTTGTGTCTCCATTCCAACATTAGGTTGGAGATATCTCACTGGAGGTCAGATTCTGTGGCTTTTTATTTGATGGTTGATTAGCCACTCAGTTATATAGCACAAAATTTTACTTTCAGTTCTGCCTAAACAGTGCAATTGTTCCTAGTGGCAGTATCTGGTTAAAGGAATAGAAGATCTCAGAGTTCCTGTTCCCCATCTCACCTCAGCTACCAATTTGCCAAAGATGTTTTCTTGATTGTATCTCAGTCCACCTGGATTTTGTGGTCTGCTTTTCTCTAGGCTTGAACCTTGGAATAATTGGTGAGTAGGTCAAGTTTGACTCCTATACTATCTTTGCGTACGTTCTCTTATCCCCACCTAGTCAGACCATTCTTATCCTTTCAAAACTCAGTTCAAGTTGCACTTTCCTGGCTAAGAGTTTCTTGACCACTCCAGAAGGAAGAAATGATTTCTCCCCTTTTGCAACTCCTATAGCATATCACATATTTGTCATGCTTTTCACAGTTAGCATATGCCTTGATGATGATAGTGATGGTATTTGTAGAAGAAAAAAAAATTGTTGAGTTTGTCTTGTACTTGAAGCTCTTCATGAATTATCTCACTCCTCACCTCTTCCTTATGAGGTAAGTTCTTGTTATCTCTATTTGGAGAGGAAGAAATGGGCTCAGAGCATTTAGGTCACTTTTCTTTAGTCACATAACTAGTAAATGGCAAAGCCAGACTTCAGACGGGTTTTTATCTGTCTCTAGCTTTTCTATACTCTTTTCCAGAGTGTAGTTCACAGATAACAAGCACTAAAATCACCCAAATATAGGTTGCTGAATTTTACCTCAAACTTTCTGGAGAACAATTTCTGAGAAGTAAGTCTGGAACCTCAATATTTTCCAGTGGTTCAGATGTCTATTGAAATTGGTGAGAACCACTGTACTAAAAACTACTAGTAGCAACTCCCTTGTATTTGTATAGGTTCTCATGCTCATGATGACCTTTGACATCTATATATCTATATGTAAACCTTACATGGGTTTATGTCTTGTGTCTCCTAACTAAAGTTTAAGACACATGGTTTCTTCTGCATGGCCTCCTCGCAGCATACCTCAGTGCTTTACACACATCCGAAGTATTCAGTAAACCCATTCCTTCATTGTGATTGCCAAATGGTATCTGCTGCTTCAGAGAAGGCACCAATCTGTATTTCATACTAAAGAGGGATATTCTCACCCCCGAACCCCAGCCATTCTTCGTGACTCCAATTTCAAGCATTTTTGTGTTGTACCTTTTCCATTAAAAAGGGGGTATCACAAGGGTATGACTTCTTTGTCTTCAAAGGAAAAACAGCTTTTGAGTCCATTGATAAGATTTTCCTTCCCTTCCTGTATGCCCTTCCCTCATCATTGGCTCCTTGCCATTGTCTCCCAGGGATAAATGTGCTTATAGAAGAAATTGAAGAAAGTGGTAGCCAAATGCATGCTGGGCCATAGAAGGAATGCTCTGTGAGATTATAGATAAGGGGAGTATGTCTTTGGCCACAGTAAGGAAACTAAAATGATGACCACAGTCATACTTTTGTCAGAAAAATTTACCTAAAATAAGGTGTTTTTAAAATTATAAAAATACAACATAATCATCATAAATTGTTTAGAAAACAGAGAAAAAAGTTACCCCCATTACTCAAACAAAATCTTTGTCAATATTTTTATATATAGTTGTTCAGTCGTTTTTTCTATGCAAGTATGTGTGTGTGTGCATATGTCAGAGACAGAGAGAGACACACATATGTATTTTTTAACAGAACAATACTGTATACAAGCTTTTGGATCTTGACTTTTATCCTAATGATAAATCATCATAAACATCCTTTTTCATTAAATCTCCTTAAATCAAATTCCTGTCTTGGTTTTAAAAAGTCTAATGACTATCATGCCTGGTTCAGGGAATCTTGAAAAATAAGACAAGCAAAAACAGACCAGAACTAGGGGTCAAATTGGGATGGTGGGCCTGTGGCTGGTAATCTGACAAGAGGCCCATTGGGGACCCTATTCCCACATCAAAGTAAGTCATAAGGATGATGCTGGGAATAGTACCTGAGGGATCAGAAGAAACAGAAAGAACATAGGTAAAGTTCTGAACTCCAGTGTATAAGCTGAGGACAATACTCAGAGAGGTCCAGATTAGTTGGAGGTCAAGCATAGGGAGAGGTATAGGTCAGGGATCAAGGCCCAGAAGGCTAAATGTAAGTAGGAGGGCAGCATACAGTCTGAGTGTACAAATAGGTCCAGGTTGGGGATTCAAGACAGGGATAAACAAATTGTTGGAAAACACAGGGAAACTGAGCACAAGAATTGGGGATCTGTATCACAGGGCCCATATCAACACAATAGTGTGACAACCAGTCCCAGGAAAGGAGCTGTTTGGATATCAGCAGTCTTAGTGAAGGCAACTAAGGGTACAGTAAGAACTCTATATAGTCCGGGAACTGAACTCAAGGGAATTGTAGTCTGAGGTGTCCTGAGAGTTCTAACAGTGACAGCCAGAGAAGCTCTCCTTGCTGATTGAGAGCAAGAGCACTCACGTCATCATCTCTGGAGCCATCAGCAATCAACAGCCCACAACGGACATAAGGGAAGTATGGGAGCTAGGCTGGGGGTGACCTACAGGCAGACCACCCCTTGCATGGTGATATGGTTTGACTGTGTCCCCACCCAAATTTCACCTTGAGTTGAAATAATCCCTATGTCTCAAGGGCAGGGCTAAGTGGAGATAATTGAATCATGGGGGCGGTTTCCCCCATACTATTCTTGCAGTAGTGAGTAAGTCTCACGAGTTCTGATGGTTTTATAAATGGGAGTTCCCCTGCACAAGCTCTCTTGCCTGCCGCCATGTAAGATGTAAGTCTGCTTTTCTTTCACCTTCCACTATGATCGTGAGGCCTCCCCAGCCATGTGGAACTGTGAATTCATTGAGCCTCTTTCCTTTATAAATTACCCAGTCTCAGGTAGGTCTTTATCAGCAGCATGAGAATAGACTAATACACCCGGTAAGTTTTTCAAAAACCATATAAAAATGGAAATTGCCAATTTTGTGAATAAAAAGTAATGGCACTTGATATGGTTTAGATTTGTCTCCCTGCCCAAATCTCACATGTCAAATTGTAATCCCCAGTGTTGGAGGAAGGGCCTGGTGGGAGCTGACTGGGTCATGGGGGCAGACTTCCCCCTTGCTGTTCTCATGACAGTGAGTAAGTTCTCATGAGATCTGGTTGTTTTGAAGTGTGTAGCACCTCCCCCTTTGTGCTCTTCCTTTTGCTCCTGCCATGCAAGACGTGCCTGCTTCCTCTTTGCCTTCTGCCATGATTGTAAGTTTCCTGAGGCCTTCCCAGCCATGCTTCCTGTACAGCCTGCAGAACCTTGAACCAATTAAACCTCTTTTCTTTATAAATTACCCAGTTTCAGGTACTTCTTTATAGCAGTGTAAGAACAAACTAATACAGCAATTTTGTATGGTTTAACTCTTGTAAATCCTCTGTAAAAGAGGTGGGTGTTAGGGTGAGGGGAGGTGGGCTTGAGGGAGTTGTGGAATGTGGATTAACTGGAAAGTTTGGTTACAATGACACATGGCTTTACGAAGAAAAGCTAACTTTCAAGACTGGCACATGGTAGATGTTCAGTAAATATTTGTTTAATAAATTTAACAAATGTTAAGGCTAGCACTTGGCTAGTTACTGTGGAACATATGAAAGAATAATGTACCACTATTCCCTAAAAGAACTTATTCTTTTGGTGAAGAAAAATGAAACATTTAGACAGAAAAAACACTCATTATTCAGTATTTAGGACAAGAGCACCATAGCCAGTGAGCATTTAAGAATTCAAAGAGAATCTAGAGATCAGTATTGGCTAGAGGGGCTGAAGAAGCCTTTCTGGTAGAGGAAAAAATCAAGAATATGAAAGGTTTGTATATAAAACACAAGAAAAGGGACAAGGTACCTCTCAGCACCAAGTTTCCTCCCGCTTCTGACCATGTTTTCCAAACTAATATTCCTTAAACCAGATTATAGTGGTGACCAGGTTGTTTTCCTGAAGAATGTTCTTCAATACACTAGTCCTGGGCTGCTGCTTCATTTTAAAAGATTCTCATAGTCCAAGTTGGAAAATGCTGCAATTTCCTCTTGGAGATTCACAAGTATATTAACATATTGAACTGTCCAAAAAGTCCTACAATAAAGAAATCAGTTCTAATTTTGACTAACCCAGCATTTCTCCAAACAACTTGACTATGGAAACTTTTGTTTGAAAAAATTATTATGAACATTCCATGGTGCTGGCGTGCTACAGAACATACTATAGAAGACACCATTATAGAAGAGTAAACAATTTAAATCCTCTATCAAGATCCCGAAAAGTAAGAGATAATAAGATGGGAAACAGGGTAAGATTCTCAGGAGTTAGGTTCCAACTACTATCACTAAAGAGTGGAAGGGAAAAGAAACAGGCACAAAGCATTTTAAAAGATGGATCATCTACAGAATCATGGTTGGAAAACATTGTTGTAAGCCAATACCTATTTCAAATCTTTTTAGCGGTGGTTACAATGAATGACATTTGGACTTGTTAGGTATGATGAACAAATAACCACTTCAGTTGCAGTATGATAATAGACAGACATGAAAGTACCTTTTTTTGAGACGGAATCTCACTCTGTTTCTCACGCTGGAGTGCAGTGGTGCGATCTTGGCTCACTGCAACCTCCACCTCCTCCACCTCTCGGGTTCAAGCGATTCTTCTGCCTCAGCCTCCTGGGTAGCTGGGACTACAGGCGCACGCCACCACACCTGGCTAATTTTTTGTAGTCTTAGTAGAGACGGGGTTTCACCATATTGGCCAGGCTGGTCTCGAACTCCTGATCCTGTGATCCGCCCGCCTTGGCCTCCCAAAGTGCTGGCATTACAGGCATGAGCCACCACGTCCGGCTAAAAGTACCCTTTTTATTTGAACTCCTGAAGGTAAAACTCACTTTCCGACCCCTCCACTTGCTCTCTTGCAACTGTGTCAGAAAGGGTTTTGTGGGATTTGTTTTGAATTTGTTTGATTCCTGGTTATTGAGGATTGGAGGGTATCTGTCATTGGCTTTCAAAAATAGAGACATTCCCATGGTTTCTCTTGCCTTCCAGAAGACTGTCTTGGCTGTAGCTGATGATGACAATCATGTTTAGAGATGGAGAGCTTCCTGGAGGAATGCTTTCCCTGGAGATGTTCAAGCAAAAAGTAAACAATCACTTGGCAAGATTGTCATAGAGATAGAGATTGGTCTTCATGACTTGTGAGGTCTCTTCCAACATTAAGAATCTAGAATTATGTGGTTGGTTCTCAAATATCTCCATGCATTAAAATCTCCTGGAAAGTTTTTTGAAAATTCCAGTGCCTACGATCTACTCCAGACCAATAAAATCAGAATCAGAATCTGTGGAGGTGGGTCCCAGGCATCTTATTGTTTAAAGGCCCCAAAATGATTCTAATATGCATCCAGAGTTAAGAATGGCCGAGTTAGATGATATTTTTAACCCTTTGTTAAAAGTGTTCATCCTGGTATGGTAGATACCATGACTCTATTATTCTGCATTGAATTTATACTCAACCAGAGTAGGTGTCTGCCAACACGAGGTGATTTGAGGCCCTCAGTAGATTTACCTCTCATGTGCCCCTAAATTCTCTACAGACTAACCACAGTGCTAGAAACTCTCCCTTTAGAGATGTGTTCTTTTATGTTAGGCCCCCGGAGTCCTCTTAAAATGCAAATACCCTCTGGAGAAGCAGTACATTAAAGTTATTATTAGTCACTGGCACCGTGTACTATAGTGGATCAGCCTGTCACCTACCAAGGCCAGGAGAGAGTAGGGAGGGTACAGGAAAAGAAACATTACTTACATAGAGATTGTGCCAAGAATTGCATCAAAAGTTTACTGTCTTCCTTTCATGGACTCCTCTATTGCTCTCCCCTTCCAGTTTTAAGATTACTCATCTGACCCTCTACATTTGCTGCTTGTGAACTAACTGTGAGTCATTGTTATCCATTTGGTATATAAACGTGATAATATATTTGGAATCTTATAAGGAACTGGAATAAGAGAGCTATTTTTTTATGTTAATAACTTCTTCCAGTCATTTTCTACCCTAAACAATGAAGTCAGAATATAGGTTGTATCTATACAGGCCACCAAATTACCCAACTACCAAATTGATGATACAGCCAGTCAATTTAATAAAACCAACATGGTGAACTTTAGCATACACCAAAAGGCCATTTGATCCCCTGGTCCCACTCACAAAAGGACCAACTATTTGAGGGAACTGACCAAAATGAACAGAGGTTCTGGTACCATGTTGGTGCAGTCTCATTGACATCTCCTCAACTTATTGCTTATTCACTGACTAAACAACTGGTTAAAGATTTGGTGCTCTAACATCTTAGGGGATAGTTTCAGATGTCCACTGGATCCTGGTTGAGTAGGGATAATTAATGAACTTATTTTATTGCCAGAGTCTTTTGAGTCAACCTTCCCTCCTTCCTACCGCTAACTTTGTTAGCCACACTTAACTGTCGTTTGACAATTGCATTTTTTTTTTTTTTGCCTGCTATCAGGTCTCAGTGATATCATTTTTTTCTGTCCTCTAAATATTTCCATTTGCCCACATCAAGCATTTCATAAAGAAGTTTTTTAAGTTAATTTCATGTCACATAATGCTTAATTAGTCGTGTTCAAAATGCTTTTACTACGCCAGGTGTGGTAGCTCATGCTTGTAATCCCAGCACTTTGGGAGGCCAGGGCAGGCGGATCACTTGAGGTCCGGAGTTTGAGACCAGCCTGGCCAAGATGGTGAAACCTCATCTCTACCAAAAAATACAAAAATTAGCTGGGCGTGGTGGTGCATACCTATAGTCCCAGCTACTCAGGAGGCTGAGGCATAAGAATCACTTGAACCTGGGAGGCAGAAGTAGCAGTGAGCTGAGATCGCACCACTGCACGCCAGCCTGGGTGACAGAATGAGACCCTGTCTCAAAAATAAAATAAAATGCTTTTATTTCCTCCTTAATAGAGGAAAAATGCTCTGTGAATTGAGGACATCAAAAGCTTCTTGGGAGCTTTTTTTTTTGTCCTAACGGCCTAAAAAGGTTTCCCTACCCCGCCACCCCGCCTCCCCACCCCCGCCGAAAAGATGAAAAGATAAAGATAGCATTACTATTCCCGTGGGTCTTTGTTTCAAAGATGACTTAGCTTCTCAGATATTTCATTCACCTTCTCTGGCTAATTTTTGGTACTTAATAATCGCTCTGAATATATTGATTCATTCTGTTTGTGGTTGTGTTTTCTTAATCCTAATTGGATTCATAATCCACTAGAGTGAAAATTTCAGCTAAACCGATTATATGACATCTGTTTAAGTGACTGGGTTCATTGTTTGCTTATATTCATGGTAATCTCTTTGGTATATGCATAAACAGATCCTTTCTGAAGGCTAGGACTGTGTTCATGGAGAGAAAGCAAAGGGGCAATTTGGATAACAAAAGTAAAAACTGTTTATTTGCAATTATTTGGCTCTTCAGACTACTAAAAATAAACTTCTGCCTAAATTACCCAGTAAACTACAACTATTTAATATTTTTGAGGTTTATTTATATATTTTTGTTTTTATTTTTTGATTCCCTCTGACAAACCTAGCCCTGGCTAAAGGCTGAACTACTGAAATTGCCATTTAATCAGTCTCTCTACCTGTAGCTCAAGGGTCAGCAAATTATGGCCCACAGGCCAGATCCATCTTGCTGTCTGTTTTTGTAAATTAAGTTTTATTGGCACATAGCCACACTCATTTGTTTACATATTAACTAATGTTGCTTTCAGACTACAATGGCAGAGTTGAATAGTTGCAACAGAGACCATATATCCTACAAAGCCTAAAATGTTCACTACCAGGGATATTACTAATTTGCCATTACCTACTCTTGTCTCTTCTCATTGATTCTGCACATCACTGCCATTTTTACTTTTCTAAAATGCCAATTTCATCCTGCAGTTTTCCTGCACAAAAAAACTTAAATGCACAATTGATATTCAGCTATTATACACTGTTATGGCTTTAGTCTTTTCATTGTTAGCGCCCATGATGTGGTGGTTGTTAAATATTTTGAGAATCACTCATGCTTACATGGTTCTTATTTTCATGGAACAAAATAAAACTCCTTAGCCTAACATTCAAGACACTTTCTAATCCTTTCTCATTTGTTCTTTATTATGAACCACCTTTTCTGTATCCAGAACACACTCAACTCACTCTTATCTTTGTCTTTTCCTTTAAACCATTTCTCTAATTTGGAATGCTCTGAACTTTCCTTTCTGCCTTTATGAACACGTAGATCATCTGTCCCAGTTCACCTGGGACAATCTCAGTTTGCAAACGTTACCCTAATGTAATTATTAACGATGCCTCATTTCACTCTCAGAAGTGTACTCATTTGAACAACAAATTACATAGTTATCCCAGCTATATTCTTCCTTCAAGGATGACTTCAAACTCCACTGATTCCATGAAGCCTCTGATGTCTTCAACCAACAGAACTCTTTCTCTTTTTTAAGATTAGTATGTAGAACACTCACTGTTACTTACGGTATGGAGTCTCAGACTAGATTTTTTTTTTACTTTTATAATATCGATCCTCAATTAGAATATACACTCTCTTCAGTTAGGAGCCATGTCATACATTTTGTACCTGTATATTTAGCTCCTAGACTATCTCTCACGTACATACAATTTATTTCTGTACATAGGTTTATTTGCTCATTGATTTATATATAATTATATGCAATCATGACATGGGAAATGCATCTTGAAAGAAGGAGTTATTTTCTTTATAATCTAAAATGATGATAGCTTATGCAATTCTATTAACCCTTCTCTGCTATTACTTTATTGACAAATCTTTAATTTTCAAATGATTTTTGGGGCCTGCCCATTCAACTAAAGAGGCTTGACAATTTTCATTCTCAGAAGAGTGTAGTAGAAAGGGGATGACAATGAAATCATGGGACTAGGGTTTCTATTCTTGGCTCCATCACAATCACTAATATGCTTCAGGCCTCAGGTTTGCTCATCTGTCAAAGAAACAAGATCGGACTAGCTTACTTCCAGAGCTAACTATATCATGCTCAAATAATTAATTAATATAATTAATAGATGATTTGTAAAACATAGATTAGGATAAGTACTGTAATATATTCCATAGAACTACCTGAATTCATCCTCAGTTATCAACCTCAAATTGATTTTTTTGTCAGTCACTTTTAATTTACTCCAAATTGTGTTTCTGAAAGAGAAAAATTTTATTTAGAGTGCACGAGACTGTGCATATAATAAATACATATGTTCTGATAATGAACTGATCTGGTTAATTAAATTTTGGGAGCAGGAGATTCTGAAAATATGGTGAACTGACTATCACACCTTTTCCCTTAATTCCCAGTTACAAGCTATTTGTTTTTCTGAACCAAATGGGTAATGGTGCCCATGGGCAACTGGGTGCAAGTAAGGACTTGGGCTTTCTTAGGTCCTAGTGAGAAAAGTGATATAGGATTTCATCTCTTCCCTGCCCATTGTGTGAGTGTATGAAAATGATTATCATGGAACTTCTAGGTGAAGACTGTAAATTGGTAAATCTTGACTTTTACAGATTTATGAATTCTCATAGAGAAGGTTGATATTGGACTTGCATAAGATTGCCAAGTCACTCTGCCTCCTAAAAATCTAAAAAGACAGTGAAGAAGTGATCCAAGTCCTTCCTTTCTGAGACAGGAAGTATAAGAAGGAAATAAGAGAGCCTAGAGAATTTGTCCAAGTGCCTCAGTGGGAGACTAGTGCCCTACGTACTTCCATACTCTTGACTTACAGGGATAGAGACAACTGTGCATGCACTGAAGGACTACAGACACATAGGACATGCCATCTACTGAAATCCCAATGAGCTGACAGTAGAAACAACCCTATATCAGGGTACCTAGAAGCCAGAGAGATGAAGATAAGGCAGAACAAACTGAATACATTCTTAGAGAATTAAAACTATTAGAAGGGACAGATGAAAACTTGAATAAGAAATAAGAGCATTGAAGGAAATTCAAGTGCATCTACAGAAAATGTTTTCTGGAAAAAAAAAATATTTTTTGCCAGGCACGGTGGCTCACGCCTGTAGTCCCAGCACTTTGGGAGGCCAAGGTGGGCAGATCACCTCAGGTCTGGAGTTCCAGACCAGACTGGCCAACATGGTGAAACCCTGTCTCTACTAAAATACAAAAATTAGCTGGGCATGGTGGCAGGTGCCTGTAATCCCAGCTACTTGAGAGGCTGAGACAGGAGAATCGCTTGAACCCAGGAGGCAGAGGTTGCAGTGAGCTGAGATCATGCCCCTGCACTCCAGCCTGGGCAACAGTGCCAGATTCCATCCCCAAAAATAAATTAAAATAAAATAAATAATTATTTTCTATCTTTCCAATTCTGTAAATGAAAAAGAAGATAGCTACTATTATGATATGAATTGGTATATGTACATTAGGATAGGCAGACTGGGAATATGTTTAAAATGCTTAATAAGGACTCAAAATCAAAGCGACATACTTTGAGAGACATTTTCTAACAGGCTAAAGTAAGAGCTGGCAAACTTCAGCCCACAGATCAAATCTGGCCTGCTACCTGTTTTTGTGTGGGCTGTGAGTGAGGAATTTTTTTACATTTTTAAATTGTGGAAAAATATTAAAAAGAGAATTTCACAACATGTGAACACCATAGAAAATTAAAGTGTTACAATCCATAAATAAAATGTTATTGGAACCTAGCCATACTCATTCATTTATGTATTATCTCTGGTTTATGAGAAAAGCAGAGCTATGTAGCTGCAATAGGGACAACAAGCCCTGTCAAGCCTAAAATATTTGCTGTTTTGCTCTTTATGGGAAGTTTGCCAATCCCTGTTCTATAGTAGTGCTATTCAATAGAATTTCTCAGTGATAATAGAAATGTTCCATATATGTGCTGTCCAGTAGAGTGGCCACTAGCCACGTGTGGCTATTGAGTATATGACATGTGACTAGACTTAGTTACTGAATTTTTATTTTAATTGATTATCTTAAATTTAAAGTTATCTGTGGCTACTGGCTTCTGTATTGCACAGTACGGTTTTAGAACAAAAAACAATAAATAATTTAGGCAAAACATAGGCATTATGGTTGTAGTGGTTGTAGTGATAAAATGAAAAAGCATAACTGGCAATCAAAATATCAAACAAGAGGAATGTGAGATTGAATGCACAAGACAGAATTAGGAGGATGTTGAGCAATGGTAAAAAGCACAAACTAGTATGCACAAAACTAAGTAAAACAATAACTATTAAAAATAAAAGGAAAACTTGGTAAAATAAAATGATGGGGGAAAATAATATATGCCTTTCTCAGGTAAGACAGCTCTTGTAAACAAAAAATAGAAAGTTAGAGTAATAGAAGGAAACAATCAACAAGCTTGATTCACTAACTTTCTATACGAACTTACATCTCTCAAACAGAGAAAATATGTTTTGTGGTATGCCCATGGAACTTTAACAAAATTGATCAACTACTTGGCTACAAGGAAAACCTTAATGCAATTAAAAATAAAGATTTTGGCCGGGTGCAGTGGCTCAGGCCTGTAATCCCAGCACTTTGGGAGGCCGAAATGAAACCCCGTCTCTACTAAAATATACAAAAAATTAGCCAGGCGTGGTGGCAGGCGCCTGTAGTCCCAGCTACTCGGGAGGCTGAGGCAGGAGAATGGCGTGAATCTGGGAGGCGGAGCTTGCAGTGAGCCGAGATCGCACCACCGCACTCCAGCCTGGTGGACAGAGCGAGACTCTGACTCAAAAAAATAAAATAAATAGTAATAATAAAATAAATAAATAAATAAATAAAGATTTTACTGGCTGCAGTCTTTTATCATAATTTAACACTATTAGAAATAAAAAGATGAACATAAAAATTAATGAGTTGGAATAAAAAGAATAAGATTCAACTAATTTAGTTGAAAATCGAATTAAGAAAGATTCTTAGATAAGCCTTGGGTTAAAAAGGATATAAAAGAGAAATTATAAAATACTTAGAAGTTATGGAAATGAGAATACTTTATAATAAAACCCATAAGACATTGAAAACTGTAAGCAAAAGAAAATACTTAGCCTTAAATATCATCACGATAGGAGAAAAACATAATAAATAAATTTGTTTACCTTCAAAAAGTAAAAGCAAAACAAACTTTAAGAAAACAGGAAGAGATAAAAGCTAAAAATGAATGATTTTTTTAAACAATTGAAATGGCAAATAAATCTAAAGTTTGGTGTTTTTGTTTGTTTCTTTCTTTCTTTTAGGAGAGGATGACCTTTTATGTTTCTGTTTTAGGAAAAAAGAGAAAAAGCCAAAAAACAGAAGAGTAGGAATAAGAAAATAAACATAATCTCCAAAAAATAAATAATCAAACTCCGTGATAACAGTATTGAAAACCTTTCCAAAATCAATTCAAGAAGAAGTGGGAAATTTGAATAGATCAACTATCAGAGAGGAACATGGCAAATGTGACAAATATGTTACCTTTCAAAAACGCTTCATTCAGCACTACAGGAGTTACAGCGAAGTTTTATCTGATCCTAAAGATTAAATATTCCTGTTACGTAAATTATTCCAGGCCATAGAAATTAATGGAGGTTTCCCAATCCATTTTATTAAATCCAGCAAAACTTCAACTCTAAAATCTAATAAAAATAGTATTAAACAATTTGTATACAATTAAAATGAAGTTGACATTAATCCAACCAACATTGTTATGAATTAAGATGTTAATGGTAATCCCCAGGGAAACGACTAAGTAAATAACTCAAAAAATATACTAAAACAAAAACAAGAGAATTTAAATGATACATTAGAAACTATCTACTTAACACAAAAAAGACACTAATGGAAGAACAGAGAAATTAAAAAGACATAAGACATGAGAAAACAAATATCAAAATGACAAATGTAAATCCTGCTTTATCAGTAATTACATAAAATGTTTATTTATTAAACATTCTAATTAAGAAGCAGAAATTAGCAAGGTGAATAAAAACATGACACAGCTCTTCAGGAGACACTTTATCATATTTATTTATATATTTGCTTTCATTGTATATACAGGTTGATCACCCCAAATCCAAAAACCCAAAATCTGGAAGGCTCTAAAATCAGAAATTTTTCTGAGTGCTGACATGATGTTCAAATAAAATGCTCGTTGAATGCTGGTAAGGTTGTGGAGGAAAGGGAACCCTGTACACTGTTGGTGGCAATATAAATTAGTACAACCACTACGGATAACAGTTTGGAGGTTCATCAAAAAACTAAAAATTGTGCTACTATCTGATCTAGCAATCCCACTGCTGGGTATATACCCCAAAGAAAGGAAATTAGTATATCACAGGGATATCTGCTCCTGTGTTTGTTGCAGCACTGTTTACAGTAGCTAAGATTTGAAGCAACTTAAGTGTCTGTCAACAGATAAATGGATAAAGAAAATGTGGTACATATACACAATGTAGTACTACTCAGCATTTAAAAAGAATAAGATCTTGTCACTTGCAACAACATGGATGGAACTGGAGGTCATATGTTAAGTGAAATAAAGCAAACACAGAAAGACAAACATTTCATGTTCTCACTTATTTGTGAGATCTAAAAGTCAAAACAATTGAACTCATGGACATAGAGAGTAGAAGGATGATTTCCAGAGGTTGGAAAAGGTAGTGGGGGTGTTTGTGGGGGGAGGTGGGGATGGTTAATGGGTACAAAAAATAGAAAGAATTGATAAGACCTACTATTTGATAGCACAATAGAGTGACTATAGCCAATAATAACTTAATTGTACATTTTAAAATAACTTAAAGAGTGTAATTAAATTGTTTGTAACTCAAAGGATAAATGCTTGAGAGGATGGATACCCCATTCCCCATGATGTGATTATTACGCATTGCATGCTTGTATAGAAACATTTCATATACCTCATAAATATATATACCTAGAGTATACCCACAAATTTTTCAAAACCAAAATAAATAAATAAAATGCCAGTTGGAGCATTTCAGATTTCACATATTCAGATTTGGGATGCTCAGCCAGTAAGTATGCTGCAAATATTTCAAAATAAAAAAGAATTCAAAATCTGAAACATTTCTAGTCCTACACATTTCAGATAAGGGATTCAAACTGTATTTAAGGTATACAAAGTAATGTTTTGATACACATAGTGAAATGATTACCATAGTAAAGCAAATTAGCCTATCTATCTCCTTCCATAGTTATCTTTTGTGTGTGCATGCTAAGAGGACCTAATAGGCTCTTAGCAATTTTTCAGTATACTATACACAATTATTAACTATAATCTTCATGCTGTACATTAGATCTCCAGACTTATTCATCCTATATAACTGCAAATTTATACCCTTTGACCTACGTCTCCCCATTTACTCTCACTCCTCACCCTGGTAACCACTGTTCTTCTCAACAAGAGTCACTTTAGATTAAAGGACGCAAACAGTCTGAGAGTGAAAAAGTAATACATATACACACATGCACACACCATTGAATATATTCACACACACACACACACACACACACCATTGAAGGAGTAACCAGAAGACAGGTAAAGTGGATATATAATATCAGACAAAACAGACTTTAAGACAAAAATTTTTATTATAGACAAAGGATATTTTATAATGATAACAGCATCAACCAACAAATGAGATGTAACAATTATAAATATATATGCACCTAACAACAGAGCACCAAGCTGACACAATTGAAGGAAGAAAAAAACAATAGAACAATAATAGTTGGAGATTTTAATACCTTATTTTCTTTTTTTTATTGTTAACTTTAAGTTCTAGGGTACATGTTCACAATGTGCAGGTCCGTCACATATGTGTACATGTGCCATGTTGGTGTGCTGCACCCATTAACTGGTCATTTACACTAGGTATATCTCCTAATGCTATCCCTTCTCCCTCCCCCCACCCCACAACAGGCCCCAATGTGTGATGTCCCCCTTCCTGTGTGCTTGTGTTCTCATTGTTCAATTCCCACCTATGAGTGAGAATATGCGATGTTTGGTTTTTTGTCCTTGCGATAGTTTGCTGAGAATGATGGTTTCCAGCTTCATCCATGTCCCTACAAAGGACATGAACTCATCATTTTTTATGGCTGCCTAGTATTCCATGGCATATATATGCCACATTTTCTTAATCCAGTCTGCATTGTTGGACATTTGGGTTGGTTCCAGGTCTTTGCTATTGTGAATAGTGCTGCAATAAACATACGTGTGCATGTGTCTTTACAACAGCATGATTTATAATCCCTTGGGTATATACCCAGTAATGGGATGGCTGGGTCAAATGGTATTTCTAGTTCTAGATCCCTGAGGAATCGCCACACTGTCTTCCACGATGGTTGAACCAGTTTACAGTCCCACCAACAGTGTAAAAGTGTTCCTATTTCTCCACATCCTCTTCAGCACCTGTTGTTTCCTGACTTTTTTTTTTTTATTGTACTTTAAGTTTTAGGGTACATGTGCACAATGTGCAGGTTAGTTACATATGTATACATGTACCATGCTGGTGTGCTGCACCCACTAACTCACCATCTAGCATTAGGTATATCTCCCAATGCTATCCCTCCCCCTTCCCCCCACCCCACAACAGACCCCAGAGTGTGATGTTCCCCTTCCTGTGTCCATGTGTTCTCATTGTTCAATTCCCACCTATGAGTGAGAATATGTGGTGTTTGGTTTTTTGTTCTTGTGATAGTTTACTGAGAATGATGATTTCCAATTTCATCCATGTCCCTACAAAGGACATGAACTCATCATTTTTTATGGCTGCATAGTATTCCATGGTGTATATGTGCCACATTTTCTTAATCCAGTCTATCATTGTTGGACATTTGGGTTGGTTCCAAGTCTTTGCTATTGTGAATAATGCCGCAATAAACATACATGTGCATGTGTCTTTATAGCAGCATGATTTATAGTCCTTTGGGTATATACCCAGTAATGGCATGGCTGGGTCAAATGGTATTTCTAGTTCTAGATCCCTGAGGAATAGCCACACTGACTTCCACAATGGTTGAACTAGTTTACAGTCCCACCAACAGTGTAAAAGTGTTCCTATTTCTCCACATCCTCTCCAGCACCTGTTGTTTCCTGACTTTTTAATGATTGCCATTCTAACTGGTGTGAGATGGTATCTCATTGTGCTTTTGATTTGCATTTCTCTGATGGCCAGTGATGATGAGCATTTTTTCATGTGTTTTTTGGCTGCATAAATGTCTTCTTTTGAGAAGTGTCTGTTCATGTCCTTTGCCCACTTTTTGATGGGGTTGTTTGTTTTTTTCTTGTAAATTTGTTGGAGTTCATTGTAGATTCTGGATATTAGCCCTTTGTCAGTTGAGTAGGTTGCGAAAATTTTCTCCCATTTTGTAGGTTGCCTGTTCACTCTGATGGTAGTTTCTTTTGCTGTGCAGAAGCTCTTTAGTTTAATTAGATCCCATTTGTCAATTTTGGCTTTTGTTGCCATTGCTTTTGGTGTTTTAGACATGAAGTCCTTGCCCATGCCTATGTCCTGAATGGTAATGCCTAGGTTTTCTTCTAGGGTTTTTATGGTTTTAGGTCTAACATTTAAGTCTTTAATCCATCTTGAATTAATTTTTGTATAAGGTATAAGGAAGGGATCCAGTTTCAGCTTTCTACATATGGCTAGCCAGTTTTCCCAGCACCATTTATTAAATAGGGAATCCTTTCCCCATTTCTTGTTTTTCTCAGGTTTGTCAAAGATCAGATAGTTGTAGATATGCGGTGTTATTTTTGAGGGCTCTGTTCTGTTCCATTGATCTATATCTCTGTTTTGGTACCAGTACCATGCTGTTTTGGTTACTGTAGCCTTGTAGTATAGTTTGAAGTCAGGTAGTGTGATGCCTCCAACTTTGTTCTTTTGGCTTAAGATTGACTTGGCGATGCGGGCTCTTTTTTGGTTCCATATGAACTTTAAAGTAGTTTTTTCCAATTCTGTGAAGAAAGTCTTTGGTAGCTTTATGGGGATGGCATTGAATCTGTAAATTACCTTGGGCAGTATGGCCATTTTCATGATATTGATTCTTCCTACCCATGAGCATGGAATGTTCTTCCATTTG
Organism: Homo sapiens; assembly: GCF_000001405.40. Lineage (NCBI taxonomy): Eukaryota > Metazoa > Chordata > Mammalia > Primates > Hominidae > Homo > Homo sapiens. The sequence continues at coordinate 112,330,515 of NC_000023.11, read as the reverse complement.
TTTGTATCCTCTTTTATTTCCTTGAGCAGTGATTTGTAGTTCTCCCTGAAGAGGTCCTTCACATCCCTTGTAAATTGGATTCCTAGGTGTTTTATTCTCTTTGAAGCAATTGTGAATGGGAGTTCACTCATGATTTGGCTCTCTGTCTGTTGTTGGTGTATAAGAATGCTTGTGATTTTTGTACATTGATTTTGTATCCTGAGACTTTGCTGAAGTTGCTTATCAGCCTAAGGAGATTTTGGGCTGAGACAATGGGGTTTTCTAGATATACAATGATGTTATCTGCAAACAGGGACAATTTGACTTCCTCTTTTCCTAATTGAATACCCTTTATTTCCTTCTCCTGCCTAATTGCCCTGGCCAGAACTTCCAACACTATGTTGAATAGGAGTGGTGAGAGAGGGCATCCCTGTCTTGTGCCAGTTTTCAAAGGGAATGCTTCCAGTTTTTGCCCATTCAGTATGATATTGGCTGTGGGTTTGTCATAGATAGCTCTTATTATTTTGAGATATGTCCCATCAATACCTAATTTATTGAGAGTTTTTAGCATGAAGGGTTGTTGAATTTTGTCAAAGGCCTTTTCTGCATCTATTGAGATAATCATGTGGTTTTTGTCTTTGGTTCTGTTTATATGCTGGATTACATTTATTGATTTGTGTATGTTGAACCAGCCTTGCATCCCAGGGATGAAGCCACCTTGATCTTGGTGGATAAGCTTTTTGATGTGCTGCTGGATTCGGTTTGCCAGTATTTTATTGAGGATTTTTGCATCAATGTTCATCAAGGATATTGGTCTGAAATTCTCTTTTTTGGTTGTGTCTCTGCCAGGCTTTGGTATCAGGATGATGCTGGCCTCATAAAATGAGTTAGGGAGGATTCCCTCTTTTTCTATTGATTGGAATAGTTTCAGAAGGAATGGTACCAGTTCCTCCTTGTACCTCTGGTAGAATTCGGCTGTGAATCCATCTGGTCCTGGACTCATTTTGGTTGGTAAGCTATTGATTATTGCCACAATTTCAGAGCCTGTTATTGGTCTATTCAGAGATTCAACTTCTTCCTGGTTTAGTCTTGGGAGAGTGTATGTGTCGAGGAATTTATCCATTTCTTCTAGATTTTCTAGTTTATTTGCGTAGAGGTATTTGTAGTATTCTGTCATGGTAGTTTGTATTTCTGTGGGATCGGTGGTGATATCCCCTTTATCATTTTTTATTGCATCTATTTGATTCTTCTCTCTTTTTTTCTTTATTAGTCTTGCTAGCGGTCTATCAATTTTGTTGATCCTTTCAAAAAACCAGCTCCTGGATTCATTAGTTTTTTGAAGGTTTTTTTGTGTCTCTATCTCCTTCAGTTCTGCTCTGATTTTAGTTATTTCTTGCCTTCTGCTAGCTTTTGAATGTGTTTGCTCTTGCTTTTCTAGTTCTTTTAATTGTGATGTTAGGGTGTCAATTTTGGATCTTTCCTGCTTTCTCTTGTGGGCATTTAGTGCTATAAATTTTCCTCTACACACTGCTTTGAATGCATCCCAGAGATTCTGGTATGTTGTGTCTTTGTTCTCATTGGTTTCAAAGAACATCTTTATTTTTGCCTTCATTTCGTTATGTACCCAGTAGTCATTCATGAGCAGGTTGTTCAGTTTCCATGTAGTTGAGCAGTTTTGAGTGAGTTTCTTAATCCTGAGTTCTAGTTTGATTGCACTGTGGTCTGAGAGATAGTTTGTTATAATTTCTGTTCTTTCACATTTGCTGAGGGGAACTTTACTTCCAAGTATGTGGTCAATTTTGGTATAGGTGTGATGTGGTGCTGAAAAAAATGTATATTCTGTTGATTTGGGGTGGAGATTTCTCTAGATGTCTATTAGGTCCTCTTGGTGCAGAGCTGAGTTCAATTCCTGGGTATCCTTGTTGACTTTCTCTCTTGTTGATCTGTCTAATGTTGACAGTGGGGTGTTAAAGTCTCCCATTATTAATGTGTGGGAGTCTAAGCCTCTTTGTAGGTCACTCAGGACTTGCTTTATGAATCTGGGTGCTCCTGTATTGGGTGCATATATATTTAGGATAGTTAGCTCTTCTTGTTGAATTGTTCCCTTTACCATTATGTAATGGCCTTCTTTGTCTCTTTTGATCTTTGTTGGTTTAAAGTCTGTTTTATCAGAGACTAGGATTGCAACCCCTGCCTTTTTTTTGTTTTCCATTTGCTTGGCAGATCTTCCTCCATGCTTTTATTTTGAGCCTATGTGTGTCTCTGCACATGAGATGGGTTTCCTGAATACAGCACACTGATGGGTCTTGACTCTTTATCCAATTTGCCAGTCTGTGTCTTTTAATTGGAGCATTTAGTCCATTTACATTTAAAATTAATATTGTTATGTGTGAATTTGATCCTGTCATTATGATGTTAGCTGGGTATTTTGCTCGTTAGTTGATGCAGTTTCTTCCTAGTCTCGATGGTCTTTACATTTTGGCATGATTTTGCAGCAGCTGGTACCGGTTGTTCCTTTCCATGTTTAGCACTTCCTTCAGGAGCTCTTTTAGGGCAGGCCTGGTGGTGACAAAATCTCTCAGCATTTGCTTGTCTGTAAAGTATTTTATTTCTCCTTCAATTATGAAGCTTAGTTTGGCTGGATATGAAATTCTGGGTTGAAAATTCTTTTCTTTAAGAATGTTGAATATTGGCCCCAACTCTCTTCTGGCTTGTAGAGTTTCTGCCAAGAGATTTGCTGTTAGTCTGATGGGCTTCCCTTTGAGGTTAACCCGACCTTTCTCTCTGGCTGCCCTTAACATTTTTTCCTTCATTTCAACTTTGGTGAATCTGACAATTATGTGTCTTGGAGTTCCTCTTCTCGAGGAGTATCTTTGTGGCGTTCTCTGTATTTCCTGAATCTGAATGTTGGCCTGCCTTGCTAGATTGGGGAAGTTCTCCTGGATAATATCCTGCAGAGTGTTTTCCAACTTGGTTCCATTCTCCCCGTCACTTTCAGGTACACCAATCAGACATAGATTTGGTCTTTTCACATAGTCCCATATTTCTTGGAGGCTTTGTTCATTTCTTTTTATTCTTTTTTCTCTAAACTTCCCTTCTCGCTTCATTTCATTCATTTCATCTTCCATCGCTGATACCCTTTCTTCCAGTTGATCGCATCAGGTCCTGAAGCTTCTGCATTCTTCACGTAGTTCTTGAGCCTTGGTTTTCAGCTCCATCAGCTCCTTTAAGCACTTCTCTGTATTGGTTATTCTAGTTATACATTCTTCCAAATTTTTTTCAAAGTTTTCAACTTCTTTGCCTTTGGTTTGAATGTCCTCCCATAGCTCGGAGTGATTTGATCATCTGAAGCCTTCCTCACTGAGCTCGTCAAAGTCATTCTCCGTCCAGCTTTGTTCCGTTGCTGGTGAGGAACTGCGTTCCTTTGGAGGAGGAGAGGCACTCTGCTTTTTAGAGTTTCCAGTTTTTCTGCTCTGTTTTTTCCCCATCTTTGTGGTTTTATCTACTTTTGGTCTTTGATGATGGTGATGTGCACATGGGTTTTTGGTGTGGATGTCCTTTCTGTTTTTCAGTTTTCCTTCTAACAGACAGGACCCTCAGTTGCAGGTCTGTTGGAGTACCTGGCCGTGTGAGGTGTCAGTGTGCCCCTGCTGGGGGGTGCCTCCCAGTTAGGCTGCTCGGGGGTCAGGGGTCAGGGACCCACTTGAGGAGGCAGTCTGCCCGTTCTCAGATCTCCAGCTGCATGCTGGGAGAACCACTTCTCTCTTCAAAGCTGTCAGACAGGGACATTTAAGTCTGCAGAGGTTACTGCTGTCTTTTTGTTTGTCTGTGCCCTGCCCCCAGAGGTGGAGCCTACAGAGGCAGGCAGGCCTCCTTGAGCTGTGGTGGGCTCCACCCAGTTCGAGCTTCCCGGCTGCTTTGTTTACCTAGGCAAGCCTGGGCAATGGTGGGCGCCCCTCCCCCAGCCTCGCTGCCACCTTGCAGTTTGATCTGAGACTGCTGTGCTAGCAATCAGCAAAGACTCCGTGGGCGTAGGACCCTCCGAGCCACGTGCGGGATATAATCTCCTGGTGCGCCGTTTTTTTAAGCCCGTCAGAAAAGCGCAGTATTCGGGTGGAAGTGACCCGATTTTCCAGTTGCCGTCTGTCACTGCTTTCTTTGACTAGCAAAGGGAACTCCCTGACCCCTTGTGCTTCCCGAGTGAGGCAATGCCTTGCCCTGCTTCAGCTCATGCACGGTGCGCACATCCACTGACCTGCGCCCACTGTCTGGCACTCCCTAGTGAGATGAACCCGGCACCTCAGATGGAAAGCAGAAATCACCCATCTTCTGTGTCGCTCATGCTGGGAGCTGTAGACTGGAACTGTTCCTATTCGGCCATCTTGGCTCCTGTTTCCTGACTTTTTAATGATCGCCATTCTAACTGGTGTGAGATGGTATCTCATTGTGGTTTTGATTTGCATTTCTCTGACGGCCAGTGATGATGAGCATTTTTTCATGTGTCTGTTGGCTGCATAAATGTCTGCTTTTGAGAAGTGTCTGTTCATGTCCTTTGCCCACTTGTTGATGGGGTTGTTTTTTTCTTGTAAATGTGTTGAGTTCTTTGTAGATTCTGGATATTAGCCCTTTGTCAGATGAGTAGGTTGCAAACATTTTCTCCCATTCTGTAGGTTGCGTGTTCACTCTGATGGTAGTTTCTTTTGCTGTACAGAAGCTCTTTAGTTTAATTAGATCCCATTTGTGAATTTTGGCTTTTGTTGCCATTGCTTTTGGTGTTTTAGACATGAAGTCCTTGCCCATGCATATGCCCTGAATGGTATTGCCTAGGTTTTCTTCTAGGGTTTTTATGGTTTTAGGTCTAACATTTAAGTCTTTAATCCATCTTGAATTAATTTTTGTATAAGGCATAAGGAAGGGATCCAGTTTCAGCTTCCTATATATGGCTAGCCAGTTTTCCCAGCACCATTTCTTAAATAGGGAATCCTTTCCCCATTTCTTGTTTTTGTCAGGTTTGTCAAAGATCAGATAGTTGTAGATGTGTGGTATTATTTCTGAGGGCTCCGTTCTGTTCCATTGGTCTATATCAATGTTTTGGTACCAGTATCATGCTGTTTTGGTTACTGTAGCCTTGTAGTATAGTTTGAAGTCAGGTAGTGTGATGCCTCCAGCTTTGTTCTTTTGGCTTAGGATTGACTTGGCAATGTGGGCTCTTTTTTGATTCCATATGAACTTTAAAGTAGTTTTTTTCCAATTCTATGAAGAATGTCATTGGTAGCTTGATGGGAATGGCATTGAATCTATAAATTACCTTGGGCAGTATGGCCATTTTCACGATATTGATTCTTCCTATCCATGAGCATGGAATGTTCTTCCATTTGTTTGTGTCCTCTTTTATTTCATCGAGCAGCGGTTTGTAGTTCTCCTTGAAGAGGTCCTTCACATCCCTTGTAAGTTGGATTCCTAGGTATTTTATTCTCTTTGAAGCAATTGTGAATGGGAGTTCACTCATGATTTGGCTCTCTGTTTGTCTGCTATTGGTGTATAAGAATGCTTGTGATTTTTGCATATTGATTTTGTATCCTTAATACCCTATTTTCAATCATGGATAGAACCACTAGACAGAAGATCAACAACAACAAAAATAGAATATTTAGGCAACACTATAAACTAACTCGAATTAATAGACATCTATGAAACAGTACTTAAAAACAGCAGAATTCACATCCTTCTTAAGTGCACATGGAACATTCTATAAGATAGACCAAATATTAGGTTACAAAAAAGCTCAATAAATTAAAATAATTAAAATTGTATGAAGTATATTTTCTGATCACGAGAGGAGAAATAAGGAAAATTAGAAGCTAATTTGAGACAAATGAAAATTAAAACACAACATTCAAAACATAGAGGGATCTAAAAGAGTGCTACAAAGGAAATTTGTAGCTATTAAGGCTTATATTTTAAAAGTTAAAAAAAATTGCACATCAATAATCTAATCTTAGAAAACCAGGAAAAGAAGTAATTAAACCCAAAACAATGGATTAAAGACCGAAACATAAGATCTGAAACAGAAAAAGTTCTGGAAGAAACGTAGCAAAAAAAACTATATAGCATTGGTTTCAGCAATGAGTTTTTGGAGTTGACCCCCAAAGCTTAGGAAACAAAAGCAAAAATAGAGAAATGGAATTACTTCAAACCAAAAAGCTTCTGCACTGCCAAGGAAATAATCAACAAAATCCATGCAATGAAATATTATTCAGCCACAAAAAGAAATAAGGTACTGATTTATGCTACAACATGGATGGACCTTGAAAACACACTGAGTGAAAGAAGCCAGATACGAAAGGCCACATATTGTATGATTCTATTTATATGACATGTCCAGAATAGCCAAATCCATAGAAAATACATTAAAGATTACCATCACTTGGAGTGAAGGAAGATATGGAGTCACTTAAAATGTACACAAGATTTCTTTGTGGAGTGATAAAGCTATTCTGGACTTAAGTAGTAGTGATGGTTGCACACCCTTGTGAACACACTAAAAATTTCTGCATTGAATATACAGTTTAAACGAGTGAATTTTCTGGTATGTTAATTATAGCTTTATAAAATATTAATAGTACAATCATATCATTGGAAAAACTCAGGACACTACAGGTTATAAACTAGACAGTATATGAAAAATCTAGGAAAGCTATACTCTTTAGAACAAAAGATAGATATATTTGATCATTTAACATTCAAGCCTGGCCATGGTGGCTCATGCCTGATATCTCAGCACTTTGGGATGCTGAGACAGATAGATCGCTTGAGCCCAAGAGTTCAAAACCAGGCAGGGAAACATGGCAAACCATTTCTACAAAAAATACAAAAATTAGCTGGGGATGGAGCATGTGCCTGTAGTCCCAGCTACTCTGGAGGCTGAGAGGTAGGAGGATCACTTGAGTCAGGGAGGTCGAGGTTGCAGTGAGCCATGATCCTACCACTGCACTCCAGCCTGGGAAACAGAGTGAGACTCTGTCTCAAAAGAAAAAATAAAATATAAAATAAATAAAATAAAATAAAATAAAATTCAAAACTTCTATATGCTAAAATATAAGCTAAAATATCATAAACAAAAATGTGTAATGCTGATAAAAGACACAAGGTTATTACACATAAACAAAGAGTTCTTTCAAAGCGAAAGAAAATTGACAAACAATTCAATAGAAAAAATGGTCAAAAGTAATGAATAATCAACTCATTGAAGAGTAAATCCAAAAAAGCTAACAGACAAAAAGATTCACTAGCAGTCAGGAAAATGCAAATTAAAGTTAAAATGAGGTAACACAATAAACCCATCAAACTGACAAAGTTGAAAATCAAATAACACCCATACATTGCTGGTGGAAATGTGAAGTTTTACAGCGTTTTTGGAAAGCAATCTGGAAACATCTATTGAAATAAAATATTAATTTACTCAACTCAGCAATCCCATTCATTGTAGTTTATTCCATTGTAGTAAAAGCATGTGTACAAGCATGTTTATTGCAGTATTCTTTACAGTGTCAAACAGAAACACAAACCTGGAATAAATTAGATAATTTCCTCTATTGGGTGAAGGCTGAATAAATTATAGTACATCTAATTCATAGAATATTAGACAGCAATTAAAACTAATATACTGCTGTTATCCTAGATGGCCGAAGATATTTCTCAGAAGTATTCTTAATTTAGAAATGCAAGATACAAAAAAAGTATGCATAGTACAACCCCGTTAAAAAATAATGATGAAATCCTATATATGTGTGTACATGTATGAGCATGAAACAGTGTCAAAGAATATATCCTAAGGGCAACATGGTTTATCATGGGTTACCTAATGAAACAGAAAGAGGAAGAGAAATGAGAGCCAAGGAAAAAAGAAAAGGGAAAAAATAAACCTGCAGGTAATGATCACACTTACATAAAATTAGATATTCATGTATATATATCTCTACACATGACATTTAAAATGAATATACAAAATTACATTAAGGCTGAAATGAGACAGTGTACGTGAATGTGCTTTGTTCTGTGAATTTAAGAGATTACACCAACAAGAAATATCATTATTATTATATAAAACTATAGCATTCTAGTAGTCGGAAATGAAGAAACATCCATAATAACTCTAAGATATCCTCTACAAAAAAAAAAAATGAAAAGCGCCTTACCTTAGGCAAATCATTAATGAAAAGATGATGTCCTTATCTTACTTTGATATATAGTATTAAAATTGGTGGAAGAAGAATGACCTTGGTTAAGTGGGATAAGAGAGGTAATAACAAACTTCCTGTACGACTCACCTAGCAAATGCAAATGCAAGACTCTTTTAGTCACTGAAAATGCCACAAAGTTATTAGGGGAGAAAAGCTACACTTTTTGTTGCTTTACTAAAACTTTGATTTTAACTACTCAGTAGTCCTTCAGAAACCCAATTATGATCATAAAAATTAAGGGTTGAAAAAAGCATTATAGTCTACTCTGGAAAAAATATATAGTTGGATTGAATAGTCGCTGATAAATTAATGTTGCACTTTCTCACTGTGGAGTTTCTAAAAGAAGATTTTATTTATTTATTGTACAAATGTATGGGGTACATGAGAAATTTTCATACATGTATGTAATATATAGTGACTTGTTCAATCCATTGAAACATATTGTTTAACAGGGGAGTTGTACAGGAAAGATGAGATGTGGAATTTAGATTCAAAGATCATGTTCACTCCCAATTCTACTATTACGTAGTTGTTTGACTTCTGGCAATTTACCAATCTCTCCATCCATGAGTTTCATCATCCTCGCTTCATAGGGTTATGAGAAGATTAAATTAAATAGATATATAAAACCAGTTACTACAATACGTCTGTCTTTGTAGGCATTCAAACATTTAGTTTTATTTTCTTTCTTTCTTTCTGTCTGTCTGTCTGTCTTTCTTCTTTCTTTCTTTTCTTTTTCTTTCTTTTTTTTTTTTTTTTGAGACGGAGTCTCGCTCTGTCACCAGGCTGGAGTGCAGGGGCATGATCTCGGCTCACTACAACCTCCACTTCCTGGGTTCAAGCGATTCTCCTGCCTCAGCCTCCCGAGTAGCTGGGACTACAGGCACGCGCCACCACACCCAGCGAATTTTTGTATTTTTAGTAGAGACAGGGTTTAACTATGTTGGCCAGGATGGTCTCGATCGCTTGACCTCGTGATCCGCCCACCTTGGCCTCCCCAAGTGCTGGGATTACAGGTATGAGCCACCTAGCCCCGCCCAAATTTTATTTTCTATTTTAATACAATGCTATATTGGTGGGAGGAACCTCAGAATAGTCAGGTTAGTAGCAAAGTATAATAGCCATTTTAATTTTTTTCATTATACCTAGGGAAGCTTCTCCACTCAATCTGTGAATCCATAACCCCAGAAAATACCATACAGCAAATTGTTGCTCAACATAGAAGGAAACAAATAGTTCCCTGAAAGCAGGCCTTACAAACCCAAGATGAGGTGAATGTTGTTTTGATAGCTACCTTCAGTCTTCCTCCAGTGTTTAATGAGTCTATAATAACCATTATCTTCCCTGAGCTACACATATGCCCCTACTCCCCTCCCTCTTTTAGGAGCAAAGCTAAACACTTTTTACATAAATATATGGAAATGTTTAAAGACAGATAAACCAGTACATGTGAGATTTAATTTTCCATTGATCCTATGTGGGGGGTGGGTAAGAAAACTGGAATTTAAGTCATTTGTGTTAATATGACTTTGAAGCCACAAAGTGAAGCTTGTAGCTAATAAGGTCATAGACTTATTAACTGTAGTTAGAGTGAAGAAGCTCTTATCCTTGAACTGAAATTCCAGACACATGGCTCAACTAACAAATTTGAGTAGCTTCTACCCCTTTAATCACCTCACTGTTTCTTTTTCTTTACTTCCATCATTAATAACATCTGGTCTATTATCTCTCCACACAGAAAACAAATTACTTGATGTTCTTTTTCAACATTCTGCTAGCTTCTTGCCACTGGACTTGAACATAGGAACACATCTAAACTAAATGTCAGGCTCAGAGATCCTTCCTAAAGGCTAGCACCAGAAGCAATGAAAGTATTATGTTCACCGAGAAACAAGTGGAAGTGTTGAATATCTTGTTTAATAAGAACCCATACCAAAACCCAAGCCTTCAGAAATAAACAGCTTCAAAAATGGTCATACATCCAACGGCACTGCAGGTTTGGTTCAAGAATTACGGAGTAAAACTCAAGAATGCAATCTGTGAGCACATTCAGGAAACACAAGAGGCTTAACAACAGCAATTACCAGGGGGAGGCATCAAGACCAGTCCTTCCAAGGGAAACATGGTAATACGACCCGGATCTCCTAATGATGACTATTCTATATCCCTCATATATAGAGATCTTTTGATACTGTCACTGCAACTCAGCATATGTCTCAGTTTGAAGGTTCCCACAGATCACTCTGTTGATCTCAAAATAGTCCACTTTGGCTGCTGCCAAGATCCTAACCTACACTGCCTCTATCCCATTTTGGAATCCCAAGTTCTTTCCCCAAGTTTCAATTTCTAATTCTTTTGGCTCTCCATTTCTGCAAAGAACGAATCAGTAAGAGAAGCTAGACACAAAACACCACATGTTGTAATGATTTGTAATGACTCCTATACAAGAGAATACTTTTCAGCAATAAAAAGGAGCAAACTAGAGATATACTCAACAACACGGATAGATTTCAAAAACATTGAGTGAAAGAAAAAAAAATGAAAGACTACAGACTATATAATTCCATTTATACAAATCCTTAGAGCAGGAAAAACTAATCTACAGTGGCAAAATCAGATTAATGGCTGTCTATGTGGTGGAAGGAATTGATGGAAAGAGGCATAAGCAAATTTATAGGGGCGGTGGAAATGTCTCATGTCTTAATTACGGTGGCAGTTATCTGGGTGTATAAATTCATATAAACACATAGAACTATATATTTAAAATACATGCACTTTATTTTACATAAATTATGTCTCAATAAAAATAAAGATATAAAAATGAATAAAGTTTTGCTGTTACTCTTTCTATTACTATGGAGAGTGCCCTACACAGGAAGGAAAGGGCGCAGTGTACAGATACTTCAGTATGTCCATTAACCTTGTCTATGCTCTTAAAATTTTGAATGGCCTTTCCATTAAAGAAGAAAAGCAAAAGGAAGCAATGGAGGGGAACCCATTTTCTGACTAAGCAGTGGGTACTGTACAATGCATGAAGAGCACAAAGAACTAACTAGACTTTACAATATCTGGGACCTTCACTATTCCTCACCATTCATGGGCCTAAAAGAGACATCCAGAGGTCAAGTATCTTTATAATAAACTGTTAGTCTACAAAAGTTGAATCTGATTACAACGTCAGTTTTTTGGAAACTTGCACCCATTAGAAAGCTTCACACAAAGGTCCTGCACATGTTTAGTTCAACCCAAGCCTGTAGTATTTCTTTACTGAGCTCCCATGTAGGAAATCTCAGTTTTTGTCTATAGTGCTGACCTTGGAAGAACTAAAAAGACTTTAGAATGTTCTCTTCCTCTCCCTCTCCCCTCATCTTTTTCTCTTAAGTTGATTAATTCATTCTGTTCTCTATTTATAGGCTGTTATGAAATCTGGCTGTCAGTAATCAATAACCCAGGGCTTGAAAGTTTCTGAAGGAAAAGTCTCTTTTGTAGATATAAAAAGTCAAGCTTTTTATAAAGAGCAATTAAGGTAATGATGTCTGAATTGGGGTGGGGGGTGTTGAGATTCCATCATCTATAATGTTTCCACCATGTAATTGAAGTGTCTTACTTAAAGAAGCTACTAAATGGGAAGCCATGTAAAGAATAAGAAGAAGCTTCAGTATAGGTAGTTCAGTAAGAAAAATAACTCTTAAGAAAGCTATTTTAGATGACTGCTAATAACATTATACAATAACCTAATCATACATGTTTTGTTTTACTTATCAAAATGATGATGGTATAATTAAAATAGGCACATATAAGCTCCTTCAATGGTGAAAATAATTTCCTTATTCATTCACAAATATTGAGTACCTCATGTGTGCCAGGGATTGTTCTAGATAGCGGGGAATACATGAACAAAATAGACAATGTACAAATCTGATGATGGTAAGTACAATGGAGAAAAATTAAGAATAGTAGAGCATAGGGAGTAAAAGGAACTTCCATATTGGGTAAGATGTTTAAGGAAGGTCTCTCTAATGAGGTGACATTTAGCCTGAGAGGAAAAATGTTCCAGATAGGCAAAAGAGCAAGTTCCATGTTTCTGAGATACAAGATTGAGAAAGACTGTGATAGGTTCTGGCATACATGGCCTAAAGCAACCTGGGGGTTGGGGGAAAAGTGGAACAGAAGTCCAAAAGGTATTTATAAATTAGAGTGGTTTGTAGAATTTGGTTGGTGATGTTTTGCTTGACACACACACGATGATCAATAAATATTTTGAAAATAAGTGCTGTGTGTTGTTGCAATGAGCATCAGTGGTCAGCATATTCAGATACAAGAGCTATTTCCCTTTAGGAACTTCCTATGTCATTGTTGAAGCAACATCCACAAATAAAGTTGTTGGATGCTATTGAAGCTCTGAGAAAAAGCAGAATGAGCATTGGCAAGGGCATAAGCTTTGGAATCAGACAGACCTTTGAGTCCCAACTCTACCACTTACTAGATGTGTGACCATTAGCATGTTATTTAACCTCTGTGACTCAGCCTTCTCATTTATAAGATGGATGTAAAAGTGCCTTTCTCACACCATTTCAAATATAATACGTGGTGCATTTGAACAGTTGAGCACCATGTCTGACACATATGTAATAAATAGCAGCTCCTCCCCATTCCTTGCATACACCTGGTGCTTTAAAAGTAGGTACACTGATTTACCTGGCACCATCAAATTTGATTCACACAGCAGTCCCAGGAGGCAGAGTTCCAGGGAGCAGCATGGTCTACAAACACTCAAAATACTCAAGGAAAGGCAGAGTCCATGGCCAAGTTAGCTGGGGGAAACATGGCTTTTATTCTGCACTAGTCGTTCAACATCAAGAAAGCAATAGTTTCCCTTGTTTAAGCCCTGACTGCCCAGTAAAGAATACATGCCAGTCCTATTTGGAAACGGAAAAGAGTAGTATTAATGAAGCCTTTGGTAATTACGTCTCTGGGATTTTTAAGAGACTGTGGCGCCATCTCGGCTCACTGCAGCTTCCGCCTCCCAGGTTCAAGTGATTCTCCTGCCTCAGTCTTCCGAGTACCTGGGACTACAGGTGCACGCCACCATGCCCGGTTAATTTTTGTATTTTTAGTAGAGACGGGGTTTCACCATATTGGTCAGACTGGTCTTGAACTCCCTTGTTTATTTTTTGTTTGTTTGTTTATTTTCTTTCCGTAAAGACTGAATCAGAGAAGGTTTAGACATTATTTGCTCCCTCCCACCGTCCGCAAAAAAGAGACATAAATGACCTTTATTTGGTGCAAAGAATAATGAGTACTATGTGGTTTTCAGATCATAATGTTATATTATTAGCCCCCTTTGCATTTTGTATTTACAGCGACATGTGGCTGAGCTCAAGCTTGTCTTTTAATCTTCCCCTTGTTCTGATTGGGCAGTGGAGTTGATAGGTCTGTAATTTGGGCAAATGCTGTGTGGGAAACTAAAGAACAGCAGGAACAAATTAGTGTCATTCTTTTCACATGTCAGGGACAGAGTGTAAAAAGGCAGTTTGCTTCTCTGGTTGGGAGAAGTGGGAGGGAAGGATGTGGACTATTAGTAGAGAATAAGTTGGTAAAATGTAGAAAAATGAACTCAATGGATTTTAATTTTTTGTTGGGGAGCGGTTAGTACAGAAGAGGTAGTGCAACGTTTAATAGTTCAAGATGACATCTTTTTTTTATTTGTATGAGTTTAAAAGGTAGAAGCATAGGGTTTTACATGGATATATTGCATAGCGGTAAAGTCTGGGCTTGTAGTGTAACCACCACTCAAATAGGAAACATTGTCCCCATTAAATAATTTGAATTGCAAAATGTTAAACCCTGAAGGGCTCTTAGAGATTATCTAATCCAGTCCTCCTTTATAGATGAGGAAGTGGAGATCTAGAGAAGGAAAGCAACTTTCCCAATATCACACAGCTAGCAGCTGCACTTCTCAAAATAATACATGCCTAAGCCAGGGAACACATTAAGGTTTTATGAAGGGAACCCAAAACAACAGGATTATTGAATCTTCTTGATTCTTGGTGCATCAACTTTACTATAGATTGGTCATTTAATATAAACAGGAATCATTCATAATCAGAGATATGCAAATTAAAATAGTCACTGGGCTGTCACTTTACACATTTCAGGCTGGCAAAAGTAAAAAATTTGGATAATGCGGAGGGTTGGAAGGGATGAAGGAAAAGAGAAACAAACCCTTCTCCACTGCAGGTGGGCATTAAAGTTGGTACAGCCATTCCAAAGAGCAGTCTGGCATAACTCCGTCTCATGAAGAAAACACACATTCTATGGCCCAGCAATTCTTCTCCTAGTATATACTCCAAAGTAAGTTGCACATGAATCCATATGTAGACATGTACAAAGATACTCTCTGCATCTTTGTCTAGGGAGGCAGGAAGTTGGCAGCCATCTGGGTGCTTGTCCCTGGGAGAGTGAACAAGTGAAACATGGCAGATGTACATGCTGGAGTGTAATGCCTCAGTGTAGCATCAGGTTAGATGTATACAAAGAGCATGGATGGTTCTTCTATCAGTGTTGAGAGGAAAGAGATAAAAACTGAAAGGAGACATGTAATAAATGCCATTTCCACACATTAAAATGCATGCACATAAAACAATATATTTTGAATAACACATTCAAATCAAAAGATACTCCAAAACACATGAAGATGGTTGTATATGTTGGGGGGAAAATGGGAAAGGGAGTGGAGGCTAAAGGAGAATAAAATCAAAATGAAATAAACAAGAGGTAGAATGCCAGATTCACATGAATTTTTAAAAGAAAACGGCAGATTTCAAATAAACGTTTTACTTTTGGCTGCACTGGACCACATCTCCAGTATTGTCGAGAGTAGAGGTGGGAGTAGCGTGGGGGAGGTCATGAGTTCTTCCCCTGGAGCTATTTTGCTGGAAGATTTTGAGAGGCCCTGAACCACTCAGTGTAACCATGGGCTTTGCTTATGAATCAATCCACTCCACCTCATCTCTTCAACACTCCCTGAGGGGATATCTAGGCCAAAGGAGCCTGCTAGATCTACTTTCTATGATTCTTTATTTCAACTCTTTGTCACGTGGCTCCTGGAGGGAGAGCTGCTCTCCTAATCACCAACACGTGGGGCCTGACTTCTGGAGCTTTCTCTCTTCAGCAATATAAGGTTTTTTTCTGCTTCTCCTGATGGCTTCTCCCAGGAGAGTTTGTTGTAAGGACCGCCATTATATACTTAATTTCGAGGCAACAGGAAAATATTCATCATGGCCAATGATGGGCTATGATTGTTTTCCAACTTCACGGCTTCACAATATGAAGGAATATTTTAAAGCCTGCAAATCCAGAATCTTGGGGCATGGAATTACTCTGAAGGTACATAAGAAAGGCAGAAGAAAACAGGGACACCTCTCCATCAAATCACCAAAAGGGACTTGGTCAGAGATAGTGTGCATGGAAAAGAGGAAGAACTGGAGAAGGCCTAAAATTTGTGGGAGAGTATGAGAAAAGTGGGGCTGGTAAAATAGGTTCCTTGTGATTAATGCTTTATGTTTCTAAAGAGCACGTTGATGAGGAAAACAAAAGAACAATCTGAAAGGCTCCAATGAGAGAGATGTGACATCAATGTTAAATTGCAAGCTAATTATATCATTTAAGCATTTTCATATTTACAACCTGTCTAGTTGCAAAAGCTGATAAAATTTCCAAGAAACCATGGCTTATCATTTTCTCAGAAACACAAACATTTCAAAAGTCCTTCATGTAGCTTTCACCAGGATCCCCTTCCTCATCACTACTACCTCATTTACTCCTTTTGGCCCTTTTGCCCATTATATAGGTGCAGCACCTCTGTTGTTTTGCAGTATTTATCCTCACCTCCAACCAAACAGCAAACCAAGATGGGGAACTCCCAGGACCAAAAAGTTCCCATTACTAGGATTACATATGGTGTTAGGAAGTTGTACTTAACTCCCAGAAAACTAGCACTGGAAATTGCTTGATCAGTTTTATCTTATTTCCTAAATTTTTAAAACCCCGGTGGGATGTGCTGAACGGTGGGTTTTAGAATTGGTCAGACATGGGTTGAAGATTTGGTTCTGCCTTGGAGTGGCAAGTTACTTAATCTCTCTGAATCTCAGTTTCTTCACACTAGCCAGTACTTGGCGTTTAACTGATATTTGTATATCTGGAGAATTGAATGCAAAACTATACAATGATGATGAGCATAACTTTCTCACAGGATCCTTGTGAAAGTCAGGCAGTCTGGTGATAAGCTATTAGCATCGTATAAGCTTTATATATATTATAGTGTTTAGTATATGAGAGGCATCAAAATTTCCCCACTTCCTTTTGATCTCCCTTTCCCCTCTAAATTCCATGCTGAGAATACTCAACTCCTCAGCCTCTTTGCCTTTTTTTCTTAAATTTCCTTTTGACATCCATCTTTATGACTTTGTCATTTGAGTGACATTTGCTGGTTCTTATATACCTTAATAATCACTCCTCTCCTTCCTCTGTCCTTGTCAGAGCAACATCATCTCAAGCGCTATAACTGAATTTGGCCTTCAGATAATCATACCTTTTTCAATCTAACCCTCTCAGATAAGATATGGATTTGAAAGAGAGAGACAGAGAGAGAGTGAGTGAGAGAGAGAGAGAGAGAGAGAGAGAGGTTCTGAAGCAATCTGAAAATCTTTATTTTATTCCACCTGTCATTTTAAAGTTATGCAGCTCTTGGACAAAGCCCCAACTTCATCTGAGTGATATTAGTCAAAATACTTAACTTCTGTAACTCTCAGTTTCCTCACCTGCAGAATGGAGATAACAGCACCCACTGTGCAGGGTGTTGTGAAGACTAAATAAAATCATGCGTGGGGCATGAAGTACCACATCAGAGGTTTTCAAACTTCTTTCACCACTCAGAGCTCATCTTATCTCCCCTAACTACCACAACTGTGGACCCTGGGGTTTGAGGTTT
The DNA here is from genome assembly GCF_000001405.40 of Homo sapiens. Taxonomy (NCBI): domain Eukaryota; kingdom Metazoa; phylum Chordata; class Mammalia; order Primates; family Hominidae; genus Homo; species Homo sapiens. The sequence goes on along the minus strand of NC_000023.11, from coordinate 112,313,301 downwards.
TGTTTTGTTTTGTTTTTACTAAAATACATAAGATAACAATTTTTTTTCTAAAAAACATAAATAGCCACCAGTCAGAATAGTCCCATATGGTCAGTATTACATCTGTGAATTGCTAAACTCCTACCCAAAAGAGAAAAAAAAATGTCCTTTCTAGCCTGAACAACCATATTTTGAGTAAGTGTACAATTTCAATTGAGTTAAATTGCTCTGAACCTAGAAAAGCCATTAATTAATAAGTGTTTGCAATCAACTTCCCACTACACACCCATCTTCACCTCAACACACATACGTATGCACACACACATTCCCTGCACTCCCTGACGGTGGTCAGGCTATCTAGAACATGTTACTAATCCTCCTTTTTGATGTAGAATCTGGATAAGTGGGCCTACAAAATAAAGAGCTAGTATAAGGAAAAGGGATGGGGGAAGAAAAAAGACATGAGAGGATCCATGGGCTCTATTTGTGAGAAAGGTTTGGGGAGACAGAGTTGGGGAGAAACAGGACCTGGAGGCAGCTGTGGTGTTTGGAACATACTGAGAATGCAGGAAATTGAAATGAGATTTTGGAGAACTCTTTCTGTTCCTTATGAATGTACTCTGTCTTTGGCACTTTAGAGAGAGCTTGCAATGAAGATTTCAACTGCTCTTCAGTTAATCTGTATGTAGGATTTGTGTTCCTCTAATTGTAACACTGTGAGACATGGGGCCATGAGGCAACTGGGCTTTATTTAAGTTATACAGCAAGACCTCCTAAACTAGGTCAAATTGTTTTCTAAACCTACTGTGTCATTTCTTAAGGGAATGAACACAGTCTTTAACTGAAATTTTTCCAAGGTTCTCCCAGGAGTCCTGAGATATTTTCTCCAAAATACATTAACTTATTCTACAGCTGAAAATCAAGCTCTGCTCCTCATTTGGCAGGATCTGTATCACTTCTAATCTGAATTGTAGATTATTAATGACAAGCTGTCATTTATCTGTTAGCACTTTACAGATACCATCTTATTTAGTTCTTATAATAACTCTGGTACATGGAAATGATTGTCCTCATTTTACATATAAGAGATCCAGGGAGTTGAAGTGACTTTTCCAAGGTCACCAGTAGAGTCATAATTCAAAGCTAAATCTGTCCAATGCCATGACCTGTACTTTCAACTACTACACTTTGATGTCTGGAAATACGTTGATAGGTTATTACCTATGCTGGGAATAGAAGCATTTTAATTAACTATCCAATATTATTGTTAATATTATTGCCAAGAGAATGAATGAATTTTTATAGAGGAAGCAGTTCATTCAAGTGAACTATGATAGCATTGGTTGTGAATAAGATACCACATGTAGAGTATCAATTATTTTTAGAGTGAAATTAACAAGAAACAGTGATTTGGGTTGGAAAGATATGAGCAGCTACTCTGAAGTGAGTGAGAGACTTTTCTGAACAGGGGGAATAGAGGAGAAGGTTTTTGTGAAAGTAAAGAAAGGGGATAAAAGGATTAAAAGGAAGTGAATGTGAGCACTGTAGAAAAATTAAGAGAGGAGGATGAGTTAGGAGGCAGGCCAGAGCACCTACAGAAATGGTTTCAAAGCAAAGCTCCAGAAATCCTAAATACACTAATGAATAGAAAATACCACTTAAACTGCACTTACTTTTGGCTTTCAAGGTGTAAAGGAAGAAATGTGCTCTCATTGGGTGTTACTTTTCTAATACAGCAGGCAGGGGAGGAGGGAGGGAAAAAGTCTCAGTGATCTTGGCCTAAGGGACTTACAGGGGCAGCTGCTCCCACATACACTTCGTAGAAAATTTAAACGAGGTTACTGCATCAGAATTCTTGTCCAGTGCTCTCATCCTTACCCCTAGAAATGAAACCTGTTAGGATCCAGTGATTAATCTGTTTCTCTAGAACCCGTCTGAGGGCACTTTTAGAAGTACAGCCAACATCCTATAAAATGCAGAGGGAATCAGATGGGGAAAGAGGTCCCAGAAAGGGCAATCTTTTCCCCAACAAACTGTGAAATTGGAAAAGAGAATTATCAAGGGCCCCAGCTTCTCAATTCTTCCCACTCAGTACTCTTCTCTTCTCAGCCTTATCACACACAATGCCTACTCACAATCCCCAAAATTTCCTTTCAGATCTTTCATTCACATCCAGGTATAAACTACTCCTAACAACTTCAAAGAGCTTAAGGCTTCTGGAAGACACAACTCCAAGGAGCACCTTTCATATTGTAGCTACTTACACAGGCCTAGTAGTGCTTCTTAAACTTCATCTCAAGTTCCCCCTTTGCAGAAGAGAATGAAAAAATACCTCCCAGGAGGTCAGAGACAGCTGCAAGACTGGAATTTAATTGCAAGACTGGAATTTCTTTGCTGTCTCCTGTTTTATATATACATATATATAAAAATAATACATACATATATTTTATATATATGTAAATATATATAATGTATTTTATATATAATATATAATGTATTAATATATATAATATATAATATAGAATTATATATAATATTAATATATATTATATATAATATTGAAATATATTATTTTATATAATATATAAATATATAATATATAATATTGAAATATATTATTTTATATAATATATAAATATATAATATATAATACATAAATATACTAATATATATAAATATATATAATATATAAACATAATATATATAAATATATATAAATATATATAATATATAATATAGAAATATTATATATAAATATATATAATATATAATATATAAATATAATATATGTGAATATATATAACATATTTATGTATTATATATATTTCTATATAACATATATTTCTATATTATATATATTTCTATATAATATATATTTCTATATTATATATACGTATATTATATTAAATATATATATATATATATATATATATATATATATATATATATATATGTATAAAGGTGCTGGCCAATTTGGTTCTCCAGTAAGGTCTCTCTTCTTAGCTTGCAAACAGCTGACCTCTTGCTGTCTCAAGTGGCAGAGATAGACAAGTAAGCTGTCTGGTGTCTCTTCTAAGGGCACTAATCCTATCATGAGAGCTCTACTTTCATGACCTCATCTAAACCTAACTGCCACCCCAAAGCCCCATCTTCAAATGCCATCATATTGGAGGTTAGGGCTTCAACATATGAATTTGGAAGGGGGTACAATTCAGTCCATAGCAGTATCTAATAGAATGGACTATGAAATTCATGTATCTGTTTTTTTAAGACAGGATCTCACTTCGTTTACCAGGCTGGAGTGCAGTGGCACGATCTCGGGTCTGTGCAACCTCCTCCTCCCAAGCTCAAGCAATCCTCCCACCTCAGCCTCCCAAGTAGCTGAAACCACAGGTGTACACATATATATATACACACACACATATATGTGTGTGTGTGTGTATATATATGTATGTATATATGTGTGTGTATATATGTGTATACATATATGTATATATATGTATATATGTGTGTGTATATGTGTGTGTGTGTATATATATGTGTATGTGTATACATATAGCCGGCCATGGAGGCTAGCACTTTGGGAGGCCGAAGCAGGTGAATCGCTTGAGGTCAGGAGTTCAAGACATTCCTGGGCAACATGGTGAAACACTGTCTCTACAAAAAATGAGTTGGGCGTGGTGGCATGCGCCTGTGGTTTCAGCTACTTGGGAGGCTGAGGTAGGAGGATTGCTTGAGCTTGGGAGGAGGAGGTTGCACAGACCCGAGATCGTGCCACTGCACTCCAGCCTGGTAAACGAAGTGAGATCCTGTCTTAAAAAAAAAGACACATGAATTTCATAGTCCATTCTATTAGATACTGCTATGGACTGAATTGTACCCCCTTCCAAATTCATATGTTGAAGCCCTAACCTCCAATATGATGGCATTTGAAGATGGAGCTTTGGGGTGGTAGTTAGGTTTAGATGAGGTCATGAAAGTAGAGCTCTCATGATAGGATTAGTGCCCTTAGAAGAGACACCAGACAGCTTACTTGTCTATCTCTGCCACTTGAGACAGCAAGAGGTCAGCTGTTTGCAAGCTAAGAAGAAAGACCTTACTGGAGAACCAAATTGGCCAGCACCTTAACCTTGGACTTGCCATCCTCCAGAAGTGTGAGAAATAAATTCCTGTTGTTTAAACTACCCAGTCTATGGTATTTTGTTATGGCAGCTGAGCTTACTAATATCAGTGCTTGCTTCAATATATAAACAATGGTTTAAATACTCTAGAAGTCAATAACTTCCCTTTCCTCAAATCTTGGAGTAAAAATTGACACTCCAGGAAGATACACCTTATTTTACCTATTACACAATCCAGGAAGATTTGCATCTCAAGAGGAAGCAAAGCTCTAATCTGAAGGGCACTGGGTAACAGAAGGAAGCATTTTTTTTTGTTTTATTGGAATCATCCTAAACCCCTAACCCCTCTGTGTTTCCACACTATGTGCAGTGGCTTATTACATCTGGGGTTTCAACCATACTGGCTCTAAGGAGTCTCTGATAAGGACATGATAGGCTGGCACATTGAATGAAAACCAAGAACAAGCAATCAATGTACAACAGTTGCCCAAATCCATTCACCCACCTAAAAAGTTTCTACTATGTGGCAAACAGCAGGCCATGTACCAAAAGTACAGAGAGAGTTTCACCATAATCCTAAATGGAGAAATCTGACCAGAAAGATATGTCTGGTATCCAGAAAAAAAGGAAAGGTGCCCTTTTGTCCCTAAGCCCAACCTGTCCTCCATTTCCCTGACTACCATCCTTTTATCCAATCAGAGAGCTACAATTGCTACTTATAGAATATTGTAAAGCTAAATACTAACACAAAGATAGGGCCCTCTCCAACAATAGCTCATTCCTCACAGCACTGACTTCTAAATATTGTTAGCCATGTGTTTTCCTTTGATATCCTTATTCATTAGGGTAGTGGGAAGATCCAGCCCAGAAATGAAAGGATGATTTTTTAAAGTTACCAGACTCAACCTGGCTTTGTCTCAGGGTGGGAGGTGATTTACTTTGCCTATTTGAATGACACTCTAAGTATCAAGTTTATCTTCCTCCAGCTAGGTAGTAGATTCGAGACCTCTTAGAGGCTTTTCTAACCCCGCTCACCCCATTCTAGTTGCAGTGCTTTAGCTAAAACCCCCAGAAAGTGGCATGATTTTAAGTCAAAATTTAGAGGTCCCCACATAACTCAAGCACTCTTAACACCAACTTTTGCTTATATCAAATAGTACTAGAGAGTATCTCCCAATTGGAGAAAAGATAGTGTAATCCCTTGCAAGTCACTTAAGCCATTTGAACCTCCGTTTCCTCATCTATCAAATGGGGCTAATACAACTACTACTTTGCCTCATAAGGACAGTGTGACAGAAAATGAGTCTCTCTTGTAAGTGAGTGATGATGAGGAAGTAGAAAAAACAGCAAAGGAATTGTGAGGGTAGATATCAGGCCGTTCTTGTTGAGAGAAGGAAAAATAAAAGAACAACAGAATAAATATCATTACAAGATTAAGAAAGCTTAGTGGTACTCAAAGTTTGAATTAGCCAATCTATAGCACAGTGAGGATCATGAGTGAAAGTTAAATGTGGAAACAACAAGAAAAAATGTGCTGAATTTGGGTGAGATGAATGGAAGGAAGGAATGGAGGGAAGATGAGAGAGATTTAAAAATATCCTGGGGATCTTATAAGGTGTGTCCTGTAAGGCCTGTACAGTAGTTCCAAAGACATTGAGAAGGGATCACTTGCAGTGGGAAGACCTGCTAATGAAAAGAAATTGCTATGAAGTTACTTGTTCAGTTAGGAAAGAAATCTAACCAGGCAGACTGGGAATCCTGCTTATTGACACAATATCAATGACATAATATGGACTAGTGGACATGCACATAAGCATGGACTTTGAAGTTAGAAAGACCTGGTTGTGAGTCTTTCTTAACCACTCACTGGTTAGGTGACTTGGACAAGTTAACCTTTCTGAATTTCAACATCCTCCACTGTCAAGTAGGCACAATAAGAGTTCTACACAGCATTGCTGTGAGTATTAAATGAGATATTGCATGTAACTGCTTAGAACACAGCCCAACCCATAGAAAATGATTAATACATGTTAGCTATTATCAGCTCTTTGCTATTATTATCTCAGTTAATGGCAGACACAGAGTCAAGAGCTATTAACAGGAAGAATGGGGACAGAAAGATCTGAAGCAATGAAAACTGTGGAGAATAGTAGGCCCATGGAAGGAATGCCAACATGAAAAAAACTGGGATCCCAGAGGCGGCATACACACACAAGGTTTCTAACAGATGCTGAGCAGAGGGAGGCAGAGATCCTGAGAGGAGGTCAGGAAGTGCTAAGGACAAGCTCCTCATCTTTCAGGATTTAGCTCCTGGACAGTCATGTGAACAGACAGCACTGGAACCAGCTTCCTGCTGTGGCCACTGCAGAAACATTTTCCCCTTGAGCGTAGAGTTTCCTACGGAGGAGGTAAAGAGTACTGAATACTGTGGGAAGACTTTGGGTAGCTGGGAATCTGCATGCACTGCTTCTACATGAAGCCAGCATAGGACAGATAGCACTTGACAAGCTCAGTGCTCACCCAGCCAAAGCAAGGAGCTCTGCTTCCCTCCTTCCATCTTTCCCCTCTTCATAACTGATTACTTCTCACGCTATCTGTTTGAACCAATTAAAAGAAAAGCATGCTAGTTAAGAGCTCTGGAGTCAGGCTGGCTAGGTTTGAAAGCTGGTTTCTCCAGTTACCTGTGTGACCTCGGGCAGGTCATGGAATCTCTCCAAGGCTTCGTTTTCTCACTTGTAAAATGAGGATAATAGAATTGACCTTTCTTACAGGATTTCATGACGCTTAAGTGAGATTACACATGGTAAATTCTTCTCCTGGAGCCCTGCATGCATGTACATTCTAGAAAAGAGATAGTTCCAGTTACTCAATTGTCACACATTGTTCTCTTTATGAGCACACTGCACACCGTAGCTTACTCCCAGAATGCAAATGTCATCTGAACAAATTGTGCTTCAACATCAAATATTCATTAAGCAGGGCAATGCTGGGGCTGTTCTGGGTGGGGCGAGATATAGAAATGGACATATGAGCACCAGCCCACAATCAGTTTCCACTTGCAAATTTGTCAGTCTTTCCTCTCTCAAGTGACACTTGGTATAAGACTTTTGAAAACCAGCAATAAGTTTTGAAGGGAATAATCTCTGCATATCCCATCTCATTTCACCCTCAAGCCACCACCAAGGAGCAGCAATCCCACTAGACAGATCACAGAATTTCAGATCAGGAAGGGACGGGCTACTCCAGGTGATACAGTAAAATCTCCTCTGAGGTCCAGAGAGGCCAAACGGTTTGATTGAAGCAAGGCAGCAAGTCTGTGCCTGAGCTGGCCACCAAAACCAAACCACCTAATTCTAGTGCAGCTTCGCAAAGAAGGCAGCACATGACAAAATCTGAAAATTACACAATGTCCCTCTGAGAGTACAGCACTGACTGTACAATGGCATATATTATACAACGAATCACAATAGTGTTTCTTCTCTTCCTGCTGAGCTGTGTTGGCAAGTTCTTAGTACTTATTTAAAAAGGTATGGTTGTTGGCCGGGTGTTGTGGCTCACGCCTGTAATCCCAGAACTTTGAGAGGCCGAGACGGGCAGATCACCTGAGGTCAGGAGTTCGACACCATCCTGCCCAACATGGTGAAACCCCATCTCTACTAAAAATACAAAAAATTAGCTGGGCGTGGTGGCAGGTGCCTGTAGTCCCAGCTACTTGGGAGGCTGAGGCAGGAGAATGGTGTGAACCCGGGAGGTGGAGCTTGCAGTGAGCCGAGATGGCACCACTGCACTCCAGCCTGGGTGACAGAACGAGACTCTGTCTCAAAAAATAAATAAATAAATAAAAATAAAATAAAATAAAATAAAATAAAATACAAAAATTAGCCAGGTATGGTGGTGCACGCCTATAGTCCCAGCTACTCAGGAGGCTGAGGCAGGAGAATCACTTGAACCCGGAAGCGAAGGTTGCAGTGAGCCGAGATCGAGCCACTGCGACAGAGCAAGACTCTGTCAAAAAAAAAAAAGACAAAAAAAACACAAAGATATAACTGTAATTCACTGAGTACTCCCCATCCCCTCCATGAGCATGCCATGAGTTCAGTCATTTGCTTGCATGTAGATTCTTATGTTATGGAGAATCTGCAGATCTACCCAGCCGAGATCCATAAGCTACTGACAGCTTCTCAGGGGCAGAAGCAGGGAGTATTTTTTTCACGTTTTTGACAGCCTTTGCTATTGTTCTCAATGCTAAAAAAGTTATTGAAATGCTTTTGGTGATGGTCGGGTCTCTTAGTAACATGCCAATGAATGTGGAAAGGAAAAGAGGAAAGATAAGGAAAGAGAGATGCAGGAGTGGGATGGGAGGAAAGAAGCATGAGGAAAGGGGGCAGGAGGGAGTAGGAGGATAATGAGTGGGTCAGGAGGTTTATTAAATTCTGTCATACCTCATTCTAGAACAATTTAGAACAGTGTTTCTTAAAACATGTGCTGTGGATTAGTGTTCCATAGGCTGCCACACAGAAAAGATAGCTGTGAGCCAAAAAAAAAAAAAAAAAAAAAAAAAAGATGTGGGAAAATTCTAGTAAGCAGAGAGTAATCAGGTTGCTTTCCTGCAGTACTACTTGGAGCCTTTTATATGTTGATGACATCCCCCAGGAAATACTGTAAACACGGTTCCCGGAAATTTCTTTGACCAGGGGGCTTGCCCTTGGTCCTTTCATCAGGAACAGGTCCTTTAAAAAATTTTAAATCGGTAATAAAACTGCAATTCATTCCACATCTGCCCATTCAGGTGCTTATCAACACTGTCAAAATAACCAAGTGCCTTTGCAATACCCTAGGGGACAAGATAGTCTCACACACACACAAACACAAATGCACACACACAAACACACACGCACACACACATCACCAGGCAATGGCTGGTGCCTTTGGAGTAGTGCATCTTTGGCTACTCTTCCATATGAAGTATTCTTTCCCATTGCCAACACCCTTGGATTTGATGATCTCTGACTTCCTGGAGTGGCCTGAGAGCCACAAAAAGACATGACTGGGGTTGTGCTCTTTATCCTTAGGCAGCCTTCCTTGGGTATCAGCCACAGAAAGGTCCAGGTCCTTCACTTCAAGAATTAGGCCCCATACCCAACCATATGGCCACGCTCAAAAAAGAGAAAAAGGGCCACATTAGCTACTGTAAAGACTATACACGCAACACTTCGAGACAGTAGTTTGTGGAAGTCAGTAGGTAGCAATTATTAATTTGCAAGTACTAGATGGTGGGTGGTAGTAATGCTGTGTTAGTAGTTATAATACAAGCATCCCTGTATATTCAAATATAAAAAGTAATAGAGAATATGTTGCATAATTAACATGAGCAGAAGCCTATATCCCATTATTTTAAAATTCTTTTTTTTTTAAATTCTTTTTTTTTAATTTTTTTTATTATTATTATACTTTAAGTTTTAGGGTACATGTGCACAATGTGCAGGTTAGTTACATATGTATACATGTGCCATGCTGGTGTGCTGCACCCACTAACTCATCATTTAGCATTAGGTATATCTCCTAATGCTATCCCTCCCCCCTCCCCCCACCCCACAACAGGCCCCAGAGTGTGATGTTCCCCTTCCTGTGTCCATGTGTTCTCATTGTTCAATTCCCATCTATGAGTGAGAACATGCGGTGTTTGGTTTTTTGTCCTTGCAATAGTTTACTGAGAATGATGATTTCCAATTTCATCCACGTCCCTACAAAGGACATGAACCCATTATTTTAAATGGAGAAATGACAATACATTCCTAAGCCATCCAAAAACTCCAAACAATTTTCCTAATCATTATTAAAACATTTAAACAGCTACCAATCAATCCATGAAGGACTTATGGATAATATAATTCATTTAAAATGCCAATACCTAATTAACACGTAATGAACTCATTAAAGGGTATTTTTTGTGTTTGGTATACAATCATTTACAATTTCAGGAGCAAACTGTTTCTCTTCTAAACTGCAATGAACATACATTGTAATATAAACAATGAAATAATGTGTTAGAGATTCTCAACATGTGGTCTACGTGGACCACGGTTGATAGTGTCCCTAGGCACTTGAAAGAAGCAAACACTGGGCTAATGAAGGACTAAACCCTTAAGAAAATGGTGTGGAAGATGAGAATGATCATGCACAAGGCATCGGGAGCCAAGATGCTGTTTTATCCAGAGAGGGGTACATTCTACGTCCTCTGGATAGGATTCCTGTGCAACTCAAATGTTTTCACCTGAGGATTTCTGATTAGAATAGTGAAGTTTGGGAAAACATTTTTGTAATTTTTTAAAAATAATGAACGTCTAGATAGTGACAGTTCAAATAGCAGTAGTAGCAGTAGTAATGGTAGTTCTCATTTATTAAAAACTACTTAAGAGTGGGGCCCCTCTTTATCTCATTCACCAATTTATCCCAGTGCTTAAGCACAAAGCCTAGCACATTGTAAATGCTCGAAAAATATTTGTTCAATGAATGAACTGAATACTAACTGAGTACCACATACTGAGCAATTTACCTGTGTTATCTCATTTAATTCTAACATTAACAGCCCTACAGGGTGAGGGATGAGAAATTACTTAATGAGTACAATTTACACTATTTACACAATTTACACTATTAATGAGTACAATTTACATTATTTGTAGCCATCACTACAATAAAAGCCCACAAATCACCACTACTTAATATATTCATGTAACAAAATAGCAATTTACCGCCTAAATCTGTAATTTAAAAAACCTATGTTGTAGATAGTTCCCCATTTTTCAGATGGAGAAACCAAGCCCCAGTACTAAAGAGGAACTTGGCTAATATCACACAACGCATGTGCCAGAGCTAGGGACTTAAACTCCTGTCCTCTTAAGTCTTAAGTCCAAAGCTAATGCTTTTTTTTTTTTTTTTTAACAGAGTCTTGCTCTGTCGCCCAGGCTGGAGTGCAGTGGCGTGATCTCCACTCACTGCAAGCTCCGCCTCCTGGGTTCACGCCATTCTCCTGCCTCATCCTCCCAAGTAGCTGGGACTACAGGTGCCCGCCACCATGCCCAGCTAATTTTTTTGTATTTTTAGTAGAGACGGGGTTTCACCATGTTAGCCAGGATGGTCTCTATCTCTTGACTTCGTGATCCACCCACCTTGGCCTCCCAAACTTCTGGGATTACAAGCGTGAGCCACGGCCCCTGACCTTTTTTTTTTTTTCTTTGACAGGGTCTTGCTCTATCACCCAGGCTAAAGCATTGGCACGATCACAGCTCAGTTGTAGCCTCGACCTCCTGGGCTCAAGCAATTCTCTTGCCTCAGCCTCCTGAGTAGCTGGGCCTACAGGTTCAGACCATCGGGCATGGGCAATTTAAAAACATTTTTTTTTAAAGACAGGGCTCATTATGTTGCCCAGGCTGGTCTCGAACTTCTGGACTCAAGTGATACTCCCACCTCGGCCTCCCAAAGTGTGTGTGTTACTGGTGTGAGTCACTGAGCCCAACCAAAGCTAATGCTTTTAGCTACCATCCTCTATACACTTCTCTTCTCTCATTTAGAAATTTGTACACCTGTTTGGGTTCTCTAATCTACAGTTTCCTGACACCTCATGTCAGAGACCTTGAAAAAAAAAACTGTCTGCTTCTGAGAATTATGAATCCCTTGCACATGACTTCATTGTTACTATTAAACCAAGTTTTTAAATGCTATGACATATGTTTTCTTTATTAGTATTAATAATAATTACAGCTACCCTATGTAGAGCATTTACTATGTGCCAATCAGGCACAGTACTATGCCATTATTTCGGTTAACCTTTAAACAACCTGATGAGGAAGGTATTGTTATAATTCCCATTTTACAAATGAGTAAACTGAGGTTTGAAAAAGTTAAGTAGCTTACCTAGGCAAATATCTTGTAATTGACAGAGATGGAATTTGAACCCACATATGTCAGATTACAGGGCACATCCTCTCAGTCACTCCGTACCACTTTGGTAACTAGCTGACAAACCAGATAATTTGACAGAACAGAAGATCTTATTGATGCCCTACCAACCACTGTCAGTGCCTGTAGGAATCCTACTCTCCTCAGCTTGGCCTCTGCAAATCCTATTGCCCCTCCGTATTGAACCCAATTCCCACTTCTCCCGAGACGCAACCCCTAACTCTCATTGATATACTCCACAGGGATTGTTCCCTTGGCTCAGTCCCCCTCAGCACTGTCTGTGTGAGTCTCAAAGGTTGTTGATTCCTACTGCCTTGCCCTGATCTCTGGCTTCTTTAGTGTAATTGTCTTCCCTGCTCTTTCTCACTAGATTGACAGCTCACACAATATATGGTCTAGGCTAACTAGTTCTGACTGCCTAGTTCTCCACCAGCTGGCATAGTGCCATAAACACAGTAGGAGCAGGGGAATGTGGCTGCAGTGCCATACGATGGATGCGAATCTGTTTTTTAAAAAATTAATCTTGTCGTATTGCTTCTCTAACTACTAAGGCCATGTACATTTATTGTTGAGAATTTAGAAAATACTCAAGCAAAATGGTGAAAAAATTTAAAACCCTACCTTCCAACCATGTAGAGAACCTTTGTTAACAGACTAACAGTTTAGTGAACATCCTTTCACATCTATACATGCATGCTCAGTTTCTATCCATTAGGGCCCACACTATTCAAATGAATTTGTAACTTACTTTTTCCTGTAAAAAGACACAGTTAACACTTTGCTATAGCCTTGAATGTGCTTTTACAATATCATCTTTAAAAGAAATCATATTACAGATTATAATACAGTTGATTTAATGAATTGTTGAATATTGAACACTGAGATGGTTTCAAATCCTTTGCTATTCAGACAATTGGAAACAACCTAAATGTTATCACCAGAGGACCAATTAAATAAAATATGATACAACCATTCAATGGAATATTATGCAGCTGTTATAAAGCTTAATGTAGAATGTAAGTGATGATATGGTGTGATTATCAAGATGCATTATTAATCAAAAAGAGAAAACTGTAAAATCAGATGAGTGAAAGGACCTTTATATATTAGATGGATAGATAGAGGGATGGATAGATAGATAGATAGATAGATTTTATATGTGCAAAGATATTTCTGAAAGAATATATAGATACAAAAATACAAAACTGTCACCAATTATTTTACCTGGGGAGGCATGGGACTACCAATGGACAGGGAGAGGTTTTCTGTATATTTTATACCCTTCTGAAATGATTGAATATTTTATTTTGTGTGATATATGTGTGTGTATGTGTGTGTGTACACACACACATACAGTATGATGATGAAAAACCTCATCACTAAATATTAGTTTATATTTATGATAAGTAACTTTTCAATCTGTTAGGGAGGGAAAGTCAGGAGCAAGTTATATTGGCATCAAGTTCCTGAGAAGGTTGACAAAGGAACACTGTCAGGAAGAGTATATATGTCCCATGGGAAAGCCCAGGAGGCAACCTCTGCCCCGTTACAGAGTTGCTGAAGGTTGGCTTCACAGAGGAATGCACTATTGCAGACTCCAAAGTCCAAGGGGGAGAGCAAGGCTTTTGATTCTTGCTCTGAAGTAGTGCTTTCTCAGCTGTGTTCTCTGAAGCCCTCAAAGTCCACTGAGAAGGATGCCAAAGTTCCAGGGCCCAGGTGCCATTTTACTCAAAGCAGATTTACTTTAAAAAATTGTGGTAAAATGCACATAACATAAAATTTGTCGTCTTAACTATTTTTAAGTGCTCAGTTCAGTGGTATTAAAAAAATTCACTTTTAATCTGATTCACATATTGTGGCTCCATAGTTAAAAGACACTTCATAACAAATGCTGTAAACATAGCACTTTCCAACTTTTTCAGTACATGACACAAATGGAAGATAACAATGTTTGTGTGGCACACTGAAGTAAAATAAGTTTGCTCATGGCCAGAAGCAAAGACTGCTCATGGACTATGGCTGCCCTGTTATATATCAGACCACCTAGAAGGATCAATAGCTCAGCGCATTTGCAACCCACTCAGGGCACGTCAGTACGCCACAATGTCCCAGTTGGAAAGCATCATTGAAAAGACTGAGGGAGCCAACTCTCAAATCTCAGAGTTAAAACTGAAATACCAGTGTTTAATGCCCTGTCTTGAATGACCTATGATTGGCAAGAACAGCCTGCAAAAGCGGAGAAGGACATAAAAGGTCTTGGAAACGAACTGATGCAAACACAGTTGAAGTTATCTTACACAACTTAGAAGAGAGCCCTGGGCATCAGTTGGTACATTTTACAGAGCGTTGCTTTGATAATCAGAAAAGCAATACAAGAAGTATAAGGAAAGGTCAAATAATTCTTTTGTCATTGGTAACATGCACCTGAGTGCCGGTGAAAGCTCACCTTGCTTCTGGGATCTAGAACAGAAAAGGGCCCCCAAATAACCCCACTACCCCCAAAGGGCAGTTTGCACACTGTCACTGGGGCTACAACTGTTGGATTCATTCAAATCAGGCAAAGCCTGGGGTCAGGAACACTAAACAAACCTACTGTACAGAAGAGCAATTATTAAGATCCAGAGCACACATTTTTCTATCCAATTATTGACCCAAGTTCCTGAGGAATAAGGAAAGTAAAAGAACCATGTGGAATGAAAAATCTCAAGAATAAGAACCCGAGGACCCTAAAGTAAGTTGCTCCCATGATAAGGGATTCTGAGAAGAAGAATCCTAATTTGTAACATTGTAGAGGAAGAACCAGGCTGAACCTCTAAAGCTCTTCAGGATCTAGTTTAGAGGCAGAATTTCATAGCTATGCCCAGGTAGTCTCTCTTTCTTTCGTAATAACTAATGTTTATGAGTATTTGCTATATGCTAGACAAAACACACACTTTATTCAATTTCATCTGGAGGATTAAGTGAGTTAATCTATGTAAAGCAGTGTGAACAGTGTCTATCACATAGTAGACAATAAATATAAGCTAAAACAAACAGAAAGTACTCTGAGGTGGATACAATATTATATATTGCTTAATGTTTGGGGAAACTCATGCCCAGATAGGTGAGATAATTTGCCTAAAGTCGAACCGAAAGTAAATGGCAAAGCTGGGATCCAGACGCTCTGATTCTGAATCGCTCCACTATGTTATCCCATCTACCCAACCAGCCAGCCAATCAACCAACCAATAAGCATGTTTCTAGGCACCTATTCAGTTTCATGCACTTTGTATACAGACATGATTAAGTCTTAGACCCTGTCCTCAAGAAACCCAGAGTCTAGTCAAGCAGCTCTCAGACAAGTGTCATGTATGAGAAGAGACAAAGTTATAGCTTGTACTGACCCAATAGGAGTGTTCCAGAACATCTTTTCTATGACGTACCTCTAAGCTGAGTAGGCCTATGAAAAATCTAGTATAAGTGAACATAAGTGTTGCACTTTAAGAAAGCGGTTGAGAGCCACTGTTTGTTGGGGGGACAGACCTAGAAATCAGTCACTACAATGGCCTGTGTGTCAGGCTTGTAGGCATGTAAAGGAGGGAATCATTTGATATGGTTTGGCTTTGTGCCCCCACCCAAATCTCATGCTGAATTGTGATTCTGAGTGTTGGAGGTGGGGCCTGGTGGGAGGTGATTGGATCATGAGGATGGTTTTTCGTGGTTCAGCACCATCACCATTCCCCTAGTGCCGTCTCGTAATAGAGTTCTCATAAGATCTGGTTGTTTAAAAGTGTGTAGCACCTTCCCCTTTGCTCTCTTCCTGCTGCTCCAGCTGTGTAGGACGCGCCTGCTTCCTCTTCGCCTTCTGCCATTATTGTAAGTCCCCTGAGGCCTCCCCAGTCATGTTTCCTGTACAGCTTGCAGAACCATGAGCCAGTTAAACCTCTTTTCTTTATAAATTACCCAGTTTCAGGTATTTCTTCATAGCAGTGTGAGAATACACCATTAAAACCACTTGGGACTGAAGAAAGATTGAAATTGGGGGTAGTTAAGTTGCTCCCACGATAAGGGATTCTAAGAAGAGCCTTAATTTGTAACACTGGGGAGGTAGAAACAGGTTGAACCTCTAAGGCATGGAGGACATTCCTTCTCTTCCAAAACATTATGACAGATGAGACAGAGCTCCCTGGAAGGCAGGGAAAGGCAGTCAGCACTGAATTAGGAAAAGGGAAAAAGATGGACAAAATCTGTCCTTCCACTTCACCTGAATCCTATCTTTTTGACCTAAGAATAACTTAGGGAGAGAAAAGGCCAAGAAAGAGATGGCAAAGAAAAGGGATTCTCAGCCAGGCGCGGTGGCTCATGCCTGTAATCCCAGCACTTTTGGAGGCCGAGGGGGGTGGATCACAAGGTCAGGAGATCGAGACCATCCTGGCTAACACGGTGAAACCCCGTCTCTACTAAAAATACAAAAAAAAAAAAAATTAGCTGGGCGTGGTGGCAGGCACCTGTAGTCCCAGCTACTTGGGAGGCTGAGGCAGGAGAAAGGCGTGAACTCGGGAGGCGGAGCTTGCAGTGAGCCGAGATTGTGCCACTGCACTCCAGCCTGGGCTACAGAGTGAAACTCTGTCTCAAAAAAAAAAAAAAAAGAAGAAAAGAAAAGAAAAGAAAAAGGATTCTCAAGAGGGGTAAACCCAGATGGAAGGGAAAACAAAAAACAGGGAAATTATTCTCTGAGGTCATACTGAGACCAACTGCTCAGTATGGGGTTTGGTGGAGGGATGTGTGTGGGTGTAGGAAGTCACAGTATCTCTATGAATTAGTGGGGAACAAAATACAGGGTGTAATGTAGCTAAAAGGAACTTATTTGATTCTGCCATAACTCCTGGAACACGTTCAGGAATTCTAGAATAGAACCACAGTTAGAGCCAAGTCTTTGAAAACCCACATTAATTAGTCAGGTAAAGGAGAAATGGGCCAACAGTAAGAACTAAGGTATTAAGGCAACTCAGAGAATAACAGGGTTGGTGAACTTCAGGTCCTTTGACTCTGCTGGAGTTTTGGGATGCATAAGAGAAATGATGAGAGATGAGGTTGGATAGAGAGGAAGGAAGGATCAGTGGCAGTGACAAATGGTCTTATGTCCTCTGAGGCAGGCCCTGGCAGTGGTCCCCTCAGAGCCTCAGCTTCTCTGGAGGAAAAGCATTTTTCATCCTATCCCCTCTCTGCAGTGTGGTAGAGGACAAACGAGGAAATAGGCAGAGAGTTCATTTTAGTATAAATGAATATATTTCAGCAATATTTTTCAGCAATGTATTTCAACAATATAAAATACAGCTGATTATTGTCACTTACCTGACTTTGGAACTGAGACATTTGGGTACAATCTTTAGGCATTTCAATATAAAAACACTCTGTGCAAACTGCACAGTAATTTCGACAGAGAAAAAAAGAGAAATGCAAACTTAATGAGCTGTACTCAGAGTGCTTGATGAAATTGGAGTTATAGATGATGAAGGCAGGAATGGAAATAGACCCATTAAGCTCGCTTTTTCTGGGATCCCTCCCATCAGCTACAGTTGAAAATGATTGGTCATAATGCCCCGGAAGGCTCATAGCACTGAATTTATCTCTGAGGCTTGGAGTTGCAGAAGGACATAAGTAGAAGCGGGATGGCCCTTGTGTGGGCTACCAGCAGATCTCATGTGTGGGCTGTCCCCATGGCTCCTGATTTGTGCTGGCAGGCAGGCACCTGCAGTGAGGGTAAGTGATGCACTTGGAATGACCCTTTGAGGAAAAGTGCTCACTGAAACCACTTGAAGGCAACAAATGAAGAGAAGAGAAGCAGATTTCTATACTTCAAGTGGGAGTGGTAAAAGGAACCTCTTGAGCAGGACCAAAAAGCATACTGCCCTAGAAGCCAGGGAGATAAGGAGATGTTAGTAGGATGGAGAAGACAACAGCATCAAATGAGGAGCAGAAGGTCTCAGTGGTGGAAGACTATGAGAAGGGAGATAAAAAAAATACCAGCTCTTACCCGAAGACATTTAATTCAAGGTCTCTGAGTGGCCAAAATCATTTTGGATACACTTAGAAGCAATAAAGTTATCCACAAGGAACAAGTAGCTGCTGTGTTGCCTCCAAAAAGCCTTCTATAGAGAAACTCATGGACATGCTATGATTCAAATGTCCTAATCTTTGGGAGGCATTGTTTGATGACAAAAAGAAATTGTGTTTTAAAGTTGAATTACAAGAAAATGCATTTGTAGCAATATTTGATTATTGTAGTCAAACCAGAGTCTGCTCAGTCAGAGACTGGTCTTCACTATTGTTGGCTGGTACACTATGGTGAGTCTCTTAGAATGTACACATGAGGTCATCTATTATTAAAAAGAGGTCATCTATCATTCAATGGTCAGATCAGGTATTGAGCTTGCTAAGTGCTAATGAAATGAACTTCTTAGGAAGTTGGCCATCTAAAAAACACCAAGAAAATTTCAAAGAACATGTTATAAATTCCCAGAAGATTAAGGCTGATTCAAAGTATTGGGGTTAAAAGTAGATGCGAGATGCCAAACTACATAGCAGATATGAAAAGTAGTTTTGAGGGATTAATGGTTGACGGTTTTTGTTTTGTTTTGTTTTGGTTTGGTTTGTTTTTTGAGATGGAGTCTTGCTCTGTCTCTCAGGCTGGAGTGCAATAGCATGATCTCGGCTCACTGCAACCCCTGCTTCCCAGGTTCTAGTGATTCTCCTGCGTCAACCTCCTGAGTAGCTGTGACTACAGGCATGTGCCACCATACCTGGCTAATTTTTTTTGTATTTTTAGTAGAGACAGGTTTCACCATGTTGGTTAGGCTGGTCTCAAACTCCTGACCTCAAATGATCTGCCTGCATCGGCCTCCCAAAGTGCTGGGATTATGGGTGTGAGCCACCGCGCCTGGCCTTGGTTGATATTTTGAGTAATCCTAGGACACACTGAAAACATTTGATCCACTATTCTCATCTGCCAAATCTCTGCCTATGTTGTGGATCCCAAGGCTGTTGAGGCTTAAGCACTCAGCAATTAGTACAAAATTCATCTAGACCAGAGTTTATAAGATCAATGTATTTCCCATAATTATCTACAAAATATGTGCACACAGGTGTTTCTTTGGGGAAGAGAATCAATGTTTTTCATCTGATTCCCAAAGTGCTCACAGACCTCTCCAAAATGGAAGACCTCTTCTAGACAGGTTTTATTTATAAAGAACAGCTTATTTAAATAAACACTGGTTTATTTACAAACTAGTGAGGTTTTCTGAGTATGAGCACTTGCTATTTCATACCTCTCAATTGACAGTAGCCAATTGAGCAGGATGCATGGAAACCTACTTTGGAACATGAAAACTCTCAAACTGCTCAAGCTGGTAGAGGTAGGGAATTTTGCCAAGTTACATTTTAGCACAGAGTCTAATATTTTGAATAACCACTGGCTTTCCTGTAGGTACTATTTCTAAGCCTAAAAATTTGGAAGATGTCTTATGAACAATGCAACCTTAGCAACAGTTTTGTGGCCAGGAAATATTATAGATTAGAAGCCATTGTACTTTTAATTAATTTGATTTCTCTTAGTGCCAGAAAGGAAATTACTTTTAACTAAGAACCATCCCAACTCCCTTTGATCTTCCCCAAGGTAGTCAATTCCACCAGACATCCTGCTGTTTAGATGACTGCATGGAAAACTGTTACCCCATTCTTATAGATTAAGACTATCGAAGTTTTCAGCAGATACTATTCAGATAATATTGGCAGATAATTATATCACTCCAGAAATCTCACTGGAAGTATATGATTCATTACAAAATCTGAATGAATAGTGAATACTGTGTTATACAAAGTTGGCAGCTAAAGGGCAAAAATAATACAAAAGAAAAATGGAGAAGACAAGGAATATGTGTCTATTAATGGAATGAGTGTTTTCAGAATTACATGTGTGTCTATAGATGGAGGTCCTTAATAGAGACCTTCTCTGACTTAGCCAGCCATGGGAAGGAAGATGAAAGTACTGCTAACAAAGGGGACAGCTTGTCACATCTATCTCTTCAGTCATTTTGCCTACATGGGGAATAATGGCCATCCCTGGCATCACCTTTGAGTTACAAAGAGAAAACAAGAATCATAAGAAGAAGATCAAAGAGCTGCCTGAGGTCCAGATTGGTTGGTCTTTTGATTCTCCATAGGCTGTCTGTGTTGCTATTAGCAATTTTTTGGATGGAAGCTTTCAGAAGCACAGTAGGAAGAGCAAAGGTGCCTGCTTTACACAGTAGATATGTTCTTGGGAAGTTAGATGTAAATTGGAGACTAAAAGTCAGTGAGTCAGAGAGTCAGTGATTTTCTAGTATGATCTTTCTCAAAAATTATATACATATAAAAATATGTATTTATGTTATTTTTATAATACATATTTTTCCTATTGAACAGTATATACACACATACACTGGATTGAGCTATTGTATTCTACACATTGAGGGGATAAATCTTTAGGTTAGTTCACAGTTCAAAAAGAAAAAAAGTACTGAGTTTTAGTTAGGTCTTGATGCAAATTAGCATTTTCCAATATTTCAGTACATGGAATTTTTTATTTAATTGGTTTTACAAATCAGATCCTATATTAAATGCCTATTTAAAGGAAATCTTTAGGTAAGGAATCATCTTTTGATCATTGTAATGTTAAACACCCAAGTATTGTGGAACAATATATTCAGAATTTTGCTTATCAGGTGTTCTGGGAAATGGAGGCACATGGATATTCAATGTGAGGAAGAGGCTTCAGAGGTCCTTGCTTTGCTAGTCATTATCCAGCAGCACTCTCAGTTCTCTTAATTTGATGAGAAGCGTCTATGGGGAGATACTGGACCACAGGTAGTTTTTCATTTATAAGGAGAAAGGAACAAAACAAAAGCAAAGCACAACTAAAGGTCTTCTGTCCTAGATCTTTTTCCTTAAGTGAGAAAATAATTCTGGTCTGAGTTTCCGTCTGGTTTTCAGCTCTGAAGGAGGTGGGAGCATCAGAAGTGACAAACACATTTGGTATTTTCAGAGACCTGAATAGAGGTATAAAGCATGGAAAATACAGACAATGCACATTCACTCTAGAGGTTATTGACAAGATTAATTACCTCATAACTGCTTTAATAAAATGACTCCAAGCATATTACAACTATAATTATCCATAAAAATCCTAATGAATTCAATTTCTCCAGAAATCACCCTGCTGCAACTAGTGAGTGTAGGAGAAGTAGCAGGAGGAGGCAATCCTGCTCTTAGGAGAGAAGGGAGGAGGGAAGGAAGGGGGAGATGGTTGGTAGAACTAGAGGGTGTCTAGGCCGGGCACGGTGGCTCATGCCTGTAATCCCAGCACTTTGGGAGGCCGAGGGGGGCGGATTACGAGGTCAGGAGATCGAGACCATCCTGGCTAACATGGTGAAACCCCGTCTCTACTAAAAATACAAAAAATTGGCTGGCCTGGTGGCGGGCGCCTATAGTCCCAGCTACTCGGGAGGCTGAGGCAGGAGAATGGCGTGAACCGGGGAGGCAGAGCTTGCAATGAGTGGAGATGGTGCCACTGCACTCCAGCCTGGGTGACAGAGCAAGACTCCGTCAAAAAAAAAAGAACTAGAGGGTATCTGATTAGGTCAAGTACGTAGGGGTAGATGGTGTTTCTTCTGGTTTTCACCCTGTGATGTTTCATATTGACCTATGAACCTATGAACCCCGGTTTTACATGTCAATGTTTCTGTTGAAAACAATTCCAAACATCACTATTATTTCTTCTCTTTTCCACCCCACCACCCCATCAATGTGTGCATGTGTGTGTGTGTGTGTGTGTGTGTGTGTGTGTGTGTGTGTGTACAAACATACATATATCTATATTCATGAATTTGGCTCACATCTTGTTTGCAAAATGCATATTATAAGAGACACAGCCAACACTCATCCTGGACAAACTTGTCTGAGACAAACTGAGAGGAAGGAAATGTTGATCTGTGGTGGTCCCCACACTTTCTGCTTCCTGCTCCCTACTTGGACACCTCTTCCACCCACCAATACCTCATCCTACCTCTGGGCTACTTAGGGCCCTTTTCTACTTCCCTTCTGCCAGGCAATAACCTACTCAGAGCTGGTCCTGCCTCCCTCTCCCTTATGCAAAGTATTCCTATCTTGGGTCCTAGTCCCACAAACTCCTGCCATCCGCTAGCTGTCTAACTAGAAACGTAATAATAAGGGAATGTATTTTAGATAGGAAATTGCAATGACCATATCCCATTTAATAGCCATGTAGTTCAGGGGCAAATCACTTGGTTTCTCTAAACCTCAGTTTCTCTGAATCTCAGCTTCCTTCTCCCAAAAAACAAGGTTCAATAATGAAGTTTTCACAATGTACTTCATAGATGGGATCCAATGAGATGTAGAAGAAAAGAACAAACATTTGTGGAGTGGTTTCACTATTTTCATAGCTATTGTCTCAATTAATTGCTAAAACAACTCTGTGCTAAATATTATATTACTATACTCAAATTATCAACAGGAAATTGAGAAATGGTCAGCTATGTGTCTAAGCTTATTGAGCTAGTTAGTATGTTATAGCAGTAGCTTATGAACCTGGGTCCACAGACTCTCTCAGTCTAGTACTCTTTCTATCACACAATACTGAACAGTACAAGTGGGAATATGCAATATACATGAAAAGCATTAGCATTACTACTGTCCTGATTTTATTGCCATGCTAACAGCTTGTCCCATGACTCCCCAGGATGATCCTCCCTTTTTGGTCAAGACCGTCTGTCACTGTCCATCATGACTTCTCTACATGTCATGCCTTTCCTCGTTTTTTAAATTTAAAAACATAAATCTTCAGATTCTCTCTCCTTTATAAAGCCTTCCATCATTATTTCACCCTGTGCTGATGGCTTCCTTCTCTGAAGACGAAGAAACCTTCTCATGGCTATCAGGAAATATAGCCCCGGTTTATAAATACTTTCAAATCATCTTCTAGTTAGTCATTCCAATGATCAACAGCTACCTTTTTTAGTCTCTACTGCATTCCAGACAATAATTTCAATAATCACCGTTTATCTATTTCTAAAACTCTACAAACTTTCCTTGAGCAGCTCTATAGCCTGATGCTCTCTGACATACACACTCAGGCCATATGTAGTCTTGGCTACTTCATGTTGTCTGCACATGTCCCACCCTTGTTCACAGTGCAGCATTGTGATTAAGAGTACAGCTGCTAGGGTCAAGCTGCTTGAGTTCAAATGTCAGCTCTCACTTACTCTCTGTATACCTTGGCAAGCTACATAATCGCTCTGTGCCTTAGCTTTATCATCTACAAAATGAAGATAATAACAGTACCTACCTCACTTACCTCAAAGGGTTGTGGTAAAGATGAAAAGACTATGTGTATGTATGTGTATTTTATACACACACACACACACACACACATATATTATACACACACGTACACACATGCACATAGTACGTAAAGTAGCCCAGTCACATGGTGAGTGTTCCGTAAATATTAGCTATTATTTCTTGCCTACTATGTGCTAGGCTTGTGACATACATTATCTCATTTAATATACACAACAACCAGGTGACATAAGGTTCTATTATTACCCCCATTGAACAGATGAGTCAAATGAAGCTCAGAAAGGTTAATACACATGCCCAAGGTCATACAAAACAAAATGGTCTATGCAGGACTCAAATCCAGATTGATCTGGTTCCAAGTCAATATTTTGTATTATGTAGTGTTTATTCTAATTGTTTTTATTGTATATGCTTTGTCTTTCCAATCAGACTATAAACTTTCCAAGGACAAAATCTATTGTCTTATAATACTTCTAGATCCTCTGTTCTCTTCATTGTAATCCTTAGTTGTTTGCCACAAAGTTGGCTTTTCATAAACATCCACTGACTTGAAAGGTACTTTTTGAGTTAAGCCTAGAAACTATCACCTTCATGTACAAAGAAATTGCTTCCCTTATTGCTGAACTCATGAAAAGGGTTTCCTGCCCATGACTTACCAGGCACCCTGACCATTTCCTCCCAATCCAGCCTGTAAGCTTTTTATACTTCAGTCCCTTCGTACTTATTCGACTGGGTGTCCCCTGTGATAAGAGACACAATAAGGAGAAGGCTGGGACTTGAAGGGTCTTAGCGTTTCAGTTTTAAATTCTATTCATTCATTCAACAAATCTTGATTGAGCACATACTATGTTGCAGGTACCTTTATAGGTACCAGGGATACAGACTGTCCAGAATGAGACTGCATTCCCTATATTAGTGTTTCCTAACATGTGAATCCTCATCCTGTGGAAAAATAATACTTTCCACACTTTTGAAGTGAGGTTTGGGGCATTAGATGTGTTTGGATGAAGATGATGAGATACACACTTCTAATAGAGCTTAAGAGTTACTACATGCTCAGTTACAAGCTATTTTTCCTCTGCAATCATGACCAGCAATATTACAGATGGTAGTTATTCCATTAGCCTGGGTCCCAGAATAAGGATGGTATAGAGAAGAGCCCCAGCCAACCAACAAAATATATGAGGAGAAATAAACTTCTGCCAACTCAAGCCAATGTAATTTTTCAAGTTATTTCTCACTACAGCATAATCTAGCATACCCAGATTGATACAAAGTGAAAGGAGTAAAACAAAACAGCATCCCATTCTTTTACAACCTTTGCTATGGATTTAGTAATAGCTGCTTATTGACTATTGGGGTTTGGAAGGTTGAATATTGGCACACTTGAAGGGAAACTGCTACAAACAAGCCATAGCTATGGCAGTGCCCTCACTAAAATAGGCAGTACCTTTCCTATAGAGTGTCAATAAAAACAAACATCAGGATAATTAAATTGTGTACACATATCTGCATAGATCAGGTGAACATATAAACCAAGAGAGCTAAGTTTTGCATGTTTCTCTCACTAGCAACCTGGCAATCAATTTCTTACGCTGAACTATTTCTTTGGTTTATTTCTATAACAGTAGACTTCTTGGGAAACTATTCACAATACTTGCTCCGAGTAAGTATTTGCAGCCTTCATAAGTCATCGTAACTCCATAGCAGGCTGTGGCAGCCATGAGAATGAGCCTTAAGACTCGTCAACTACAAGAAGAATAATTGACCAAGAGCAACAGTTGTTGTCCTCTGAATCAAGCACAGCATTTGTTCCAAAGTCACACTCTCTACAAGCTGCTCAGAGCTAAATGCAGCAGAGAAATTTAGGCAGGTCCATCCTGGGGAGACACAAGATTCATCTGATGACTGACTCTCTAAAGCTTTGTCAAATCATCTTCAGAGTGTTCAGAGGTGTAAGACATATCTACTGGACTGTACTTAACTAGGGGTCAGATTTAAATTGTGGTCTTTTAGCTTTTACTGGCCCCTTCTCCATTTTCTCTCATAGGTGTTTTCCATAATAAAATCTTTTGACAGTTAATATCACCTTGATATCGGTTTTTCATGGGAACTTGACACACATAACACAATTTGCTGGCTGTCCGTCTTTAAGATGTCATACTTGGGGCCTAGACTTGGAGGCAAGAGATCATGTCCACTTATACCATGCATAGCTCTCAAATGAATGCTCCTACTAGAATGCAGTCCCCTTGAGAGTACAGACAGAATACATGTTGAGTCCACAATGCCTGGTCCAGTGCCTAGCACAGAGTAGGTACTCAAAATATTTTTGTTGAATCAATAGGTCAATGAATACGTCCAAGATTAGTAAATTGTCAGATATACTTCTCAGAATCCTACAATTCTAGAAGAGAATTTAAAGACCATTTAGTCTATGTGGGAACAAACTTATTTTATATACAGTACTTGGAAGTCTATTCTATAATGAATGTAAGAAATGAGATACTATTACTCTTAGACTTATTCCAGAATTTCCGAATATTTTGGTCAGGAGTTTTTTCCTTATGCCTAATCTCATTATTTGTCAGTGCTTTAAGGTATTTAATAATGACCTCTCTTTATATCAGAATTCTCTTTATAATAGCCTTTCCTATATGTATATTCACTGATGCATGTATTCATTCATCACACACTGAGTACCTTCTATGAGTCAGGCACTGCGCTAGGCACTAGAGACACAAAAATAAGTAAGACGTTTTTCCTGCACACATCTAAGCATACAGCCTAGTGAGGCAGACAGATATTAAATAAATAATCAAATGAATAAATATGTATCCAAAATTTGCCACGACTGCTATGAGGGAAAATAACAAGGAACTGTGGTAACATGAAATGTGGTAAGATAATTTAGGTTGGGGGAGGAGTTTGACAAGGTCATTCCATGTGGTGATATTCAATCCTGGATGCTATTACCTTAATTAGTTTCCTTGAAAATAGTCTGTGGTCTAATCAATCCTACTAAACATTTTATTTCAGTTCACATTCTTCTCTTTCTACCAGAAATGTTCTTCTCTATGTGGGGAGAAGCAATAGACTCTAGCAATGGATTGGCTGTAGGGTTGAATTTTTTAAAAAAAGAGTCAAGAATGACTTCTAGGTTTCTGACTTGAAATTGGATGGATGGTAGTGGTGCCATTCCCTTAGATAGACAAATCCAGTTGGCACTACCTATAAAACATAAGCTGCATGTAACCACTTTTTACCACACCCACTGCTATCACTCTAGTCCATCATTTCCCCTAGACTGTTGGAATAGCACCGAGATTGATCTCTGTGCTTCCACTCTGGCCTTCTACAGTCTATTCTCATCACAATGGTAATAACTCCTTTAAAAACCTAAGTCAGATTATGTCACTCCTCTGCTCAAAACCTTACAATGACTTCTCATCACACTTGAAACAAAATTCCAATTCTCCTATGGCCTACAAGTATGTATATGATCTGGCTCCTGGCTACCTCTCTAACCCATTTCCTAAAACTTTTCTTCTCACCTACTACTCCCCAGTCATTATGCTTTTCCTCAAATACACGAAACGTATTTCTACCTCAGAGTATTTGCACTTGCTATTTTCACTGCGTGAAATATTCTTCTCCCAGATACATGGTTTATTCTTTCTTTTTGTTCAGTTTTTTTCTTAATTAGTGTTTTCTCAGAGAGACTTTCTTCCATCACCCTATCAAACACAGTATCCTCCCCATCACTCTCTATCTCCTTGGTTCACTTTGTTTCAATATACTTTATTTTATATTTTATGTATAAAACACTCATTAGACTTCTTTATTTGCTTTTTAAAAATTATTACTCCCCACCAATAAAATGTAGATGCCAGGAGCCAGAAATATGTTCACAGTTAAATTTTCTATTACCAAGAATAGTGTTTGGTACCTAGCGGGTAGGAGCAGGCATGGGTGAAGACAACAAGGTTAGGTTTAGATGTGCTGATTTGGACGTGAATTGGGGACATCCAAGCTGGGATGTCCAGTAAGAAGCTACATAGTACAATCTGGAGTTCAGATCAAGCTGGAGCTATAAATTTGAAAGTCATAAGTATAGAGATGGTATTTAAAGCCATGAGGCTGAATGAGATAAGCTAGATAGGAGTATACAGTGAAAAAGGTGAGGATCCAGGACTGGGTCATGGCAATTACCAATATTAAAGACTGATATGATGAATACCATCCATCTTTATTTTTCCTTCAGCCTCTCCCAATTCTCCCTTTGACTATTGGATGTCCATTTCCTGTAGGGTTGCCTTGATTTGGGAGGATGCTGGATTTAGAAAAGGCAATACTTCTATATATGCAAAATAAAACCCACTTTCAGAGGGAAACTCTGAATATTCTAAGGGATAAGCCATATTTTAAAAGGATCCATCTATTGAAAATATGTCTGAACAATTTTTATTATGGTTCATGATTTGCAGTTGCTTAAGAAATCTATTAATACAACTGTTACTGGGAATTCCACTAATATTACAAAGTCAAGCATATGTCACTGTAACCACTGGATTATCCCTGGACTTCATTTAGTCTACTTCCTGTGTTTGTTCTGCCTTCTTTTTAACTAGAGCACATTTGAAACATCCTAGAACAAACTAAACCACTTCTTACTCTTCAGTGTCAGGAATCCAGCTAGAGGCAGATTCAAAGATACAAGCTCCCCAAAATGGTTATTCAACTTTGATAAGCAAATATATTATGATCACCTGGTATGTTTACTGGGCCATTGTTTTTAGAGGAATGAAAGCATTAATATTGGTCATTTAGCCAGTTTGGCTTAGGTTATAAGAACAATGACAAACCAGGAGCCTTTAACTTTGCTGGACGTTTTGAGAAAATGTCCTTTAAATTATTCAGGGTCCATTTGTCTCCATCTGAGAGTGCACAAAGTGTCAGATTAATTTTCAACAGTTAAGAATTAAGGCTCTAGAGCGTCTCTGGGATCAGAATGGGCAAATTGAAACATACTAAATTGATGACACCTGGGACAATATGCTTTTTATGTTAGAGGCACAATGAGTTGTCAAGAATTAAGCAGTGCGAGCAGAGGACTCATAGAGGCCTGGCTGCCAGTTGCTTGTGAGTCATGCCCTAAAGAAAAAATGGATGAGGTGCACCTTCCAGTTATAGAATGATTACAACCTGAACAATGCAAAGATTCCTTTGGGCCACACACAACTACCAAAGGCCATAGAATGGTACTTGGGCTTTTCATAGTTTAGAGAACCTTGACTGCTGGCCCCCAAATTTAGCATGAGCAGAGAAGAGGTGGTTTGTTGAAGGTTACAACCACCTGAGAAGTTAGAATGAGAAAGTTCAGGAGGAATGAAAAATAATATTCCCTTACCTTTGGATTCTGCTTTTTCATTATATATAGTATGTTACAGTTGATGAAACTGAGGCACAGGGAGAGTTAAGTGACTTACCCATAGTCACACAACCCATAAGTGAGAAAACTGGGATTTCAATCCAAATAATACTTTTTTTTTTCACATATATCACATCAAACATTTGTATTTTTAAACTTCATTTTTTGAAGAATTCTTCTGCCAAAGACTTGCCCAGAAGCTAAATAGATATAAAAATACATATTATATATAAATTTTATACATATATATGTATATATAATAAAAGTAGAGGTGATCTAGTTGAAAGGGATGCTCTAAAGCTCTATGAACTAGGCCTCAGTTACTTTTCCCACTCCTTACCCCAGTCACTGTTTGGATCCTGAGGCATCAGTATTAACCTCTAGGGTTTTGAAAAATAAAATAAATAAATAAATAAATAGATAAAACAAAATATGGCATTATTTCACTTGAGGATGTGTGCACCTTTTTTACGTAGGTGCTAGATTGGTAGAGAATTAGGATTAGAAATAAAGGCCAAGTTCTGGAAAAGATATGGTCACAAGAGCAGGTTATGAGATGTCTGCAAGCAAGGGTGACAAAAGAGGAGTCAGAGTAGGGTTGGCATAATAAAAATATGAGAAACTGGGTGCCAGGACAAAAGCTCAGTGGGAGAAAGGCATAGGGAAGGCATAGTAAAACTAATTAAATATTAATAGGTATAAATCAAAAGAGGCATTTTATTTACTCTATTTGGAAATGGTTGTGGGCTCCTAGATATCTCTGCTGTTAGGAGTAGATGCTGTGTGATTTTTAAAGGACAGTAGGCTTGCTGTAGCAGCTTTGTGACTTTATTCTCAGCAGCCGTATTCTTATCTATTCAATAAGCCTCTGATCCTGTTGGTGATACCATAACCCTGCGGGGTAGTTTGGGTCTCCTCTCTAGAGCTAAGTTTCCATTCTGACTTAAAATGATTTATACTCTTGATAGTCTTTGTTGCCTCTTTACCAGTCTTTCTCTCTGAGATTTCTTGATCTCTCTGGCACTGGTACTGGAGGAGAGAACTTCTGGCTCATAGCATGATAGCAGACACAACTGCTCTTACTATATCCATTTGACAGATGAGAAAACTGATGTCCAAAAAAGGTGAATGAGTTGTTCAGGGTGACACAACATTCAGTGGCAGCATAGATATTTGAATTAAAGTTTCCTGATTCCTAGGTGATCCTTAAGAACAACAATATTTTGTTACCTCAAAACAATATTTTTTTCATAAATGATAAGAGTTAATTTAAGCATTCTAGGACCCAAAACAGATTTTCTGAAAGAGAAAACCCTTTCTACATGGTTGTTTTAGATTAAGTCCATAAGCCAGAATCTCTTACCAAAACCTGAACTTCAAGCCAGAACCAAGTACTTACGTTTCCAAACTCCAATATCAGTTGTTTCTTTAATCATGACCCCAACAAAGTTATTATTCCTTTCTATTTAAAAAAGTATCAAAGTTTCACATACACCTACTATAATAAATCAACTAATTCTACATGGTATCTTATGTCAAATAGCAGTCTTTATTCCTCTTTTTTCACCCAATTTCTTATTCCCATTAAGAAAGCATCTTCAATTATTAATATTTTCACTGTCAATAAACTATCCAAAAAATAAATTGAGAAAACAATCTGATTTACCATAGCTATGAAAAAACTTATGAATAAATGTATCCAAGGAGATAAAAGACCTGTGCACTGAAAACTGTAAAACACTAATGAAAGAAATTGAAGAAGACACAAATAAATGAGGAAATATCCCATGTTCATGGATTGGAAGAATTAATATTTTTAAAATGTCTGTACTACGCAAAGTTATCTACAGATTTGATACATACCCTATGAAAATTCACATAACATTTTTCATTGAAATAGAAAACACAATCCTAAAATTCATATGGAACCACAAAAGACCCCAAATAGCCAAAGCAATCTTGAACAAAAAGAACAACACTGTAAGTATTATACTACTTGACTTCAAGGTAGTATAGTATACTACAAGGCTATAGAAATCAAAACAGCATGATGCTGGCATAAAAACAAACACATAAACCAATGGAACAGAATGGAAGGCCCAGATATACATTCATGCATTTATGGTCAATTGATTTTTAACAAAGGTCCCAAGAATACACAATGGAAAAAGGTCAGTCTCTCCAATAAATGGTGTTGAGACAAGTGGATATCCACATGAAGAAGAATGAAATTACACTCTTGTCTCACACCATCTACAAAATCAAGTCAAAATGGACTAAAGACTTAAATGTGAGACCTAAAACAGTAAAACTATTACAAGAAAACAGGATGCAAGCTCCATGACATTGGTCTGAGATACAATATTTTGGATATGACCACAAAAGCACAAGAAATAAAAGCAAAAATACACAAGTGAGATTATATCAAACTAAAAATTCTCCACAGCAAAGGAAACAATCAACAGAGTGAAGAGCCAGTTTACAAAATGGGAAAATATATTTGTAAGCCATGTATCTGAAAAGGGATTAATAGTAAAAATATATAAGGAACTCAAACAACCCAATAGTAAGCAAACAAATAATTTTAAAATTGAGTAACGGACCCAAATAGACATTTCTCAAAAGAAGACATATATATGGCCAACAGGTATATGAAACAATGCTCAAAATCAGTAATAATTGGAGAAATGCAAATTAAAATCACAATGAGATAGCACCTCAACACCTGTTAGAATGGCTCCTGTAAAAAAAATGAAAGACAACAAATGCTGGTGAGAATATGGAGAAAAGGGTACTCTTACACACTGTTGGTGGGAATGTAAATTAGTAGAGTCATTTTGGAAAACTGTGTGGAGGTTCCTTAAAAAAACAGAAATAGAATTCCTGTATCATCCAAAAGTCCCACTACTGGGTATATGTCCAAAGGAAACAAAATCAGTATGTCAAAAATATATCTAAACAAAGACATGTTCATTGAAGTATTATTCCCAATAGCCCAAATACGGAATCAACCTGTGTTCATCAATGGATGAATGGATTTTTAAAATGTGGAATATATACACATTGAAATACTATTCAGCCGTAAAAAAGAAGGAAATCCTGTCATTTGCGAAAACATAGATGACCCTGGAGGATGTTACATTAAGTAAAATATGCCATGCACAGAAAGACAAATGCCACAGGATCAAACTCATATGTTGAATCTAAAAATGTTGAACTCATAAAAGTACAGATAGAATGTTGGGTAACAGTGGTTGGAGGAATGGTTCAGGAGATGTTGGTCAAAGGACACAAAATTTCATTTAGATAGGAGAAATAAGTTTAAGAAATCTATTATAAAAATACAGTGACAATAGTTAATAACAATGTACTCTATTCTTGAAAATTGCCAAGGGGGTAGATTTAGTGTTCTCACCACAAAAGATGAGAAGTATGTGAGGTAATGCATATGTTAGTTAGCTCAATTTAGCCATCCCAAAATGCACACATAGTTCAAAACAACGTGTTGTACATGATAATATACACAATGTGTATTTGTCACTGAAAAATAAATAAATAAATAATAAATAAAAATAAGTTAAATATATTCACTCTGAGTTTTTTGTTAACTTTCATTTTAGGGCCGGGTTTGGTGGCTCACACCTGTAATCCCAGCATTTTGGGAGGCCAAGGAGGGAGGACTGCTTGTGGCCAGGAGCTCAAGACCAGCCTGGGAAACATGGTAAGACTGACCCTATCTCTACAAAATATAAAGATAAGTTAGACAGGTATGGTGGTGCATGCTTTTGGTCCCAGCTACTCAGGAAGCTAAGGTGGGAGGACTGCTTGAGTCTGGGAGGTCTAGGCTGCAGTGGGCCATGATCATACCACTTCACTCCAGCCTGGGTGACAGAGTGAGACTCCATCTCAAAAAAACAAAGAAAGAAAAACAAACACACAAAAAACTTGTACCTTAGATTCAGTGGATACATGTACAGGTTTGTTACCTGTGTATATTGCATACCGCTGAGGTTTGTGTTATGAATGATCCCATCACCCAAGTAGTGAGCATAGTATCCAATAGTTAGTTTTCCAACCTTTCCCCCTCTCTTTCTTCCTCTTCCAGTAGTTCCCAGTGTCTATTTTTCCCATCCTTATGTCCATGAGTACCCAATGTTTAGCTCCCAATTATAAATGAGAACATGTGATGTTTGGTTTTCTGTTCCTGTGCTAATTCACTTAGGATAATGACTCTGATTCTTTTTATGCATATATCTGTATCTCCAAATTTACATGTTTGTATTGCTGACTCATAGATTT
Organism: Homo sapiens; assembly: GCF_000001405.40. Classification (NCBI taxonomy): domain Eukaryota; kingdom Metazoa; phylum Chordata; class Mammalia; order Primates; family Hominidae; genus Homo; species Homo sapiens. Next base: position 112,280,115 of record NC_000023.11, on the reverse strand, counting down.
TCAGTTTTAGACAGTATCTATTGATTTTCCAGGTTGGAGGATGAAGATTTGGCATTCTTTTTTTTCCCTACCCACCAAAAACATACACATTTTCCATCTCTTCAAAATCTCAGTATAATTGGTTTAGATCAGTGTTTACATTATTTTGGCAGTATCGTAACCTTTGATTACTTTAACTTTGTTGCACAAGTTCTTATTTTCCCTGCAATTAATAATTACTGGAGTTTTTTTGTTTGCTTAATGTAGTACATACTTATCATTAATTCCACCCCAAACTTTCTCCAGTTGTCAAAATCTACTCTCAAGATAGTATGCATCAATTATTGAATCAATATCAAATTCATGGAGAAGTTTATCTCAGAATCTTCTGTTCAACAATCTGGATAAGTTGCCCTCTCTGCTTTAATACACCATGTTACATTGATTTCTCCCTTTAGCTTCAACCTGGAGATTCCTCTGAGATCTCTCCTATGTTTCAGATCCTGTTTCATATATTACATTTTTTTTTAAGTTAACCTCCTCATTTTGGTGGACTATATCCTTCAGTACCTACTAGAGAAAGTGTGCATGGAAAGAAATTATTTTGAGATCTTTCATGTCTACAAATATATTTATTCTACTCTTTGAGTAAACAAGATCATACTTGATTAATAGTTTGGGTTGCTAAGTTAGAAATATTTTTTCACCAGATTTAAAAAACATGGCTCCATTTTCTTTTGTTTTCTTGTTTCTCTGTTAAATCATTCTCATTCCTCTATGCTTAATATATGACCTTACCCTACCGCATCCCAAAAGCTTGTAAGATCTTCTATTTGTACCTAATAGTATAAAATTTCATAATAATGTGTCTTTCTGTGGGCCCATTTTCATTCATTGTGCTGGGCACTAATTTGGCCCTTTAAATATGGAAATTCATATGCTTCAGCATGGGAAACTTTTCTTGTTTTATTTTACTGATGATTTCTTCCTTTCCATTTTCTCTGTTCTCTCTCTTTAAATTTTGTATTATCTAGATGTGGGCCTACTTAATTAGTCCTTCAGTTTTCTTATTGTTTTTCTCTCTTATTTTCCATCTTTTGTCTTTGCTCTACTTTCTGTGAGATTTCCATAACTTTATCTTCTAATCCTTTCACTCATTTTTGCTGTTATGTTTGAAATTTTCAAAGGTTTCATTGCAGCTGCTCTCTAAATGTTGTTTTCTTCTTTTTAAATCATCCTTTTCTCATTTCATAAATTCAACGCAAATTTTAGCTCTCTAATGTTATTTATGGTAGTATCTTTTTTTTTGGGAGGAGGAAACTTTATTATCCTTGTATAGCCTCTGTTCCCTCCACATTGCCTTTAACTGTTTCTTTGTTTTGATCTGTCTTTCAAGTTAGAAGCTTTCATCAAATCCTTGTGGTACTTGGTTCTCTGCTCATATATAGGCCAGCTAAAAAGCTGATTGGAAGTTCTTACAGCATGAATGGGATTGTTGACTGAGAATTTCACTATAGGTAGTATAGTCATATGTCCTGGTAATACCAGGACAGTCCCAGGTTATGCTTATTGTTCAGTAATAACCAGTAATAACTAATAAAGCCTCCTTTTACTCAAAAATGTCCCATTTTGTAGGATAAATTATATGGTTATCCTAAATACAAAGTGACCTGCCTGGGCCATTTGTTAGAACATTTAGATGTCAGTATCTCTAGGTTTTTCCTCTTTGGGTGGTCAAATTTCCCAGGGAATACTCTTTCAATTTCCTACCTAGAGGTAAAGGCCTGACTGCCAATGTTTTAGAAACTGCCAACATATAAAGTTCAAAAATTAAAAACATGATTCCTATATACAAATCTAGGGTCAAACAGATTCAAATAATATTTTGAGAAGCTGAACATTATTTATAGTCATTTAAGAAGAAATTTTAAAGTCAGATTGTTAGGTTACATATGCAACTGGTGAATGTCCGATAAGACAATTAAAACCAACAATCTTTAGAGTTATATTTTCTAATGGACAAAAATTATTTATATTTCTCTTGGGTAAAATCTTCAAGTAAACATAAATCTTCACTGAGTTTAAGAGAAAATAGTAAGTAACATCAAATAGAGGTATATTTCCCTGAACACTTAAATCATCCTTGGATGGGCTTGTTAAACAGTGCTCTATATAACATCAAAAAAATGTGCTGCAAATTTTTAGCCTTACTTCAACTTTTGAATCCTTTTTCTGAACAGAATCTAGAAGGAAGAAAAGGCTGGGATTTCAGTATTCAGGATTCATTTTATTTAATCCCATGTTCCTTATGATATTCAAGCTGTCAGCTGTTTATGGCATTCCACAGTCCAGATACCCTCTGTTTTACCATCTCTAGAGAATAAATCTCTAGTTTTCTGCTGAGGTAGAGGGGGCAGCTGCCTGGAAGCATGGAGTAAGTGAGCACACTTGGGGATTTACTTTTTAAACAGCTTTCAATCAATCTTCCTTATCATAGCTTCCCCTTTATCCCCAGTTTCAGAGGTACAAGTTGCCTCCAATTGTGAGCCTTTTGATGATTCTGCATGGCGAACCAGGTTGGCTCTCCGCTTTCCCCACTGACTGTCTAAAATTCATCTTTCTTAGGTTTGCTAATTCAGTTAACCTTGATCTATTTGCTTTCCATCTTCCAAAATATTGCTCTTGTATTCCCTCCAGTTCTCTCTATCCTTTTGGGCTTTATATTGTTTTTAAAAATCATTTGATTGTAGTTCAGAGGCATTTCAGGTTTGATGAACTCTCCAAGGTCAATATCTTTGGGTCTTTCCTTTTAAAGTGCTCAGATTTCCCAGAGAACGTGATTCTAATCTCCAGCCAGCAGTATAAAAATCTGGTTGCCAACATTTTGAGAGCTGAGTATGGGAAGAAAGCAGGAGGTTTCTGACTTCAGTATGCATAGATTTACTCAATCCTCCCAGTTTTTGTACATCTCCCTTGATGTCATCTGTATTACCTCAGAAGCTTTCCCTGGACCCAAGACATGGGGGAAACTCTTGGAATGAAATTAGGTCTGTGTGTTTAATTTACCAGCACCTTGAGCCCCAAAGTCTTATTTTTTATTTCCTTCTTAACAAAATCTACAGGGATAATCATAAGAAACATTCGGTGCTCAAACCATTGACTTTGACAAAACTAAATGTCTGTTTTATGAAACTGAACATTTTATTCATTTCCATATCACAAAATATGCACAACTAGGGCTCTGTTAAGTATATGCAAAAAACATACAATAGTACCTAGTACTTAATAATGTTAATTTTTTTTACTATTATCTGAAAACAAATGACCAGTTTAATAGTTTGATTTCAATGAACTGATGAGCTGCACTAGCAGACCTCTATCTCCAGTATGTTAAAATACCAATCTATTTTCATTTGCTTTTCACCATATATTAAAATTAATTTGATAAATCATATGATGCAGTCACCTTAATTTGGTCTTTGAGCCCTTCTGCTGTGTGCCCTCTATGCTATGCTACCTGCCTGGTAGCATACTTGGAGAAGACCATTGCATCCAGGTAATTTCCCACTCTGAGAGTAGAAAACAGGTTCTGAGGTCAAATTAATTTGTGTAAGTATTGAATAAGACAGAGTTAAACATATTTGCTTATTGCAGACTATTTAGAGCTTTTAATAGACTAGTGGGGAGTATGACTCTCTAAGAAGAAAATACAGCATGCTCTATTTCCCAAGCTTTTTGACAATGTAAACTGGGTTGTTTTTGTTTTGTTTTTACTCTTGGGAGCATCTCATGAGACTAATTACACATAACACACTTTGGGAAAGGCTTCATTAAGAAAATAGATACTGCCATCTTGGTGGCTTTTCAACATCAATCTCTTGTTCATGTTTCCTTTCAGTCTGCCCTCAAGCAAAAACGATTAAATTTACTAACACGTCTTAGCAAAGAATATGATGGAAGGATGGAAGCTGTCAAAAGGTTGAGTGGTCTGAATAAATGCTCTCTTTCTTTAAATTGAAAGCCAAATGGAGGAGAAAGAAAATCCATGGAGACAAATGAATGGAGACCTTAAAGACCTTCTGAAAAATGACAGGAAGAAAAAAAGAATGGCTAGTCAGGCTTGGAAACCAACTACTGAGGCTGCCAAACACTCCCTAGAGAGAATAACAGCAATATGAGCTTGCTTACTCTTAAAAAAGTGGAGGATGGAGTCTTGCTCTGTCACACAGGCTGGAGTGCAGTGGTGGGATCATAGCACACTGTAGCCTTGAACTCCTGGACTCAAGCAATCCTCTCGCCTTAACCTCCTGAGTAGCTAGGACCACAAGTTCATACCACCACATCTGGCTAATCTTCATTTTTTTTTATACAGAAAGGGTATCTCTGTTGTCCAGGCTGGTCTGAAACTCCTGGCCTCAAGCAATCTGCCCGCCTTGGCCTCCCAAAGTGCTGGGATTACAGGCATGAGCCACCACGTCAGGCCAGGTTTTTTTCTTTTTAACACTGGTTTATTTCATTTTTCCTTCCAACAATCCGGTGAGACTGATACTCGTTTTCTCCTCATTTTACCAGTATTATTGATACACAGAAAATTTAAGTAACTCGCATAAGGTTACATAGTTAGAAAATTTCAGGGCTTGCATTTGAACCTTTTTGTTTGCCTTCATTGCTGATGCTCTTAAACACTACATTGAATTACCTATCGGAGAAGATGATGGTAAAAGAGTCCACCATCACAATTTCTGGGAAAAGACAACAGTTAACTCTAGGGCTAGTCCAAAGCTAATCTAACTGACACACTCTCAATTTTAACCACAATATCTCTTCCCCTAGAGGGAGGCCCAGAACTTTATTCAGTTCCATGGCTAGTTCTCGCATGTGAATATGGTGACTGCAAGATTTTCTTTACCCCGCTCTCAGCTAGCTACCAGACTGGAAAAAAAAAAAAAAGCAAGAAAGAAAGAGAAAAAATGAGATCAAATTAAAATGTTAGCTTACTGCAGAAAATGGCTCAATGAGGCAGTATAACGTGGCAGTTAACCCGTAGATGCTGATGCCAAACTGCTTGGCTTTTCCACATATTAGGTGTATGATCTTGGTAAATTCCCTATTTCTCTGTGGCTCAGTTTTATTGTCTATAAAGTGGGGATAATAATAGCATCTGTCTCATGAGATATTTCTGGGACTAAATGAGTTAATATATGTAAAGCACTTAGAATAGGGTCTAGCTCATGACATGTACTCTGCTAGTTTCAGTTATGATCATTATCCCACTAAGACTATTCTTATTTGATTATGGGAATTTTCTAGAACTGAAGAAGTGAGTCTCAAAAAGTAGACTTTAATATTGCAACACTCTAAAAGAAAGCAGAAAAATAAGGATTAACCTGTAAGTCAAGACCATGTGGAAAAGGAGACCCTAACCAAGTACTGTCAAGTGGTTAAGACCCTAGGATCTTTTCTTCCTGCTGGTGCCCTGCCTTCTGAGCTCTACTTTACAGCTGTGGATGTGAACTATGAGTCTTTTACAATGCCACCTACCTCTGCGCTTTTGTGTTCCTAACCTTTCTTCCTGTTTGATTCTTGCTTTCGTACTTGTTTGGCAGAGCTGACCTTTCTCAGTCAGGAGGTTTGTTCTTCATTTTTCACCAGTAGCACTTTGCCCTTTAAAGTAGAAGTTTGTGTTATTGCTATTTTAAAATACTGCCCAAGCTTTTAAATTAAGCACTGCAAATCCCCTAAAGTGTTTATAACATGGGCTCAGAACAGACTGCTTACTTCTAATGGGAACACAGATTTCCACAGGAAATAGCAAGACATCCTCCCCTGAAATTTCCCTCCAGCTTCTCGAACTCAATATATCTCACATCCAATTCACCTTCCTTTCCAGACCAGCTCTCCTCCATTCCAATTCTCTTATGGTGTACCACACTTGAACTACTCTCCTGTGAAAAACAGGCCTTACTATATAGAGCAGTAGTCAAGAGGATTAAGGTCTTTAGAGTCAGACAGACCTGATTGGAGTTATTTGCTAGTGGTGTGATCATAGACACACTACTAACTAGAATTTAATTTATCTGAGCCTCAATTTGCCTTTCTATAAAATGGGGATAATACTGTACTAATACCTATCTCACAGAGTGTTTGAGGATTAAATGAGTTAAAGCATATAAAACCTTCAACATAGTACCTGGCACATAATAGTGGCTCACACTTGTTGAGATTTGCTATGTGCCAGGTAGTGTTTTAGCATTCTGTACATGTATTTACTTATGTAACCCTCATAACAATTCTGTGACATAATTATCATTATTATCCTCATTTTGCAAATGAGAACATTCAGGCACAGAAAGGTTAAGTTACTTGCTCAAGGTCACAAAGCACAACTGGTATTCAAGTCAAGGCAGCTTAGCTCCAGAAGTCATGCTCTTATCTTAACCACCCCACTCTGCTACCTTCCAGGCAGTTTGCACTCAGAACTGTCAGCACCACTTTCAACAAATGATGGAACTTATTGAATGCTTACTACTTGCCAGACTCTGTGCTGAAATCTTTGCATGCATGATGTTCATTAATCATCAACTTGGTTGGGCGCGGTAGCTCACGCCTGTAATCCCAGCACTTTGGGAGGCCGAGGCGGGCAGATCACAAGGTCAGGAGATTGAGACCATCCTGGCTAACAAGGTGAAACACCGTCTCTACTAAAAATACAAAAATTAGCCAGGCGTGGTGGTGGGCGCCTGTAGTCCCAGCTACTCGGGAGGCTGAGGCAGGAGAATGGCGTGAACCCGGGAGGCGGAGCTTGCAGTGAGCCAAGATTACGCCACTGCACTCCAGCCTGGGCAACAGAGGGAGACTCCATCTCAAAAAAAAAAAAAAATCATCAACTCTATGTGGTATGAATGTTTCTCCTCATTCTATAGATGAAGAAACTGAGGCACAGAGAGATGAAGAAACTTGTTCAAAGTGACCCAGCTAGGAAGTGACAGAGTCAGAGTTTAATCCCAGATATGTATGACTTTACAGGATGCTACAATTCACCTTCCTGAAAGTTCTTTCTTCATGTAGTGGAAAAGAACATCTTGTTTTGACAGTTATTGTGAAATTTGTTATGGCCGCATGGTGATTGTCTATACAAGTTGAAAATCACTTTGTTAAACAGAATGCTTCTTTCATCATGAGATTTCACCTTGGTATATAGCTATAAAGTAGGGATAATAATAGCATCTTTCTCACGAGATATTTTTGGGACTAAATGATTTAATAAATATAAAGCATTTACAATAGGCACACTTAGGCCAGGGAGAATGTCACCATAATTCTCTTAATTATAAAAAAAAATTAGAGTCTAATTGGCCACATGGACACTAGAAGACAAAATTCTAGGAAAAAAGTATAAATCTTAATATCTTAATTTTATTTAATTGTCTCAACTTAAAATTGAGTCTTTACAAAGACTACATGGTATGTGAAATGGACATTCTATACTGTTAAGTAAAAAGGATATAAAATTGATCATGCCATTCTTCTACTCAAAAGCCCTATAGACTTGAAGTGAATATGTTCAGACTGACATTCAAGGGCCTCCACATTCACAGCCCATTCTACCTCCCAACATGAACTCCACATTCCAATCAAACTTTTCTACTTACTGCTATCAAGTGTACCTTCTGCAATTCCTGCCTCTGCATCTGTGCCTGTTGCTTTCCCCCTCCTCCATGTCCATTCATCCAGACTCAGCTTAGGATCCACTGCGCAGACAAATCCTAACTCATAATGACCCTTTTGCCTCAAATTTATCACTCAGGGTTTGTTTCCATAAAGAAAAAAATGTTAGATATAATCATTCATTTATGGCCAGCCTACTAAAATAACTATTTAACCCATGATATGCTTAAATTATGTTAAAATTTCTCTATTACCACAATTTTTAATTGTTCAATAGCTGAAAATCTTTGGGGAAATGTTGGCTGATGAGTACGGTTTCAGTTATGCACGCAGGATAAATAAGTTCTGCAGATCTAATGCATGGCATGATGACTATAGTTAATAATACAGTATTGTACATTCGAAATTTGCTAAGAGAGTAGATCTTAAATGTTCTCACTACACACACACAAATGGTAACTATGTGAGGTGATGGATATATTAATTAGCTTGATTGTGGTAATCATTTCACAGTGTATATGCATATGAAAACATCATATTGTTACATTTTAACATAACTAAAAGAGTATAATTGGATTGTTTGTAACACAAAGAAAGGATAAATGCTTGAGGTGATAGATACCCCATTTACCTTGATGTGACTGTTATGTATTGTATGCCTGTATCAAAATATCTCATGTAACCCATAAATATATACACCTACTATGCACCCACAAAAATTCAAAATGGATTGTTTTTAAAAAAACTAAATAAGAAAACACATCATATTGTATACTTTAAATATATACAATTTTTACTGGTTTATTATACCTCAATAAAGCCAAATTTTAAAAATAATTGAGAGTCTTGTCTCTAAAACAATATTATAAACTCTCAAGGGCAGGAATTATGTATGCCTTCTTTTTTTTTAATTGCTCAGAGCTTTCCCCCTCAGTTCTAGGTACACAAGAGGTTTTTATTAAATGATTAATGAATAAATGAAACAAGGTAGCACTATGTGCAAACATCTAAAAAGCACAGGCAAAAGAAATTATTTATGAGAATGAGTAGGTCTTTGAACAAAGCATGCAGTTCGCTTTTGGCAATTTGGTCTATACCCCTTCATGCCAGATCTTCAACATATTCAAACTGTCAATGATTTATTTGCTTATCTTGTTCTTTTCAAAAGATCGATCTCGAAACTGAGCTCAGGCTTTCAGCCATTTTTCAGTCATTGCTAATCTCACACTCTGTCTTATATATGAATTGCTTGATCCTCCCACTCTATCCATTTGTCTCTGAAAGCCCTTCTTGTTTTCCTTAATCCCATCAGAGTATTAGCTTAGTTCCCATTGTGCTGTTCTTATCTCTTTCCTGCAAACCCTAACTGATGTGGACTACTGTTGTTCCATTGTGGGTTTTTTTTTTTTTTTTTTTTTTCTGTCTCCAGGACCAAATCTTTCACAGCAGTTCCATATCTTAGAGTGGGGACCTCATTGATTCTTGACTGTGCTTCTTTACTCCTTAGGAACTATGACGTCTAATAGGCACAGCTGGCCTAGGCATCAGTTACCTCTGTGTTACTGAATGGCCTTGAAAAAAAGCCGATTGCCCTTCAAATGCCTCTTCTTTACAGCCTGTGACAGTAAAAAAGCAGCATTTCACATTACTTACTTCTCTAGGTTAAGGCTTGAGAGAGCCTCCTTTACTTTGGATGCACCCTCCTTCCTCCCAACAGAACTCCTTTTCCCTCCCAGCCACCAAGCATCATCATGCCACCTCCTAATTGTCAACCCATTTCCGTTTCAGTGATTGCCACAGGGCTGTCTGCTAGCTGTCTAGATGAGTGAGACTAGGCACTGAAAAGACAGAAAAGAGAATGAAATAATAGGCTAATTCAGTTATAGCAACTGGAACCATTGCCCCAAGGTCCACATCCTCTCTTTTTCTTAACAAAGTTTACCTGTCCTACATCTCCCTCCTTAGGGATCCTGCTGGGTGCTGGGTAATGCTGCTGATATAGAAACAAACCTGAGAAAAGGCATTAAAGACTAGTATTATCTTAAAGTATCCTGCTCCTCATTATGTTAATCCAAAAGTCATTTGTTATCAATGGAATTGAAAAACAGATATCCAGATATGTGACTATATCTTTAGCTAGTTAAGGCTTTGTGGTTTTTACAAGTTTGTAGAAAGCACTTTGATTAATCCATTAGTAATTTTTAAAGCAATCCTTCAAACCAGTTATGCCACGTAAGAAGACTTTAAAGTGCCTGGCAAATTATGCTGATTCCTTCACTTTCCAACTGGTAGATATGACCTCAATGGATGTGATTGAACTTCATCTAAAGGTGAAATTTCCCAACAGAGAGTTTTTCCAGGGGTCTGAAAAAGGGGACTTCATTAGAGCAGAAGAGGAAAAGAGTGAGTCCTTTCTTAGGATGTTGCCAATAATTTGACTTGAATGATATTATAAATGATACTACCTATTCTAATTATCCTTCTCCATAATTAATCCTGCTTATGCCACAAAGCTATGAACAATTATGTTTTTCCCTGGAGGGAACACCATGTTTCAACATTACTGCAATGTGTGGCTAGAAGTGAATTGGACAGTAAGAGGGAGAGAAAAGTGAGCTCCAGAGTTCAAATGATTATAACTGACACTAAGGTGATTGGTTCAGTGCACTTGATTTGAAAAATGAATTGTCTTGAGGACTGAGATCAAAGAAAGGCAACTAAGTGAAAAGAATATACAGGAGTACATTTTACATCTGTATCTGGGAGGTGGGCTTTCAAGGCAAGAGACCTGTGGTTAGGCCCAGTCTTTATCAAGTCTGTGACCATAAAAAATAATTAAATTGGCCAAACCTCAGTTTCTTCAACTGAAAAACAGGCATAACATTATCTACCTTCCATAATTGTGATGAGTAATAAATTACAAAATGGATATAAAGAGTTTGGTCCATTTTATAAGTGTTAAGTATTGAGATACTTAATAAGTGTTAGTTTCTCCTCTTTTTTTTACCCTGATACCAAGTGTGATTTAGAGCAAAAAGTTGAGATATTTGGGCTGTAAGAGCAAGAGGAAACTAAAGGTCCCTCTAAATCATTGCCTTCAGTTTTACAGATGAGAAAACAAAAGTTTAGAAAAGTTGAATGTGGTTTACTAAGCTGATTTGTAAAATGGGAATGGGCTATGAATTCATATTTTAATATTCTGAGGAAATCTATAAATCACTCTGCATTACTCACTCCTATTCAGATAAGGGACATGAAAAGGAGATACTCCTTATCCAGTCTTTTCCTAGATTTTATACTTATGCCAGCTGACAGTTTACATGGACTATTATCCATCTGTAGCCCACAACTTTCATAGCTATTTGTTGAGGCAATTTCCTAAGCAGCTCTCAGAATTAGTTAGAACATGGTTATATTCAACTGGAGACAATAGATCCTAGGGGTGCAGAGACAAGAAATGTCACGGAGATGGAACTGAGAGAAATTGAAACTCTGCATTCAAACGGCAGGAAGGAGTGGGAGGATAAGGCCAGAGTTTGGAGCTTGAATGACTGGGAAAATGATTATGCCATTAAGGGATATTTGGAAGTCTAGAACAGGAGTGGATTTGCAGTAGAGGTAGAAAAGATAATGAGCTCTTTTTGTACATGTGTTTGAGGTGCCAGTGGAACATTCAGGCAGTGATGCCCAGCAGGCAGACTTACAGTTAGCCTTTTTAGAATTTTTGTGTGGCTATCTAACAAGATGCTCTCTCCAGACAGAGCCCTGAACACAAGACTTAGTGGACAGACAGATAGTACCTTTGTGTGAAGAAAAAAACACCTCTTTATCCAGTTTGATACAGGCTGGTACAGGGCCTGGTGAGCAGAGCACCAACTGGATTATACCTCCCACTTCTCCCAGAAACTTTTGCAATTGCTCTGCTAGTAGCTAGCTAGAAATGTGGATCTGAAGTTTGGTAAGAGATATCTGGGTTGAAAATAGAGATTTGGGAGTCATGAGATTATAGGTGAGAGTTCAATCTGCCCTAAGAGAGTATATATAAAATAAAAATATATAAAGGAATTGCTTTAAGGGCTTGGGTATTGTGAGGGTTTCAGAAAGTTATTTATCATACATTCGTGTTTTGGTTCTTTCATTCATTGAGAGAACAAGCCATGTGGACACGTGGGGGAAGATCCTTCTAGGCAAATGTAACAAGAGAGAAAGCCCTTAGGCAGGAATATAACCACCATGTTGTAAAACGAGTCAGGAGATCAATGTGGTTAGAACAAAGTAAGAAAAAGAAGAGAGTGGTTGGAGATAAGGTCAGAGTACATAAAGGATGGGGACTGGTGCCAGATTAGGTAGGATCTTGAAGGCCATTATAAGGACTTTGGCTTTTCATCTGAGTGAAATGGCAGCCATTGGAGGGTTATAAGCAGAGGGGTGACATGACTTGGCTTATGTTTCAAAATGTTCATTTATGCTTCTGTGTGGAGAATAGAATGTAGGAGTATAGAAGAGAAGCAGAGAGTCAAGTAAGATGAGGCTATTGCAATGATCCAAACATGACATCATGTTTTGGACCAGAGTCATGGCAATAAAAATGATGAGAAATAGTTGAATTTTGGATATTTTGAAGGTAATGCTAACATAATTTCCCCTATGAATTGGATGTGGAGAGAGATAAACAGGGTGGGGTGGGAAAAAAAGGGGGAAGAAAGAGAGAGTGAGAAAAGATCCAAGGATGACAGTGGAATTGCCATTTACTGAGATGGGAGAGACTATAGGAGAAACATGTTTGGAGTTGAAGATGGGGAATTCCATTTTGGAAGTATGAGTCTGCAAACTAGGGAAAAGGTTTGGGCCTAGGATATAAACTTGGAATCATCATTATATAGTTAATATTCAAAACCATGAATCTGGATGAGATTGCCAAGGCAACGAGTACAAATAGAAGAGAAGACTGTGAGACTGAGCCATGGAGATCACAGAGATTGGAGGACAGAGGGAGGAAAAGGAATCAGCAGAGACTGAGAAGGAACAACCAGTAAGATAGGAGAAGAACCAGAGAGTGAGGACTCTTGGAAGTCAAGTGAAGAAAGTATTTGAGAAAGGATGTTGATTGTGTTCATTGTTTCTGATAGGTAAGGAAAGATAAGGAATAGGAATTGATCACTTAATGTAACAAAGTGGAGGTCATTAGTGACTTCTACAAAGAACAGTTTTGATGGAGTGATCGAGGCAAAAGCCTGATTTGAGTGGGCTCCAAAGAAAATTGGGGACAGTAAGTAGAGAACTCCTTTGAGGAGTTTTGTTAAGAAGGGAACCAGAGAAATGAGGCCATACATTTATGGCAAGTGGGGTCAAGGGAAAGTTTCTTTAAGATGTGAGTGATAACAGTATGTTTATATAGTGCTGGGAATGAACCAGTAGAGCTCCACTGATGCAGGAGATTAAGAGAAAATTGCTAGAGCAATATCTTTGAGTAACCTAGAGGTGTTGGGAGATAGTGCACAAATGGAGGGTTTGGCCTTAGATAGGGAGCAGAGATGGTTCTTTCACAGTAACATGAAAGAAGAGAAAAAATACAGGTACATTCACAGGTAGATGGGTAGAAATACAAGTGTTTAGTAAGTACTTGGTAGGGCATTTCTTCCCCATCAAACAGAATGACTGTCATAACTATGAGAGCTATGACATCTCAGTTAGGAAACAGGTGGTCTAAGGATTATGGGCTGAGAGTCCATACCAAACATGTTGCCTGAAAGGAGAAGGTACTGATATTATCTGTAAGATTACAGGGGCAGCAAAAGACCATGTCAAATGGCCAACTTTAAAAGGGGCCCTGTTCCAGTGTATGGTTATGTGGAGCATTTTGGCTGGGACTCCAGCAGTATCAATGGAGACCACGTTATCTGGCAGGGGAATTCCTCACTCTCTGGCAAGAAATATCCTATCCAACCTCAGGGAAGTTGCCAGTCCAACCCCCATTCATGTCCCCTCCCCCTCCCCTAGTTCAAGGTCTTGAGGAGTCCTAAATAACATTTGTCATAGGCTTTTTATGTGCTGTGGTAGAAATGTGTCTGGTTGGACTTTCTTGACAACTATGGTCAATGGACCTTCTCCTGCAGTCGTTCTGAGTCATTGGTATGCTGCCAGCCCGGTATTTGTTTAAACCAAATTAAGGTTTTTAGTGACCTGAGGCAAAACCTTCACCCACCCATGCAAAGTATTGGATTGCAGAAGTGTTCACAGTTGTGCCTTTGAAATGCCATTTTTTCCTTTCAATTAAGTCTGCTGCTTGGGTGTTATATGGCAAGTGAAACCAATCTATGTCTTTTTCATGTTCCCAATCTTAGACCTCATGTCCAGTGAAATGTGTGCCTCGAGGGTATCCATACATAACACTGAGTTGCTCCAAGTCCTTGATGGTGGCTATCTTGTTTGCCCTTTTACAAGGGAAGGCCTATAACACTCCCGTCAAACTGAAGAAGCAGCAGATTTGAAGTGGGAAGAAGGGAAAGTTAGGTTCTGGAGAGGGTGACTGTGAGGGGCCTGTGGGGGGATCTGAGTAGAGTTTCAGGTGTATGGCTCACATTATAGTTCTAGAGTGAAGGTGGCACAGAATTGGGAGGTGGTTACGTGAGGCCAAGAGAATGGTTAAGGTTATGCATGGAGGAGGAGGAAGGATAAAGGGAGGGGAAAATGGGAAGGGAAAGGGAAAAGGGAGGGGGAGAGAAGATAATATGGTCCAACACAGAGCTGTGGGGCCTGACCACATTGCAAGATCAGGGGCAAGAAGGGAAAGATTTATTAGGGAATTGAGCAGAGGACAAGCTACCTATCTCACTTGACTGCTATTAGGCAGGGAATGTTTGAAGAAGCACAATTATGAACCCCACAATATTTCATGTATTTTTCATTACATCATGAGCTGGTTGCAGCCTCACTGCTTTGCAAATTCTCCTGTCCCTGAAGATCTCAAAGGACAGAATGTTCCACATGCAGTACCAGCTTGAATCATGGAAGTTGTTTTAACAGGAGGAAAACAAATTAAAGCCCCCTTCTGTCTGGGTTATGCAGGGACTCTCCCTTCCTGTCTTCTTCTGAATCAAGGCCACGCTCTGGGAGTTATCATCCCTTCACATCTGCATGCCTTTCACTTTGCAAAGAGCTTTCATGACTCTCATCCAAACTGGATCCTTAGAGAACCTCTATGAAGGAGGCAAAGTAAAGATTATGACCTTCACTTTACAAATAAGAATCCAGGTAGTAGAGAGATTTGAACAGCGTTACCTGTGAGCTGCCTCTGGAATGCAAGTCCTTGGCCTCCTGGCCTGGTGGCCTATCCCCTGCAGAGCACTGCCAAGAGGGCCACTACTGGGTGGCTCCAGCTGCTGCTGTCTGTGAGCTCATTGGAACCTGTCAGCTGTGGCTCCAAGACCTGCCTCAGTGATCACTGAAAATGTTGATGGTGCCAATAACCAGGACCCCCAAGCCGAGACTGGCCTCAAAGAGTTTATTGAGTACCTACTACATACCCACCACCATGCTGGTGCTTATGGGGAACACAACAAGGGTACCACATAGCTACTGTCCTTGAAGAAATTATAATTTCAATAGGAAGAAAACTCTTAGACACCAAGTCCAAAGACAATTCCAAGGGCTTCTCTCTCTTCCACTAACCAGTCATTTGTCAGCAACAATGACACACAGACCCCTTCTGCATTCACCTCTCTTATCCCAGCTCCAGTGTGGGAGGGGATTGGTGGATGACTAGGAAGAGTAATGAGGAAGAGAAGGAAGATGGAGGAAGAAAGGGAAAAATTAGAGCTCCTACTAAACACTAGAAACAGTGTGAAGTTTATATGTTATACGTAGGTCATTTGTATTATATTTATCATACATATACATGAACATATACACACAAACACATACATACATAATCACTTTCCATGAATTAACTCATCTATTTAGCCCATTCTCATTCCTGAAAAGAGCTTAGGACCATGTCTGTCACTTAGAAAGCACTGAATGAGTATTAACTCTTCTTCCTTCTTATCATGATCATCATCATCTGCAGTCAAATTTAAAGTCTTGGCACCTACAGTGTGTGTGGAGCTGTTTAGAGAGGAAAATGAGAAGGCTCCAAATACTAATATTATCTACCTCAATAACCTAGCAGGGCCCTGAAGCTAAAGAGATTGTTGAGCTCTGCTTACTGATGTCCCATCCCTCTACACACTAGCCTAATTTCCAAGTGTTAGAGTTGTTGAATAGAACTTTGCAAATATTTATTACTAGTAGTAGTAGCAGTCGTCATCTTTATTTTCCCTCATATTCTCTCCTGGGCACCATGGTTTGGACCAGACACTTGACTGTCATGAATCTTACTCTTCAATCTCTTCCATCACTGTCCAGGGATGCCTAAGCCTCTTATTTCATTGAGTAAATCAAGTCCATCCATCAGGGAGACTTTCTTATCCAGCAACCACACCCACTATTAGCTCCTTTTCTCTAGACCAAAAGAGTGAGATGAATCCTTAAACTCCTCTCTCTTCCTTTTATTTTAAAATATTTAATTGACAAAAATTGCACGAATTCAAGGTACACATCATGATTTTACATACATATACATTATGTACTGATTCCTACAATCAAAGTAATTAATACATCCATCACCACCCATAGTTATCATTTTGTATGTCTGTGTGTGAGGGAGGGGTGAGGACACTTCAAATTTGCTCCCTTACACAATTTAAGTAAACCATACAATATTATTAACTATAGCTACTCTGCTGTACTTTAGATCCTCAGAAGTATTCAGCCATAAAAATAAGGAAATCTTTCCATTTTCAACAAGATGAGTAAACTTGGAGAACACTATGCTAAGTAAAATAAGTCAGACACAGAAAGACAAATACTGCATGACCTAACTTATATGTGCAATCTAACAAAGTTGAGCTTATGGAAGCAGAGAGTAAAACAGTGGTGGTCAGGAGCTGGGAGTTAGAAGAAATAAGGAGACATTGCTCTCTCTCTTTCTTTGACTTCTTTGAAGTCTTCTTCTACCAGCTTCTCTCATTTTCTGGCCCTTTATCTTTGCTCATTTTCTGGCCATTCATCCAGATCCTCTTGCTCTGCTCAAACCTCAAACTGTGTTGTGCTCCAAGACTCTCACCTTAGCCCCCTAGGTGATCACCTCTGAACCTGGGGCCTCAGAACACAATGCTTCTCTCTACCACTGCATTTACTGATTTACTGCTTCTTTTTTTTTTTTTTTATACTTTAAGTTCTAGGGTACATGTACACAACATGCAGGTTTGTTACATATGTATACATGTGCCATGTTGGTGTGTTGCACCCATTAACTCGTCATTTACATTAGGTATATCTCCTAATGCTATCCCTCCCCCCTCCCCCCAACCCCAAAACAGGCCCCAGTGTGTGATGTTCCACTTCCTGTGTCCAAGTGTTCTCATTGTTCAATTCCCACCTATGAGTGGGACCAAAACCAAATATTTGGTGTTTGGTGTTTGTCCTTGCGATAGTTTGCTGAGAATGATGGTTTCCAGCTTCATCCATGTCCCTACAAAGGACATGAACTCATCCTTTTTTATGACTGCATAGTATTCCATGGTGTATATGTTCCACATTTTCTTAATCCAGTCTATCATTGATGGACATTTGGGTTGGATCCAAGTCTTTGCTATTGTGAATAGTGCCACCATAAACATACACGTGCATGTGTCTTTATAGCAGCATGATTTATAATCCTTTGGGTATATACCCAGTAATGGGATCACTGGGTCAAATGGTATTTCTAGTTCTAGATCCTTGAGGAATTGTCATACTGTCTTCCACAATGGTTGAACTAGTTTACAGTCCCACCAACAGTGTAAAAGTGTTCCTAATTCTCCACATCCTCTCCAGCACCTGTTGTTTCCTGACTTTTTAATAATCGCCATTGTAACTGGTGTGAGGTGGTATCTCATTGTGGTTTTTATTTGCATTTCTCTGATGGCCAGTGATGATGAGCATTTTTTCATGTGTCTGTTGGCTGCATAAATGTCTTCTTTTGAGAAGTGTCTGTTCATATCCTTTGCCCACTTGTTGATTGTGTCGTTTGTTTTTTTCTTGTAAATTTGTTTGAGTTCTTTGTAGATTCTGGATATTAGCCCTTTGTCAGATGAGTAGATGGCAAAAATTTTCTCCCATTCTGTAGGTTGCCCGTTCACTCTGATGGTAGTTTCTTTTGCTGTGGAGAAGCTCTTTAGTTTAATTAGATCCCATTTGTCTATTTTGGCTTTTGTTGCCATTGCTTTTGGTGTTTTAGACATGAAGTCCTTGCCCATGCCTATGCCCTGAATGGTATTGCCTAGGTTTTCTTCTAGGGTTTTTATGGTTTTAGGTCTAACATTTAAGTCTTTAATCCATCTTGAATTAATTTTTGTATAAGGTGTAAGGAAGGGATCCAGTTTCAGCTTTCTACCTATGGCTAGCCAGTTTTCCCAGCACCATTTCTGAAACAGGGAATCCTTTCCCCATTGCTTGTTTTTTTCAGGTTTGTCAAAGATCAGATGGTTGTAGATGTGTGGTATTATTTCTGAGGCCTCTGTTCTGTTCCATTGGTCTATATCTCTGTTTTGGTACCAGTACCATGTTGTTTTGGTTACTGCAGCCTTTTAATATAGTTTGAAGTCAGGTAGTGTGATGCCTCCAGCTTTGTTCTTCTGGCTTAGGATTGACTTGGCAATGTGGCCTCTTTTTTGGTTCCATATGAACTTTAAAGTAGTTTTTTCCAATTCTATGAAGAAAGTCATTGGTAGCTTGATGGGGATGGCACTGAATCTATAAATTACCTTGGGCAGTATGGCCATTTTCATGATATTGATTCTTCCTATCCATGAGCATGGAATGTAATTCCATTTGTTTGTGTCCTCTTTTATTTTGTTGAGCAGTGGTCTGCAGTTCTCCTTGAAGAGGTCCTTCACATCCCTTGTAAGTTGGATTCCTAGGTATTTTATTCTCTTTGAAGCAATTGTGAATGGGAGTTCACTTATGATTTGGCTCTCTGTTTGTCTGCTATTGGTGTATAAGAATGCTTGTGATTTTTGCACATTGATTTTGTATCCTGAGACTTTGCTGAAGTTGCTTATCAGCTTAAGGAGATTTTGGGCTGAGATGATACGGTTTTCTAAATATACAATCATGTCTTCTGCAAACAGGGACAATTTGACTTCCTCTTTTCCTAATTGAATACCCTTTATTTCTTTCTCCTGCCTGATTTCCGTGGTCAGAACTTCCAACACTATGTTTATAATCATCTTTCAACTAGTCTGCCTTGAGAGCAGAGCCCATGCCTCATTCATTCTTATATCCTCATTGCTTTACACAGTCCCTAATGTATTATGGACATTCCATCAATGTTTGTTTCATGAATTAATTTAAGTCGAGGTTCAATCGTAGTGATGCCTTACCAAATTGTAAATCCTCAAGGATGAGGGGACAGAGTTACAATTTATGCTTTAAATCAAATAACCACTCAGTGTTCTGAATGAGACTGGATACACCCCTTAGCCTGCCTATGAATCAAAGCAAAGTTGCTTATCTAAGATTAGGTATTCATGGGTTTGTTTATGCTCTTGAGGCCCAGATTGAAAAAGAGAAATGTCTGAGAATGTGCTTAGATTCAGCACAAGGTATGTAACCAAATGTATAGGTATAGCAGGATCGAGGTAAGAAGGATGCGGATTAAATAAATGAGAAAGCAGCGGCCTTATGTGTATACGTTCATTTTCTGGAGCCTTGCAGATAGTCATTTGCATGGATCTATAAAGTTAGTAACACTGATGACAGGATATAATAAAGATGGTGATTTTGTTAATTTGACTATTAGTGTATTCAAGTTTGGCTTTAAAGAAAATTGCCTTTAGCAAACCAACCATCCCCCTTTTAAAACCATTATCAATACTCTGTGGAAACTTTTCTTCAATGTAATACCTGCTCTAGACATTCAAGGCCCTCTTTTTATAAAAATTAGCCAGCTAGCCAAGTCTTTTGTTCTGAATTAACCTCACATTACTGCAATCCTTTTCCTGTGGACATCTTTTTCAATCGCAGAGTAAAAGGCCTCTGTATGCTGACAGGAGGACTCTAAAGGGCAGTGAGGCATGCTCAAAACCCTAAAAATCATAGAATATAGGCCAGTGTTAAAAGCTGTACTTGCTTCCAAGAGCTAGACCTATTTCCTTCAGGGGCCCCTGTGAGCTAGAGCTGATATGCATGGATGAGTTAGATACTGCAACCACCAGCCCTAGATAAATTGTTGTTGCTTCTAGGCAACCAAGATTTGGTACCTTACTGCAAAAACTCCAGAGCATTCTATCCAAAGGGGATCAAAAATTGAAATTCTCTTTATCTCAAGCTTCAAGGATTGGCCTCGTCAGGACCAAATGCTCAGACTACTAGGAACGACTTAACATGGGTGTACAGAAGCAGAAAGCATCTGTCCAGTCTACCAAATTCCCTTCTATAATAATCCAAAGCTGTTCACCTTGGCAAAATTTCCTAACCATTGCTAGTGATTTCACATTATTGCCTTCTCAGTAATTAGGAAAGTGTTGAGTGGGTATGAAGAAAATATATTATGCTCTGGTATTTTATTAGGCAATCTGGACAGAAGGATTGAAATTCAGAGAAGAGGATTTCTGAGAATTGCTTTGATTGCTTATCATTAGTGAATGAGTCATTTACATCACTAGCCACCACTTTTTCTTGAACTAGAGATTGGAATTGCTTGTCTTATCTTCCAACAAGGATACTGAGGCAGAGTCCAGATACTATGACAAGGAAACAGAAAACTGGGTAGCACTGTATGATTATTATGTGCCAGGCACTGTGTGAAGTGCTTTTATTAGGTTGGTGCAAAAGTAATTGCGGTTTTTGCCATTGCTTTCAATGGCAAAAATGCAATTACTTTTGCATCACCCAACCTAATTGTATTTGATTCAATCCTCGTAGTATCTCCAGGAGCTAGCAACGATTATTATCATCACCAGTTTACAAATAGAAAATGATTAACTTTCATATTGTTAGAAATTATAAATGGAAATAAAGATTCTGTTTCAAACAGAACTAAACAAAAATATATAAGATTTCTATGAGGACTTGCTTAAATGTTAAAGTATTACTAAGAAGCATAAAACAAAACTTGCACAAATAGAAAGATACACTGTTCTTGAATATGTGAATTCAATATTTTAAGATGTCAATTCACATATAGGGCTAAAATTTAGTGTATTAATTTAATTATGATCCAAATGAAAATGCCAACAGGACTTTTTCGATTTAAACATGCTGGAAAATAAACATACAAGATTAGCCAGAAAACTACTGAAAAACATATTATCAAACTATAATAATTTCAACAACCTGGGGCTGGATAATAAGAAAACAAACTGGTCAATGGAACTCAACAGAGTATCCAGAAAGAACACCTATACATACAGGAGTTTTTTAATTGTCTAGATGGTATTTAAAATGTGCCAGGAAACAAATTATTCAATAACTGATGTTGGTATAATTGGCTGACTCCTTACCCTAAAATACATTCCAGATAGTAAAAGACTTAAGAATAAAAAATAAAATTGTAAAAATACTAAATGAAAATATGACAGAATGTTTATAAAATAATCTAATATTGAAGAAGGCCTTTCTAAGCAACAGAAAAACTGAGGAGTCATGTAGGAAAACTGATAAATTTAAACAGAAAAGTTTCAATTATCTGACCACAAAAGCTATCCTAAACATAAAAGAGAAGTGAAAAAATGTAACATAGGACAAAAATCTAATTCCATTTATATAGAGAGTTCTTAGAAGTCCGCGAAAAAACCCACTAACAATTCAATTAAAAAGGAGTGAACAACATGGACATACGGTTCACAGACAAACTTTAAAATGCCATTAAATATATGAATACTTAACTTCACCCATAATTAAATACATTTAAAAAATGAATAGATTATTTTTAGAGTAGTTTTGGATTCACAGCAAAATTGAGCAGAAGGTACATAAAATTACCACATATTCATTTTCCCAGACATGCACGTGTTCCCCTATTATCAACACCCGCCACCGCAGTGGTACATTTGTTACAACTGATGACCCTACATTGACCCATCATTATCACTTAAAGCCCATAGTTTACAATAGGGTTCACTCTTGGTGTTGTATAATTTATGGGTTTTGCTGGATATGTAATGATATGTATGCACCAATTTCATTAAATGCATTTTAATGAGAAGATTTTTAAATATCAAAAGAGAAGACTATTAATAACTTTTTAAAATAAAATTAAACTTATGGAAAACACTCTCTAAGCTGAGCCATAGAGAAACAGAAAATCTGATCAGCCCTTCAATTATTGTTAGAAGATTGAATAAATATTTGAAAATCCACCCCCTCAACCAAATTACAAAAACAACCTTTCAAAGAACATATAATCTCTAATTTAAATAAATGTTCCAGAAAAAGTATTCAGTTCTTCAATGAACCTAGCTTAGTTTATATATATATGTGTATATATATATATACACATATATATATATACACAGTTTTGAGCTATATATATGTCAAAACATTACATTGTACACCCCAAATATTTAAAATTTTTACTTGTTGATTATATCTTGCTATGTTCTGAATGTTTGTGTTCCTCCAAACTTCATGTTGAAACCTAATCCCCATTGTGATTGTGGTGGTATTAAGAGGTGAGGTGTTTAGGAGGTAATTAGCTCAGAGAAGCTTTGCCCTTGTGAATGGGTAAGTACCATTATAAAGAGTTGAGGACCCAGCAACAAAAGCATCATCTATGAAAAACGGGACCTCACAAGCCACTGAATCTGCTGGCATCTTGGTCTTAGACTTCTAAACCTCCAGAACTGTGAGCAATACGTTTCTGTCATTTATAAATTACCCAGTCTAAAGAAATTTGTTATAGTGGACTGAACAGACTAAGACACAACAACGCTAAATTAAGAAAAAAAGCAGAAAAGGACATAAGTAAAATGAACTACTATAGGACAATCTCAATTATGAACATAGACACAAAAATACTAATAAAATATTAGAATAGCAATCTGTCAACATATCACAGCATGGCCAAGTTTGATATATCTGAAGACTGCAAGGATGGTTTAGCATTCAAGAAAAATAGATATGTCCTTTAACATTATTAGGTCAAATAGAAAAATAACTGATGAAATGTAAAAAAAGCTTTTGATAAAAATCTACACCCTTTCAGGAAAAAAACTAGAAAACAGAATAAAAAGTAATTTCTTAACTTAATAAAAGTTCACTACCAGAAAATGTATAACAGCTATAAACTGATGGGTGATATCTTTGAAATATTTGCATTAAAGTGAAGAATAAGTAAAGATTTCCTACTACTACTCTTTTTGAAAATCTGACCAACACAATTAAACAAGATGATGAAATCAAATATGTCATAACAAAGAAGAAAAAATGAAGCTGACATTATTTGGAGATGATTTGATTGTCTACAGAGAATACTCAAGGGAAACTACAAGCTTTTATAACTAAAAGATTGCTGGATATACAATTAATGTGCAAAGATTGTATTCTTATACACCAGCAATAAACAATTCAAAAGTAAAATAACAAATATAGATACTATTTACAATAAACAAACTATCATATGGACTAAAGAATATATCTAACAACAGAAGTGTAAGTCTCTTATGAAGAAAATTATAAAATATTATTAGGAGCATAAAAGAAAACCTAAATAGATGGAGAAATGTAAGTGTTCATGTGGTATATTCATGGATGAGAAAATCAGTATCAAAAAGATTATAATTTCTTCCACGTTAATCCATAAATCCAATACAATTCGAACAAAATGTTTCCTTGTCCAAATATATTGTTCAGCATTCAACAAATTATGGAGCTTCTGTGTGTCAGACATTTTTCTAGGTGCTGAAAAACAAACAGAAATTTCTGTCCTCTTAGAGCGTATATTATGTTGGAATTATTAATTGTAAAATGCAAGGTGCAGACCAGTGTGTGTAGTATGCTATCATTTGTATTTCTAATTGTACATTTAATTGCATAGGAATAGAATATTTTTGAAAGGATTTATAAGAAAATGAAAACAATGGTTCTTTCAGGGCAAGGTGACTATGAGAATATCTCAGTGGGGGAAAGCTTACTGTTCATTGTTATGCCATTTCATAATGTTTGAACAAATATATACTACATTTTTTATACATTTTAAAGCTAGAAAGCTAGTCCAAAATAAACAAAAATGGAATTTAGTGGACAAAATAAAATTCTATCTTTAAGTTAAAAATATCATTGCATATGCTCTAAATGAAGGAGAGCTCACTCAAACAGGTGTTTATATGAATTATATCGTGGCATTTTTGTTAACTATAAGCTAAAGATGAAACAATTATATGACATGGTTGCTAAAAAGGCTAATGAGATTTTAGGCAATATAATAGAATCTTATCCAGATCAAGAGATATCATTGTTCCACTTTATACTGTTTCAGCCATACCTAGAGTATTACGGTCATTTCATTTCTGTGTACCATAAATTAGGAAAGATATTTGCCTCATCTAGAGAGAGTATCCAGGAGACAGAGGAAGAACGGATGAAGTAACTGAGAAAGATTAGTTTCAAAAAGGAAGACTTAAGGGAAACGAGATAAATCTTCAAATACGTTGAGGCAAGAGAAGTTAGACTTATTTTATATTCTTTCAAATAGCACCACTAGGACCTCCATAATCATATAGGTTAAGGGAAGCAAGTTTGGGCCCAGTATTGAAATGTTCTAACAATTTGGCTGTGAGGTGGGAACAGAGTGGAATGAAAATAATATTTACTGCCTACTACATGCCAGACTCATTGCATACATAATAGTAATCCTCGCAGCAGTCCTGCAAGGAATGTATCATTATCCATTTTCCAGAGGATAAAATTGAGGCTCAGTAAGGTTCAGTAATTTCACTGAAAACCCTACAGCTAGTAAATGCAGAAAAAGGATTTGAATCCAATTTACAACAGTCTCCTAATTTGGTCTCCATACGTTGTATCTTGTCCCTCCAATAACAATGCAGCCAGAATGTTCTTTCTAAAACATAAATCTGTTCATATTATTTTCCTGCATAAATTTCTTAGCTTAGCTTACAAAGCCCTTCATAATCTGGCTTTTGCTTACCACTCTATAAATCACTCGCTATTTGGAACTGTTCTGCAGCCACACAGACTATCTTTAAATTACTCAAATATGTATCAAAAAAATGTGGTGTTTCAATGGAAAACTATGCATACTATATAGCACACTCTTTTGGGTCATCAGATTCTAGCCCTGTTCATTGTCATTGAGGTATTTTGCAAGTTTTTGTTAAGTTGTAAGTAACTGAGAGACGTGTAAGTTATGTCCTGCCCAGCAGTGATTAATTGACTTCCCCAGCCCCTGTGGAAAAAAGTTTTGTATTACTTGCAACTAATCTCAATGTTCCTTTACTCCATATAAAACTATGGTGTTTTGACTTTTCTTTTGAACTAGTTATAACATGTGCCTAGTTCACTCATATCTCATGAGAAAAACAAATTCTTTAACATATACTCATTTTTATACTTGTATGAGAGTCATGACTTCATCTTTTTTTCTGAAAATTATCTTTTAACATATACCATGCTCTCCTCTTTCTTGTTTATTTCTTGTCTCTGGGACTTCACATAGCCTGTTTCCTCAACTTAGGACAACTTCTTAATGCCCCCCGCCCCTGTTCATAAAATGTTTGTTGAATGAAAGTAAAAAGAAGGTGGCCAGGCGCGGTGGCTCACACCTGTAATCCCAGCACTTTGGGAGGCTGAGGCAGGTGGATCACGAGGTCAAGAGATCAAGACCATCCTGGCCAACTTGGTGAAACTCCCGTCTACTAAAAATACAAAAGTTAGCTGGGCGTAGTGGCGTGTGCTTGTAGTCCCAGCTACTCAGAAGGCTGAGGCAGGAGAATCACTTGAACCCAGGAGGTGGAGGTTGCAGTGAGCTGAGGTCGCACCACTGCACTCCAGCCTGGTGACAGAGCCAGACTCCGTCTCAAAAAAAAAAAAATTAAAAAGAAGTTTAGAAGGAAGGAACCACTTAAGCCAGGTCCGTCTGACACCGAAGACTATGATCTCTGCAATAAGGAGTTGTCTTTCACATCTTTTACATCATCTAAACAGAATGGTCTACTTCAGAGCAACAGGCTTCTTGTCACTAGAAGCTTAACCGATGTTATCATCCATTAGGGATGCAGTAGGATGGGATTCTAATATTGGGAGTATCAGAGAAAAAATGTGTCTACTGAGTAGGATTTTAAAGAGAAAAAATATTCTGATACTTGTTAAAATGGTAAGGAAGAATTTATTTGAGACACATTGGGAAAGAGAGAAGGGGCTTCACTCTAAATACAGCAAGGGTAAGTGGGGATTTATAGCCAAGGATCAGGATGTGAGTGGGGATCAATGGATGGAAAATTACTAAGAGGAGGCATTAAAGATTGGGGAATTATTGCTAAGCTGGTGTAACAGGCCAAGAATTTAGACATTAAGCCTAGGGGATGAGGAACCTGATCAGATATCAAGGGTAGAGGCGTAACTTAGCAGAATTCTAAGACTGGGCTGGGCAGGCCAAACCTAGAACAGGGGCTAAGATTGAGGCCTAGTCAAGAAGTGGGCTCAGAGGAGGCTAACTAAAGTTTGGCCAAGAAGAGAGTCTTCGTTAAGAGTTAGGCTGTCATAATCAGTCTGTGTGGTTACTTCTAACTCTAAGGTCACTGAAATGTAATATATTAAAACCAAGACTGCATCATACTTCTGTGAACACTTTGAGAGAAAGGGAGCCTGAGAAAAAATGAGCTCCATCTCTGTAAGTCTCCCACAGGTCCATAATACCAGCCAACCTGGCCTTTCTGTTTTTGGTATATTAAGTTCCAAATAGAATATAGGAAGCAAAGCATAAAGATGGCTGTGTTTTCTAGAGTGGATGACTTCCCACAGTGAATTTCGTAGGAAACAGCCCCACGCATTTTTAATTGGAGCTGCTTCTTTCCATTTGTGTGGGCAAGTCACATTAGTGATTTACAAAAGAGAGGGAATGGAAATGAGCTCAATGAAACAGTGAACAGCTTGCAATAGACTCATTTCTTCTCAGGCAGCCACTTCTTTGACTTCCATCTGAGAAAATACCAGAGGTAGTACCTATGGCAAACAGCACAAGCAGCCTAGACATGTGACAGGTGCAACCAGGTAGGATGACATACTCACCATTGCCACTCAGGAGGTGGAGCCAAATCCATGGTAGAAAAGGACAGACTTCCTACTGAAAGTCTTAAAAATGGTTCAAAACGTTTTCATATCTATTACTCTATAGCAAGTATCAGAAAATTCCACCATTAGCCACTCTTTCGGGCTGAAGCATTAAATCCAGAAGATTACATTTAAAATAGGAGAGGAGGTGCGGGAGTGTGTGTGTAAACTGTTAGCCCTCATTAGCAAGCTGTATGTCTTTGATTGAGGTATTTTCCATCCTGGGATCCAGGATCACCAAGGTATAAAAGGGGAGGTTTAGGCCAGTTCTCATTCAGCTCTTATTTTCTGTGGTTCTATGTTTTTCAGCAAAGAAAGACATTCATTATCAGCTAGCAAGTGGCACCTAATTAACAGGATTCAGAACAGAAAAATTGTGACAGAAAACAGGGAGAAATAAATGTCCAGGACAGGGGTCATGCATGGGGCCAAGAATGATAGGAGCACTATAGCCAGACGATTTGGGCAGCAATGGGGCAGAGCCAGCGGGGAAAAAGGGCACCCAGAGTAGGTGGAGCACAGAGCATACTAATGGCAAACTTTATTTACTTCATAAATTTGCCGTGCTCAAACTCCACCCTCCACATTCTCACAGTCACATGCATATACAATCTGTCTCTCACAATCTCTGTCTCTCTCTCATAGACTTTCTCTCTTGATTATTCTCATTCTCACTCTCTTTCTCCAAATACAGTAGTTAAAAATAGACTTTAACTTTTATTTCAGTAATCAACCTGGCATTGAAAGTGGTAAAGCAAACACTTCCCAAGCTCATGTTATTACAGCAGTACTTGTTAGGAGATTGATTTTAGGGAGGAATGAGCTTACAGCTTGGGAGAAAGCTTTTTCTTTTTTCAATCGCTTACTTTTATTTAACAGCAAGATTCCTTGTAGGATACCTGGAAAAATTTGGGCCAGAGTGGAAAAGCATGAACCAGTTTACTTGAAAAACAGTTCATTTTAGATTGATTTAATTTCACTGAGAGATGTCGTGTTTATCTTTGATAAAGAGAACAGTAGCTGATAGCTTGGAAAGGGTTCCACTCAAATCGTCCCCCAGAGCTTGGATGGCAGAGGGATCAGAGATTGATGCCTCTGTGGGTGTCCTTTAGATGATGCTCACCTTCCGTGCTTGAGTGTATTTCATTTTCATAAGGTTCAAAGACACATTGTTATTAGAATGGCTACAACGCCATCAAGTAAATTCTATGAATCAAAGTGCACCTGTTTCTCTATTAGGCATTGGGATATTAAAGAAAAATAAAGCTGTGTATCTGCTTTAAAATTAAAAGCTATTTTATCCTGGGTTTATCATTACCAGATATTTCAGGAATAGAAATTGAGAGCTATGGCTGTAAACCTTTTAGAAGTACAGTGCTGGTCTGTAAGGTCAATATGGAGTCACTTCTAATCCTTTATCCTCAATTCTAACACACACATGCATGCTCACACACACACACACACACATAATATATTATCTATGTAAGGCTGTGCAATAGTCAAAGATAGACAAAATTACCCTGATATAAAACCTGGTTAAATCTGGACCTAATTTATTTATTCTAAACATTGTTAGGTTGTAAATATTGAAAAATTATCTTTGTAGTCCAGAAGTTTTCAAATGGCCTGATGTGTAGTGTTATCTTTTGCAGGATATAAACAGGGCCCACACCACAAATAATGTTTTTCATGTTTCTATACCTGACCACTGAGGAAAGGATGAAGAAGAGAGGGATGAAAACAATAGGAAATAATGAGCAAAGGGAATAAGGCAAGGATAAAAAAGACAGAAAGAGTTTGATGTTTGCCAAAGTCCCAAGAAGCAAAAATCTAACACATGACTTTTTAAAAAAGAAAATAATATAATCTTTTACATTTTAACAATAGGTAAAAATTGACAGAATTTAATTTCTATTTAAAGTTCACCAGTGCAGGAACTCCTAAAATACTTCATTTTTCACACTTAGGGAGCATCCCCAAATGAAGCTAAGTAGTTGAAGGTAATCTTTTTGAGGACTAAATGAGTTGTTATATGTAAAGCACTAAGAACAACAACAACCACTTAGTAAGCACTCAATACATGGTAGCTATTACTCTCATAACCATCATCATAGTTATCATCATCATCATTATATTTTTGCCAAGATAATGATCTTGAATGAAAAAGTATTCCTTTTATGTTTTTAATATATATGGACAAAATACTTTAAATGTCATGTTTGTGTTCCCAACTACATACATAAACAGAATTGTTGCCTAATGTATGACCTGTGAGATAATTTAAAATAAGCTGCAGGTCTGATCTTCTTCCTCTGGGGGGTAAATGTTACCTGTCCCTAAGAAAATCCAGACATCGTCATGACTGATTGCATTTTTCTTTTATGACGTTAAATACGTTTTGCCATGTAAACAAAACAGTACTTCTAGTTAGTCTTCTTTCTCCCAAGAGATCTGCATACAGAGGGAAAATTACCAACTGTATCATCAAATAACTCTGATAAGCCCTTGTCTATATGTGACGCTATCCTGGACACTGTTCACACAATACAGTAATGCAACCTCTGCCCTGTGTACACTTAGAGCAGTGACACAAGTGATACACAGACTGGGTCTACATCACATCCTCACTCATCTGTTGGCCAGTCAATTCAGCCAGAAGAGCTGATTTTGGTCCCATACAGCTATAGCGACAGACAATTGAGCAAGCACAACACAGAAAAAAACAAAACAAAAACAAAACAAAACAAAACAAAAAACTAAGAAACAAACAGCTTCACTTCTGTTATCCAATTTTCTTTTTCTTTTCTTTTTTTTTTTTTGAGACAGAGTCTCGCTCTGTCACCAAGGCTGGAGTGCAGTGGCACGATCTCGGCTCACTGCAAGCTCCGCCTCCCGGGTTCACGCCATTCTCCCGCCTCAGCTTCCCAAGTAGCTGGGACTACAGGCGCCAGCCACCACGCCCAGCTAATTTTTTGTATTTTTTTTAGTAGAGACGGGGTTTCACCGTGTTAGCCAGGATGGTCTCGATCTCCTGACCTCATGATCCACCTACCTCGGCCTCCCAAATTGCTGGGATTACAGGCGTGAGCCACTGCGCCCGGCCCTGTTATCCAATTTTCAAGCCTCCACATGGGTCTTTGTGACTATGTAGAAGAAAGGTGGCTGTAGTTGACTCTGAATATTTTTTTTCCTCTTGCAGGGGCATTACAAGAATACTTATCTCTGTTTTCCCAAGAATGTCACCACTAGAAAAATTGGACTGATTATGTGTTATCTATATATGTGTTATCTCTCTCTCTCTCTCTATATATATATATATAATTACATATATATATATATGTAATTGGCTCATGCAATTATAGAGGCTGAGATGTTCAGACCCAGAAGAGTTGATGGTATTGTTTCAGTCCTAATCTGAAGGCCTGAGAATCAGGAAATCCAATGATGTAAGTTCCAATCTGAGTCCGAGTCTGAAGGCAGAAGATAATCAGGAAGAGAGAAAGAATTCTTACTCAACTTCTTATGCTATTCTGTCTTTCAACAGACTGAATGAGGCCCATGCTGATTTGGGAGGGCCATCTGCTTTACTCAGTCTACCAATTCAAATGTTACTCTCATCCAGAAACACCTTCACAGACACACCAAGAACAATGATGAGCCAAATATCTGGGCATTCCATGGCTCACTCAAGTTGACACATAAAATTAGCCGTCACAGATACTCAGAACCCCTTGGTCTGAATCTCAAGAGTTGATCCAGATGAATGGTCAGATGGAAGAATAAGGTACTCACATGATCAAACCTTGGACTCCATTCCTGTACCCTCAAATCTGTATTAATTTACATCAGTATAATCCAAGGTTTGTTACCCACCAGCACTTCCTATTTTCCGAAGCAAGTGCCCATAAATGAATTATTTGATGTTGGGAATGTGAAAAAATAAGACTGTTTCCTTAATCCACTAACTAATCCCGCTCACTGGGCTGCATTTAAAACTATTGAATACCCATCTTTATTTCTCTCCCTGGACACTTGAGAATGTTGGGCTCTGGTTGAAGCCTTAAAGACAAAAAGCAGTTCAACCTACAAGGGATGCTCCCAGGACTTTAAAAGGAGGCCTGTGCCAGCAATAGATCATCAGGCAGAATAAAGTTAGGCTACTTTTATCTCGTTTTCTAGTACCATCTTGCTATCATATTGCTAACCTATGTTCTTATTCATGACTCCACCTCTGATATGAATTCTACTCAGCTAAAAATAATGATACTTATTGCTGTAGGCCCTTATACTTTCTACTTGATTTAGGTCTGAGTTTCACTACCCCCTAGCCTATTTTCAATTTGGCATCACTTCCCTTGCTCAAAGGACAAACCACCATGGGACAGTTATTATCCTACCGAAGAGATACTTCACAGAAATATATTGACGACTCTGTTTTCACCTTTCCTTCTTATTTCTTTTCCCAATGCCAGGATTCATTCTCCAAATGGCCTGGCTCCTCCAGAAGCTATAAGAATGATAGGGTATATGAACACTGCATTCAAAATAGGCACTCTTCTAACAGATGGTGCAGAATGGCGAATTGAAAGGAGAAAGCTATTGTAAGGCAACATTTCAAACAACAAAAATAAGTTGTAGGGGCTTGGAGAGGAAATTGTGTTTTGGTTTAAAGCAGCAAATTACCTGGATGGCTTAAACTATCTGACAATCTAAGAATATCAAATTATCCACTGAAAATCTGGCTACTCAAGCTGCTTTTCCAAACTGCACATTATTTGCTCAACAAATTTTCTGCTCTTAAGTCTCTGAGAGAAAATTTT
This sequence comes from Homo sapiens, assembly GCF_000001405.40. Taxonomy (NCBI): domain Eukaryota; kingdom Metazoa; phylum Chordata; class Mammalia; order Primates; family Hominidae; genus Homo; species Homo sapiens. The sequence goes on along the minus strand of NC_000023.11, from coordinate 112,248,277 downwards.
AAAATGCTCTTTTCACCACAAAAGAAAAGTAGATTTTTTTAAAGAGACTATAGAAAGAATCTACAGAAGGAAACACCAAATTTCTCTGGAAATTTCAAGTTTTTCTTGGAAATAATTATAGCTATCTGTAGTAAACAAGCAATGTCTTCCACTTACATTGATTACTCATGAAAACCTAGATAAATCACTGCCAACTGTAGTACAAAGTTAACATATATTTCTTTTGTCTAAAAACTCAAAGGTTTGAGGCCGGTTGACTCCTTTGGTGTAGATGGGGAAGAATATTAGCCAAATCTGTTTACATGCAGCAGAATTGGTCACAGATGAAAGATATGGGAGGTTCTGGAAGATACACCCAGTTCTGCAAGGTCAGCTTTTACAGTTGGAGGAAACCAGTCCTTCCTGTTCCCAAGGGAACTAGCTCAAGTTGAGGCCAATAGGACCCTCAAGTACTATTGTTATGGCCAAAAAACAATCATCACTGATCACTGGGCAGATTCCAAATTGTCTTCTGGAACAGATCCACTCTGTTTTGGACAGTGAAGTGGCATGGCATAGTGGAAGGAACATGAGCTTTGGCATCAAACCGGGATTTAATTTCTGGCTCAGTCACTTATTCGCTGTGAGATGTTGAGCAAATATTTAACTTTGCTGAGTTTCATTTTCCTCATCTGTAATACAGATAATCTTATTTATCCTTAAAGTATTGTCTTGAAGAGAAAACAAAATGAAGCACCCAATGAACTCATCATAGTTCCTGGCATCATGTTTTGTGCCTAATAAATAATAGCTTAAAAAATGAGGGGATATGCCACAACATGGATGAAACTTGAAAACATACTGTTAAGTTAAAGAAACCACTTACCAAGGACTGGATGTTGTATGATTCCATTCATGGGTAATGTCTAAAATAGGCAAACCCATAGAGATAAAACGTCATTTTGTAGTTGCATAGGGCTAGGGATAGGGAAGAGGATGGGAATAGGGAATGACTATTAATAGGTACCTTTTTTTGGAGGGGATAATTAAAATCTTGGCTTTTTACTTGGTATATTTAAACCATTCAGACTTCAAGTAATTAGTAATATGTATAAGGCTTAAGTCTGCCATTTTGTTTTTTGTTTTTGCTTGTACTGTTTCTTGTTTCTTTGTTTACCTTTGAGGACTTCTTTTGGGTCACTTGAACATTTTACAAAATTCCATTTTGATTTATTTAAATGTATTTGAATTATATAATTTATAATGTATTGTGCAGTTTTTTGAGTAGTTGCTTTTGCTATTACTACATACATATACAGAACATATCACAGCCTACTTATACCAATGTTTTGCCACTTCAAGTGAACTGAAGTAAAGAAATCTTACATCCATTTAGCTTTACCTTCTCCACTCTTTAAATATAAATACAAACAATCAGAGGTTCATTCCAAGATGGCCGAATAGGAACAGCTCAAGTCTGCAGCTCCCAGCGTGATCAATGCAGAAGACGGGTGATTTCTGCATTTCCAGCTGAGGTACCTGGTTCATCTCATTGGGACTGGTTGGACACTGGATGCAGCCCACAGAGGGTGAGCTGAAGCAGGGTGGGGCATCGCCTCACCCGGGAAGTGCAAGGGGTCTGGGGATTTCCCTTTCCTGGCCAAGGGAAGCCGTGAAAGACTGTACCTGGAAAATCGGGACACTGACATCTAAATACTGTGCTTTTCCAACAGTCTTAGCAAATGGCACACCAGGAGATTATATCCCATGCCTGGCTCAGCGGGTGCCACACCCACAGAGCCTTACTCACTGCAAGTGCAGCATTCTGAGATCTAACTGCTAGGTGGCATCCTGGCTCGGGGAGGGGTGTCCGCCATTGCTGAAGCTTGAGTAGGTAAACAAAGTGGCGGGGAAGCTCAAACTGGGTGGAGACCAACACGGCTCAATGAGGCCTGCCTGCCTCTGTAGACTCCACCTCTGGGGCAGGGCAGAGCTGAACAAAAGGCAGCAGAAAATTCTGCAGACTTAAACATCCCTGTTGGACAGCTCTGAAGAGAGCAATGGTTCTCCCAGCACAGTGTTTGAGCTCTGAGTACAGACAGACTGCCTCCTCAAGTGGGTCCCTGACCCCCGTGTGCCCTAACTGGGAGACACCTCCCAGTAGGAGCTGACAGACACCTCATACAGCCAGGTGCCCTCTGACACAAAGCTTCCAGAGGAAGGATCAGGCAGCAATATTTGCTGTTCTGCAATATTTGCTGCTCTGCAGCTTCCGCTGGTGATACCCTGGGAAACAGGGTCTGGAGTGGACCTCCAGCAAACTCCAACAGACCTGCAGCTGAGGGACCTGACTGTTAGAAGGAAAACTAACAAACAGAAGGGAATAGCATCAACATCAACAAAAAGAACATCCACACCAAAACCCCATCTGTAGGTCACCATCATCAAAGACCAAAGGTAGATAAAACCACAAAGATGGGGAGAAACCAGAGCAGAGAAGCTGAAAATTCTGAAAATCAGAGTGCCTCTTCTCTTCCAAAGGATTGCAGCTCTTTACCAGCAATGGAACAAAGCTGGATGGAGAATGACTTTGACAAGTTGACAGAAGTAGGCTTCAAAGGTCGGTAATAACAAACTACTCTGAGCTAAAGGAGGATGTTGAAACCCATTGCGAGGAAGATAAAAACCTTGAAAAAAGATTAGATGAATAGCTAACTAGAATAAACAGTGTAGAGAAGACCTTAAATGACCTGATGGAGCTGAAAACCATGGCATGAGAACTACGTGACGCATGCACAAGTGACAGTAGCCAATTCAATCAAATGGAAGAAAGGGTATCAGTGATTGAAGATCAAACTAATGAAATGAAGCAAGAAGAGAAGAATAGAGAAAAAAGAGTAAAAAGAAATGAACAAAGCCTCCAAGAAATATGGGACTATGTGAAAAGACCAAATCTACATTGGATTGGTGTACCTGAAAGTGATGGGGAGAATGGAACTGAGCTGGAAAACACACTTCAGGATATTATCCAGGAAAACTTCCCCAACCTAGCAAGGCAGGCCAACATTCAAATTCAGGAAATACAGAGAACACCACCAAGATACTCCTCGAGAAGAGCAACCCCAAGACACCTAATTGTCAGATTCACCAAGGTTGAAATGAAGGAAAAAATGATAGGCGCAGCCAGAGACAAAGGTCAGGTTACCCACAAAGGGAAGCCCATCAGACTAACAGTGGATCTCTTGGCAGAAACTCTATAAGCCAGAAGAGAGTGGACGCCAATATTCAACATTCTTAAAGAAAAGAATTTTCAATCCAGAATTTCATATCCCCCCAAATTAAGCTTCATAAGTGAAGGAGGAATAAAATCCTTTACAGACAAGCAAATGCTGAGAGATTTTGTCACCACCAGGTCTGCCTTACAAGAGCTCCTGAAGGAAGCACTAAACACGGAAAGAAACAACTGGTACCAACCACTGCAAAAACAGGCCAAATTGGAAAGACCATCGATGCTAGGAAGAAACTGCATCAATGAACAGGCAAAATAACCAGCTAACATCATAATGACAGGATCAAATTCACACATAACAATATTAATCTTAAATGTAAATGTGCTACATGCCCCAATTAAAAGACACAGACTGGCAAATTGGATAAAGAGTCAAGACCCATCAGTGTGCTATATTCAGGAGACCCATTTCACGTACAGAAGCACACATAGGCTCAAAATAAAGCGATGGAGGAAGATCTACTAAGCAAATGGAAAGCAAAAAAAGGGCAGGGGTTGCAATCCTAGTATCTGATAAAACAGACTGTAAACAAACAAGACCAAAAGAGACAAAGAAGGCCATTACATAATGGTAAAGGTATCAATTTAACAAGAAGACCTAATTATCCTAAATATATATGCACCCAATACAGGAGTACCCAGATTCATAAAGCAAGTCCTTGGAGACCTACAGAGACTTAGACTCCCACACAATAATAATGGGAGACTTTAACACCCCACAGTCAATATTAGACAGATCAACAAGACAGAACATTAACAAGGATATCCAGGACTTGAACTCTGCTCTGCACCAAGCAGACCTAATAGACATCTACAGAACTCTCCAACCCAAATCAACAGAATATACATTCTTCTCAGCACCACATCACACTTATTCTAAAATTGACCACATAATTGGAAGTAAAGCACTCCTCAGCAAATGTAAAAGAACAGAAATCACAACAAACTGTTGCTCAGACCACAGTGCAATCAAATTAGACCTCAGGATTAAGAAATTCACTCAAAACCACACAATTACATGGAAACTGAACAACCTGCTCCTGAATGACTACTGGGAACATAATGAAATTAAGGCAGAAATAAAGATGTTCTTTGAAACCATTGAGAACAAAGACACAATGTACCAGTATCCCTGGGACACATTTAAAGCAGTGTGTAGAGGGAATTTATAGCACTAAATGCCCACAAGAGAAAGCAGGAAAGATCTAAAATGGACACCCTAACATCACAATTAAAAGAACCAGAGAAGAAAGAGCAAACACATTCAAAAGCTAGCAGAAGGCAAGACATAACGAAGATCAGAGCAGAACTGAAGGAGATAGAGACACAAAAAACCTTTCAAAAAATCAATGAATCCAGGAGCTGGTTTTTTGAAAAGATTAACAAAATTGATAGGCCATTAGCAAGACTAATAAAGAAGAAAAGAGAGTAGAATTAGATAGATGCAATAAAAAATGATAAAGTGGATATCACTACCGATCCTACAGAAATACAAACTACCATCAGAGAATACTATAAAAACCTCTACACAAATATACTAGAAAATCTAGAAGAAATTAATAAATTCCTGGACACATGTACCCTCCCAAGGCTAAACCAGGAAGAAGTAGAATCCCTGAATAGACCAATAATAGGCTCTGAAATTTAGGTAATAATTAATAGCCTACTAACCAAAAAAAGTCCAGGACCAGATGGGTTCACAGCCGAATTCTACCAGAGGTACAAAGAGGAGCTGGTACCATTACTTCTGAAACTATTCCCATCAATAGAAAAAGAGGGAATCCTCCCTAACTCATTTTATGAGGCCAGCATCATCCTGACACCAAAGCCTGGCAGAGACACAACAACAACAAAAAAGAGAATTTTAGACCAATATCCCTGATGAACATCGATGCGAAAAGCCTCGATAAAATACTGGCAAACTGAATCCAGCAGCACATCAAAAAGCTTATCCACCAAGATCAAGGTGGCTTCATCCCTGGGATGCAAGGCTGGTTCAACATACACAAATCAGTAAACTTAATCCATCATGTAAACAGAACCAAAGACAAAAACCACATGATTATCTCAATAGATGCAGAAAAGGCATTCAACAAAATTCAACAGCCCTTCATGTTGAAAACTCTCAATAAACTAGGTACTGATGTATTTCAAAATAATAAGAGTGATTTATGACAAACCCACAGCCAATATCATACTGAATGGGCAAAACCTGGAAGCATTCCTTTTGAAAACCGGTACAAGACAGGGATACCCTCTCTCACCACTCCTATTCAACATGGTGTTGGAAGTTCTGGCCAGGGAAATCAGGTAAGAGAAAAAAATAAAGGGTATTCTATTAGGAAAAGAGGAGTTAAATTGTCCCTGGTTGCAGATATCATGATTGTATATTTAGAAAACTCCATGATCTCAGCCCAAAATCTCCTTAAGCTGATAAGCAACTTCAGCAAAGACTCAGGATACAAAATCAATGTGCAAAAATCACAAGCATTCTTATACACCAATAACAGACAAACAGAGTGCCAAATTATGAGTAAACTCTCAATCACAATTGCTACAAAGGGAATAAAATACCTAGGAATCCAAAGTACAAGGGATGTGAAGGACCTCTTCAAGGAGAACTACAAAACACTGCTCAATGAAATAAAAGAGGACACAAACGAATGGAATTACATTCCATGCTCATGAATAGGAAGAATCAATATCATGAAAATGGCCATACTGCCCAAGGTAATTTATAGATTCAATGCCATCCCCATCAAGCTACCAATGACCTTCTTCACAGAATTGGAAAAAACTACTTTAAACTTCATGTGGAATCAAAAAAGAGCCCGCATTGCCAAGACAATACTAAGCAAAAAGAACAAAGCTGGAGGCATCACGCTACCTGACTTCAAACTATACTACAAGGCTACAGTAACCAAAACAGCATGGTACTGGTACCAAAACAGAGATATAGACCAATGGAACAGAACAGAGGCCTCAGAAATAACACCACACATCTACAACCATCTGATCTTTGACAAACCTGACAAAAATAAGAAATGGCAAAAGGATTCCCTATTTAAGAAATGGTGCTGGGAAAACTGGCTAGCCATATGTAGAAAGCTGAAACTGGATCCCTTCCTTACACCTTATACAAAAATTAATTCAAGATGGATTAAAGACTTAAATGTTAGACCTAAAACCATAAAAACCCTAGAAGAAAACCTAGGCAATACCATTCAGGACATAGGCATGGGCAAGGACTTCATGACTGAAACAACAAAAGCAATGACAAGAGAAGCCAAAATTGACAAATGGGATCTAATTAAACTAAAGAGCTTCTCCACAGCAAAAGAGATTACCAACAGAGTGAACAGGCAACCTACAGAATGGGAGAAAATTTGTGCAATGTACCCATTTGACAAAGGGCTAATAGCCAGAATCGACAAAGAACTTAAACAAATTTACAAGAAAAAAATCAAACAACCCCATCAAAAAGTGGGCAAAGTATATGAACAGACACTTTTCAGAAGAAGAGATATATGCAGCCAACAGACACATGAAAAAAATGCTCATCATCACTGGTCATCAGATAAATGCAAATCAAAACCACAATGAGATACCATCTTACATCAGTTAGAATGGCGATCATTAAAAAGTCAGGAAACAACAGGTGCTGGAGAGGATGTGGAGAAATAGGAACACTTTTACACTGTTGGTGGGACTGTAAACTAGTTCAAACATTGTGGGAGACAGTGTGGCAATTCCTCAAGGATCTAGAACTAGAAATACCATTTGACCCAGTGATCCCATTAATGGGTACATACCCAAAGGATTTGATTATATTTATATAATCTTTATGGTATTTGTAAATACCATAAAGACATATGCACACATATGTTTATTTGGCACTATTCACAATAGCAAAGACTTGGAACCAACCCAAATGTCCATCAATGATATACTGGATTAAGAAAATGTGGCACATATACACCATGGAATACTATGCAGCCATAAAAAATGATGAGTTCATGTCCTTTGTAGGGACATGGATGAAGCTGGAAACCATCATTCTCAGCAAACTATCACAAGGACAGAAAACCAAACACCACATGTTCTCACTCATAGGTGGGAATTGAACAATGAGAACACATGGACACAAGGTGGGGAACATCACACAACGGGGTCTGTCGTGCGGTGGGGGGAGGGATAGCATTAGGAGAAATACCTAATGTAGATGACACGTTAATGGGTGCAGCAAACCAACATGGCACATGTATACGTATGTAACAAACCTGCATATTGTGCACATGTACCCTAGAACTTAAAGTATAATAAAATAAATAAATAAATACAAATGATCTTCAATTTACCCTTTTTCACCTTCACAATGGCACAAAAGCAATATGTGCTTAGTAGAAACTGTACTTCGAGTGCCCATACAAGCATCTTGTTTTTCACTTTCAGTACAGTATTCAATATATCACATGAGATGTTTAACAATTGATTATAAAATCAGCTTTGTGTTAGATTATTTTACCCAACTGTAAGCTAATGTAATAGTTCTGAGCACATTTAAGTCAGACTAGGCTAAGCTATGATGCCTTGCTATTTCTCCAAATGATTTTTCAGACTCCATTCCTTCTCTTCTCCTTCCAAGACTCCAGTAACACAAATGTTAGATCTTTTGTTACTATACATTCCCTCAGGTTCTGTTCATTTTATATTTTTTCATCCTATTTTCCTCTTTGTTGTTCATATTGGACAATTTCTATTCATCTGTCTCTGAGTTTACTGATTGTTCCTTGTCTTGTCACCAGTCTTCTACTGTACCTGGCCAGGGAGCTTTTGATTTTTAAATTTGAGTTACTGTATTTTTCAGTTCTATAATATCCCTTTGGTTCTCCTTTATATTTTCAAATTATTTGTTGAAATATTTTTCATTTGTTTTAAAAAGGTTTGTTAATGCTCATTGAAGCATTTTTGTGATTGCTACCTTAAAATCCAGATAATTTCAACATCTGAATCATCTCATTGTTGATGCTTGTTGATTATCTTTTCATATTGAAGTTATAATTTTCCTGGTTCTTGGTATAATGAGTGATTCTCAGTTGTATCCTCGGATATTTAGGTATTATCCTGTAAGATTCTGGATCTTATTTAACCTTCTTTATAGCAGACAATCACCATGTTTAATTGTAGTATACAGATATGGGCGGAAATGGTTATTCAGTTTCTGTGTGTGCCTGTTAATATTACCCTGGCAAAAGTGAAGGTTAAATCGTACTATCCTATTGCAGATGGTGGAATGGAAGTTCAGCTCCTTTTCTGTTCCTACTGACACCTTCCTTGTGAATATGGGGCACCAACTCATACCAAGTGGTCATGTATGCTCAGCACCCCACTGGGCCCTGCTGACACTGAGGATAGGGGATAAAATAGAGGGCCAATTCTCACCACCTTACACACCCATGTTCTAACTTGTTGCTGCCATGTGTGTTGGAAATTCAGCTTTTCTGTGGACCAAGCTGACACCAGGAAGGCGAAAAGCAGAATTCCCACTTGTTCTGCCTTACACCTCATCATTCAGTCTCATGGTTGCTGGGTGGGAATAAAGACACAGTTTCCTACTGGGCCCTGCTTCCATGGGGTGGATGGAAATGCCTGCTAGCTCCATCTTGTTCCTCTTTATTATACCTTATTGATATTAGGCAGGGATAGAAGCCCGCCTCCCCACTAGGCCCCACTGACACTACCCTGACAGGGACTCTGAGTGCCACCTGCCCCTGCCAGGTAGGAGGATAGAAAATCAGCTCCCTCTTGCTCAGCCCTGCCAACATCATCCTAGGCCAGGGAGGAAACCAAAATATTACCTGTTTCTGGGAATAGGTGGCAATGGGGTAGAGGAATGGAAGAGTAGAAGATCAGCTTCCCACTCTGCCCATCAATACCATCTTAGTGGGAGACTCAGAGTATGACCACCTGCTTTCACTAGGTGGAGGCAAGGTGGAAGACCTGTTTCCCAGTGGGGAGATTGGAATATAGTCATCTGCTTCTGCGAAATGGGAGGCTGTGGCAGAAGATCAGTTTCTTTCCACTGCTTCAGTGCTTGGCTCCACTGAAACCATGAGGGATGGGATAGCTTTTCCATTAGTAGTTATCTGTAGTAGAGCAGGTATTGCCAATCAGATTTTCTGTTTTTAGACCACCATTTCCCAGTGCTTTAGCTAGTGGGGACAGGCTTTTCTTGGAGCTTTTTGTCTGTGCCTGTTGGTTCCAGGTTGGATACTATAGCAGCACACCATCTGGGATATATAGGAGGTAAAAAAAAATAAAAAATCACTGTTGTGTTGTTCCTCAAGTCCCGAGGTCCCTAAGGCAGTCTGCTTTCTTCTTTTCCTTTTCATAGTCTTCCTATAATTGTTTGTTTCATTAAATCCATAGATTTTTATTTTTAAGAGGGAGAAATGGGACTGCTCCATCTTATCTAGAAAAAGAAGGCCATTCCAGCACTCTTTGTAATAGCAGTAAGAGTAAAAATATCCTAGGTGTCTTTCAAGAGGGGAATAGAATAATTTATTTGGGCATAGTTTTAAGATGGAACATAAGAAATGAACTAGATCTGTATATATCAATCATCATGGGCAAATCTAGAAGAACAGTGCTGAAAGAAAAAAGTAAGATGTAGAATGATAAGTAAAATATGATTCCAACTATATAAATATAAAGATCATATACACAGAAATCAATATCAATTGTTTATGGTGATAGACATAAAAATATGAAATATACTACTTGTCTCTAATGTGGAGGGGTAGGAGACTGAGCTGGTGGTCAAAGGGGCCTTCAGCTGAACAGTAATGTTATATTGTCTAAAAACAAACTAGAAGCAAATAGGGCAAAATGCTAATAGTTAATTACAGGGCTGAAGGGATAGGAGTGTTGTTCTTTGCACTTTTCTGTATTTTTTAAGTGTCTTAATGGAAGACAAAAGACACATTTGTTTTGTAGTAGCAGCCATGTTAGTGAAATAGGATTTTCTCTGAAGAAGTGTTCATTATGCAGCTGTAGTGGGCCACCTTCCTAACACTGGAACAGAATGACATATTCTTTCAATAGAGCATGCCTTTTAGCTTTCCTCATGTCTCAACCTCACTGAGATTCAGCCAGCATCATTTGGCTCTCTGAATAAATCGCTCTTCATTCATTCACAAAGAATGTGGTAAGTGTCCCTTCTCTACGCTAGGTGCTGAGCAAATATTGTTGAATAATATACAGGTAACGCTCGGTAATAAAATATATTAAACAGGAACTATAATAGAAATGGGCATAGAGTATTTACCTCCATTATAACAATGCTTAGATTAATTTCTCCTTAAAGTTCAATAGCATGTTAAAAATTGAGCTGTATAAGCTTGGAGGAAGAAAAATTTGTTTTCCTCATTTTATACTTAAACTAGAGTAATACGGGAGCTGTTTCCTGGAGAAATTGCCAATCAGCAAATAGCAGCCTTCTGCCCTCCTGCTGGCTACAATACTTCCCTCATGAACTTGACCTTCAGAGGCCATTCAGCTTCAAGAAATACCAAGCTGAAGGTCACTTCTCTGATCCTCAAAGAATTCTAAGGGCAAAAGTCTAGCCCCTGCCCATCCTTTGAACTGTCTGAGTGAAGTAGCTACGTAGCAAACCACTTTGCTCCATAGGCCACTATCTAATTGTCTTACCCCCTCAACAAACCACACACGTTCCTTCCATAACTCTAATGTGAATTCTTCTGAGCAAGGCACTTCTTCTTGTTGCCCCTAAAATAAAATGATCTTGGCAGCCAACCTCACACTACAGAAGGTCAGTCCTAATCAAGAGAAGAGGAGACTGTCCTGAAATCTAGAATTCTTTATTAGGGGCCATTTAATTCTGGGACTCTTTGGTTCCTTTCTGCAAGCTCTAGGGGGGAATCCCTTTCCTTGCTTTTTCCTGCTTCTAGGGGCTGCCTCCTTTTCTTGAATTGTCACTCTCTTCCATCTTCAAAGCCAGCAATTGCATCATTCCAACCTGTGCTTCTGTCATCACATTGCCTTCTGTGTTTGACCCTCTGGCCCTCTCTTATGAGGACCCTTGTGACAACATCAGTCCCATCCAGATTATCCAGGATAATGTCCTCATCTCAAAATGCTTAACTTAATCACACGTGCAAAGGCCCTTTTGCCATGTAAGGTAACATATTCACAGGTTCCAGAGATTAGAATGTGGACATATTTGTGTGAACTGAGGCATTATTCTGCTTACAACAGTACAGCTTTACTATTTTATCCATCTCCTAGTCATGATTCCTGATCTACAATTTGTCTCTGATGTCTCTACTGATTGTTGATATTGGCCCTGATTTGAGCCTGGACATTGTGAATTTCTCTGCCTTTGGGTTTCTCTAAAAGGGATCCCTTTTATTATTAGTTTGACTATATATATATTCATTCAAACTCTGTCTTCACAGAAGACATAGTCGTATTTTATATATATCTATATCTATATATAGATATAGATCTATATCTATATATAGATATAGATCTATATCTATATATAGATATAGATCTATATCTATATATAGATATAGATCTATATCTATATTATATATATATGAAAGTTAGGAGCAGGCACTGTACAATGGAGAAAAGAAAGAAAGCGCATTTAATTCTCATAATAATCTTGTGAGCTAGATACTATTATTCTCATTTTTTAAATAAGGAAACTGGGGCTCATAAAGTTTCCATCATTCATCTAGATAATGCAAATAGGAATAGGCAAATCACATTTGAGAGAATGCTGTTATGACACTCGTTTTCCTGAACCAATTCATCAAAATTAGGCAAAAATAAGTTGGTAGGTGAGCTTCTATGTTTATTTAAATCATTCTCTTCCCCTCTCTGGCACTTGGGCCAACTTTGCAGTATCAATTGTTTCATACTTTCCCTCCTCTCTTCAACTTTTTCCTACTCCGCCTCCAAAGCAGTAGCTTTCTTGGTTGCCAGAAACATTTGGTACCACCTGGGATACATGAGTCCACATGAGTACTTATGAGAAGCTATTCCACAAACATTTACAGCTCTAAAATGGATCATTTCCTCAGCCTTACTTACTCTGAGTATTCTTGGGAGCTGAGATTTCCCAATATACTCATGATACTATTTCCCAGATTTAAACAGCCAAAGACAGAATGGGAACAGTCAGAATCCTTGCCTCAGGAATGGCTCTTTCCTTGATGTACCAATGAAGCCAGTCTGTTGACCTTCTGGGAAGGGTGCCAGGTCCAATTTTTCATTGGCTTTGGCTAGACCTTAAAGAGTTCTGAATTGGTGGAGCATTTTTATTAGATACAACTAATATTTATACTTGTGCTTAAGTCACAAAAGCTAAGAAGGTATTCCCCAATAATTTGAGAAGTGTTTTAGACCTTTGGGGTCAATCCCACCAGATGCTGTGTAGTCAAACTCTGTCTTCACAGAAGACATAGTCAGAGTCCTGTGCTGCCTCTAAGGCAGAAAAAAGTCCTGTCAGTGAAGCCAATTATGGGGATTGCTTTGGGCCCCAACCAAAGGAACATGGCTATTATAAAGCACAAAGGCATTCTGGGAACTTAGCAGAGGCAGCACAGAACATCACAACCAGAAACTGAAGCCATTACCCCTTATTAAGTAGACTCTAGGCTCAAGTTTGACTCACACTGGGATGTGGTCATGCCACCTTCCATAAAGGAGGCTGTATTTTGGCCTAGGGTAGCTATTTGCCATTTTTCTTTGACTGAGTCCATTGATATCAGTTGGCTGCAAAGGAAAAGTGGTGACTCTTAAAGAAGCCAAAAATGAAAATGCCTATTCACTTGAGTTTGATACCATCTGTGGCAAGTAATTCTATGAGCAGCCCTTGATGATATTTCTGTTTTGCTGCCAGAAACAATTTGGGGTTAAAAAGGGAAGGAAAGCCACCTGGATCCCGAAAACAGGAATGTCTGAATCATAAGCTCTTAAAGCAGAAGCCCCAAACACACCTAAGCAGCCAAATCTACCCTCCCACTTGATAAATACTAGCCAAACCTCAAGGCCAGGGTGAATAGAAGCAGTCATCAGACCAGAATTATAAGTGCTCTACTGTGCACTTCTCTCCTTTTTTGCTCCATCAAACACAAATTGATCATAATGAAATTATTTGACAGTGATAAATCAAGTCATTCAGGCTTTTATTTTACTGGGAGGGGAGTGATGCTGATCCCACCTGCTTGAAGTAGAAATTCAAAATCAGATTTTCTGGAGTATAAAAAGAAGCCCATCAACCTGGCTTCTCTACCGCTACTCATTTGCTCTGGCAAAGACAGAGGAAAGGGAGGAGCACGTACAGGTGGGCGGGTGGGATTCAAGTATGACTCGTGGCTTGCAGCCCTTGCCCCAAGTACAACCTGTGAAAGTCACAAACCTTGGCGAGTCGACCACTAGTTCTGGAGCTGATCCCAAAGCCAGGGGCTCCTAGTCCCCAGGAATATATAGAGTTAATGATGGTGCCACTGCAGTGGAGGGGTATGGCCTACTCCCCCAGGAAATTCAACTATTTTGTATTAATCCAGGGTCAGTTCTCAGACTAGCTGGTTTCTCCTTTCCAAGACCATATCCTACTTGTGCAGCACTGATTACCCAACAGAAGAAACAAGGGGATAAGAGTGTATAAGGTGACAATCTGGCCTTTAAGTTACAGAAGATAAACACTGTGTTGGATTAATAAGCCAACAATTTACTATGTGTTGCAGAAAGTTTTTATTTTTTAATTTAATTTAATTTAATTTTTTTGAGACAGAGTCTCACTCTGTCGCCCAGGCTAGAGTGCAGTGGCGCAATCTCAGCTCACTGCAACTTCCGCCTCCCGGGTTCACTCCATTCTCCTGCCTCAGCCTCCCGAGTAGCTGGGACTACAGGCACCCGCCACCATGCCCGGCTAATTTTTTGTATTTTCAGTAGAGACGGGGTTTCACTGTGTTAGCCAGGATGGTCTCAATCTCCTGACCTTGCGATCTGCCTGCCTCGGCCTCCCAAAGTGCTGGGATTACAGGTGTGAGCCCACCACTCCCGGCCTTATTTTTGTTTTTAAGGCAAATTGGCATCCATGTCACTTTGCCAAACAATGCAAAAACAGACAGGGAATTGGTACTTGTTGTATGTCTACTTTGTGGCAGGGCATTATACTGGTTGTTTTATGTATGTGCTTAATCCTCATTGCATATCTGTGAGGAAGGCACTACAACTCTGTTGGACAAAGCATAACAAACACTAGAGCTCAGAAAGATTAGGTGCATTGCCCAAGGTTACATAGCCAATAAGGGTTCCATCTAACTCCAAAGTCACAAGAAATGGGTCATCATGATTGTCGAGAAAATCTTCCATTAAATAAAATAAAAGTTTTAGAGTTAAAATAGAAAGATTTTTAAAGTCCAAAAACATTGCTTTTGCTGCTCTTTTTTCAGTAACAAATAGCTGACTCCATACAAGGTGTCCAGGAGCTCAGTCATGGCTAGACTGAGAATAGAAGATCCTCTCTTCACCTCAAGGGCTATAATAGGACTCAGCTTCAAAGTCCATTGACTCTGAAAGTCCAAAGGCCAGAAAAAAAAAATGTGTTTAGACTTCTTCTGTGCTCTCTCTAGCATGAAAAAGCCACAAACCAAAATGCAGGTTCAACTCAGATACAACCACGTGATAAATCAACTAACCAACTTGGAAGAGATGGATGTTAGTTGTTTTCTTGAGCTTCCTTTCTGCCACATGCTCAGCTATGCCCGTTGTGACCTTTCGACAAGTTTACACTCTGTTGGTAGGTGTATGGTTGGTGGATGACTGAGATGACAAGTGGGAAGAGGAGATGAAGCCTGTTCTCCCCCTTTATGCCCACCAGGATGCATGAATGTTCTTCTAAATCCAAAGGGATGATTCAATCCTACTGCACTTTACTGCCTCTTGATCTCAAAGAAGCTGAGAACTATGTCACTGGCTGAACATCCTTCCTACTGCCTTATGAACAGTGATGGTAGCTGTAATACCATCACCATCCCCCTATCCTGAGAATCAGATCCAAAATAGGGTGAGGATTTTTGGCCTTACCTCAGCTCCCCTCAAGAAGTGGGGAAGCTGGGGCTTGGGGTGGGGAATGAAGCTTCCAAGAAAGTCTCCTGTCTCCTAAGGTTTTTAACTTGCATGGAAAGGTAAGACAAATCATAGCTAACACTCCAAAAAGCAAAGAAAAGAGGGGGATTTTCTGTTAAATTCAGGAAAGCCCACTCCAGTCTTTTCTGCTGTGACCAAATGGGAAAGTTAAAAAACTAAAGTCTATAGTAAAAGTGACTGAAAGTCAGCTCTGCCTTATGCCCAGAACACTCAGCACAAGATCCCAGGGAGATACCTGCTGAATAAGGGTTGACTCTTATTTTTAGGTATGTCTAAAGGCAACTGGTAATTCTGTTTGGGTCAGTCAATCACTAAGAGTCAAATAAACTCAAGCTGTGCTCTATGATGCAAAAATACAGAAAATGGGTCTAATAACTTCAAAAACCAATTCACTAAAAATAGAAACATTTGAACATTACTTTGATATATATTGTTTTCTTGTGTTCTCACAACATCTTATTCTTATTCTTACATCCCTGTAAGATAAACAGAGCAAGAACTCTAATTACAACTTTACATATGGAGGCTCAAAGAGGAGACCTAACTTGCCCCGTATCACCTAGAAAGGTGATGGTAGAGCTTAAACTAAGACCCAGATCTTCTGACTTCTGTGAGGATACCAGATACGACTCTTTGCTGAGGGAGGCTGTGCTACTGCCTGCCTTAGCTGACATTTCTAGGCTTTCCCTCCTGTATCTTAACCTAAGATTTCTGCTCCTTGTCTCAGGTAACCTCACTGGTCCACTTGAATTAAAATACCTGTCAACCCCAAGCTCATCTACACGAGCTTCTGGTTCTAGTTGTTGTCACTAATATGTCTTATTTACATTTTTATCCCCATTTAATGATCATAGATTACTTTTATGGAAGCAGTGGAACATAGCAATTAAGCACATGTGCTCTCAAGTTAGAGGATCAGGGCTTAAATCCTAGTTCTACCACTTATTCCTCACATAACTTCAGACAAGCCACATAATCCTTCTCAGTCTCAGTTTTCTCATCTGTAAAATAGGGACAATAACAAGGTAATTACTTACCTTATAGCAAGCTTGCTTATGAATTGGTAACACAAATTCATAAATTATGCAATTTTTTTATTATTATTATACTTTAAGTTTTAGGGTACATGTGCACAATGTGCAGGTTTGTTACATATGTATACATGTGCCATGTTGCTGTGCTGCACCCATTAACTCGTCATTTAGCAGTAGGTATATCTCCTAATGCTATCCCTCCCCCCTCCCCCCACCCCACAACAGTCCCTGGTGTGTGATGTTCCCCTTCCTGTGTCCATGTGTTCTCATTGTTCAATTCCCACCTATGAGTGAGAACATGCAGTGTTTGGTTTTTGTCCTTGTGTTAGTTTGCTGAGAATGATGGTTTCCAGCTTCATCCATGTCCCTACAAAGGACATGAACTCATCCTTTTTTATGGCTGCATAGTATTCCATGTTGTATATGTGCCACATTTTCTTAATCCAGTCTATCATTGTTGGACATTTGGGTTGGTTCCAAGTCTTTGCTATTGTGAATAGTGCCGCAATAAACATGTGTGCATGTGTCTTTATAGCAGCATGATTTATAATCCTTTGGGTATATACCCAGTAATGGGATGGCTGGGTCAAATGGTATTTCTAGTTCTAGATTCCTGAGGAATCACCACACCGACTTCCACAATGGTTGAACTAGTTTACAGTCCCACCAACAGTGTAAAAGTGTTCCTATTTCTCCACATCCTCTCCAGCACCTGTTGTTTCCTGACTTTTTAATGATCACCATTCTAACTGGTGTGAGATGGTATCTCATTGTGGTTTTGATTTGCATTTCTCTGATGGCCAGTGATGATGAGCATTTTTTCATGTGTTTTTTGGCTGCATAAATGTCTTCTTTTGAGAAGTGTCTGTTCGTATCCTTCACACACTTTTTGATGGGGTTGTTTTTTTCTTGTAAATTTGTTTGAGTTCATTGTAGATTCTCGATATTAGCCCTTTGTCAGATGAGTAGGTTGCAAAAATTTTCTCCCATTCTGTAGGTTGCCTGTTCACTCTGATGGTGGTTTCTTTTGCTGTGCAGAAGCTCTTTAGTTTAATTAGATCCCATTTGTCAATTTTGGCTTTTATTGCCATTGCTTTTGGTGTTTTAGACATGAAGTCCTTGCACATGGAGTGGAGCCACGATGGCCGAATAGGAACAGCTCCAGTCTACAGCTCCCAGCGTGAGCGATGCAGAAGACGGGTGATTTCTGCATTTCCAACTGAGGTACCGGGTTCATCTCACTGGGGAGTGCCAGACAGTGGGTGCAGTGCACCGTGCATGAGCCGAAGCAGGGCGAGGCATTGCCTCACCCGGGAAGCGCAAAGAGTCAGGGAATTCCCTTTCCTAGTCAAAGAAAGGGGTGACAGACGGCACCTGGAAAATCGGGTCACTCCCACCCTAATACTGTGCTCTTCCAACAGGCTTAACAAACGGCACACCAGGAGATTATATCCCCCACATGGCTCAGAGGGTCCTATGCCCACGGAGCCTCACTCACTGCTAGCACAGCAGTCTGAGATCAAACTGCAAGGTGGCAGTGAGGCTGCGGAAGGGGCGCCCACCATTGCTCAGGCTTGAGTAGGTAAACAAAGCAGCTGGGAAGCTCGAACTGGGTGGAGCCCACCACAGCTCAAGGAGGCCTGCCTGCCTCTGTAGGCTCCACCTCTGGGGGCAGGGCACAGACAAACAAAAGACAGCAATAACCTCTGCAGACTTAAATGTCCCTGTCTGACAGCTTTGAAGACAGTAGTGGTTCTCCCAGCACGCAGCTGGAGATCTGAGAATGGGCAGACTGCCTCCTCAAGTGGGTCCCTGGCTCCCGAGTAGCCTAACTGGGAGGCACCCCGCAGTAGGGGCGGACTGACACCTCACACGGCCGGGTACTCCTCTGAGATAAAACTTCCAGAGGAACGATCAGGCAGCAGCATTTGCGGTTCACCAATATCCACTGTTCTGCAGCCACTGCTGCTGATACCCAGGCAAACAGGGTCTGGAGTGGACCTCCAGTAAACTCCAACAGACCTGCAGCTGAGGGTCCTGACTGTTAGAAGGAAAACTAACAAACAGAAAGGACATCCACACCAAAAACCCATCTGTATGTCATCAATTATGAGATTTTTTGTGATTAATTTTAGCTCAACCATTATCTTTAGTGTTAGTGTATTTTATGTGTGGCCCAAAACAATTTTTCTTCCAATGTGGCCCAGGGAAGGCAAAATATTGGATGCCCCTGCCTTATGGTGTTTTCTGTGACAATCACATGAGATACGGCAAAATCCTTATCACAGTAATGTACATGTTACAATGAAAGTTTTGACTCTGGTACTAGAGAAAAGTAGGTTTAAAGTTCTACTTCTACCACTTATGACCATAAGCAAGGTGCTTAATTTCTCTGTGCATCGATTTCCTCATCTGTAAAGTGGGGGTGATAATAGTACCTATTTGAATAGGGCTGTTGGGAGGATTTAAAAGATAATACATTTAAAATAGCTGGCACATAGTCAGTACTCAATGAAGGTTACTACTATAATTATACATGTTTTTAGCCTCCATGCCTGGCACAGTTCCTGATACATAATAGAAGCTCAGTAAAAATTTATTGAGTAGAAGACAATGGCTTAGCCCCTCCAACAGGAGGAACATAATAAAACATCATCCCTCATGAGACTGGATAGGAGTAGAAAAGGTAATTAGTGGGATGAATGAGGATTAATGATCTTGAGTCCTTAAGGAGGCAGTTATTTTTTCCCTAGAGGGGACACCTTTTTTTGGCATAAATGTCAAGCTTCACTCGCCTCATATAGGTTTTGACGTCTGGTGTTTTATCTTTATTAGGAAGTCAGTGGAAGAAGACTGTGGGTGCAGTTGCTTGGTTTTAGTAAATTGATTTGAATTTTCTTCTGAGATAATTCTCAGCTAATCAGATCTTATTGAGACCAAATTAGAATTATATGGAGACAAAAACACATCTCACTAACTGAAATAAGCCAGACACAGAAAGACAAAAAATGTATGATCTCACTTATATGTGGAATCTAAAAAAAATGAACTCATAGAAACAGAGAATAGAACTGAGGTTCCCACAGGCTGGGGTGTAGGGGAAATAAGGAGATGTTGATCAAAGCATACACACTTGCAGTTATAAGACGAATAAGTTCTGGGGATCTAATGCACAGCATGGTAACTATAGTTAATACTGTATGGCATACTGGAAATTTGATAAGGGAGCAAATTTTAAGTGTTCTCACCACATACACAAAAAGAGTAACTATGTATGATAGTGTATGTGTTAATTTAATTTGACTGTGGTAATCATTTCACACATAATCACACTGTATACCTTGAATACATATAATTTTGTCAATCAAATGTTTTAAAACTTTAAAAAGGAAAAATAATCCCACATGTGTCACAGACTTCACTGTGTTACAATTAAAATAAAAATGGTTCCTTTGAACTTGTGGGTATGGCAGGGAAGAAATCAAACCAAAACCAATCATGATCCTGGGTACCTGCCCTCATCAGCTACCGCTCTCCTCAACTGGGGACTTCCAGGAAAAGGGATCAGCACTAACTTTTTTTTTTTATTATTGAAATCCTTACTTCTTATTCAGTGATATTCCCCAGGTTCCCAGCATCCACAGGTAGGGGGACTGAGCATTGAAAAAGTCTGTTGAAATACAGCTCAGTAATACCCTCCGTCCCTGGCCTGTCAGCAAGTGCTTACAAGCATGTCCAAATATTGTCATACCTTTATCTACAGTTTTTCAGTGCAGACTAGCAGAGAGTGAAGTCACTTGCAGCTTGGAAATTCAGGGAGCTGTTCTGAGCCTGGGAACCAATATCGGCCTGAGGCAAGATGGCAAAATCTAGAGAGTTTGTCTCCTGAGCCACAACACCTCCATTTTTGAAGGGCCAAGTTGACTTTAAACACTACATCAATATTCTCCCTTCCATCATACTCTACCATTCAGGTGTTGTGTTTAACCCCTGCACAGTTCTGATACGCAAGCAGTCCCCATTCACCCACCCTGGGCACAATTCTAAACCTCATTTGCCTGAATCTCACTCGATATTACCGAATGACTAATCTAATAAACTCATTTCTGCACAGATGTTAACAGTTGAAAATGGCTCCATCTACAACTATTACACTTGGAACAGGAACCTTCGATAATGCCTTAGCTTAAAGAAGAACATTCTGGAAAGACTTTAGACACCATGAAGTTACATAGGGTAGGCTATCCACTGGCACACCAACCCTACAGCAATGACCCGGGAGTACCCTGGCCTAGGCTTGTGACCTTCAGACACCCCTGGCTCTTTTCTGCCTATGGGTCAAAATTTGAATTGATGGACTGGAATTGGCTGTTTCTCTGACAACCTCTTCATCACTTTGACAGCCCATTGAGGCTGGCTGCCATTCAAGCAGACCACAGTGCATGAAAAGCGAGTTTTGATATACTGGTATTGTAGTATACAGGCCCCATCTCAATCCCAACCTCATCCCTTCCTATTTACTCATAGCCCTGACAGCCAAAAAGAAGGTGAGGTAAGAGGTGTAAGTGAATGTCAGGCAAGTCAGCCATTTGCAGCTTAGTGAGGTGTAGTTCAACTAAAGACTTAACTTCTGCATGTGCTGGCAGCCCTGACCAAAGCTTGGGGTGAGGCTGAATCACCAAAGACAAGCTCAAATGCTGACTTTTTGGTTGAGTGAATGGGGGAACAGTATTTATGGGGAAAGCTATACTATCGGCTGTACTATTTTATTTTATATTTTATTTTATTTTATTTTATTTTGTTTTATTTTATTTTATTATTTTATTTTATTTTATTTTATTTTTATTTTATTTTATTTTATTTTTTGAGACGGAGCCTTGCTCTGTCACCCAGGCTGGAGTATAGTGCTCACTGCAACCTCCGCCTCTTGGGCTCAAGTGATTCTCCTGCCTCAGCCTCCTGAGTAGCTGGGATTACAGGCACGCACCACCACACCTGGCTAGGCTGTACCTTTGATATCAAATAATTGAGGATGCGAAGTATGAATGACATTTGTCTGGTGTAGGCCAAATACATGAATAATAATGTCCACCATTTATTGGGCATTTAATGAGTGCCTGGCACTTCCCATAAATTACTACTAATCTTTGCAATGATCCTGCAGCATTGCTCTTACCCCCATTTTACATCTATGAAAACTATAGCTTAGAGAGGTGACTATCTCTCTATATATCTGATCAATATTGGAGCTGGAATTTGAATTCATATATGACTCTAAAATCTTTGTTCTTGTCATTATATCCCAGTGTTTTTCTGCACCAAGCTACTTGTTTTAAGAAGAGTAAATCTGCTTAAGGATCATTCTTGAAATAATGATATCTCTCCAATAACGCATCCCATAGTGATGGGAAAAGACACATCTGCTGGAAGTGGGAAGATGATACATGGAAGGCTTCATAAAGCAGGTTGTAGCTGAGCTAGGCCTTGAAGGATGGACAGAATTTTCATAGACAGAGCTGGAGGGAAAGGATATTCCTGAAACTGGTTGCAGTGTGCACAAAGGCTGAAAAATGCAGCTTTGGAGTAAGAAAGAGCTGGGTTTTAAAAGAGCTGGGTTTAAATTCCAGCCCTGACACTTACATTTGCATTCAATGCTCTGCCCCTTCCTATGTTACTGCCAACTTCCTACTCACACCCTCTCACATTCGCCCATCCAGGGTGCTGGTGACAGCTTGTACTGGCTTGCAAGAACTAATTGTACACTTGTCCTCCCAACTCTGAGTTCAGTGACTTCACATATATAGCTTAAAATAAGCCATGGTGGAATTATTTACACCATGGAAATAGGCAACTGCTACAAATAAGTTTTTTGTTTGTTTTGGAGTGATGGTTTGACAACGAGTACACCATTGCACAAACACTCCAGGGTAGGGGCCAGGGAATCTCCATTTTTTCCAAAAACTCCACATTAATTCTACAGCCTGGCCATTCACAAAGCTTTTTGGGGCAGTGGACCTTAAACTTAGGTATGCATCAGAATGATTAAAGAGAAGCTTGATAATATGTGTATTCCTGGGTCTCCTTCCTAAAATTCTAATTCATTGAGTCAGAAGTGCAGCCCAGGAATCTGTATTTTAATAAGAGCCTGCCTCCACTCATCATTCTGTTGGAGATGATCTGGGCTCATTTGGTCTCATCTCAAGTATACAGGCACTGGAGAGAATGGAGGCAGAGCAAAGTGCAGGGATCACAGACTATGCCAATCACAGACATCTGAGAAATTAACAAAATTGCCCAAGTTTCTCACCAGGTTTTCTTTTTTTAACCATCAGAAAATCAATTGATTAAGCAGCTGGAGCAAAAACTTGGGTTATAAAGAAGTTGGCAACAAAAAGCACAAGAACAAAATGCACTAAGTAAAAGAGAGCTTACCATTTAGGCAGGGCCATTTCACCCAGCCATCCTCCTCTCCAAATCTTGCACTATGTATACACGTAATATGCCAGAGAAAACTACTAGAAAAACAAGAGCTTAGGAGAGACCAAGGTTTAGTCTTGAAAAAGAGGTAGGTTTGGAGCGTGGAATGCAGAAGAAAGTCAAAAGGCAGATAAATGTAGTAGTCAAGCAGGCAAGCTCTGGTATCAAACTGCCTGGGTTTCGATTTCTGTCCTACCACTTATTAGTATTGTGACCTCAGGCAAGATATTTAATAACTCTGTGACTTAATGTTTCTTGCCTGTAAAATAAAGTTAATATTAGTAATTACCTGCTGGGGTTGTCATGAAGATTAAATAAATTAGTATTTGTGAA
Organism: Homo sapiens; assembly: GCF_000001405.40. Lineage (NCBI taxonomy): Eukaryota > Metazoa > Chordata > Mammalia > Primates > Hominidae > Homo > Homo sapiens. The sequence continues at coordinate 112,224,979 of NC_000023.11, read as the reverse complement.
CTATTTAGAACAGTACCTGGCACATAGGAAGCACTTTCTGTGTTTGTGAAATAAATAATTGACCAGTCAGAAAGAAAAGTGTTCCTGAGAGCTATAGGTCAGACACTGTTTCGTGGCTGAGTTAGAGTGTGTCCACCTGCTTCATAAAAATAAAGTTGGTAGGGAGTGCAACATTGAACTCCCACCTACAAATTTTCACCTTTCAGGAATGGTAACCATTGTAGTTGTTTCATGTGACCAGTGTGAGAGCTTGACTGCCATTGAAATAATGTATAAATGAATGGGAAGCACACATATCTCTGCTGTGGGTGCCTGAAGTATTTCTCTAAAGAGTCTGGAAAGACCAGATCTGGTGCCTCACGCCTATAATCCCAGGAATTTGGGAGGCTGAGGCAGGCAGATCACTTGAGACCAGTTTGAGACTAGCCTGGGCAGCATGGCAAAACCCCGTCTCTACTGAAAATACAAAAATTAGCCAGGCATGGTGGCACATACCTGTAATCCCAGCTACCCAGGAGGCTGAGGCACAAGAATCGCTTGAACCTGGGAGGCGGAGGTTGCAGTGAGCTAAGACAGCGCCACTGCACTCCAGCCTGGGTGACAGAGTAAGACTCAGTCTCAAAAATAAATAAATAAATAAATAAATAAATAAATAAATAAATAAATAAATAAATGTATCTGGAAGGTCTGTGATTAATTTTATTATTCATAATGCAAAAATGCAATTCTCCAAGCTCATGTAGTGTTGTCCAAAATATGAAGCTGTGCTATTTCACTTTGCAGACCATGTCTCTACTGGTATAATTCTTAGTCACACTGACTGCTTCTGACCGCCCAGCAGTCTCAGTCTGCATCTCTTCCAACTGTGACAATAAGGACCAATTATGGGCTCCATAAATTTGAAGCATGCAGAGATTCAGGAAAGGCCAAGGAGAGCAGATAACTAACTGGTTAACAGATATTCAATACTGAGACCTCAAAGGAAAAAATTAAGGAAATTGAACCAGTTGACCAGGAGAGACCAAAGAGTGAGTTGATCGTGGTTTCCAGGAATCACAAGGCATCACTACATGAAAAGGAAGATAGTATTAAATCTCCATTGAGGAAAAATGAGCACTAGGTTACATTATCTGTAATTTAGGTCAGATATGAAGAGGAACTTCATGAGAGAAAAAGGTAATGAATATTGCTATGAATTATTAGGTGGGGGCAGAGAGATAACCTCTCTCATATAGAGTTTTTAACATGGGACAGGGTCAGCTGTCCAGTGGAGTCCCTCCTACAGGGAGGAAAATGAACTAAATCTCCTTTCAAGATCTCTTCCTATGAGTATAATAATTGGAAACATCCATAGAAATAGCCTGAAGCTACCACAGATGTCCCTAGGGGCATGGGAATGTAGAGCTGGGGGCTGTGGCCTCCTTAGTGACCTAGATTACACGGAAGAGCTGTCTCACAGTGGAGGCAGACGTAGCAAGTACCTTAGCCCATCCTCAGTTCATCCTTTTGTCTTTAAACTATCTGTCTCATTTAGGATAGTGAGATCCAAGATAGATTAGATTACATCAAGGAAATAGGATTCTTTTAAATAGGTAATACAAAACATGTCTAAAGAAACTCAGTGATAATTGCATTATCTCTGGCACGTTGTCAGGGAATTATCTGTATTGTATTAGGTGGTGGAAGGATGCCAAAAAGCTATTTAAAATACAAGCCCAGTTGTTTCAGTCAGTTGATCTTTGGTTACAAATGAATTAAAAAGCTTGAAATTTTCATATTTATAATTCCAGTTGCCCTCCTTTACCAATGGTGACAAGAGCTGAATACAATTAACTAGTGACAGCTTGAACAGGCATGAAAAAATCTCTGTGATGATAATATGATCTCCTGGCCCTTCTTCCTCTTTGTCTTCCCCAGTTCAAACTATTTGCAAAATGTCAGCCAAAGGAAAAGTGTTCAGCATCCTGTGCACGCTTCAGCCACTGCTGAGAATTGTCAATAACTCTATTTCCATGATACATTAACATTTGTATCATAATATGTTCAATCTGGTCTAAATGAAGGTGAAACCATTGGTAATGATTTCCCTTCCCTCACCCACACTTCTTTCACTGGCAACAAGACAGTTGTCAGCAGTATACCAGGGGCAGGGGATCTTCTTGCCAACTACATGGCATCAGCCCCATTCGGCATTTCCTTGACTGGATCCTTACGAATGAAAGGAATATCTTTTTTTTTTTCTTTCTTAAGTCACGGTCTTGCTCTGTTTTCCAGGCTGGAGTCCAGTGGCATGATCACAGCTCACTGTATCCTCAACTCCCTGGGCCCAAGTGATCCTCCCGCCTCAGCCTCCTGAGCAGCTAGGATCACAGACATGAATCACCACACCCAGCTATTTTTTTTTTTCAATTTTTAGTAGAGATGAGGTCTCACTATGTTGCCTAGGCTGGTCTTGAACTTCTGTGCTCAAGAGATCCTCCTGCCTCAGCCTCCTCAGCCCTCCCAAGATTTGTGGATTACAGGCATGAGCCAGAGTGTCCAGCTAGGAATATCTTTACTATTGCAGAAGATATGAAAAGTGTGCTCCAGTGGCTGTGGGTACTGGAGCTGGACCTATCCCTGATTCCACAAGTCCATAATCCTATTTGATCTTCCAGACTTTAGAATGTATATCCTGTCCCCCATTGCATGAAGACTCACTGTAATAAGTAGGGTAGAAAATAGATAGGAGATTTCTGAAGAGGTGGTAAAAATTTTAGTTCTAGTCTCCAAGATAACACATGGAGAGAATTGTCTTCCCATCAACTGTTTTTCTGGTCATGACTAGATCTTGTGGGTCTAGTGGGCCTCCATATATTCAAGAAAATAATTGTCCTTAGCTCTTCATGACACTATACTGTTCTCACAGTGATATCATAGAACTTACCCTTCATACTGAGAGAATATTTATTGTGTATAAGGTGAGAGAATGAGGGGCACAAAATGAACCTGAGAATGAACTCAAGATCTTTTATTATTTCACATTCAATCCTGTTGTCTACAACACAGTGAAAACAAGAAGGGCAAGGCCCTATTTTTAACAAAAGCTAGGAAGCTCACAGGTAACAAGACCATCCAAACAATGAAAGTAATTGACCAACCCAAAAGGAGTCATTCAGCCTATGTGATGCCACAATAAGGAAGCTAAATCTTTGTGTTTGTTAGTCCGTTACCCCTTCCTTTGGTAATAACACCCTGAATTTCCTTCAGAAAACAACCTCTCCATCATTCTCAGTTTACGTGATTTACATGAGACTGAAGCCATCCCTCTGATTCCACAGAAAGGCAGATGACCCAGGCTTGGTCAACAAGAATGACCCTCAAGCTATAAACTAAAATTATTGGTAAAGAAAGTATTTTCCTTCTAGGGTTGCTAAGGTGGCAGGATTCAAGCCTAGTGCTGTTGGTGCCCATCTTTCCTATCATTTGGAAAGAGCTTGGCTGAGAACAACACCAACATAGAGAAAGAACCAAGAGATAGAGACAGGTTCCTCATGACCTGGCTGGAGCACCTTGATGCTGATACCAAATACCTCCCTGAACTGTTCAGTTATGATAAGGTTAAGGCTTTGTGTCCCCACCTAAATTGCATCTTGAATTGTAATCCCCAGGTGTTGAGGGAGAGACTCAGTGAGAGATGATTGGATCATGTGGGCAGTTTCCCTCATGCTGTTCTTATGATAGTGAGTGAGTTCTCACAAGATCTGATGGTTTTATAAGGTAATTTTCCCTGCTCTTGCATGCTGTCTCTCACCTGGCACCATGTAAGGTGTGTGTGCTTTCCCTATCGCCATAATTGTAAGTTTCCTGAGGCCTCCCCAGCCATGCAGAACTGTGAGTCAATTAAACCTCTTTTCTGTATAAATTACCCAGTCTCAGGCAGTTCTTTATATCAGTGTGAGAATGGACTAATAAAGAAAATTGGTACTGAGAGTAGGGTATTGCTATAAAGATACTTGAAAATGTGGAAGCAACTTTGGAACTGGATAACAGGCAGAGGTTGGAACAGTTTGGAGGGCTCAAAAGAAGACTGGAAGATGGGGGAAAGTTTGGAACTTCCTAGAGACTTGTTGAATGGTTTTGACCAAAATGCTGATAGTGATGTTGACAATGAAGTCTAGGCTGAGGCGATCTCAGATGGAGATGAGGAACTTGTTGGGAACTAGAGTAAAGGTCACTCTTGCTATGCTTTAGCAAAGAGACTGGAAGCATTTTGCCCCTGCCCTAGAGATCTGTGGAACTTTGAACTTGAGAGAGATTATCTGAAATTGGAACTTATGTTTAAAAGGAAAGCAGATCTTAAAAGTTTGGAAAACTTGCAGCCTGACAATGCAATAGAAAAAAACAACCCATTTTCTGGAAAGAAATTCAAGCCTGCTGCAGAAATTTGTATAAGTAACCAGGAGCCAAATGTTAATTGCCAGGATAATGGGGAAAATGTCTCCGGGGCATGTCAGAGATATTGGCAGCAGCCACTCCCATCACTTGCCCAGAGGCTTGGGAGGGAAAAATGGTTTCATGGGCTGGGCCCAGGGCCCCCTACTGTGTGCAGCCTTGGGACTTGGTGCCCTGCATCCTAGCTGCTTTTACTTGGGTAGTTAATAGTGTTATCTTTGACTCAATTTGAGTGGAATTCAACTTTACTGTAGTCCTTTTTAAAAATATATATATTGTGAGCCCAAAAGAACAAATATATTTTTCAATTCAGGAAATACAATTTAGACTAGCAAAATAATTTGACCTTATTCTTAAATAAGTCATTATTTTATAGGATTATTTTAAAGCCCAATTGTGTTCTAGGAAAAAGGGGCAGAGTCCCTTTGAAGAGATATATTAGTGTCAAAAGCCAGGCTTTAAAACTTCTATGAGAACTTTTAATGAATAAGCATAACTGATTATATAGAGGTGAGAATAGGAATACTGGCATGATTTGGATCTGGATCTAAACAACTAGGGAAACACCCAGAGGAGGAGAAGGTGAGGTTAATCAAGCCTAAAGAACAGAAAGCAAGGCGTGGAGAAAGAAAGGTTTTTCTATCTTAAGCAATTATTAGATTAGGGCTCCAAGCGTCTAACCAGAGCCAGGCCCAGTATAAGGGGCAGAGGCTCTAGACCAGTTATCTCCAGTTTTTTTAATCATGTACCACATTACAAAAAAAATTTGAGAATATATCCAAATGTATGTAAAATTACTTATCTATAAATAATGTACATGTTTTGTTGTGATTCACTAATATCTCAAGGCAAAATATTCACTAGGATGAGAAATTATCACTAATGATAATGGACATCATTTTTTCAAATAGTCTCCTTGATAATTTTGGTTTGTTTTGCTTTGTTTTTGAATGACAGCTTTTCTAAACTATTTAAATCACAACTGTTTTTACCCAATAAATCAATAGCTGATGAAAAGCTCATACCTGAAAGAGGAGAGGTGTTAGCTCTGCCATTTTAGTGATATTTGTTTGTGCTAAAATTATTAGCATGATCTTCAAGCCAAAGTTGCTTTGAAGAAATATTTATTAAACCACATGTCCGTTTTTTGAGGATCTGTTTAAAGAATAAATAAATAATACTCATAAATACACTGATCTGGGCATATGTGAACTTCAATGCATGGCAATGTTTTGAAAGCAAATAAATGAGTTTCTATTTCTGGAATTCTTATTCCCTTGAGATGCCTTGTAAATCTCAGATGGCATGGCATGAGATCCTGTGACATAGATACTGAATAAGGGCACCAATGCCAATCTGAGAATTAAATATAAGTACATTCTGATTATTTTCTTATAATGATGTTAAGATATCACCATTTTGGAGATCACTGCTCTAGAACCTTCCTCAGCACAACACATAGACATGTACCATTATAAGAGGCCTAAGTCAAGTCCCATTTATTATTTGCTAGATGGGTCTATTGTGCTATCAGGAACAATTCTGGCTACTTCTTAAAATCAAAACAACTCTATCACCTATATGAATCCTAAAATGCATTTAAGAAGGCAAACTTCCTTTCTTTTCTCACTTATTGATAAAATGTTTAAAATGTAATTTCTCTTAGAAGTAACATAAATCCTGGACAAAGTCAATCAGTCACCCACAACTATGGCAATTTCCAGGCACTCAGGTCTTCAAACCACAGGTTTGTCTACATGGTGGTAGCTACTTAAATTGCAGACAGAATATCTAATAGTCTCGTATCTAACAGAACACAACAGAATATCCAATAGTCTTACGGGCTATTGAAAAACCAAATCCCGAATCACAATCAGAGGCAAGAACTAGAAAGAACTAGAAAGTGGTGATCATACCACATCTAGAGCTGTGTATGAGAGTATGGTAGGGGGCAGCAGTTAGCTAGAATGTGCTGAGAACTGGCTTAAATTACTTGGTCTTTAACTAAAGGATCTCGAAATTGGGTGCAGACAGAATGGGAATGCCAGTTGCCAGTGGGCAGACAATGGAAGACTGGGAAACAAATAAAGGACAATAGTGTTTTCAAGGAGAGAGCCTATGGAGAAAGGGCATGAGGCAACCTAATCACAAACTGGCTCTTAACTTTGGCACCAGTTAACAACACATGTCATGATTAGTTGACAGTTTGGTAGAAGACCTGATGGAGGCCAGCATCACAGAGATAGGGAAACCAGGACAATTAGAGTTTAGTTCACTTCAGCCAAGGAAGGGATGACACAGAGCCAGAGCTTGTGCCTATTGCATATATGCAGTCTGCTGTTCACTTTTGTCCCTACCAAAGTTACTACTATTACTAAGTATCCTGAACTCTTGACAAGCTACTAGGCAAAATTAACCCATTGATAATAATTGCTTTTAATATTCCCTACTTCCGTTTTTGTTTCCCTTGCCCCATTCCAGGTACCCTGACTCTTCCTATACCTGCTTAGACTTTGTTCCCAAAGAGCTTGTTTCTTTTGGTTGTCAACTAACTCTCAATAAGATTTGTTGTTTAGTTGATTAAATGTCTAGTGATGGCTTACAGTATTCCTTTTCCCAGAGGTTCTTTTTTTATCTTTTTGATTTCCATTTTTGCAAGGTACTCCTAAAAACTAGAAAGTCTCCTGCAGAAAAGAGAATTAAGTCTTAATGAAATTTCAGACACCATGATAAAGAATGAGGGAAATATTTCATTCAGGGGCTCTGCTCAACCATTCGAATTACGCCACCTAGGATCCTTTAAGGCCAACTCTATGTTAAGCAGAACAATTACATATTTATTGTGCATATGCTATTGGCAGAAAATATTACTGACATATTCTTTTCTCCTTACCCAACATTTGATTGTTTATTATGTACATCATCACATTTACTACTCACGACAATCTCATGTGATCTCCTGTTATGACTCCCCCACCACTAAGAAATGACTAAATTAAAATCCAAGGAGATCAATGAATTGAGTGAGAGCATACAGAAAGTAATTGGCAGAATTGACACTGGAGCCCAGGTGATTTCTGGAGTTCATGTTCTTAAAACTGGATTCTACTCCCTATTAGGAATTAGCAAGAAAAGAAAAGAAGTTGCTAGTGCTGTTGACAATAAGCCACTTGCAATGGAAGAGGCAGAATCTTCCTTTCATAAAGTATAATGCCTCCTCTGATAACCACCAACTCTCTTCATGTGCCCAGTTGATTTGGGGCATTCTCAAAGCTCTTAATTTTTAGAACACTCAGGACACTGCCTATGTCACTATTTCAGAACCCTATAGGAAGTTAAGAGGACAAGAAGGCTCTGTCCCTCTTGTGGCATTTCTGCTCACATTGCCCAGCTTCCTTCCCTCCAATCAGAAATAATGAGAACTTTGTATCTATTCTCCCCTCTCATTCTCTAATCTCCTTTCACCTATGGTAGCATCAACCAGTGCTAACCTCTAGCCAAGGAATGTCTATTTTTCTAATGTTAATGAGAGCCATTGATTTCAGGGCTGATAATGTTCTGGATGATCCCTGTTGTCAAAAATGGATCACTCACTATTTGCACAGCTAGCAAAGGACTGTTGGATTAAATTTCTCATTAAGTATGTAGAAGCCAAAGACTTTGGAATAAGCAACAAGATGACCTCAATATATGGGTAGATTTTAATGGTCTGTTCCACTACCACTGGGGGAAATGAGCCAATTCCTCATCCTACAGATGCTGGAGAGAACTTCTTACTTCCTCTGTACTAAAATAAACACGCTTGAGAAGAAAATTCTATTCCAGGTCTCTCTAAGCCAATCATACCATTTACAAATCCTTTAAAAGAGGGGAGTTGGAGAGCCATCTACATTGTAGGAAAGCTTTTTATAGGGAGGCAAAGAAAGTAGAAGAAAAGACTACAGACCCCAAATGTAACCCAGAATTTTAAAGTAGTTTTTATATAAGTTCCTGCAACTAGAATTCATGGACAAACTATTAGTAGGTAACAGGCTAGGGTGGGCAAAATAGTCCTCCAGTGCCCAGATGTTAATCCCCAAACATCCTTTCTTTAAAGATAGCTTCACTATTGGGGTTTATGGCTATGACAACTATTAAAATACACGTATTCTATGGTTAGGAGTATGGTGATTATAAATTAGTGATATTCTAAAACATTTATGAAAACCACACTTCTATTTAATGGTAGTGTTAGTGTTTACGTTGGTGGAATAATTGATTTTGAGAGGCCAAAGAGTTCTACTTCAAACTTCCACTCAGCTCTCCTCTGCATTGTCCCTGACAGACAGAGCTCCAAAGGGTTATGGGAAATTTTACTTTGCAAGGCAGTAGGTGTTTCAAACTGAGTCTGGATTGACCTAGCTGGAACCTCTACTCCTTGGTGTTGATGCTTCCTTCTGAAGCTATAATTTTTAAAGATTATTTATTTATACAATGAAAGAAAATACCATTCCCTCTCCCCATCCCTTAACATAAAGGAAAACATTTGACAGATACAACGTGCAACCCCCTGATTTTTATATGTTGGCAACTAATTTGAAAACCTTTAAAAAATACTCAGTGGTGAGAAATTAGAACCCCTGTGCATTGCTGATAGGAATGTAAAATGGTGCAGCCACCATGGAAAACAGTATGGTAGAGCAGTTCTTAAAAAAACTAAGCTTAGAATTACCATATGATGCAGCAATATCACTTCTGGAGATATACCAAAAAGCACTGAAAGTAGGGCTTGAACAGGTATTTGTACATCCATGTTCATATTAGTTTCATTCACAATAGCCAAAAGGAAGAAACATCCCAAATATCTATCAACAGATGAGTGGATAACCAAAGTATGGTATAGACATACAATGGAATATTATTCAGCCTTAAAAAAGAATGAAATTCTGACACATGCTACAATATGGATGAACCTTGAAGACAGCACTGAATGAAATAAGACAAACTAAAAAGGACATATATTGTGTGACTCCACTTATATGAAATATCTAGAATAGTCAAATTGATAATAAAGAGTTAATATCCAAAATATATAAGGAACTCCCACAACTCAATAGTAAATAAACACAGATAATCATATGAAAAATGGGCAAAGGAACTGAATAGGCATTTCTCAAAAGAAGATATGCAAATTGTCAACAGGTATGTGAAAAGGTACTCGAAATAGTGCAGTAAGGAAATTATTGCTAATAACAATTATTATAGATTTCAAAATAGCTAGAAGAGAAGAATTGTGATGTGCCCAACACAAAGAAAAGATAATGTTTGAGGTTATAGATATCCCAATTACCCTGATTTGATCACTAAACATTGTACACAGGTATCAACATGATACATGAACCCCCCAAATATGCACAACTGTTATATATCGAATAATATAAAAATAAATAAATAAATAATCTTTTAAAAATCACTAATCAGCTGGGCACAGTGGCTGACGCCTGTAATCCCAGCACTTTGGGAGGCCGAGGTGGGTGGATCACAAGGTCAGGAGATCGAGACCATCCTGGCTAACATGGTGAAACCTCGTCTCTACTAAAAATACAAAAAATTAGCCGGGTGTGGTGGTGGGTGCGTGTAGTCCCAGCTACTCGGGAGGCTGAGGCAGGAGAATGGCATGAATGTGGGAGGCGGAGTTTGCAGTGAGCCAAGATCGCACCACTGTACTCCAGCCTGGGCAACAGAGAGAGACTCCGTCTCACAAAAAAAAACAAAACAAACAAACAAAAAAAACACTAATCATCAGGGAAATGCAAATCAAAACCACAATCAGATATCACCTCACGTTGTTAGAATGGCTATTATGAACAAAACAAAACAAAACAAAAAACAAGTGTTAGCAAAGATGTAGAGAAAAGAGAAGCCTTATATTCTGTTGGTAGAAATGTAAATTGATGCAACCACTATAGAAAACAGTATAGAGGTTCCTCAAAAATTTAAAAATAGAACTACCATATGATCCAGCAATCTCACTTCTGTCTATATGTCCAAAAGAATTGAAATCAGGATCCGAAAAGATATCTGCCTGCTCATATTCATTGCAGCATTATTCCTAGTAGCCAAGACATGAGAGCAACCCTAAATTTCCATGTGCAAATGAATGGATAAATAAAATGTGGAATATGAATGTAATGAGGTATTATTCAGCTTTACAGAAGAAGGAGATCCTGCCATTTGTGACAATGCAGATGAACCTGGAGAACATTGTGCTAAGAAAAATAATCCAGACACAAAAAGACAAATAATACATGACACCACTTATAAGAGGAATCCAAAATAGTTACATTCATAGAGAAAGAGAGTAGAATGGCAGTTTCTAGAGGCTGAGGGGGAAATTGAGTGGTATTAGAGCACAAAGTTTTAGTTACACAAGATAAATACATCCTAGAGATCTACTATACAGCATTGTGCCTATAGTTAACAATACTGTATTTTATACTTAATTTGCTAAGAGGGTAGACCTTATGTTAATTGTTCTTATCCCAAAATATAAATAAATAAATAGGGCAAGGGGAAACTTTGGGAGATGAATAAGTTTATGGCATAGATTGTAGTGATGGTTTCACACGTGTATACTTATCCCCAAATTCATTAAGTTGTATACATTAAATATATACAGCTCTTTTTATGTGAATAAATATCACAGTGAAGTGGTACTTTAAAAAAAAAAAAAGAAGGTAAAACGGTGGTGGCCAGGGGCTCAGGAAGAAAGTCATGGGGAGTTGTTTAATTGGTACAGAGTTTCAGTTTGGAAAGACAAAAAACTTCTGGCGATGGATGGTCATGATGGTTATACAACAATTGGAATATACCTAATCCCATTGAACTGTATGCTTAAAAATGGTGAACACTGTAAGTTTTATGTTATGTATATTATACCACAATTTTAAAAATGGTGAAATCCATATAGTCTGGAGCTCACTTAATAGTAAAAACAAACAAACAAAACACTCAATGGTACAAATAAAACAAAATATGTTTGTATGACACCAAGCACTGGACTCAGCTATTCAACTGTGGTCTGGCCAGCGCCAAGTATAGCAGACCTTGTCATATTTCTTGATCTGGATCAGAGATTTTGATAAGCATAGGCTTAATCTCATACTATGATAGTGGTACTTCCTGAATGCTTACAATAGGCAAAGCATTGCTCCAAGCACCACCCATTTATTAACTCATTTAATCTTCCCCATAATCCTGTGAAGTAAATGTTATTGGCCTTATTTTACCAAAGAAGAAACTAAATCATGAAGAGCCAACAACATTATGTGACTCCTAAAAATATAATACATAGTAAACTTGTGGCCCATCATAAACTCCCAGATATTTTTTCTTTCCCGCAAGTAGCTGCCTAGGCATTTGTTCCCCATTGCTGCGACTCATGATTCTGTTATGTATTTTACTGGCTATTCCTCCCAACTTGGAATAGAGATACAAAAGTGAGCTTATCAAATCTCCCATAGGGAAAACATATTAAAGAGAACAAATATTACTACTCCCATAACACGCAAGTATATCTCCTCCAGGGTTATTTGGTGTCTAAAAGCAATATTGCAGGGTGGGGCGGGGGTGGCAGTCAGCCTCTACAACCCACTTTGTAAGCTAACTTACTCATTTATATAGCACCGTAATTATGTATAGCAGCTTCAATGGGAATAGGTTTCAGTAGCGAGAGACAGTCTTGGTTGAACTTGGAAAGAAAAACATCCACTGATTAAGTGAGGGACATCAAAAGGTGACTAGAGGAATATTAAACACTGATTGTGTTGCTAGCTTTTTTTGCTTCAGGCCCACCCTGCCAATGTGTTTGCATTTCAACTTTGCCATTAGCAACCCTCTCTCAGAACCTCAGATGGGTCCTCTTTCAGTTCTAGTTTATAAGATTGTAAACATAATACTCAAAATCCCAGCCTTTGTGTCAGGTAGGAAGACAATCAAAACAGTGAGAGATCAGGAAAGCATTTTAGGAAAGTGCCTGAGGGAAGCCAGGATGTTTTGTTTGGAGAAGAGAAGGTTTGGGGCCACTAGGCCTTGTCCTAATAGCAGTAGCAATGATTTTACTAAGTGCTAAGAACTGACCTAGGCACTGCATGTACTTCACTTCTTTTATTTTTTATTTTATTTTTTTTTTGAGACGGAGTCTCGCTCTGTCGCCCAGGCTGGAGTGCAGTGGCGCGTCTCGGCTCACTGCAAGCTCCGCCTCCTGGGTTCACGCCATTCTCCTGCCTCAGCCTCCCGAGCATCTGGGACTACAGGCGCCCGCCACCATGCCTGGCTAATTTTTTTGTATTTTTAGTAGACACGGGGTTTCACCGTGTTCGCCAGGATGGTCTTGATCTCCCGACCTCGTGATCCGCCCGCCTCGGCCTCCCAAAGTGCTGGGATTACAGGCGTGAGCCACCGCGCCCGGCCCACTTCTTTTAATTTTTACAAAACTTAATTCTATAAAGAAGGTACTATTGTTATCCCTAGTTTACAGGTGAGATAATTTTAGGATAAGAAAGGGTAAGTTTGCACAGTGAGTAGGTAGTAAAGATACCATGCTGTCTGATTACACACTCCCTGTTCACCTCTATCACCCAACCCTGTTTGTTTCTTCCGTAGCAATTCCCACAATTTGTATTTATTTTATTTGTTTCATCATTCCCCAACTAAACTGTGAACCCCAAAGGGTCAGGAATCATGTCTATTACTGTTCCACATTCTATCAACGTGTCTAGCACAGTGCCTGTATATAACTTAGCATTCAACTAACACTTGTGGGAGAGAGGGAAGCAAAGAGGAAGGGAGGAACTAACATCTAGGTAAGATCTAACTCCAGAGCCTGTGCTCTTAACCACTACAATTACACTGTTGAGTCATTGTGGGCTGCCAGCACCAAATTTTCGCCAACACCCTGGTTTAGTCATCTGTAAAGTTCACAACAAACCTAGCTCCCTGTGCTGTGCAAAGCAGCCAAAGCAACAACAGGCAGAGCTCCTTAAGACAATATATTAAATACCATCTTACTCTGTTTGCCACGCTCATGGTCCAATTCTAGGCAGCATTGTTGCAAATGTTCGAATGCACATTCTAACAAAGCATCCTACCACATAGGGCAGGCATTAAAATTATGGTTCACACAAGCAAACCCACAACTTTCTTGAAAATCAGATATGTCAATACACTCATCTGCATTTCAGCAGTCTTGGTACACAGTCATCTATTTTACCCTCTGTCCTCTTGTTTTAATTAGTCCTCTTTCTAAGCTCCTCTGTGGCTCTGCTATGAAAAACCGTTAAAATTAAATGAACATTTTTCTGATTAAATCCCCTCCCTGCATTTCCAAGCCTTCAGTTGTCTATTTATGACTGTGAGCTTCATTTTACCAAGTTCTATTTCTAGGCCACTAATATCATCTCATGCAGAGAGAGATGTATTCAGCATTCCATGTGGTGTCATTTTCTGAAGGGGGCGAAGTCTCAGCTCCACTGCTTTACTATTCTTTTATACAGAGTTTTAGAACACATAAACCAACTGTTTTGAACGAATAGCTTCCTTCTGTTCTTGCCATTCCTATTACTGGATTCTATTGGTGAAGAATAAACACATATCTTATGTTATAGTGGAGACAGTTCTCGTGGAAAAATCACTCTCCTTTGGGGAAAACTTGTTCTCTGGGACTTTGTAAAATCCAGGCTAAAAGGCAAACATTTTTTCTTAAGTTCTCACAAGAGCTAAAAAAATCTAAGGCCTGCTAACAAGACCCCTTTTTTCCCTTGGACGGGATGCCCTAAAACCCATCTGAAAATTTCAGCTGGGACTTTACAAAATGCAAATCAACTGACTAGATTAACTGGTTTGTGTTGCTGTCTTTGTGGAGTACCCACAGGCTTAGGAGGGATCAGCTTGAATCTGAGATGACAAGATCCAGGGATTTCTGATCTGGAGGAAAGTAATCAACCTGAATTTTGCATGATATAATGAAAATGTGCTAATGTACAAGAAACTCAAATATTAGCTCTGTATATCAATATTTTCAATGTTCTTATGGCTAAAGTCATACAGAACCTGCCATGGCACTATGCCATGTGTTTTTTTTCCATTTATTCAGTTACTTAATCTTAACAACAACACTGTAAAGAAGGTGCTATTACTATTCTCATTTTGTACGTGAGGAAGCTGAAGTACAGAGCGGTAAATAACTTGCCCCATAATCACAGACTTTGTAAGTGACAGAACTGAGATTATAATGCAGGTCTGTCTGACTTTAAACATCACATTATTAACCACTATCCTAAAATGGTTCTCAGGTAAGGCAAGGAGAAAGTATTTAAGAAGGCTGGGTTTGATGGTTAATGCTGAGTGTCAACTTGATTGCACTGAAAGATGCAATCCAATTGGATTGATTGGATTGAAAGGCTGCCATTGTTGAGTGGGGTCCAGAACAGGAGAAGGCTCTGCAACAGGTCCAGGCTGCTGTGCAAGCTGCTCTGCCACTTGGACCATATGACCCAGCAGATCCAATGGTGTTGGGGGTGTCAGTGGCAGATAGGGATACTGTTTGGAGCCTTTGTCAGGCCCCCATAGGTGAATCACAGCGGAGGCTTCTAGGATTTTGGAGCAAGGCCCTGCCATCTTCTGCAGATAACTACTCTCCTTTTGCAAGACAGCTCTTGGACTGTTACTGGGCTTTGGTGGAAACTGAACATTTGGCTATGGGTCATCAAGTCACCATGCAACCTGAACTGCCTATCATAAACTAGGTGCTTTCTGAGCCAGCTAGCCATAAAGTGGGTCACGGGTCCAGCAGCATTCCATCGTCAAATGGAAGTGGTATATACGTGATCGGCCTTGAGTAGGTCCTGAAGGCACAAGTAAGTTACATGAGGAAGTGGCTCAAATGCCCATCGTCTCCACTCCTGCCACCCTGCCTTCTCTTCCCCAGCCTGCAACGATGGCCTCATGGGGCGTTCCCTATGATCAGTTAACAGAGGAAAAGAAGACTAGGGCCTGGTTCACAGATGGTTCTGCATGACATGAAGGGTCCACCCGAAAGTGGACAGCTGCAGCACTACAGCCCCTTTCTAGGACATCCCTGAAGGACAGCGGTGTAGGGAAATCTTCCCAGTTGGCAGAACTTTGAGCAGTGCACCTTGTTTTGCACTTTGCATGGAAGGAGAAATGGCCAGATGTGCAATTATATACTGATTCATGGGCTGTAGCCAATGGTTTGGCTGGATGGTCAGGGACTTAGAAGAAGCATGATTGGAAAATTGGTGACAAAGAAATTTGAGGAAGAGGTATGTGGATGGACCTCTCTGAGTGGTCAAAAACTGTGAAGATATTTGTATCCTATGTGAGTGCTCACCAACGGATGACCTCAGCAGAGGAGGATTTTAATAATCAAGTGGATAGGATGACTTATTCTATGGACACCACTCAGTCTTTCCCCAGCCATTCCTGTCATCGTCCAATAGGCCCATGAACAAAGTGGCCACGGTGGCAGGGATGGAGGTTAAGCATGGGCTCAGTAACATGGACTTCCACCCACCAAGGCTGACCTGGCTATGGCCACTGCTGAGTGCCCAGTTTGCCAGCAGCAGATAACAAAGGTCTTAGAGTATGGACAGAACAAAGTACAGTCCTTCAGCTGTGATACCACATTGGAGCTTGGCTGCATTCCACACCTGTAAGGTTCTTGAAACAGACCAAAAAATAGCCCTTTCTCCCAAGGACTTCTGAATGCAGTTGAACTATGCTCCTGAGGTCAGTCCCTGACCTGAAAACAGGCTAGAGTAATTATAGCTGTGTCTTTACATACACACCTAGAATTTCTGATAGTTTGACCTGTTTTTTAAGCAGTTTAAAAGGTTCCCTCATCTAGCTAGTGAGACAGATATTGAAGCTGACTTTCTTCCTTGATTAGAATGCCAGCTTAATTGAGGCCATAGATAGATGATCGCTATATTGACTTTTTCAGTCTCTCCAAATGGCCCTTTCTATTGAATAGTATCCTAGTTCCTGGAAACAATCTTAGCAAAGAGCTCAGGGATCTTATTTTATGAACCAATTACTAAAACAATACAGATAAACTATGACCAGTCTGAGAACTTGGCCTCAGAACTATGCACTCTTACAGGGACATGATTCTGAAAGCAGAAATGACTGAGTTTGAATAATGATGGTGAGGCCTTTTAGATCAAACATGTCTTGTGAACTGGTTACTCCTGGTAGGACCTATTTCCCAGCACCACAGAAGTCATCATCTGTCTAAGCATCAGTGATTTATTAAAAAACAGAGGAACATGAACATCTTCTCTACACAAACAATTATTGGCCAACCTTCTCCACTGAACTCCTTTTCAGCTAATAGCAGTTTGAAATCATGGCATCATCCATTAGTCTCAAGGGTAATTTCCCCTGGCTTTGCAGTAGATGCTTTGATTTAACCTTTGGTCTCAATGCCACAAGTCCCTATTCTTAGCAAATTGAACAATGCCCTGGTCTAATATCTATCAAAATGGGACATGTTCTCAGGCCATGCAACTCAATGGGGTCAATTTATGTAGGGTCTCTGGTGTCCATTACTACTGTTAAATATATATTTAGAATGAGCATAAGCTAGAACACTAGGGCCCAGTGTTGTGTGCAGTAGAGTCCTGCATTCCATTCTATTAAACCTCCAATCCAGTGGCTCAAGCTGTGCTTCAGAGCCCCAGGATTCCATGGTGAGTCTTAGGGGCCTCTGGAGGAGTTTTAAAGAGAAAGACTGACTGGGCAGTTCAGGATCCCACTCTATCTCCCGCTTCACCAGAGCAATTTTATTTTTATCTATGTGATATATTGGGGTTCCACAGAAGATTTAATTTGAAAAAAAAAAAAAAACAATGCCACTAGAAAACAAAATTCATAAGCCATTACTGAAATCTATCTACACAGTTGACCATGAGCATGGACGGAATCTCCAAGTAGTGAAACTGGCATGTCAAAGAAAGCTTCCTGCTCAAAAATACATGGTTAAATTTGCAATCCATTAATTTATCACATCCATTTTGAAACAAATTTTTCAGCCTGAAACAAAGGTAAGCATTTTCAGATAGTCGTAAGTCCAAAGAAGAAAATAAAATAGGGTAATGGGATAGAGTGACCAGAGTAGCAGGTTTAAGAACTATTTTAGATAGGGTGTGGGTTGAGGAAAATCCCCCAGAAAGGTGATGCTAGGGATGAGATGATATAGAGAGAAAAACAATGCAGCTGGAACTCAGTGAGCCAGTGCAAGAAATGTAGACAAATGGAGTTAAGAGAAGTGGTTCCTGCACCCACTAAATGAGTTTAAGCATGGATTGATTAATATTTGTAAAGGATTAGTCCTGGGGCTGGTTGTGGAAGAGGGCAAGAGAGGAATTGGGAAAAGCATTAAGGAGACTATTATAATAACTCAGGTGAGCAATGATGGTAACTTGAACTAGATTGGTAACAGGAGAGATTGAGAAAAGTAGACATGTGGGATACACCTTCAGAAGTAAAGTTGAGAGCATTTGATGATGGATTGCATGTGAATTGTGAGAGGAAAACAGAAATCAAGGATGATTCTTGGGTTTTAGTATTAAGCATCTGAGTGCTTAGTAGTGCCATTAAGTGAGATGACAAATATTGTGTAATGAACAGATACATTTGACCAAGGCCAATGGGAGGAGTAGGGGTCAGAATCAACTGAATTATGTTTTGAGCATATGATAATACTTACTGGATACTCAAGACATGTCCAGAAACCAATTGGATAAAGGTGTCTGGAGTACTAGAGAGGCACAAATTTGGAAATTATCAGCATAGAAATGGTATAAAAGCCACAAACCAAAACGTGATCACCTATGTAATGAGTGTAGATGGAGAAGAGAAGGCAGGCCACAATGAAGCCCTGAGGAACCCCAACTTTAGAAGCCAGGGAAAGGGGGAGATAACAAAGGAGCAGAGAGGAAACACTGTCAGATAGGAGGAAAACCAGGAGAGCATGGTGTCATGAAAGTCTAGAGAGGAGAGTGTTTTGGGAAGGAGAGTGTGGTTACCTCTGTCAAAGTTTCTGACAGATAGAGTAAGATAAATACAGAAAAGTAATGCTGGCATTTCAGGATTTGGCCAATGGGTAGGAAGATTTGAGGAGGGGCAATGAATTACAGTCTTTCCACTCTGTAAAATCCTGTCACCTGGCTGGCTCCTATATTTTGAGGTATAAGAACAGCCATGAGTAGTAGAGTACTGCATCAAAGAACTGGAGAGGAAGTTGTAAAGAGAAAGCATTGCAAATAAACATCTTTTTTCCCAATTGTTTAATATTGTCACTGGAGATGACATCCAGCCCAGCAAAGTTTAAACGATTAAAAGTCTTTGATTTCTGGGGAGCTAAAGACAATAACATCACCATAGATGTGCCTAGAGAAAAATGTACTTCCTCTACCAGCTTAAGAGAAGAGCACAAGTCAATAAAAAGACATTCAAAATGTGCACAGGGAAAAGTCAATATTAACTGTGTGCAAACATTTAAATCGTTTCAGCAGAAAGATGTGTACGCAATTTAAAACCATGACCTATATTTAAAGAACATATCCTAAAAGCTCCAGTCCCTTATTAATATTGCAGCATATAATTATCCCTGATGCCTTGCCTATCTTGCTAGACCATGTTTAATCAGATCTTTTCTCATTGACTTGGCTGTTTCCCCTGTATATATCCGCTAACACATGGTAGAGATAAGACTTGTGATCTATACTAGTGAAATAGATTTATAATTACCATTGGGCACTCATTACTGGCCAATCCAAAAATAAAGAGTCCTTTTACAACTGTTGGTCCAAATTCCTCAATGGAGAGAGGTATGTGTATGTGTGCCTGTGTGTGTGCGTGTGTGTGTGTGTGTGTGTACATGCACACGTGTATCTGTGAACACACACTCTAAAATCCAGGCACACTGCACATTTGGGAAATGAGATATTCAGGATGATCAATCAAGCGGCATTTACCTCACTTAAAGACCAAGAATTGGATTCAAACTTTGTTTTGTATAGGTATATACAATTATTTGATATATGCTTCCTTTTTTTAAGGTAAAATACATTTGTATAGCTTCAACATTTTTTCTTAGGTCTGTTAAGAACCTCATTTTATGACCTAAGAGGTCATCAATGACTCTTATACAAGGTAAATCTTAATGACCTTGTATAAGAACCTTAATTATACAAGGATGTTTTGAGGGAGTATAATTTGTATGTCCCTTTGCCAAAGAGCCTCAGAGCTCTGTGCTTTTGGGGTTTTTACATCTATCTAATAAAATTGTATCCATTGTATCCTCTTCCTCTCATGTCAGTATTGCACTGCTGTAAGTGCATCTGCCTAAAGCAATCCCTCTCCCTCCTAATTATCTGCAAGTTTGGAAACAGGATTCAGAAGCTGTTGAAACTATAAGTGGAATAAAAGTAAACAGATATCAGCAAGGTTGCAAAATAAAAGATCAACACAGGAGAATCAATCACATTTTTTACATACAAACCATGAATATGTGGAAACTATTTTTTTTTAAGTTGTGCGTACATATGTGTATATATTTATGGGGAAATGAGATGTTTCAATCCAGGCATGCGATGTAAAATAAGCACATCATGAAGAATGGGGTATTCATCCCCTCAAGCATTTATCCATTGAGTTGCAAACAACTCAATTATACTCTATAAGTTATTTTAAAATGTACAGTTATTATTTACTACAGTCACTCTGTTGTGCTGTCAAATAGTAGGTCTTATTCATTCTTCTGGCTATTTTTTAACCACCCTCACCTCCCTTGCAACCCCTCACTACCCATCCCAGCCTCTGGTAACCATCCTTCTACTCTCTATGTCCATGAGTTCAATTGTTTTGATTTTTAGTTCCCAAAGATAAGTGAGAACATGAGATGTTTGTCTTTCTGCACCTAGCTTATTTCACTTAACATAATGATCTCCATTTCCATCTATGTTGTTAGAAATGACCAGATCTCATTCTGTTTTATGACTGAACAGTACTCCATTGTATATAAGTACTACATATTCTTTATCCATTCACCTGTTGATGAACACTTAGGTTGCTTCCAAATCTTGGCTATTGTGAACAGTGCTGCAACAAACATAGACATGCAGATATCCCTTCGATACACTGGTTTCCTTTTTTTTGGGTATATAGCCAGCAATGAGATTGCTAGATCATATTGTAGCTCAATTTTTAGTTTATTGAGAAACCTTCAAACCGATCTCCATAGTGGTTGTACATTCCCACCAACAGTGCGCAAGCGTTCCCTTTTCTCCACATCCTTGTTAGCATTCCTTATTGCTTGTCTTTTGATATAAGGCATTTTAACTGGTGCGAGATGATATCTCATTGTAGTTTTGGTTTGCATTTCTCTGATGATCAATTATGTTGAGCACCTTTTCTTATGCCTTTTGGCATTTAGAAACTAAAATTAAAAACACAATGCCATTTGCAATTGCTCCAATGACAATGCAATACTAAGATGTAGACATAACAACATGTATAGCATTTCCATACTCAAAACTACAAAATGCTGGTGAAAGAAATCAAAGACCTCAATAATTGGAAAGACATATCACATTTATGGATTGGGAGATTCAACTAGTAAAGATGTCAGTTTTCCCTGAATTGTTTTATTTTGTGTTTAAGCAATTATTATCAAAATCCTAGCAAAATTATTTTAGACATGGACGAGCTTATTCTAAAATGTACATGGGAAGTCATAGGCCCTAGAATAGCTAAAATAACCTCAACAAAGAAGAATAAAGTGGGAGGAATCACTCTACCTGATATGAAGGCTTACTATATAGCTATATAGCTGATACAACCAAGACAGAGTTGTATCAGTGGAGGGACAGACACATAGATCAATGGAACAGAACAGAGAAGCCAGAAATCGACCCATATGAATATGCCCAACATATGAGAAAAAGGAAGAAAATTCAATCAAAGGAGGAAAAGAAGTCTTTTTAACAAGTGGTGCTAGAACACTTGGACACTAGGGCATAAAAATGAATCCTGACCTAAACCTCACTCCCTATACAGAAAGTATCTCCAAATGGATTATAGACTTAAATATAAAACTAAAAATGTAATTTTGAAGAATAAAAAATAAGAGGAAATCTTCATACTCTAGGAATAGGCAAAGATGTCTTAGCTTTAATCATCTACAAAAGCAATTCAGAAAAGAAAAATGTGATAAACTGGACTCCATCAAAATTAAATACTTTTTCTTTGTGAAAGAACTTAAGAGGATGCAATGACAAATTACAGGTGGAGAGAAAATATTCGCAACCCCTATGTTCAACAAAGGACTAGTATTTAGAACTCTCAAAACTCAACAATAAAAATACAAACCATCCAAGTAGAACATGGGCAAGAGATACGAAGAGACAGTTCTCTGAAAAAGATATGCAGAGGATAAATAAGCACATGAAAAGATGTTCGACATTATTAATCAGCAGAAAAATGCAAATTAAAACAACGACATATCACTACACACCTATCAGAATGACAAAAATTGAAAAATAGTGAAAACAGCATATACCAGGGAAGATGCAGTGAAACTGGATCACTTATATATTGCCATTGGGATTTAAAATGGTACAATCACTCTGGAAAACAGTTTGACAGTTTTTTTATAAAACTAAACATACTGAGGCAGGCAGATCACTTGAGGTCAGGAGTTCAAGACCAGCCTGGCCAACATGGTGAAACCCTGTTTCTACTAAAAATATAAAAATTAGCCAGGCATGATGGCATGGGCCTGTAATCCCAGCTACTTGGGAGGCTGAGGCAGGAGAATCGCTTGAACCCAGGAGGCGGAGGTTGCAGTGAGCTGAGATCGCGCCACTTCACTCCAGCCTGGGTGATAGAGTGAGGCTCTGTCTCATAATAATAATAATAATAATAATAATAATAATAATAATAATGAATAAAACTAAACATGCAACTACCATATGACTCAACAAGAGCACTCTTGGGCATTTATCTCAGATAACTAAAAATTCATATGCACTTAAAAACCTGTACAGATTTCCATACCAGCTTTATTTATAATAGCCACAAACCAGAAGTAACACAGATGGTCTTGTGCAGGTAAAAGGTTATACAAACCATGTTATGTCTGCAAAATGGAATATTACTCAAAAATAAAAAGGAGTGAGCTATTGAAAGAAGCAACAACTTGGATGACTCTCCAGAGAATTATGATAGGTGAAGAAAAGCCAACTCCAAAAGGTAACACACTGAATGATTTGAATAACTTTTTGAAATGACAAAATTACAGAAATGACGCACATATTTGTTATAGACAGGGGTTGCGGAAGGGGTGAAGATTATGAGAGGGAGGTGAGTTTGGTTATTAAAGGGCAACACAGAGGATCCTTGTAGTCATGGAACTGTACTGTATCTTGACTGTGGTGGTGGTTACACAAATATGCTCATGTGATGAAACTGCATAGAAGTAAACACACACACACACACACACACACACAAACACACACAAACTACTGAGTCCAAGTAAAACTGAGGAAATCTAAATTTAATAAGTGGATTTTATCAATATTAATTTCCTGGCGTGACATGTTCTGTAGTTATGCAAGATGTCATTATTGGGGAAACTAGGTAGTGTACTTGGGATATCTCTGTATTATTTCTTACAACAGCACGTAGCTTCAATTATCCCCAAATAAAATGTTTTTAAAATCAATGCATATTTAAAAAGTAAATAGATAATGTAAAACCCAAGTTCTAAAAAAAATGCATTTCTCACACAAAAGGAGGCTCTCCTGCAGGCTCTCATTTCAACCTAATTTTTTTTTCAGAAGCTATTTTCCCCTTATTATCTGGTTCTCAACTGTGCTCCCGGTGGGTTAGGTGCTCTTCAGTCCTCCTCTACTTCATTGTTTATTACTTGTATTTCTCAGGTCCTTGACATATTTCAAGTGCACTATAACCATGAATGAAGGCACTTACTCTCTTAAAGATGACTTTGAGATATAGGTGAGTGGAAGAGAATTCCACTTGAGGACTCTAAGACTGGATGTAAGTGATGTACATCACTTACAATATACAACATACACATACAACAAACTACAAATAGTAGAATGGTATAACAAGAAGGAGGTGTGAAAAGGTTAGGCTTTGTGTCCCCACCCAAATCTCATCTTGAATTGTAATCCCCATAATCCTCATGTGTCAATGGAGAGACCAGGTGGAGGTAATTGAATCATGGGGGTGGTTTCCCCCATGCAGTTCTCATGATAGTGAGTGAGTTCTTACGAAACCTGATGGTTTTATAAGGGACTCTTCTCCCTTCGCTCAGCACTTCTTCTTGCCGCCTTGTGAAGAAGGTGCCTTGCTTCTCCTTCTGTCATGATTGTAAGTTTGCTCAGGTCTCCTCGGCAGTGCTGAACTGTAAGTCAATTAAACCTCTTTTCTTTATAAATTACCCAATCTCAAGCAATTCTTTATAGCAGTATGAAAATGGACTAATACAAGGTAGGATTCAAATAATGGTAATAGAAGAGATCCTTCCTCATTATTCCTTTCCCTCGTCTTGCTTTGTACACTCTCTGAATTCCAACTCTTTTGCTTTTCTATCCTGCCCCTGACAAATACAAAAGCCTACCTTTACATGGGGCAGCAGCACCAGGATTTCAAAGGGAGCATGTCTTCAAACCACCAGAGCTAATCCGAATGATTGCAGACTCATGGATAATAATGGTGTTTCCACCCTGACTTCTGGTTTGTTCCTATTGGCTTTTAACTCAGGATCACCTCACTAACTTTGGTGTTCAAATCAGCCCCATTCAGGTTAGGATGCCCTGGGTAATTCACCCCAGTACCTGAACCTGTCCTTCTCACCAATTCTTAATTCAATAACTGGATTCTGGTGTCTACTTGTCAAGTCCTGGCATTTTTGACCCCTTCGTTAGTTTTTGGCCGGAATTCTAGTTCTCCCAACTTCAAGCCATTTATTCTCTCATACATTCATTCAACAAATATTTATTGGGAGCCTACTATATGACAGACACAGTTCTAGCCTCTGGGGACACATGATAATAAATAAATCATGTATCTGATAAATAAATCAGCCAAAATCTCTGACTTCATGAAGCTTATGTACTAGTGGGGAGAGAGAGAATAAATCAGATAGGGAACTCTGATATGTGTGAGAAAGTAGAATATCCCAGTCTCTTTCCCCCTGTCACATTGCATGTTGGCACGGACAGTCTGTGTTGACTTAGGTCACAACAAAGCCAAGTAGTTTTAGGCCCAATTCCTGAAGTTAGACTACCTAAGTTTGAATTATGGGTTCCCTACTAACTATCTGGGGGATCTTAAACAACAAACTTACTCCTTCCTCTAGGTTTGAGTTTCCTCAGCTGTAGAATGGGGATGATAATGATTCCTACCTCTAGGTTGTGGTATGAATTTAATGAGTTATATAAAACGCATAGAAGAGTGCCCGGCACATAACAAATAAAATACTGCATAGAACGCCATTAATAATGTGCCCACCACAGAATAAATGCTCAATAAAATTTAACTATTATGACTACTACCATTACTAGTCTTTTTACAATTAAGAAAGGAAATTATTAAAATGTGAGGATGATCCAGAGCAGACCTTTGCTGTGCAATGTGACTAATAGCTCCTTTTGAAAAGTATCTATCATTATTGATAAAATGTTTGAGTAATTTTCTGGTACTGTTTAATGAGCTTGCGGGCCCCTTCTAGGAAGTGAGTTTCATCCAAATGGTCTTATGAGGAGTGACCTACACAGCAGTTAGTCTTGTGACAAGCCTAATAACTTTTAACCAAATAATCCTTTCTTGAATCTAATCTAACAATGTCATCTACCACTCTCTCATTGTATACAAAGTCTCCAATAATGAAATACAAAAGCAGAAAGGGGAGATAGAATGAGGTTAATGGGGCCTCCTCCACCCACCATTCATCCATTCTTTCTCAAGTAGCTAAAAGGAAGGACAAGATGTGCCCATATTTGGTTTCTTAGCACTCTTTCAAGGCCTTACTGGTGCCTTTCAGTCTCTTGAATCTTACCTCAATACCACTCTGCCCTTAGCTGACTAAATCCCTCCAACACATCTTTCTTTCCCTTACACAGGTAAAGCACTTTTCTGCCTCAGGTCTTTTTTTTTTTTTTTTTTTTGAGACGGAGCCTCGCTCCGTCGCCCAGGCTGGAGTGCAGTGGCACGATCTTGGCTCACTGCAAGCTCCACCTCCTGGGTTCACACCATTCTCCTGCCTCAGCCTCCCAAGTAGCTGGGACTACAGGTGTCTGCCACCACGTCTGGCTAATTTTTTCTATTTTTTAGTAGAGACAGGGTTTCACCATGTTAGCCAGGATGGTCTCGATCTCCTGACCTCGTGATCCACTCACCTCGGCCTCCCAAAGTGCTGGGATTACAGGCGTGAGCCACCGCGCCAGCCTGCTTCAGGTCTTTATATCTGTTGTTACCTCTGCTTGTAATGTTCTACCCACTTCTGCAATTCTACTGCTCTCACCTAGTTAACTCTTAATCTTCCTTCAAGTTGCGGCACAAAGAACAGTACCTAGCCCCTTAGCTTAGAGGTTATGTACAGCTATATACTCCATGACACTCCGCATTTCTCCATAGTAACAATCTGCACAATTTTCATCACATGCTCTATCTCTGATATAAATCCTTGTATATCTTAAAGGCCTTGGCACATAGTCAGCATTCAAGAAATGTTGAATGGAGGGATGGATAGTTAAATAGATCGATGGGGAGATGGATGGATGGGTGACTGGAAGGGCAGATGAATGGGTAAATAGATAAATAGATATTTTAGATAATTTATACAAAGGGTATAAATATTCACAGAACTATTGAATAATAGAGGACAAAAGGACATGAATGATCTTTTACTGCAGCTCTCATCTTTTGTAACATTAGAAACTGAGCCCAGCAAAAGAATGCGGCCTGGTTAAGATCTCTAGTTAGTGGCAAAGTCAGGACCAGAATGCTAGTTCTCCCAACTTCGAGCCATTTATTCATTCATACATTCATTCAACAAATGTTTACTGGGAGCCTACTATATGACACGTACCATTTTAGGCTCTGGGGACACATGATAATAAATAAATCTGTATCTGACAAATAAATCAGAGAAAAATCTCTGACTTCATGAAGCTTATATACTAGTGGGGAGAGAGAGAGATAATAAACCAGACAGGTAACTCTGATATGTGTTAGAAAGTAGAATGTCCCAGTTTCTTTCCCACTGTACCATTTATCTATGCATGAAAGTATTTTCTTCAGAGCATGCTTCCCCCCGTGGACAGTAACAACCTCAGATTTCTTTAGTGCTCCATTATCTGCTTAGTCACATTTTTTTTGGTGAGTCCTAATCTCCCACCAGATGCTCAGTATCAGACTCTCAGACGAGGCCTTCTGCTCTGAACTTATCTTCTTCTGTATCCCTGTACTATACAGAAAAGCAGTTAGAGATTAGCTATTTATGAGGCTGTGAAGAAAAAGA
Organism: Homo sapiens; assembly: GCF_000001405.40. Taxonomy (NCBI): domain Eukaryota; kingdom Metazoa; phylum Chordata; class Mammalia; order Primates; family Hominidae; genus Homo; species Homo sapiens. The sequence continues at coordinate 112,197,933 of NC_000023.11, read as the reverse complement.
TCATAAAAATGACGTCTACAGAAACTAATTTGGGACTTCTGTTTCCAGGAATATTCAGTACATGTAATTTTCTTTATTTCCCCCACTAAGTCAACTACAATCCTGAAAAATACAAAAATACAAAGACAAACAAATGCAAAAATACAAAGAAAAACAAATATAAGAAAATTCTGAAGGGTAGAGAGAAGAAAGCACAGCAGTGAAACACCTTGGGACCCAAGCAATGACACGGAGGGGAGGGCACCTGGTTTTTGTTTTGCCTCATATACCTCAGACTTGTGGCTGAAAAGCCAGTAATGTCAATGGTGCAGATAAAAAAAAGGCCCTCCAAAAGCTTTGTCTCTCTCACCAGTAAAGAAGCTTAGCAAGAGAAAAGACTTTTATACAATACTACTCCATTCCAGCCATACACCACAGAGAAAAATTGTGACTTCATGCCCCCACACCAGTAAAGGCTACATTACATAGAGAGCTGGATTTCCACACTCCCAAGGTTGTAATGAGGTGGTCCATCCGCCATGCTGAAGTTGTACCAGATAAGGCCAAGCAAGAAGCTGAGAATTTCATCACTGGGCAGCCAAGAATGAGCTGCCCCTCCACAGTATCAGTGAAGACCAGATGGGGAACTTGGACTTCCACTCCACCCCAGCATTAATAAGGACCTATCCCTCTCTTCACTCCACCTAACAAGTGCAGAGTACATTAGTGATATTGAGCTTTTTTTTTTTTCATATAACAACTGTTGACCATTTGTATGTCTTCTTTTGGGAATTGCCTAGTCAGGTCCTTTGCCCATTTAAAAAATGGATTATTTGTATTCTTGCTATTGAGTTGTTGTTTTTTAAATGGGCAAAGGACCTGACTAGGCAATTCCCAAAAGAAGACATACAAACATATAAATAGTTATATGAAAAATGCTCAACATCACTAATCATCAGGGAAACGTGAAACAAAACTGCAATGAGATATCACCTCATTGCTGTTAGCATGGCCATTATCAAAAAGACAAAAGACAACTAGTGTTGGTGAGGATGTGAAGACTAAGGACTAGCGTCTAAAGTATATGAAGAAATTTTATAATTCAACAGTTTAAGAAAAACGCTAGAACAATCTGATTATAACATAGGCAAAAGACATGAAGAGACATTCTACTAAAGAGTATATACAGATTAAAATTATTTCATGAAAAGATGTTTAATGTCATTAGTCATCAGGGAAATGCAAATTAAAACCACAAGGAGATGTCACTACACACCCATAAAATTGACAATTAAAAATTGTGACAACACCAAATGTTGGCAAGGATGCAGAAGAACTGTACTCATACATTGCTGGTTAGACTATAAAACAGTACAGTCATTTTGGAAAACAGTTTAGCTATTTAAAAAAAAACTAGTATGCAAATACAATATGATCCAGCAATTGCACTCCTGGGCATTTATCCCAGAGAAACAGAGAGTAATGTTCACACAAAAACCTGTATATACATGCTCATAGCAGCTTTATTCATGATAGCTAAAAACTATAAACAATCCAAATTCCCTTCAACAGGTAAATGGTTACACAAACTATGTAACATTCATACCACGGACTACTACTCAGCAATAAGAAGGAATAAACTATTAATGCATGCAACAACTTAGATGAATCGAGAAAATTACGTCGAGTGAAAAAAAAATCCCAATGGTTACATACTGCATGACTTCCTTTATATAACATTCTTGAAATGACAGAATTATAGAAATAGAGAACAGATTAGTATATGCTAGTGATTAAGGTGGAGATAGAGATGGGAGAAGTGGGAGTGTCTATGAAAGAGCAACATGAGGGATTCTAGTGGCAATGGAAACATTATTTAACTTGACTGTATCCCTATCAATATCCTGGTTGTGATATTACACAATAGACTGCAAGATGTTACAATGGCAGAAAATGGGTAAAGAGTGCGTTAGATCTCTCCCTACTGTTTCTGGTAATCATATGTAAATCTATAATTGTCTCAAAATAAAAAGTTTAGAAAACGAATTTGGGCCACTCAAAAAAAATCGTTTGCTTCTTTTCCCCTCAAAGTTGTGTTTCTATCACTTTTATCATTGTAAGTATTTATTGTCTTTCTATCATGTCTGTCTAATGAGGTACCAGAACTAAACACAAAATGCCAACAGACAAATCCTAGGAATCAGGATATTGTACATTGAAAGATACATACCAATTAATACAGTTACTGTGGGGCAATTTCTAGGCTCCATTAACTAGAATCCTATGTGAAATACTCAAGCAAAATATAAATCTCATGCAGCAACCTCAGTACTACTTATCTCCCAATCAGCAGACCAGTACTTCACAGCCGTAGTGTTTTGAGTTAGAGGGTCTATTTTTTAAATACCCAAGACCCCAAAGAGGATAACTTCAGGCTCACCAAGCCTAGAGCTTATTCACAATTAGGAATCAAGTGGGACTTTCCAACTTAATTGGGGAATGATGGAGGAATGAGTTGATTGTTTAAATGAGTAGACAGATGGGACAAAGCAATAAATGAAATGGCTGAAGTGAAAGAGAATGCGACTAACTGAATGTCTTCTATAATAATATGTTCCTAGTCCCAATTCATAGACCTGAACATTTATTTACTTCACTGTTTCAATTTTTCAAATAGCTTCCTGTCTCTATGCTTGAAGTGAATGATCATCTTCACTAGGGAATATGATAGTCACCATGTCAACTCTTCTCTTCCACCAACTAAAACAACTGAAATGGCTCTGTACTTCCTGCAGGACAAAGTTCACATGCTTCATCTTTAGGACCATCCACATTCTGCCTCAACCTTTCTTTCAAGCCTCATCTATTCTTACTACTCCTATGTTGATTATCTTGTCCAATCAAACTGGTCTGTTCACTTTTCCTAAAAACAGAAATCTTGCATTATCCTACTTCCATGCTTTTGCTCATGCCATTAACAGTGTTTGGCATGCTTTATCTTCCATCTAAACCTTACTTATTCTTCAAGCTCTAAATTAAATGGCATATGCTCCATTAAGCTCTCTTTCCTTCAGCACCCCGTGGCTTATAGCTTTCATTCTAAACTTAGTATATTCTGTTTGGCATGTGAGTTAGTACTTCCGTAGTTATCTTTTCAGGTGTTCACAACATTATATAAAAACAATGGGAAAGGCTACACGATAATTGTTATGATTTAATTAGCATATGCCTTTCAGTGTGTGGTTTCCTGTTCCCACTCTGCTCTGGAAGAGGGTTGGTCTGTTGATGTTCACTATTTGGCTCTAGTACATTTTCAGGTTAAGGTCAGAGTCATAATATTAGGAAAAGAAGGCTAATTTGTCAGCTAGGGCTGCCATAACAAAATGCCACAGACTTGGTGGTTTAAACTACAGAAATTAATTCTCTCATAGCTCTAGAGGCTGGAAGTCCAAGATCAGGGTGCCAGCATAGTTGAGTTATGGTGAGGGCTCCCTTCATGGCTTGTGAATGGCTGCTTTCTCACTATGTCTTCATATGGTACAGAGAGGGGAAGCAAACTCTCTGACGTCTCTTCATAAAAGGGCATTCTTCCCATCTTGAGCCCAACCCTCATGACCCCATCTAACCCTAATTACCACTCAAAGGCCCCATTTCTAAATACTATCACATTGGGGATTAGGGCTTCAACATATGAATTTTGAGGGAACACAAATATTTAGTCTATAACAGAGGCATATAATGAGAGACCTAATAATTATAACTAAAGTAACTAAAATAATTACATTAAATTAGAGATAAACTATTGGTTATGCAATAATCACTCACTGGAGAGCAGAGAGCTAGCAGGCTACTCAGGCTGTATCTCTCAAAGTGCCCTTCCTTGAGTGGACCCTCACAGGATCAGTATCAGTCTGGATTCAGCTTTGTGTGTTCAAGAGCTTGATTTTATCCATTTACCTCAGAGTGTTCCAGCCATAGGGGACTGATTAAATACTAAGGAAGCTCATGAGACCTGCTTTATAAACCAGAATGAAAATTTGTTTATATTCAGGATATTCTCAATGAGTGTCCTGCTTTTCTTTAAAGATAGAAGAGGTTCTGAGTGTCTAATCATTAGAAGAGTTCAATAGCAAATGTAAGAAAGCATAAGAATGACTCAGACAACTTGAAGATAGGTCAATTGAAATTATCCAATCCGAGGAACAGAAAGGCAATAATAGAAGAAAATAGACAGAGCCTCACAGAAGTGGGATGCCATCAAGTATGCATAAAGGGAGTCTCAGAAGGAGAAAAAGATACAGAAAGAATATTTGCAGAAACAATGGTCAAAAACTTCCAAAATTTGATGAAAGACATGAATTTATACATTTGAGAAGCAGAACCAAGTCCAAGAAGGATAAACTCAGGGATCTATATTTATATACTTTATAATAAACTGTTGAAAGCAAATACAAAGAGAAAATTTTGAAAGCAACAAGAGAGAAGCTCATCACATACAAAACATCAGAAAGGTAGTCAGGGGGAGGATAAATAGGGATTGGTTAATGGGTCAAGATACAGTTAGACAGAAGAAATAAGATCTAGATTCAGTAGCAAAATAGGGTAACTATAATTAATAATAATTTATTGTATATTTCAAAATAACTAGAATAGTAGATTTGGAATATTCCCAACACAAAGAAATAATAAATGTTTGAGGTAATGAATATCCAATTACCCAGATTTGATCATTACATATTTTATGCATGTATCAAAATATCAAATGTACCCCGTAAATATACACTACAATTATGTTATCCATAAAAATTAAAAATTTAAATTATTTTAAAAGATCAGCAACTGATTTCTCACCAGAAACCATAAATGCCAAAGGCAATGAGATGACATAATCAAAATACTGACGAATAAAAAACCTGTCAACCAAGGATTTTATATATGGAAAAACTATCTTTCAAATAGGAAGTACAAATTAAAATATCCCCACATAAACAAGAGCAGAGAAAGTTCATTACTAGTATACCTTCTCTACAAAGAAATACTAAAGGAGTTCCTTCAGGCTAAATGAAAGACACTAGACAGTAACTTGAGTCCACATGAAGAAATAAAGAACTCATAAGGGTAAATACATAGGTAAATACAAAAGATAGTATCAATATTTTTGTTGTTAGTACATTCTTCATTTTTTTTCTATATAAGACAACTGCACAAAGCAATCATTATAAATCTCTGTTCATGGCCATACAATATATAAAGATGTCATTTGTGACAAAAACAACATAATGGAAGAGAGAGAATGGAGCTATAGAAGAACAAAAATTTTGTATATTACTAAAATTAATTTAGTATTAATCTGAAATGGATTGTTATAATTAAAGTGTTAATGATAATTCCTAAATTAATCACATAGAAAATAACACAAAAACATAAGAAAAACTACAAAGAAATTAAAATGATACACTGGAATATATCTACTTAACACAAAAAAGGCAGTGCTGTATGAACTGAGGAACAAAAATGACGTAAGACATATAGAAAACAAATAGCAAAATGTCAGACATAAAACACACAGCTAACATCATACTTAATGGTGAAAGACTAAAAGCTTTTCCCCTAAGATTGGAAATAAGACAAAGATATACAGTCTCATCATTTCTACTCAACATTGTACTGGAGGGTCTAGGTAGGACAATTAGGCAAGGAAAGAAATAGGAGTTATGTAGATTGGAAAGGAAGAAGTAAAACTCTGTCTACTTAAAGATGACATAATCTTGCATATAGAAAAACCTAAAGAATCCACAAAAAAAAACCTATTAAAGGTACTAAATGAGTGCAGCATATTTGCAGGATACATGATCAATATGCAAAAAAAAAAAAAAAAACCCTAGTATTTCTCTGCACTAACAATAAAAACTCCTAAACTAAATTAAGAAAACAATTCCCTTTATAATAGCACCAAAAATAATGAAATACCTAGGAAGAAATTTAACTCAAGAAGTATAAGACTTGGACACAAAAAACTATGAAACATTATTGAAAGAAATTAAAGAAGACTGAGAAACATGTGAAAGACATTCCATGTTTGTGGGTTGGAACACTTAATACTGTTAAGATAACAATCTTCTCAAACTGATCTACAGATTCGATAAAGTTTGCATCAAGACAATTCAAAAATCACTTGATGAGTTCACTGAGTATAACATGTATGAATTAGGGATGAAGGTCACATTTGCAGGCCTACTCTTTCCATCAGTCTTTCTTTAACTACCTATGCCCTTTTTCTTTGGTGACAGGAGATGACTAAAGTAGAGGAAAATATTATAGTGGGGAGAAAGGAAATTCGTCTTTACAAAATGCAGTCAGAATTTCAGTATAATTTGTGCTTAAGATACTTAATGCCTAAGCCCATAGTGACAGTAAGCATAAAATCAACAAAATTTCTAAAATTTTTTCAAGCCAAATGGGTCTAGGCTTTTCTGTATGATACCCTAGGATGCCAACAAAGCCACAGATACAGAGTGGTGGTTGTGGGCAGTGGTAGAGAGCAGAAGGCAAGAAAAGGGCTTTCAGGAGCCATTTCATTTATAGTCTTTAAAGTTAATGAAGACTCTAGATATGCCATTTCCAAGTTTGTTGTTCTGTCCGTGGCACATGTATGTCTTCTAATGGGAATATGTCAGAAACTAGGACCTTTTTTTATGGGAGGGAAGTATCATGAAAGGACACATACAACCATTCAAGAGAACAGGCCAGGATGGGGAACTTCGAGAAGAAGCAATGGTTATAAGGAGGCAGAAATGCCAAGCAAGTAAGCATGAAGGCCATGCTTGACATTTTTGCTATTTTGCCACTCACTAGTTCATTGTTATATACCATCCCTACCTTCCAAGACACAATCCTGCCAAATCCAGTGACTGGGTATTATGGCATTTTGCCAGGCCTGCTCCAGATAATCATATCAGTCCATTCTTAGAGTATAGGGAAAGGGATTTTTCTGTTTGAGTGGAAGTCAAATTGTGACCCTCTAGCTCAGGAGTCTGGCCAGAAGATCAGTACATGGATACTATTGCCGTAGCACCGAGTTACCACCATCAATTACCATGTCAGCGACTAACCACAGGCAGGGAGTTGACCTCAAAAGGGGATGAGAGTTCCTTCCATCAGACAGCTATTTCATTTACAATGCCTCTGGCAGTGCTTCTAAACCACTCTCAGACTCCCTAGCCCCAGGAAGAAGGAAATCAAACGGATATTATATCTAATTATGGCTCCTGATGAGAGAAGACAGACAAAAAAATTAGTAGAAAAGTGTTAATAACATTTATGAATTTTCCATGTGAAATGGCAAATCAGGAGCACCTCCTGTGGCATAAATACTATAAGAATGAATCTCCAATGAGACTTTACCAACTCTTGGCTCTCAAAGAAAGAAATAGAGTCAGGCTCTGTTAGAAAGTTTGTGTTTTGAGAATCTTTTCTGAGAATTAGACATTGTCCTTTGGGGAGCTGGGCCTCTTTGATAGGCCCTTTGCTAAGTGAAAAGATTCCCATGTGGCCTTTCTACTGGACCAAAATGAAATTAAAGTGGAAAAGATGTTTCCAAATGCAGCCAATGGCCCAAACCAGAAAGAGATCTGTTTTGCTTCAATCATACATGGTCAACTGAACAAAAAAAAAAGTTTAATAAATAAACATTTACTGAGAATCCACTGTATGACAAGATCCTTTAAGAATTTCATAGGTATAGAAAAAAGAAAGAAAGAAAGAAAGAAAGAAAGAAAGAAAGAAAGAAAGAAAGAAAGAAAGAAAGAAAGAAAGGGACAGGCTACTATTTTAAGGAGAATTCTAGTTCATTTTATGCATTTTTCTTGCAAATTTGACTCCACAAAGATGCATTATCGCATTACTGACTTTGTGTTTAAGCATTGTGCATGCATGTAAAAATGTTGAAAATTCCTCAATAAATGAAGAGAGAAGGCTTATCTTGTATATCAGCAATTCTGAAAAATAAAGTTTTTTGAGATAACTGAATTTCTCAAGGTCTGTTTTGTTGTTGTTGTTGTTGTTATTTGGGTGAGTCCATATACAGTGATGACCCACTGAGGTTTCTGATCAATCTCATTAAAAGACTTACATTGTTCATCACAGCATTTCAGATGACCACAGTTATAAAAGCTATTTCTTTTTTTTTTTGAGATGGAGTTTCGCTCTTGTCACTCAGCCTGGAGTGCAGTGGCATGATCTTGGCTCACTGCAACCTCTGCCTCCTGGGTTCAAGAGATTCTCCTGCCTCAGCCTCCCAAGTGGCTGGGATTACAGGCACCTGCCACCACGCCTGGCTAATTTTTTGTATTTTTAGTAGAGATGGGGTTTCACCATGTTAGGCAGGCTGGTGTCGAACTCCTGACCTGAGGTGATCTGCCTGCCTCGGCCTCCCAAAGCTATTTCTTTATTAATATAGTTCATCTGCTCATAACTGTTACACATGTTCAGTTGTCATTAGTATAACTGAATGTTTATGCTTGCAACAATATGTATGTTATTATTGCTTATTTTATTGTGTAATGTGGTCTGTGAAGTGTCACGTTTTTATGTTTTTCAAATAAATGCCCTTTTTAAAATGTAAATAAATATTCTTTTTAGGAATTTAAAAGTTATTTTTTTCCAGAATTATATTTTAGGGATTTTGATCTTTCAGGGTTTCTTTTTCTCTTTCCTTTTTAAAAAATTGAGTTGGGGTCTCGCTATGTTGCCCAGGCTGGTCTCTAGCTCCTGGCTTCAAGCAATCTTCCTACCTTGGCCTCCCAAACTGCTGGGATTATAGGTGTAAGCCACCATGCTCAGCATCAGGATTTCAACATTCAGGATTATGGCGCTTGGGATTGTGTCTTTCAAAATTATGATTGACTCTTTCAGAGTTTACACACTAGCTATAAAAATAAAACATAAATAGATGGTAAAAGGAATCAGGAAAGGACAATTGGTCTGGAGCCCAGGATACCTGGGCTCTAGTCCTGGCTCTAACAGGTGGCTGTGTGACCATGGGTAAGTCCTTTTTTCTCTATTGGCCCCACTTTTCCCATTTGTAAGCTGAGAAGGTTAAACTAGATCCTTAAATGCTTTCCCAACTCCGACATTACTTAAAAGTAATGAGTATAGGAAAATGGGAGGCGGGGGGGATAGTTGAGCATCCCATCCTAAAGAGGATTTAGTTTTTTTTGAGGGTGAGTGTTTGTTTGTTTGTTTGTTTTCTATTCCAAGGACACAAGGTATCTTCCCAATGCTTTGGAGTCACTGAAAGTGGAAGGCCGTAAAAGCCTAATGCCAGAACTAGGGAACATTTTCTCTCCAAGGATCAGTAAAATGCAGTCAGGAAAGTTGGTGACTCATTCTAAGTAAGACCTCCTCAGGGAAATTGTAGAGGGCAACTCCAAAGTCAGCTTCAAAGTTTCCAGACTTTCCTTTTTCATCATTTGCTGTCCAAATGCAGAAGGATTATAATAAGATTTCTATCAGACCCATTACTTTGGCAGAGAGCCCAGTGTCTGCCTGGGGATGGAGGCAGTGTTTGGTGCCCATGAATAAGGCTTGTAAATTGCTATTCTTTGTAACATTGCTGAGGAGGCAATGCCACATTCAAGACAAAAGACCATCAGTAGACTAGAGATGAAGAGAAGGTAGTGGAATAATGGAGATGGTCTTTTATGGAGATTATGAGCAGAGGGTTTGGAGTCATTCAGTCCTAGGCTCAATTCCAGCACCATCACCTTGAGCTTAAGTATTTAAACATTTTTTGAGCCTCAGTTATTTCATGTGCAAAATGAAGATAATAATAATACTGATTCTACAATGATTATTATAAAGATTAAATAAAATATTGTATGTAAGGAGTGGGCACATGTGTCTGGCGCCTAGTAGATGCTCAATAAATGGTAACTGCTAACATTAATTAACATAGCCATGATCATCATTATCATCATCATCGATTTCTCTCCATACTGGCAGTAAAGACATTCCTAAATAATTAAGATAACAAATGACTTATCAAAGATCATTGATATTAAATGCTCAGAAATCATCAATGGCTGCTCATTTTCTATGGTTTCAAATCCAAACTCTTTTGTTTGGCAGTTGATGTCCTCCACAATTAGCCTCATCCAGTCCCTTCCATATCATTAGTTTTGGAGGTTATTCACCTGCACTTCACTCCCAGGCCTGCTCAATTATGCTACAAATTCTAACCATGGCTGGGGGATATATTGGGAGCTTTATATCCTTCCGTGGGTAGGTTTGTCCTTAGTTACTATGCCCCATGCATGGTATTCAGTGAGCCTGGAGTAGTCCCTGGACTTATATCCCTATGGCATATCGGGTCCTAACCCATGGTAATTTGATTCAGTCTAGATAATTGAGTTTTGTCTTAGCTTCCCTAGAATGAAGGCTTATCTTGTCTTTCTGCCCAGATCCAACCACAGAATGTTGGGTTCTGTACCACGGTGCCCCCAGCTATGCCTGGGGTTCTTAATAAAAGACTGATGATTGAGAACCAGGATACCAAGACACAACGAATTTTGAATGTTGTCTGTCACCTAGATCTTCTTGCTTTCATGTCTCACAAATCCCAGGACATCCCTTTGAGAACTGTATTGGACTGATAATATTTCACTCAAGGCCGCAGAAGGAAACAGAAGCCTCACTCAAAGAGAGTAATTGAGGAGAGTTTAATGAAAGAGCTATTTAAATAATTTGAGAAGGGTTAAAAGAAACCAACAAAGGATGGTGAACACCCCAAAGTTTGCAATATCAGCAGAGCCTTTATCATTCCTAGGCCTAAAAGCATAAATGGAGGGCGTAGTTACTGGATCCCAGAGGGAAAAAGACCCATAGCTGTGGCTGTAAGAGATGACACTCCCTATCCAACAAATGTTGCCTTTGGGGGAGGAATTCAGCCACTGACAACTAACATCAACCTGGGAGAAAAAATATCTTGACTTCTCTCTCCTCTCATTCACCACCACTGTCTCCAATTGGCTGTATCCAACCAATAAGTCAAAAGGCAAAATAACTCAGTTGATATATCCATAAAGGTCAGCCTCCTGGGACACAAAGAAGAATGCAGAAAGGTAAGGGCTAGATGTAAAGGGACAAATGGAAAATATTCAGTAAAGGCAGGTACTTCTGTTGGAGACTACCCCACAGTTCGACCAGTTCTACAATCACAACTCATATCCTGCTCAAACTTTCTTGGTGCTACTGAGGTTTCTGACATCCCAGCATTCAATTTCCCACTCCTCAACTGCAAATTATGCCAGAGACTAGATCTTATACATCTGTCTATATTCCCCCGTAACATCATAAAAACTTACTGATGCACTGTTTGGCAAATGTTACAGTTTTTCCCGTTTTCTTTCTGTCTGCCTCTCTCTTCATTCAACAATATTTCATAAGCTCCACCATACATCAGCGACTGTGTTAGATGGTGGGGATACAATGGTACATAAAAACATATACATTCTCTCCTCTCATGGCACTTACAATCTAGCAGAAAAGAAAAACACGAATCTAAAAACACATTAGGAAGCAGACATTAAGAACTAATATTTACTGAGTGCTTATAGTATGCTAGGCACTGTGTGGTGACTTTGTGTCTAACTGGTTAGAATCTGGAGCTATGTTTCCCAAAATTACTTTCCCTATATTACACCAAGTTAGAATTGGTCCCAGGAGACATGTGCACAAGATTTGAAAGGCAAAAGTGAAGGAGCAGCCATTTGTAATACTCTGAAGGTCATTGTGGTGGCAGGTGCTGTTTCAGTTTATGAACATGGCCGCTAATCTGCTAGCATGAAGAAGGAGTGCTGAAGGGTGACAGCTTCTCCTGCAGGTCACCTACATCATCAAGAATGGAGGTGATGAAAGGTAAGCATGGGTTTCAGATATCCTCATGGGATCCAGTTTGTCTTGCTAGGTTCCAATTTGTCTTTGTTATCCCCCACTTCCCTTTGTGACCTTAGGCCCAACACCAAACACTGAAATTAACCTTATGGAAACTAATTAGCTCCCACAATTGCATAATGTCAATTCCTAAAATAAAATCCCTTACTATCTATAAACTATAGTGGTTCTGCTTCTTTGATCAAACCTTAATTGAGACTGAGATAGGTACCATTATTATCTCCATATTAAAGATTATACTAAGACACAGAAAGATTAAGCAACTTGCCCAATGTCAAACAATTAATAAATAGAGAAAGCCAAGTTTTGAATCCAAGCAGTTTAGCATAAGAGAGAAAGAGTGTGTGTGTGTGCGTGTGTGTGTGAGAGAGAGAGAGGGAGAGAGAGAGATTAACCACCATACTATTAATATCTACCTTTCAAATCTGTTTGTAATTATGCACAGGTAATTATGCAGAAGTAGATAAATACCATGAGAAAAGAAACACAATTCTACGAGAGCACAGCATATAACAAAGTATCTTGTATTAGATTATCTATCTCTCTGCCTACATATCAGTCCTATCATCTATCTATCTACTAATATATGTGTGTGTGTGTATATATATATATATATATATATATATTAATAAAATAGCTGATGCAGGAAGAAAAGCCTAACCTGCGTAAATTTGGGTAAAAGTGAAGAAAAAGCAGGAGCCCTTCCCTTCTCCTGACATCACTATTTGGACAAAGTGTTGTCTACTCCATAACAGGGAAACTACCCTACTGAGAGCATAATGCAGAAGTTGTTTGCAGTGCTAAACATTGATGAGGGGATAGTATAAAGTACACTAGATTGGGAATCAAGAAACTTGCCTTATGATTTTAGCTCTGCCACTGATTTGCTGTGTAACACTGGGCAAGTGATTTCCATTCTGTGAGTGTCCATTTCCTCTCTCTGATATGATATGATTGAACTCTACGATCTCTAAGACTCCTTCTAATCTGCTAGGAGACTATAACCATTGGCCTGTGAAATTAGGGGCTGTCCAGGTTTTCAGATAATTCAAGAAAGCAGTTTGGATAATAAACCTGGGATTCCTGGGTGATTATTTGCAGTCTCAAAAGAAAACAAGATAGCTGATATTTAGGTAGTTTTGTTGGAATTCATGAAGAGAAAGAAGGGATGGTAGAGCTGCTTTACCTAGTCATAAATCAGTCTGGCAATCACTGTAGGCTATACACCATTTTTCTTACCAAGATCTCTGACGAATTCTTGTGTTGCAATAAAAAAAGATTAACACATTCATTTTGAAGAGATGGTCTCTTCATTCCAAAAGTCTCCAGGGGAACTTTTACCAAATAGCAGAATGTGGAAGCACAGCATGATTCAAGGAAACCACATGACCTTCTACCAAGAGAATGATGAATACTTTTTACCTTGGCCAGGAAGGAAACGTGGACTAGAATTGATTTCCTCTCTTCTCTTGGGAGAAAGTGGGAGTGAGGGCATTAGAAATCCCATTTTGAAAAGTTTGGATTAAAATCTTTGTACTTTATAGATATGTGAGAGTTAAGATAAATAAAATACTTGTCCTGTTCAATGTCTGTTGTTTTGCAGTTTGAATTGAATACAATTCTTTTCCTTTTTTTAATTTTAATTTTTTTTATTATACTTTAAGTTCCAGGGTACATGTGCACAACGTGCAGGTTTGTTGCATATGTATACATGTGCCATGTCAGTGTGCTGCACCCATTAACTTGTCATTTACATTAGATATATCTCCTAATGCTATCCCTGCCCCCTCCCCCCACCCCATAACAGGCCCTGGTGTGTGATGTTCCCCTTCCTGTGTCCAAGTGTTCTCATTGTTCAATTCCTACCTATGAGTGAGAACATGTGGTGTTTGGTTTTTTGTCCTTGCAATAGTTTGCTGAGAGTGATGGTTTCCAGCTTCATCCATGTCCCTACAAAGGACATGAAATGGGATCTAGAACTAGAAATACCATTTGAGCCAGTGATCCCATTACTGGGTATATACCCAGAGGATTATAAATCATGCTGCCAAAAAGACACATGCACAGGTCTGCTTATTGCTGCAATATTCACAATAGCAAAGACTTGGAACCAACCCAAATGTCCATCAATGATAGACTGGATTAAGAAAATGTGGCACAAATACACTTATTTTCTAATTAAATTTTTTATTATACTTTAAGTTCTGGGATACATGTGCAGAATGTGCAGGTTTGTTACATGGGTATACATGTGCCATGGTGGTTTGCTGCACCCATCAACCCGCCATCTACATTTGTTTAAGAGGAGTCTAAGTCTCTTGGTAGGTCTCTAAGAACTTGCTTTATGAATCTGGGTGCTCCTGTACTGGGTGCATATATATTTAGGATAGTTAGCTCTTCTTGTTGAATTGATCCCTTTACGATTATGTAATGCCCTTCTTTGTCCTTTTTGACCTTTGTTGGTTTAAAGCCTGTTTTATCAGAGACTAGGATTGCAACCCCTGCTTTTTTTTTGCTTTCCATTTGCTTGGTAAATATTCTTCCATCCCTTTATTTTGAGCCTATGTGTGACTTTGCACGAGATCGTTCTCCTGAATACAGCACACTGATTGGTCTTGGCTCTTTATCCAGTTTGCAAGTCTGTGTCTTTTAATTGGGGCATTTAGCCCATTTACATTTAAGGTTAATATTGTTATGTGTGAATTTCATCCTGTCATTATGATGCTAGCTGGTTATTTTGCCCGTTAGTTGATGCAGTTTCTTCATAGTGTCAATGGTCTTTGCAATTTGGTATGTTTTTGCAGTGGCTGGAACCAGTTTTTCCTTTCCATATTTAGTGCTTCCTTCAGCAGATCTTGTAAGGCAGGCCTGGTGGTGACAAAATATCTCAGCATTTGCTTGTCTGTAAAGGATTTTATTTCTCCTTCGCTTATGAAGCTTAGTTCGGCTGGATATGAAATTCTGCGTTGAAAATTCTTTTCTTTAAGAATGTGGAATATTGGCTCCCAGTCTCTTCTGGCTTGTAGGGTATCTGCAGAGATCCGCTGTTAGTCTGATGGGCTTCCCATTGTGGATAACCCAACCTTTCTCTCTGGCTGCCCTTAACATTTTTTCCTTCATTTCGACCTTGATGAATCTGATGATTATGTGCCTTGTGGTTGCTGTTCTCCAGGAATATCTTTGGGGTATTCTCTCTATTTCCTGAATTTGAATATTGGTCTGTCTTGCTAGGTTGGGAAAGTTCTGGATAATATCCTGAAGAGTGTTTTCCAACTTGGTTCCATTCTCCCTGTCACTTTCAGGTATACCAATCAAATGTAGGTTTGGTCTTTTCACATAGTCCCATATTTCCTGAAGGCTTTGTTTGTTCCTTTTCATTCTTTTTTTGTCTAATCTTGTCTTCACACTTTATTTAATTAAGTTGATCTTCAATCTCTGATATCATTTCTTCCACTTGATTGATTTGGGTTCATGAAGTTCTCATGCTGTGTTGTTCAGGTCTATCAGGTCATTTATGCTCTTCTCTAAACTGGTTATTCTAGTTAGCAATTCCTATAACCTTTTTTCAAGGTTCTTAGCTTCCTTGCATTGGGTTAGAACATGCTCCTTTAGCTAGGAGGAGTTTGTTATTACACACCTTCTGAAGCCTACTTCTGTCAATTCGTCAAACTCATTCTCTGTCCAGTTTTGTTCCCTTGCTTGTAAGGAGTTATGATCCTTTGGAGGAGAAGAGGTGTTCTGGTTTTTGGAATTGTCAGCCTTTTTGTGCTGGTTTTTCCTCATCTTCCTGGATTTAGCTACCTTTGGTCTTTGATGTTGGTGACCTTTGGATGGGGTTTCTGTGTGGATGTCGTTTTTGTTGATGTTGATGCTATTCCTTTCTGTTTGTTAGTTTTCCTTCTAACAGTCAGGCCCGTCTGCTGCAGGTCTGCTGGAGTTTGCTGGAGGTCCACCCCAGACCCTGTTTGCCTGGGTATCACCAGCGGGGTCTCTAGAACAGCAAAGATTCCTGCCTGTTCCTTCCTCTGGAAACTTCATCCCAGAGGGGCACCTGCCAGATGCCAGCTAGATCTCTCCTGTATGAAGTGCCTGTCAATCCCTGCTGCAAGGTGTCTCCCAGTCAGGAGGAGCACGGGTCAGGGACCCACTTGAGGAGGCAGTCTCTCCCTTAGCAGAGCTCGAGTGCTGTGCTGGGAAATCTGCTGCTCTCTTCAGAGCCAGCAGGCAGGAACTTTTAAGTCTGCTGAAGCTGTGCCCATAGCCACCCCTTTCCCCAGGTGTTCTGTCACAGAAACATGGGAATTTTATCTGTAAGTCCCTGACTGGGGCTGCTGCCTTTCTTTCAGAGATGCCCTGCCCAGAGAGGAGGAATCTAGAGAGGCAGTCTGGCTACAGCAGCTTTGCTGTGCTGCAGTGGGCTCCCCGCAGTTTGAGCTTCCTGGAGGCTTTGTTTACACTGTGAGGAGAAAACTTCCTACTCAAGTCTCAGTAATGGCAGACCCCCTTCCCCCCACCAAGCTTGATCATCCCAGGTTGACTTCAGACTGCTGTGCTGGCATTGAGAATTTCAAGCCAGTGGATTTTAGCTTGCTGGGCTCCGTGATGGTGGGATCCGCTGAGCTAGACCACTTGGCTCCCTGGCTTCAGCCCCCTTTTCAGGGGAGTGAACAGTTCTGTCTCGCTGGCATTCCAGGTGCCACTGGGGTATGGAAAAAAACTCCTGCAGCTAGCTCGGTGTCTGCCCAAATGGCCACCCAGTTCTGTGCTTGAAACCCAGGGCCCTGGTGTTGTAGGTACCCAAGCAAATCTCCTGGTCTGCAGGTTGTGAAGACCACGGTAAAAGCGTAGTATCTGGGCAGGAAGGCACCGTTCCTCACAGCACAGTCCCTCATGGCTTCCCTTGGCTAGGGGAGGGAGTTCCCTGACGCCTTGCACTTCCCGGGTGAGGCAACGCCCCACCCTGCTTCTGCTCACCCTCCGTGGGCTGCACCCACTGTCTAACCAGTCCCAATGAGATGAGCCGGGTACCTCAGTTGGAAATGCGGAAATCACCTGCCTTCTGTGTTGATTTCACTGGGAGCTGCAGACTGGAGCTGTCCCGATTCGGCCATCTTGCCAGCCATCCTAATTAAATTTCTGATAGAGTTTTAAACAAGTGAGAAGTTCATGTAGCATGGCTAAGTTTATAATTTAGGCAGCCATCTCTTACATGAAGAAAAATAACAACTTCAGATTTAGTCTGATATCCTGAAGCATCTGAATCAGATAACTGTAAAACTGGGGGGAAAAGGTATTCCTCTTATATTTAAGGAGAATGAGACAATTTAAAGAGATTGCTCTTAGGTCCATGAAGACTAAGGTCCTCAAAGTATAAGGATGGGATGAGATCACATTTCTTTGACCTACATCAATAACGCACATTAACTAGTTATTTAAATGAACCAACCCCATTTAATAAGCTTGAGGTTGTTTTTAATAGAAAAAGAAAGGCTTAACTAACCCCTTGTAAGTGGCCTTATTTCAAAAAATGCAAAATCCACAGTGGGAATTTGTGTTTAGAGAAAAGGTTGTATCACAGAATGCCATTTTTATCTCCTTTTCAGTTCTAGTTGCTCCTTTTATTGTAGCATTTGTTCATTCAAATATCTGTTATGTATGGGTTTTGTATCAGGTACCATGCTAAGTATTGGCTTACCTCTTTGACTCTTGGATTTTTACAAGCTGCATTTAGATGTCGAGCCTCCAGAGCTGGGACTTCAATGTCAATTTTAAGATTTTTTGCTTTGCTTGGGAATTTTCTCCCTTTCTGGTTTTCCTCCAACAAACCCCTTTTATTCACACACAGGCTATCAGAAAAGTGGAAGAGGGGCTGTGTCATACAAGATATCATAAGTGCAAACCACAGTTGGCATATAAAGGAATGCTTCCAAGTGTCAAGGCATTTTAGTGACCATATACAGCACTGTACCTCACCCTCAATTAGATGCAAAATACGCCCATGTTCTTCAGACTCCTTTAGGACTCTGATCAATACCTGTGGATTCAAGTTTGCCACATCCAACAAAGAATAAACCAGAGTGAACACCAAATGCTTCTACCCTAGCACTAGCATTTGTCTTCAGCATCTCTTGCCCACTAGTGCTAGTTTGCTGCTATACTGGACTTTTCTGTCTCTATCTATTCCCTTTCCTTGATTTTTAAATGTCATATCCCTTATCATCTCCTAATATATTATATTTGAAATATTATATATGCTGTTTGTAATCTGTTGAAGCCCCATGAAGACAGGGAAGTTTGTTTGTTTTGTTCACTCAATGCCTAGAATAGCACCTGGCTCATAGTTAAGCCCTCAAAAATGTGATGAATAAATGAATGAATGAGTGATACCTGCTTGTTCCTTTTCACCTTAATTGACTCTTTGGGCCTCAAGCCCACATTTATCTAAGATCTACAGCAGAAACCTGATCCTACTATTCCTCTGGCATTAATCCTTCAGGCTTGTCCTACCTGACATACCAGATTCGGCTTGGTGAACCGACCCAACATATAACCCAGAGAGGAAAATAGCCAATTCAAAGCATTTTTGCATACACAAGTACCCACACACAAAACTACTTGGTTTTTTTTTCATTTGTCCTTAAAGCTGCTTTTTTTTTATGTCCCTATATATGTGAGTACGTAAAATGGTTTTGCCCTTAACATATGGAGCAGAAGCATTACTACCCACCACAGATTCCCTCTAGACCCCCACCCTTCATTCAGGTTGTATAGCCTTACTTGATTTATTCTCCCTCCTCAGTATTAGCATTTTAATATTCCCTAGGCCTAACTCACAGGAATGAAGAACTGTGGGCCACATTAATTAGGGGGCAACAACAACCAGGGCCTTTTTACCTCCTGTAATGTGACTCTGTCTGGCCCCTTCTTCCACAGCCACATTGGGTAGGCCATGCTTGACAAAGAGTTTAGGAAACATTGAATACTAAGAATCTGTTCCTCAAAGAGAGTTCAATTCAACCAATCACGTTTTTCTTTGCCAACTACCTTAGTTATGTCTGTTAGACCAGAAACCCAAGAGGACTCTTTTTTTTTAAATTGACAATTCAAGAGACTCTTCACACTCTTTTTGCTCCCTCTGTGTGTCGTGGATTTATTTTCTAAGAGGTGTGTGGTCAGAGGGGAGAGATAGAATGAGCACTGCATTTCTTTCATTTCTTTCTGCTTTGGAAGTGTCCCTGGCATATATGATGTGATTCTAGGGAAGCAATATAGGAGTTAGGGTTGAGGTAAGGGGAGTTGCAATTCGCAGGTGCTATCACAGATGAGATAATCATAAATCAGTATCTGTGATACCTGACAATAAAACAGAAGAGATGAGGATGGGAAATCAGTTAAGCAAACAGTTTTTTAAAAACTATGTATTTTAGAATAATTTTTAATTTACTGAAAAGTTGTAAAGATATTACAAACTCTTCACAAACACCCTTCACTCAGTTTCCCCTAGTGTTCACAGCTTACATAACTATGGTACAGTTGTCAGAGGCAAGAAATTAACATTGATATATTGCTGTTACTAAGCTACTAGATTTCACTCATTTTTCCACTAAAATCCTTTTCTGTTTCACGGTCCAATGCAGGATTCCACATTGCATCTAAGAGATAGCTTTTTGGCATCATGTGAGAAGATCTACTCAAGAAGCCAAGCCTAGGCCCAGAATCATCGGGGAAAGCTGCTTACATGGGGCTGGGCTCTTTTGTTCCTGACTACAAGTCCTGGTTAATCTGCACTGTATGGTATAGGCAAGGGGAGCTTGGCTAAACAGCAGGGGTATGCTCAGGCATCAAAAGGGGAGTACTGCCACATTGATTGGATTTCCTACCTTCAGCGCTATTAAGAATGACAAATCTGTATTATGAAGTAGACATGTTAGAGTCACTATGTTAAACATGTCAAACACATGGGACAGTCTAGACTGGGGGTTGACAAACTGCAGCCTTACAGGCCAAACTTTGCTGTTGACTGTTTTTTTTTTTTTAATGAAGCTATTTATTGGAATACTTAGACACTCCTGTTTCTTTATGTGTTGTCTATGGCTGTGTTTGCACTACAAAGACAGAGTAGAATAGTTGAGACAGAGACTGTGTGGCCCATAAAGTCTGAAATATTTACCATCTGGCTCTTTGTGGAAATAGTTATCTAAATGTGATTACCAGGTAGAGAAATAAGAAACTGGATGGTCTGTACCTAGTAGAAGCTGCAAAACTGTTAGACAACATGTACAACCTATGTCAGAAGGCTGGGGCATGGAATTATATCAAGCTAACAAGCTTCTGCACAACAAAGGAAACAACTGATAAAGTGAAGAGACAGTCCACAGAACGGCAGAAAATATTTGCAAACTACCCGTCCAACAAGGGATTAATAACCAGAGTACATACAAAACTCAAACAACTCAATAGCAAAAAAAAAAAAAATCCCAAATAATCTAATTTTAAATGGGCAAAAGACCTGAATAGACATTTCCCAAAAGAAGACATATAAATTGCCAAGTATATGAAAAAATACTCAATGTCACAAATCATCAGGAAAATGCAAATTAAAACCACTATGGGGTATGACCTCACCCCAGTCTGAATGGCTATTATCAAAAAGACAAAAAACAACAAATGCTGGAAAGGATGCAGAGAAAAGGGAACACTTATATACTGTTGGTGGACATGTAAATTAATATACACTCTATGGAGGTTTCTCAAAGACCTAAAAATAGAACAACCATATGATCCAGCAATGCCACTGCTGGGTACATACCCAAATAAAATAAAATAAATATATGAAAGAGATATCTGTACTCCCATGTTTATTGCAGAACTATTCACAATGGAAAAGACTGGAATCAACCTAAGTGTCCATCAACAGACACTTTTTGTCCATTCGGACAAAAAAAAAAACCAACACCATAGTATATATAAACAGTGGAATACAGCCACAAAAAAATAAAATCCTCTCACTTGCTGCAACATGGATGGAACTGGATGTCATTATGTTAAGCGAAATTAGCCAGGCACAGAACAACAAATACTTCATGTGCTCACTCTATATGGGAGCTAAAAAAGTGGATCTCATGGAGGTAGCAAGTAGAATGGTAGTTACTAGAGGCTGAAAAGGGAAGTGGGGAAGGGGGATGAAGAGAAGTTGGATAATGAGTAAAAAAAACCAATTAAATACAAGTAATACATATTAGTATTCAATAGTACAATAGGAAAATTATAGTTATCAATAATTAATCTTATATTTCAAAATAGCTTGAAGAACTGTAATGTTCCCAACGCAAAGATAAATGTTTGAGGTGATGGATATCCCAATTACCCTGATGAGGTCGTTACATACTGTACACATGTATCAAAATATCACATATACCTCAAAAATATGTTATATCAATTTAAAAAAAGAAGTCTAGTGCCTGGCCAGTGACACACCCAGTAATGAGTGAGGCTTCCTTGGAGATTCTGTGAACATCACACTGCTGAATGTGGCTTCTACCCCAGGCCCAGCTCCTGAAATTTCTAATTAAGGGGAGATCACTAAACCACGGAAAAGCTAGTTGGTTGTGGAAAGGGGGAAATCACTTCTTACTAATGCTCTGAGAATTCTTTCTTGTAAGCTAATACTGAGAAACGAAAATTGAATCTATAAATTACCTTGGGCAGTATGGCCATTTTCACGATATTGATTCTTCCTACCCATGAGCATGGAATGTTCTTCCATTTGTTTGTATCCTCTTTTATTTCATCGAGCAGTGGTTTGTAGTTCTCCTTGAAGAGGTCCTTCACATCCCTTGTAAGTTGGATTCCTAAGTATTCTCTTTGAAGCAATTGTGAATGGGAGTTCACTCATGATTTGGCTCTCTGTTTGTCTGTTATTGGTGTATAAGAATGCTCGTGATTTTTGTACATTGATTTTGTATCCTGAGACTTTGCTGAAGTTGCTTATCAGCTTAAGGAGATTTTGGGCTGAGACAATGGGGTTTTCTAGATATACAATCATGTCATCTGCAAACAGGGACAATTTGACTTCCTCTTTTCCTAATTGAATACCCTTTATTTCCTTCTCCTGCCTAACTGCTCTGGCCAGAACTTCCAACAGTATGCTGAGTAGGAGTGGTGAGAGACGGCATCCCTGCTTGTGCCAGTTTTCAAAGGGAATGCTTCCAGTTTTTGCCCATTCAGTATGATATTGGCTGTGGGTTTGTGATAGATAGCTCTTATTTTTTTGAGATACTTCCCATCAATACCTAATTTATTGAGAGTTTTTAGCATGAAGCGTTGTTGAATTTTGTCAAAGGCCTTTTCTGCATCTATTGAGATAATCAAGCTACCAATGACTTTCTTCACAGAATTGGAAAAAACTACTTTAAAGTTCATATGGAACCAAAAAAGAGCCCGCATTGCCAAGTCAATCCTAAGCCAAAAGAACAAAGCTGGAGGCATCACACTACCTGACTTCAAACTATACTACAAGGCTACAGTAACCAAAACAGCATGGTACTGGTACAAACACAGAGATATAGATCAATGGAACAGAACAGAGCCCTCAGAAATAACGCCACATATCTACAACTATCTGATCTTTGACAAACCTGAGAAAAACAAGCAATGGGGAAAGGATTCCCTATTTAATAAATGGTGCTGGGAAAACTGGCTAGCCATATGTAGAAAGCTGAAACTGGATCCCTTCCTTACACCTTATACAAAAATTAATTCAAGACGGATTAAAGACTTAAACGTTAGACCTAAAACCATAAAAACCCTAGAAGAAAACCTAGGCATTGCCATTCAGGACATAGGCATGGGCAAGGACTTCATGTCTAAAATACCAAAGGCAATGGCAACAAAAGCCAAAATTGACAAATGGGATCTAATTAAACTAAAGAGCTTCTGCACAGCAAAAGAAACTACCATCAGAGTGAACAGGCAACCTACAAAATGGGAGAAAATTTTTGCAACCTACTCATCTGACAAAGGGCTCATATCCAGAATCTACAATGAACTCAAACAAATTTACAAGAAAAAAAACAACCCCATCAAAAAGTGGGCAAAGGATATGAACAGACACTTCTCAAAAGAAGACATTTATGCAGCCAAAAGACACATGAAAAAATGCTCATCATCACTGGCCATCAGAGAAATGCAAATCAAAACCACAATGAGATATCATCTCACACCAGTTAGAATGGCAATCATTAAAAAGTCAGGAAACGACAGGTGCTGGAGAGGATGTGGAGAAATAGGAACACTTTTACACTGTTGGTGGGACTGTAAACTAGTTCAACCATTGTGGAAGTCAGTGTGGCCATTCCTCAGGGATCTAGAACTAGAAATACCATTTGACCCAGCCATCCCATTACTGGGTATATACCCAAAGGACTATAAATCATGCTGCTATAAAGACACATGCACATGTATGCTTATTGTGGCACTATTCACAATAGCAAAGACTTGGAACCAACCCAAATGTCCATCAATGATAGACTGGATTAAGAAAATGTGGCACATATACACCATGGAATACTATGCAGCCATAAAAAATGATGAGTTCATGTCCTTTGTAGGGACATGGATGAAATTGGAAATCATCATTCTCAGTAAACTATCGCAAGGACAAAAAACCAAACACTGCATGTTCTCACTCATAGATGGGAATTGAACAATGAGAACACATGGACACAGGAAGGAGAACATCACACTCTGGGGACTGTTGTGGGGTGGGGGGAGGGGGGAGGGATAGCATTGGGAGATATACCTAATGCTAGATGGTGAGTTAGTGGGTGCAGCACACCAGCATGGCACATGTATACATATGTAACTAACTGGCACATTGTGCACATGTATCCTAAAACTTAAAGTATAATAATAATAATTAAAAAAAAGAAGCTCAAAAAAAAAAAAAAGAAACGAAAATAAGACAACCCATGGGCATAATCTATTTAGATATTTTCATACTTTCCTTTGACAATATTGTATATTTAGGATGACTTTAAATTATTAGATTATCATAAGATGACAGAATATTTTAATTACTCAAGTCATTATTGAATACTTAGTTTATCTACTGCCCTGTGGGATTTCAAAAAGACGTTAAACCCAGTCTGTGTCTTATGATTTTAGTTGGAAAGAAAACACATGCACTCAACCACCTATTATAAAACTACAATAAAGTATCAAAACATCTAAATGTCTCCATTTAGTCTCAATCCTTTCTCACTCCTAGGATGACTCAGTCCTTCCTTTCCCTATGGCATCCTTCCAACTCCAGAGGGCTACTATGCCCTCTGGAGACACCATTTCAAGGTAAGCAAACTCCCCGACATGCTTAACCTCCTCACATAACAACTCTTTTTTTAACTGAAATCTGGCTCCACCACCAGAACCCTGCATCCCTTTAAGCTCTCTCAAGAGTAGGGTGTTTATTCCCACATACTTCAGAAATCTTATGGCCACGATTGCTTTTATTGTCCCCATTTTAGTAATGAGAAAACTGAGGCTTAGAGAAGCCAAGTAACTTTCCCAAGGCCACACAGCCAGTAAGCGGCAGAGCTGGGATTAGGACCCAGATGAGAATGATGGGAGCATCATGCTCTTTACAACCACACTAGAGAGTCTTGCAGATCCTCCATAATCCTCCATCATCACTTGATGCTAAAGGTGAAACATCTAAGAAACAATAGAATTTTTAAAAATCTAGGATCCTGTACTTTATTTTTTTCCCAATATTACCCTGCACTTATTTATTTATTTGTTTTTTCTTGAGAACTTGGTCTTTCATTGTTTTTTTTTCATCAACTTTTAAGTTTCAGGATACATGTGCAGAATGTGCTGATTTGTTACATAGGTAAACGTGTGCCTTGATGGTTTGCTGCACTAATGAACCTATCACTTAGGTATTAAGACCAGCATCTATTAGCCATTCTTCCTGATGATGTCCCTCCCCCGACCCCCCCAACAGGCCCCAGTGTGTGTTGTTCCCCCTCCATGTGTCCATGTGTTCTCATTGCTCAGCTCCCACTTATAAATGAGAACATGTGGTGTTTGGTTTTCTGTTCCTGCATTAGTTTGCTGAGGATAATGGCTTCCAGCTCTATCCATGTCCCTGCAAATGACATGATCTCTTTTTATGGCTGCATAGTATTCCATGTAGTATATGTACCACATTTTCTTTATCCAGTCTATCATTGATGGGCACATGGGTTGATATGGGTTGATTCCATGTCTTTGCTATTGTGAGTAGTGCTGCAATGAACATAACATATCTTTATAATAGAGTGACTTATATTTCTTGGGGTCTATACCCAGGAATGGAATTGCTGGGCCAAATAGTATTTCTGCTTCTAGATCTTTGAGGAATTGCCACACTGTCTTCCACCGTGGTTGAACTATTAATAATTTACATTCCCACCGACAGTGTAAAAGCATTCCTTTTTCTACACAAGCTCACCAGCATCTTGTTGTTTCTTGACTTTAATAATCACCATTCTGAGTGGCATGAGATGGTATCTCATTGTGGTTTTCATACGCATTTCTCTAATAATCAGCAATATTGAGGTTTTTTTTCATATGTTTGCTGGCTTTGTGAATGTCTTCTACTCAGAAGCATCTGTTCATGGCCTTTGCCCATTTTTTTTTGACAGAGTCTTACTCTGTCACCCAGGCTGGAGTGCAGTGGCAGGATCTCCACTCACTGTACCCTCAGCCTCCCAGGTTCAAGCAACTATCCTGTCTCAGCCTCCCTAGTAGCTGGGATTACAGGTGCCCGCTGCTACACCCAGCTAATTTTTGCATTTTTAGTAGAGATGGGTTTTCACCATGTTGGCCAGGCTGGATTTGAACTCCTCAAGTGATCTGCCTCGGCCTCCCAAAGTGCTGAGATTACAGGCGTGAGCCACCACGCCCAGCCTTTTTGCCCATTTTTTAATGGAGTTGTTTGTTTTTTTCTTGTAAATTTGTTTAAGTTCCTTCTACACTCTGGATATCAGACCTTTGTCAGATGGATAAATTGCAAAAGTTCTCTCTCATTCTATAGGTTGTCTGTTCACTCTGATGATAGTTTATTTTGCCATGCAGAAGCTCTTTAATTTAATTAGATCACATGTGTCAATTTTTTCTGTTGTTGCAGTTGCTTTTAGCATTTTCATCATGAAATCTTTGCCCATGCCTATGTCCTGAATGGTATTGCTTAGATTTTCTTCTAGGGTTTTTTATTGTTTTGGGATTTATATTTAAGTCTTTAATCTATGTTGAGTTAATTTTTATACAAGGTGTAAGGAATAGATAGACCACTAGCTAGACTAATAGATAAGAAAAGAGAGAAGAACCAAATAGACACAATCGGAAATGATAAGGGGGATATCACCACTGACCCCACAGATATACAAACAACAATCAGAGAATACTATAAACAGCTCTGTGCATATAAACTAGAAAATCTAGAAGCAATGGGTAAATTCCTGGACACATACACCCTTCCAAGACTGAACCAGGAAAAAAAAATGAATCCCCAAATAGACCAATAAAGAGTTCTGAAATTGAGGCATTAATAAACTGCCTACTAACCAAAAGAAGCCCAGGACCAGATGGACTTATAGCTGTATTCATTCAGAGGTACAGAGGATCTGGTACCATTTCTACTGAAACTATTCCAAACAACTGAAAAGGAGGGACTTCTCCCTAAGTCATTTTATGAGGCCAATATCATCCTGCTACCAAAACCTGACAGAGATACAACAACAATCAAAAAAAGAAAACTTCAGGCCAATATCCCTGATGAACATTGATGCAAAAAAAACCTCAATAAAATACTGGCAAACCAAATCCAGCATCACATCAAAGAGCTTATCCACCATGATCAAGATGGCTTCATTCCTGGGATGCAAGATTGGTTCGACATATGCAAATCAATAAATGTAATTAATTACATAAACAGAACCAAAGACAAAAACCACATAATTATCTCAATAGACGCAAAAGTGGCCTTCTATAAAATTCAACATGCTTCATGTTAAAAACTCTCAATAAACTAGGTATAGAAGGAACATACATCAAAATAATGAGAGCCATGTGTGACAAACCCACAGCCGATATCATACTGAATGGGCAAAAGCTGGAAGCATACGCCTTGAAAAGCAGCACAAGACAAGGATGCCCTCTCTCACTATTCATATTCAACATAGTATTGGAAGTCCTGGCCAGGAAAATCAGGCAACAGAAAGAAATAAAGGGTATTCAGATAGCAAGAGAGGAGGTCAAGCTGTCTCTGTTTGCAAATAACATGATCCTGTATCTAGAAAACCCCATAATCTCAGCCCAAAATCTTAAGCTGATAAGCAACTTCAGCAAAGTCTCAAGATACAAAATCAATGTGCAAAATTACTACCATTCCTGTACACCAACAACAGGCATGCAGACAGCCAAATTATGAATGAACTCTTGTTCACAATTGCTACAAAGAGAATAAAATACCTAGGAATACAACTAACAAGGGAAGCGAAGGAGCTCTTTGAGGAGAACTACAAACCACTGCTCAAGGAAATCAGAGAGGACACAAACAAGTGGCAAAATCTTCCATACTCATGGATAGGAAGAATCAATATTGTGGAAAATGCCCGAAGTAATTTACAGATTCAATGTTATTTTCATTAAACTACCATTGACATTTCACAGATTTAGAAAAAAACTACTTCACAATTCATATGATATCAAAAAGGAGGCCATATAGCCAAGACAATCTTAAACACAATGAACAAAGCTGGAGACATCATGCTACCTGACTTCAAACTATACTACAAGGCTACAGGAACCAAAACAGCATGGTACTGGTACAAAAACAGACACAAAGACCAATGGAATAGAATAAAGAATTCAGAAATAATACCACACACCTACAACCTTCTGATCTTCAACAAACCTGACAAAAACAAACAATGGGGAAAGGATTCTCTATTTAATAAATGGTGCTGGGAGAACTGGCTAGCCATATGCAGAAACGTGAAACTGGATCATGCACTTTCTTAAAGTACCTAATGCAAATTCCTGATGTGTCTGTAGGGGCAGGAGGGATTTCACAGGCTTATTTGATATTCTGGCAGCATGTGTCACCCACCCACTCCTCTTTTTTGGAGTCAAGACATTGTCATCAGCAATGTAATAATAGTCCTTAGGCCAATTCTCATCTGACAGAACATCTATCAGAAGCTATATGGAAGTTGAAACCAGGAGAGGTCAAAAGAAATATAACCAGGAGAACTAGATGAGGTGTGCCTAGGAGGATGTTGTTAAACAGCAACTGAATAAGCCTGCTTCCAAATAAGTCTGCCCCAGTGCTTGGAGTTATAAGTTTGCCAGTAGATTGATGACGTATTGATCCCTCAGCCCAAGGTCCCTTATTAACTCTGGTGCCACAAGTCTCGCTCTTTTTTTACACCAAGATTCTACAGAAATATTTTCTACTCATACCAACATGGCAGTTTTATCAGAAAGTGGTCTTAATTCAGACCCCAAGAGAGGGTTCTTGGATCTCTTGCAAGAAATAATTCAAGGGCCAGGTGCAGTGGCTCACGCCTGTAATCCCAGCACTTTGGGAGGCCGAGGCGGGTGGATCACCTGAGGTCAGGAGTTCGAGACCACCCTGACAAACATGGAGAAACCCCGTCTCTACTAAAAATAAAAAATTAGACAGGCGTAGTGGCACATGCCTGTAATCTCAGCTACTAGAGAGGCTGAGGCAGGAGAATCACTTAAACCTGGGAGACGAAGGTTGCAGTGAGCCGAGAACGCACCATTGCACACTCCAGCCTGGGCAACAAGAGCGAAACATTGTCAAAAAAAAATAAAACCCAAAAAAGAAAGAAAGAAAGAAAGAAAGAAAAGAAAGAAAGAAAAAAGAAAGAAAGAAAGAAAGAAAGAAAGAAAGAAAGAAAGAAAGAGAAAGAGAAAGAAAGAAAGAAAGGAAAGAAAGGAAAGAAAGAAAGGAAAGAAAGAAAGAAAAAGAAAGAAAGAAAGAAAGAAAGAAAAAGAAAGAAAGAAAGAAAGAATTAAAGGCAAATCAATCCAAAGGGTAAAATGAAAGCAAGTATATTAAGAAAGTAAAGGAATAAAAGAATGGCTACTCCATAGGCAGAGCAGAGGCATGGGCTCCTCACCTGCTTATACTTATTATTACTTCTCAATTATATGCTAAACACAGGGTGGATTATTCATGAGTTTTTCAGGAAAGGGATGGGCAATTCCCGGAACTGAGAGTTCCTCCCCTTTTTAGACCATATAGGGTAACCTTCTGATGTTTCCATGGCATTTGTAAACTGTCAGGGTGCTGATGGGAGTGTCTTTTAGCATGCTAATGTATTATAATTAGCATATAATGAACAGTGAGGATGACCAGAGGTCACTTTCATCACCATCTTGGTTTTGGTGGGTTTGGGCCTGCTTCTTTACTGCATCCTTTTATCCTATCTCATCATGTGACTAAGAATACTTTCACCTCCTGGGAATGCAGCCCAGTAGCTCTCAGCCTTATTTTACCCAGTTCCTATTCAAGATGGAGTTGCTATGGTTCAAATGCCTGTGAAAGCAGTGCATGGGTTTGGGAAACAATGTTGTTGAAGATGGCTAAAGAGATATCCTGGCCACCAAAAATGTCATGCCTTATACACAATTTGTAACTTCTTTTGTCTCCTAGTCTGCTGTGATGTCAGAGGCTCAGGGTGCCTTTCAGAGGGTTTGAGTAGGGTATTAGAGGAAGTATGGAAGAGAAGCAGAGTCCACCCAGAATTAGGAAAACTGATGACACACAAAGTGCAGTGGTGCTTAGCCTTATAGAACAATTCCAGATCTCTTGACAGATCCTTTGCTCAGCTTGCATATTAGAGGCACAAGAAGAAATAAGCCTATCAGCAAATAGGTGAACCTTTGCTGCAATATTTGTGTCAGTCAGATCAGCCATAATAGACATGGACTGATATCTTGAGGTCACCCAAATACAAATGAAGTGATAAAGAAATAAATACAAAGATAGATAAAAGAAAAACTGTCTTGGAAGGCTACATACTAAAATGTTGACCGTGTTTTTTTTTTTCTTTTGGCCTTTCTGTATCATCTCATTTATTTTGACATTGGGTATGCATTTGTCTTAGAATAAAAAATGACATCAACAAAGCTATTTTCATTTTGGAAGATACCACCACAACAAAATTACATACTACATGACCTTGGACATTTCAATATCTCATTTACACAGTATGAGCAGGATTGAAAAACAAAGAAAAGGAAAAAAAAAAAACACCTCACTTAAACTTGGTTTCCCACCTATAAAATAGAGATAGTATCAGTGCCTTACAGGTTGCTATAAAGATCAAAAGAAAGAGTAGCAGGCACATTGCAGAAACTCAATAAGCATTTCTTTCAAAAACAAGAAAGCCTTCTGAAAGGGGTTTCAGTGATGTAAATATGAGGTGGTTTCTGCAAAAAGTAAAACAAGAGAAGCCCTTGAATTCAAGGTCAAAGTATTTAGCTTCCTGTGCCTCTAGAGGTCAGGAAAAAGCAACAGATAAAACAAGTCAGGTAAAACGTAGAACCTTTTGCCCAAGGAGGAAACTTACCCAAGTTCTACCAACACAATTTGCTTGGCCACTACTTATTCCCATCTTGCTTTTACCCCTCTATTTTTCCTTTCCCAGATGATATGAAAGAATTAGTAAACCTAACCAGCGTCCACAAGTATGTCACTGAAAGATCTATTTTGTTAGATGGAAATCTGTCCCTTTTGTCACTGACCATAACAATCTGAGAATCTTAAATGGACAAGGGATTTGGTTTGGGCCAACTTGATCCTTTGCACATGCAAACTCATGGTCCATTTTTTGCTTTAAGGAGGTTTTTGTCTCATCTCATTCTTCCTGTTAGGTACACAAAGATAGATGCTTTCAGTGTGTTTACCTTTAAATACAAGAAGTCACTTAAGGGAGCAGAATAGGGAATGCCTGCCAAGCCCACAGCAGAAGATAGGCAGCTACAATAGAAAGAGAATGGACTTAGAAAGTCATCTTAGTTCAAAAAACATAATCAAAATTACTTATGTTATTTATGTTAATATATGTTAGGCCCTGTTCTTAATACCTGGTATACATCAACTCATTTAATCTTCACATAACCTCATGCAGTGCGTACTTTTGTTATTCCTTTTGCAGATAAAGAAACTGAGGCACAGACACACTCAGATAATTCAGCTAGTAAGTGGTAAAACCAGGCAGTCTGATTCTGTGGTCTTTGCTCATAAATACTACACTTCGCCTCTCTAGGAAACAAAGTACTTTCAAGCACAGGCTGCAGTTAACCTGAGTAAAAGAGAAACCCCCTAAGCATTCCTTCTGTTTTTTCCAGGCAGTTTTTCTTTCCAAACATCCATCTTTACCCCTGCTTTCTCACTTCCTCTAGCTTGCAGTTATTCTCACCCACATTCATTGATAGTTGGGATCTCCAAAAAGAACTTTCAACAGGGCATTATCTCCCTGTAAAAAGTTGTAAAAATTAATCCTTTACCTCTTCCCTGGTTTTTCATTCATCTGAGCTCACTGACTCTTGTCCCCTTGCTAGTTACCAACATACAAAAATTGTTTCTGTCTCGTGTGCACCTACTACTCTTCTTCCTTTTGCCCATTTAAAAGCATGGTATTTCTAGGAAATGAAAAAGGGAACCAAAATAATTAAAGAATACCCAAAGAAAGCACTGCATCCTATCTTTACATTCCCAATTAGTGGACTCAGAGTCTACACTGGCACTTGGAGTGTTTTCACTGGACGGGGTCTCTGAAAGACTTTGCTGAACAACATGGATTCTTACGCCATTGCTAATCAGCACCTTTGTCAAGAGCACCATATCAATTACTCAGTAGGGGTTCTAAGAAAGGACTGATCCTTTGGATGGAGGAGGTGTCAGCAAGTCAATTATTTCTCTGGTTGCAAATCTCCTTCCTCTTTAAGAGTGCTGTATTTTTCTCTATGAATTGATTTTAATGAACACATGTTCCATTTCTAATGATTACATTCTCCATTAATGGCATTTGAATGAAAGGCAAAGTGCCACAATACTGCCTCTCCTTGACAGGAAATAAACCTTAGAAGGCTCCTCACAATACACCTTCAGGACCCACCTATCTTGGGGCTAGAAGAGCATCTAAAGGCAGAGGAAGAAAATATTTACAGTGACTCCTCATTCACAGTGTTCCTAAAAGGTCTCTTTTGGCTGTTACCTGCTGGTCCAGGAGGGGTGATGTGAATAAAATGCCAAAGTAATAAAAAGTACAGGGAATATATTAGAGTCAAAAATATTAAAAATAAGGGGAGGCCAAAACGGGAAAGAGAGAGAGAGAGAGATTTAAGTCAGTGGACTCTGTCTGCAGGGGATAAGATTTCATATGGGTCTTGGCCCAGCAGGAAATAGGTGATTCAAGCTGATTGGAGTCAATTATTCCAATTCCCCAGGATTTGTTAAGGACCTACTATGTGCCTAGAACAGGAGGGTGGAGTGACAGAGGGCAGTTCATCTCAATCTGTAATCAAGTGTTGGATAGGATGGTACAGTCTATTGTCTTTTCTCAAGACTAAGACCAATGTATTTCTTTTGGCATTTTACTGCTTCTGAAAATAAAGGCTTACAGTTGCTGTTTACATTGTATGTAGTGCTTCAGTATTTTGTTTTATTTTCTGAAAAGTTGTTTTTGAAATCAATGGTGCATCTTAGAAGGATGGAAATATGCTATATGGATTCTGAGTGTCTGAAATGAGAACAATCTCTGTAATCTCAATGTGAAGGATAGCCATGACCGCGCGAGGCAGTATCTGATCAGGGACCCAAACAATGAGTGCAATAGGATTTGATTGGCGGAGAGGAGGAGACACCCCTGGTGTGGGGGATGGGAAAGGACAGAGAAATGGCACAAATAAGGTCAGGTACAGGAATGAATGCGGCCTGCTAATTAGCAGGGAAACCTGGCTGGAGATGAAGTTGTTTACAGAACTAGTAGGAGATCCGGCAGGAGAAATAGGTAGGCCTTGCTCTTTCCAGGAGGTCTACAATATGAGGTGTCCTATATCCAAATACTCTTAGGCAGGAAGTGAGCTTATTGAGGGAGGCACCCAGAGGTGATTCTTTTAAGAGAGTGAGCCTTTGAGAGTCCTATACAGCTGTAAGGAAACAGATGGGAAGCCAGGAAATACACCAGAGTCAGAGTTCAGGGGTTATAAACCAACAGGAAAGAGTAGGCTGGAAGCACATTATAGACAGGTTCTTGAATCTTGATAGGTAGAATAAGGAAGTGAGAAAGACAGTGACACTCAGCCTCCTCTGGCAACAGCCTTAGCCAGCAGCACTACCACAGTGGCATGCCTGCCTGGGCTGTCTGTGGGCAGTCAAAGCCTAACAAGTGTGCGGGAAAGTCAGAGAGAAACCAGAGCTACCTATTCCATCTCCGCATGGTCTTAGCAGCTGACTAAAGTATTGAGATTTGGCTTACCTAATACTTTCTTCCAGAAAAATAAAATAAAAGTGGTTTTCCTCAGCCAAAAGTTCTGCAGCCACTGGGAACTTCAGCAGGATGACTGTGGAGGGAAGGACAGCTAAGGCGAAACTACCATTTTTAGGAAACACTCTCAGTAGATGACACACCTGGAGGCCAGGGGCTGGGATACCTGTGGGAAGGGTTTACCATGCACTCTTCTCCCCATCAACTGACAACAGAAGCAGTATCATGAAATTCTAGCTACAAGAGGCTGTTTTGAGCCAGTGGAAATTGTACAGGCTTTGGGGTTAGGCTGTCTGGGCTTAATTCCAGCTCTACCACGTACTAATTGACTCACTATGAGCAAATCACTTTAGACCTCTGGATTTGAGTTTTCTTCGCTATAAAATTAACAGCATTTTACTGATGGAATAGTTGAGGTTGCAAAGGGAGGCATGTCATGTTTTTTTATCTGTCACTAAACTATCTCCCCATGACTGCAGAGAAAGACAACTACTTGCGCCATTCCCAGAGGCTCATGCAATTCCTGCCAGCCTTAAAAGAACAGATTAAAACCTCAGAGTGGGAGAGCATTGTGAACACCCACCCCACTCTCCTGTTTTCAAGGGAACTACCATTTAGTGACAACCTATCCTCTGCTAGGTACTTTGCATACTTCATCTCATTCAAACCTCCTCAAAACTCTATGCAGGTAGGTATTATTCTTCATCTCTATTTTATAGTTGAGGAAAGTAAAGCTCAGAGAGGTTATGTGTCTCTGCTAAGATCACAAAGCTGGTATTTGAAGATGTCTGACTCCAAAGTTTATGCACAGAATTTTCACTCCAAATGTGACCACCATTGTAAAGCAGTTTCTGGTTATGCAACAAAAGGCTTTATCCTCAAGAAAAAGACATGTAGGCCTCAGGGATTCTATGGTAGAAGTACTCTGTGAAGCAAACAGGATGTTCCCCACGATCCCTCTGGTAAGGGCTGTCTTTTGCCTAGAGCATGCAGAGATGAGATTGGACTCAGAATACAACCCCTTGATCAGATGTGAATACCACAATTTGCAGAACTCTAGGCCAAGCAATAATGCATTAGAACCTCCCACCAACAACCAAAGGTACACAGGACTGCTACTATTACTCCCATTTTACAGAGCTAAGGATAGTAAGCCTTAGGAAATTAAATAATTTGCCAAAGTCACAAAGTCAAGAGCTTGACAGAGCCAACATTCAAATACAGGTTTTCGGGCTGAATTCTACACACTTGGGCTCTTTCTACAACTCCATTCTGTGCTTTGTACAGCTCCACACATGGTATGAATGATCCACAAATAATCAGTGACATCTACTGCCTGGCTCCCAACCAAGAGTAGAACACAGTGAAAATGTGATCCATGCATCTTAAAGCACTGAAATACGAAGAACAGATAAATGAGGAGAACTGAACACTGTGTGCCAGGTGCTTAGTATTCATCATTTAGCATCAGCAGCAGGCGTCAACATTGAGGCAATTCTATTTTCAGATGCCGCTAAATAAATTCATCTCCTTTC
Source organism: Homo sapiens (assembly GCF_000001405.40). NCBI lineage: Eukaryota > Metazoa > Chordata > Mammalia > Primates > Hominidae > Homo > Homo sapiens. The sequence goes on along the minus strand of NC_000023.11, from coordinate 112,162,898 downwards.
TCTGGTATGACAGTAATAGTAATAAAGTCTCCTGACTTTTCAAGACAAGACTACCCGCCTTAGGATCCTCCGGAGCAGAAAATACTGAACAAAATTGGAGAAAGCAAATCCACAGTAGGAATACCTGAATAAACTATACTTAGGGGAGACTCGTCTGTTGTAGATGGCAAAGGGCATGAAGTGAATCCACAAATTTCTGTGATAGAGTTAATAATAATTAACAAAGGTTTCCTAGTAGCTGATTGCTAAAATCACATTTTGCCCTTAGTCTTATCCTTCCCCATATGATGTTATCTAAAGAATTATTTCCATTTAATTGGGGCAGGTCAGGCCTACTAGGAAATACAGTATGCTGGAAAGTACTGTAGACAGGAGATTCTAAACCAAACCCTGTCATAACAGTGTCAGGCAAATCATTTCTCCTTTCATTAATGGGGACCTGTGCAAGGCTAATGTCCTCTCAACTGGAAAAGAATACCTGACAGCTTTTATTGGTTTTACACTGTCCTTACCACATTCATACCAGAAAGTAATGTACCAATGAGAAGAGTGAGAAAAAACAAAAAAAGAGTTTTCCTAGTAGTTAGGAGCAGAAAACCTGAGTCCTTACAGAGCCATTTGTGTTGCCTTAGAAAGGTTTCCTTCAGGCAGGGTTGATTCATAGTGAAACAAATGTTTCCTATAGCTTTATGGTTTTGTTGTTATTGTTGTTGTTATTGTCATTAAACTAGGTTTAGTTTTCCACAGATCATATACCAATACTCCTCATAACACAACTATCTACAATTTCTCTCCAAAACTTTCCTTTGTAAATAGCAAATGTAACGGTGTTTAATTGGAAGAAATATAAGTTATTTCTAAAAAATCCAGCCTGTTGAAGCAAATTATAAAAGTTGCTGGTTATTAGGGCATTATTGCGTGAAGTTCTTGTTTGCATGTGGAAGAAGATATTGATCTGGAATGGGAGGGGATATTAGAACGGATTTTTCCTCAAAGTAAAAAAGAAGAAAGAAAGAAGAAAGAAGGAAAGAAAGAAAGAAAGAAAGAAAGAAAGGAAGGAAGGAAGGAAGGAAGGAAGGAAGGAAGGAAGGAAGGAAGGAAGGAAGGAAGAAAAGCAACCTGGCAAGCCCAAGGCCTAATAGAGTGCGATTTTTAAAAGATAAAGAATATATTCTTAGCATAGTTCATGGCACATAATAGGTGATCAACAAATCAGTGGTGCTGTTGTCTCTGTTATATGTGTTTGGGCTGTTGCCTGTCTGCTTTTGCTTCAATGGCAGAGACAGCTCTATGTTCTCTGTCCTCCAAGGTTCTCTCCCCCATGCTGTTCTCTGCATCCCTCAAGATAAAGCAAAACTAAAACTCATTCATACTGAAGGGTGAGGGGTTGATGTGTTTACTGTCACAGAGATATTTGCATTTTGAAGGGAGGATGGCCAAGAAGGGGGAATGATTTTGCCAAAGGAATGAATCCTTTATGGTAACATGTTAACAGCTGATATACTGAACAACTGGAAAGAGATTTTTGATTTGAGAATAGGGACTGAGTGTTTTCCACTTTAGCAACAACAAGGACAATGTCATTGCAAGACTTTAGAATTCAGCAAACTCCTTTACATACACCACCACATAGGCACCTATAAGAACAGCCTAAGCATTTAAATTTCTTGAAAGGAACATGATTTTTCAAAAAACTTATTAATATTATTTTTGATTGACAAAGCATAATTGTATACATTTATGAAGTACAGTGTAATGTTTTGAGGTATGTATACAATGCAGCATGATTAAATCAAGCTAATTAACATATCCATCACCTAGCTTGCCTATCATTTTTACTGTGAGACATTTAAAATTTACTCTGTTAGTTATTTTGAAACACATATTATTGACTATAGTCACCCTGCTTGGGGCTGGGGGAGCGGCATGCTTTTTTATTCACTCCTATTTATCATTTCCTTTCTGTTTCCACACAGTTAACATTCTAAACCTTTATCCCTTTCCCTAAATTCCTTAACATGGCATTCAAGACCCTTTGCAATCCATTGCTAGCCTAACTCTCAGAGCTCTCCTTCAACTCTCTCACACTCTCCCAACATACAAAACATACATAGATACACACTCCCTCAGTTCCTGTAACATTTTGAAGTTTTGCCTTCTTTCTCCCTCCACCTTCTAATTCAGTAACAAACTTGTCCAGTCTAAATGCCCACCTTCTGCAAAGTCCTGCCTCCATGCCTCATACCACCCAAGCTGAAAGCATTTACATAGTACTTGCCACCTAGTAAGCCCTTAAGTGTGACTTACCCTCCCTTCCCCATGGCATTTTTTATGTACTTTCACTACAGTACTTATCATATTGTATCATAAATAGCTGCACATATATACGCTTTTGGAGGGCAGAGACTGATTTATCTCATACATCTCTGTATTCCCAATGCTAAGCGCATTGCTTGACGCATAAGAAGTTTAGATAAAGCTTGTGGAATGAATAAATAAGATGATTATGTGACTTTCCCAAGGTACACTATTAAGTTACTTGCAGAGACAAGTCTAAAACCTAGATCAACCTCCCCCAGTGGACTGTGAGTTCCTTGAAGGCTCAAACCTCTTAACACATATCTAGCAAAGTAGGGACACACAGTAAGTGTTTAGTACATATTTCAATGAAACTGTCAACTCCGCAAATACCAATAAACAGCTACCAATTTATACACCTCTGCTCCAGGTTAACTCATACTGATAGGCAAGATGTATTCAGATTCTGCCGCAACACTAATCCCTGTATAACTCCAAAATATTAATACTTATCCTCTGCTTCGGGGACATAAGACAAACAACATGCAGCCCTAAGAGACAGGACAACACACAACAAAGCAACAGTTGGTAATTAGGCTTTAAGAGGTAGATGTGAGGAGGAAAGGATCTATGAAAGCTGAGAAAGAGAGACTCCATGGAAGTGGCCCTCCATGTGGACCCTGGAGGACAGGAAGTATTTATATAGGCATGAGAAAGAGGAGGGGAAAGAGCGTTGCAAGTGTGGAGAAAAACAGAGGTGTAGGGGCTGCTACAGAGAATGGCACACATGGGATCCCTGAGAAGACCAATCTGAATGGAATGCATTTGGAAGAGTGGGGAGACGGGCATGCAGCTGTGTGGAAGCAGATTAAGAGTCTTCAATGCTGAGGTGGGGAATCTTAGACTTGATTGGAGACAATGAAGAACGACCAGAGGTTTGTGTAAAGAAGAATAAAGTAATAAAACAAGGTGAATAAAATGATCAAGTGTTCACCTTACCTTGGCCAGTCAATCATTAAATACCTTGTGTATAACTGAGCTTCTGGGTTTACTTGAATCTAAATATGCTGGCATCAAGAAAGAGGTATTTTTGCTATTTCCCCGCTGGATGTCTTTGGTACCTGAGATTGGCACCGTAAAATGACGATATTTGGGAAGATGGATGTCACATCTCAGATCAGCCACTGAACTTCACAGCGATGCTGGGTAAGCCACTGAACCTCTCTGGGACTTATTTTCATGCTCTCAAACATGTCTATCCTGCCTGTGGGCTCCAGTTCTGACTTGCAGTGATGCTGAAATAATAAATGAGCAAAAGACTCTACTCCTGCCTATAACTGAAATTGGCTAGGACAGTTGTAGTGAAACCACTTTATACCTCTGTTTTCAAAATCTCATTAGAAGATATTGCAATCAATGTGACAGAGGCAAACACACTAATGGAGAAATGGGCAGAAAAACACAAAAAGGAAATTCATAGAAAAAGAAATACAAGTGGCCAATAAATGTATAGCAAAATTAAAAACCTCAATGGTAATCAATGAATGCAAATTAAAGCAAGAATGAAATAGCAATTTTTTTCTAACAAGTTTGTAAAATTTTAAAACACAGATAATATTCAGGATGTCAAGAGTTCCCCCAAAATAGCCTTCCTCCAATATGCTGGTTAGAGTGTATATCTCTGTAAACCTTTCGAAAGTCAGTCTGGCTATACCTTTCAATGGCCTTCAAAATATGCATATTCTTTAATCCAGTGTTTTTGCTTCTAGGAATTGATCCTCAGAAAATTGTCAGAGAATGATACAAATATTTAGCCAGAGGGAGATTAATTCCATAATTATTTATAATAGCAAAAAACTGCAAACAATTTACATATTCAACAATAAAACTGTGGTTAAATTATATCTTCTTAGGTTGAGAGTAGAATACTATGCAGCTATTGAAAATGTTATAGAGGCATGCATAATGACATGGAAATGTGGACATCATATATCATAATTTAGTATGATGTTTGGGAAAATATTATATACAAGCCAATCCTGTTTGGTAAAAAAATTCGTATTCTATGTGTGTATGTATGTGCACATATGTATATGTACACACACATATATATAATGACCTTTATATATATATCATATATATATATGTATTATGTATATATGAAGAGAGAGAGAGAACACCAAAACATATGTACCTGGATAGCAGTCGTCTCTCAGTGAAATAGTATTGCAAGTACTTTTTATTATTTTCTTTTCACTACTCTGTATTCTACATTTTACACAGTAAAAACTACTATTACATTTTTAAAAGACTATTTTAAAATCATATTAGGTGCCTTTTAAATATTCATTAAAGTGGCTGTTGTTTGGAAAGATATTAGCTCTTTTAGAAGACTTTCTGCTTTAGGCTGAGATTACATGACTTCTTGTTTTTATCAAAGGCAGGGAGCTTCCTTCATCATTGGAGGCTGGAGCCAAATGAGAGTCAATTTTCCTTTCTACACAGCCACCTAGGAAGCAGTAGGACATGGCAGGTTGGGCCAGGCCAGTGTGGTAAAGGCAAGCTAGATCCCAAGAACTGTATGGCCTCAGGGAGCCAGGGACAGGGGGCAGAGCAGTCAAAAGTAGTGTCCCACAGATCCAGAGCGAACAGGCTAAAAGCAAGATCTCAGCAGGGGAGACTGGCAAAGGTGAGTTTTTAAACAGCCAGACTGGACTAAACTATAAAGGCAGGAGCAGAGTCTGCATTTAAAGGAAGGTCCAAGGTCAAGGCTTCAGATCAAGCAAGAAAGAATAGCTGAAGAACAGAGACTAGTCAGATTGAACAGGGACAGCAGCTCAGGAAGCAGCAAAGGAAGATGTGAGTGTTGAGGCTTTCTGTGCCAGATTTGAGTAACACACTGCTCCCTGCTGTGCATAAACATAAAAATGTTGCCAGATGTCTGTTACCTATCTGAATGCAGTGCTCACTAGGATATGTATGAGAGGTAATTGTTGCAAAGACAAATGTATGGCACCTTTCTATGATTACCCAACTGTACTAGACCAGCTAAGCTATTGACCGAACTGAAGATGATAAGGAGAGAAGAAACGAGAGCAGACGAGCTGAGAGTTTAGGGTGGGGTAGGGGAGATCACAGGTTTTTCCAAAGTTCATAGGCCTTAGGCTGCAGCTATATAACTTCTCTTTCTTTCAGCTTCCGCCCTGTGGAAAACATCCTAATCTCACAAAACATCGGAGCTAGAACTATACTTAGGGATCATTTAGGCCAAACATCTTAGATTTATACATGAGAAAATTGAGGCCCTAAGAAATAAAGGAACATATTTAAGGTTTCACTTTAAAAAATGGGGAGAAAATAATCAAGTTTGCTCAACAGCCCCATGTCCTGCATACATTGGTAAAACATATTTCTAAATATTTGGTGAAAAATTGAGGTCAATATATTAAAGCTGATATTCTGGGTATCTTTTCAGGTATTAAATCGCTAAAACACAGAAACACACACACACACACACACACACACACACACACACAAACAGTATAACAGACACCATGTACTCAACACTCGCATCTAACAAATTTTAATACCCTGCCAGCTTTGGTTTTTTGAATGTTAGTTTGCAGTCTCAATTTAAATTGGAGCAATCAATTTGTTTTATCAAACCTCTCTTCTTAGTAAATTTGTAGTTGCTTCTACTCACTAACACCCCAGTCTCCACCCTCCAGTCCATAACCCAGTGGCTTAAGTCTCTTGTCCTGATGTGATATTGGTGGTATTGCAGATATAATTATTGAGCCATCCAGGAATTTAGACTGAGTCGCTAGGCTGTGTCTGCTTCTTCCCATTTCCTTGGTATACAGCTTTATACAAGTCATAATGACAAGCAGTGGTGAAGCTGTTTTTAACTTTTTTCTAATGCAGGAAAGACTAACCAACCCCCACCCACTCCAGCCTCTGCTTCTGAGCAGCAAGCCTAACTTTAGTCTTTCATCCTATCAAACACATTTAGTGTCTGCTATTCCAAAACTCAACCACTTAACCACCTCTGCCTACATCTGGACCAGGAGTACTATGGCCCTGTGATATCAACCTTGCTTTCAGTTTCCTGTGTTTCTGTCCAGATTTTCCACCATTGAGATATGTATCTTTTTAGAGTACAGTTATGTCTTCTAAATTTCCTCTAAATTTTATCCAGCATTGATATCTGTTAGCAGAAGGATTCTCCAAATATGAAATAACGATGCCATTTTGAATGCCTCCTGAAGTGTCTTTCATTTACTTTTATTTCTGTTACTTGATTTTCAAATAAGTTAGCTTTTTGACTTGCAACTCTTGGGTAATATGTAAAATAACTGAAAGAAAAATTCCTTCTGGAGTTCGTGTCTGAAGTAAGGACATTGCTGTCTCTCTCTTCAGAAATAGTGAAATGGATTGAAAAGGAAGACTCAAAAAAAGAAGGTGAAAATACTATGGAATTCTTTCAGAACAGGCTTTGAAGGAGGATAATATCCTCAATGATCCCACAATGATTCCTTGGACTGACACACAATAGCCAACACAATGGCCAATAGCCACTAAATGCTGTAAGTACAATTTGACGCTGAGCTGCTAGAAACTTGGCCTAAAACTACCAGAGCCATCCAGAATTAGCCAAAAGAAACATTTCCTTGAAGTCTAAAGTTAAACCATGACATATTAATCAATATTAATAACAAGATTAGTAATACCTAGGGTATACTTAGGGGAATGATTGTTGGTGATAATGTAAAGTAAGGATATCCAAAAAGCCACTCCTCCATAAAAGCAATAAGAACACTGGAAAAAAATGGCAAAATCAATTTTTCCAGAACTCTAGAAATTAACCATAGACTTGCAACAATCTAAGAAGCATTTATTCAAGAAAAGTGGCTGAATCTCAGTTAAAAACTGTGAGTTTTGTGGCATTTAAACTTGCCTTTTTCACAGTCCCACCCCATTCCCAGCTCCACAGTAGCTTTGAAAACCAAAAGCCTCATAATCATGGTGAAGATCAGCAGGCTAGTGGCCACTGGAAGGGAAAGAATGAGTTTAGCACCTCCCAAAACAACTATTCTTAGAACTGTCATTATTTGACCTGTATGGCATTTCCATTAAAACCCCAATTCACAGGGCTTATCTTTATTTTACCTAACTCAGACCTCGCTCAGTGCAAATAGCCTTTTCCTTGGAGTATTGAAAACAATCAGTGGCAATTGTTTAATATTGCAATTGCCTAAGACAGCAATAAAACTTGGGGCAATTAAGAAGCTGATCAAAAAATTTAAAAAGAAAAGCCAGGGAATAAGATATCCACAGTAAGCTTTGAAAAGCTTCAACATTTTCCTAGTTATCTAGAAGGCCATTTTCATAGTCCCCTTGTGCTGCTATAATAAAATATCTGAGACTGGGTAATTTACAAAAAACAGAAATTTATTTCTCAGTTCTGGAGGCTAGGAAGTCTAAGATCGAGGCACCAACAGATTTGGTGTCTGGTGAGGGTCTGCTCCATTGATGACATCTTCTTGAAGAGGCATCCTCACATGGCAGGAGGTGGAGGGTCAAATGAATGAATGTTATGTCCTCATATGGCAGAAAAACATAAAGGGCTGAATGCTGTGTGAAGCCTCTTTTATAAGGGTCTAAATCCCACTAATGATGGACCCACATCTTAATACTATCATATTGGCAATTAAATTTCAATACATGAATTTTGGAGGACATTCAGACCATAGCAGTCATGCAAATGGCTAGGACTGTGTGCTTGCCCAAAAAAATACCTAATAAGGTCCTAATCTCTCATCTTTGCTGATCTTGTGGTTCTTCATTTGAAAGCAGGAGGTAAAGGCTAAGAAAGAGTTGTAAATTGCTGAATGGCTGAAGGCATGTCCCAACGATTTTACAAAGCCCCTCTGCAAAGGCTGAGACAATATTTGGTTCCAGTTATTTAAGGAAATCTCTGTTTCATCATTAGCTGACCACTAGAATAACTGAGCAGAGACTTTAGTGATCACACATGACACAAAATACATGCTGTATGGAATTAGTCCAGGAAAGTCATCAAATAAACAGCAGGATTAACAAAAATAAATGGCAACAACAACAAATCCTGGGTGGGGTCTGATTTCCAGACTTGCCACATACAAGTCAGGTTTTCAACAGAAGTTTATAGCACATGCAAATAAATAAGAAATTATGGCTTATACATATGAAAGAAGCGATCAGTAGAAATTGTCCCTGAGGAAGCTCAAATGTTGGCTTTATTAGACAAAAAAATTTAAATCAACTACTTTAAGTATATTTAAAATCCAAAGAAAATCAGGTATAGAGAACTAAAGGAAAGTATGAAAATGATTCCTTATCAGAGAATGTCAATAAAGAGTTAAAAGAGTATAAAAGAACCAAATAGAAATTCTGGAATTGAAAAGTACGGTAAATAAAAGGAGAAATTCACTAGAGGGCTCAGCATCAGATTTGAAAAGGTGGAAGAAAGAATCAGCAAACTTGAAGGTAGGTCCATTGAGATTATCCACTCTAAGGAACACAAAGAAAATAAGAATGAAAAATGAACAGAGACTAACAGGCCTGTGGACACCACCAAGTATATCAACATATACATAATGGGGGTTGCAGAAGAACAGGAGAAAGAAAAGGGAACAGAAAGAATATTTGGAGAAATAATGACTGAAACCTTCCGTAATTTGATGAGAAATCTTAACTTCACACATCTAAAAAGCTCAATTAACTACAGGTAGGATAAACTCAAAGAGATCCACACCTATACATACCACAATCGAACGGTACAAAAAGAAAATCTAGAAATTATGGTACCTAGTTTCCTCTACCTATTTTTTGTGTAAAAATATATACTTTGGGATTATCTAGGTCATTCTATACTGAAACAGCCAAACACACACTTGAAAGAAGTCTCACTTTTCTGAAAATGAATACTTGTATGGGAAATTGCACTTATTTTTCTGTTATTATATTAGCTTACAGAAAGCCTAAATGTTTGGATCGTGGATGCATAGTCAAAATTCTTGCAGACAGCAAATTATCTCAGAGGGAAATAAAAGAACCTTAAATAGTCAGTAAATAAAAATGTAAAAAGTATGACAAAAATGTCTCAACAATCAACTTTCATTTATTCACTTTGATTGATTGGGAAATGGAATATTTCTTAATTGATCACTCTGGGCAGCTAAAAGTTATCAGCTCTTCCTACTTTACATAAATTGACATTTGTCAAATAATCAGGATATAACAATTACATGGAAAGCAGAAAATCTACTATGAATGACTATTTTTTCTTCAGTGATTGGTTTCTGTTTATGGCTTTAATGTTCCCATGGAGAACATAATTTCTCATCATCCAGTACTAGAGATATAACCAGTTTTAGAAACTTGGACAGAATATGCACTAAGTCCCAAGTCCTGGATATTGTGTTCAAAGAAAATCAATTCTGATGTCAGATTGTTTACTCTTTTTCATCAAAATAGAGGGCAGAAAATGCCAACAAATTATTTATTATTTATTTGACCTTTTCCATGGTTTGGACTTCAGATACATAAACAATTGTTGTACCTGGCTATAAATTAAGCACTCTAGAATGCTTTTAGGCAACTAGGGCAGAGTTTATAGGCTTTTGCTTAGGATCTTTAAGAACCTATGGAGATATGAGGGACATGAATAAGTTCATGTAACTTCCTAAGGCATCTTCCTTAAAGCTAGTAAGACTTTGATGTAACAGAAGAACCTATGTCAAATGGTTTGAAAGAACAGAACTTTATTGAAAAAAATACAATAAAGACCTAAAGCCTTACGTTTATTAAGCCTAGCGCTCTAGTGGAGAAAAGGGTAGTATAAACCTGTTGGGAAAATATGTCAGAAAGTTTATAGGACATGAAGCAGGCAGAGGCCAATTCTTCCAAACTTCTTTAACGGGACTACTACCTAGCTGTGTTTATCTAGAGAACAATAGTTTCCTTCCTAAATGTGTGACAGAGCAGAAGAGGAGAAAAGGTCAAGTTGCTATCAGGGCGGTAAGTCATTCATCCAATAATTATATAGTAGAAAGCTATGATGGGCCAGGCACTACAACTAGGTCTTGTGGATACATTGGTGAACATAAACAGACACAGGTCCACCATTATAGAGGTTACAGTCTAGTGAGGAATAATCATTATTCTCCAAGCTCCCAACTATACAAACTTCCATTGAGTTTCCGAAATGCTTTTCAAAGTCCACTTTAAATCTATGTTAGCCACTAACCACTGAAATCTGGAGTCAAGAATGAAATGATTTCATGGCACATTTCAAGTCGTAGAATGTTGTGCAAAAATTAGAAACTTTCATTCCTACCTCAGCCCAATTTACAGCCCTGAAGATCGTAGTACTATATCCTGCAAAGCTGTTAGGGGTAACTATGGCTGTTTTGCTTGTTCCTCCTAGGCCTAGTCTGAAGGTAGCCCTCTCATTTCAACATTTCAACTACAGAAGAAAGTATCCCGGTCAAGTTATCATAACGTTATCCTGTTGTTATTTCTGACTTGTCCTTGGAAGCCTAGAAATCTGACAGATAGAACTGCCCCGCTCCCAAATGGTATTTTGTATTTTGAATTTAATCAGACTCTCAATAAGCACATGAACAACTGTGTTGTCCCACAGGGGCTACTTCCCCTTCCTTTGTTTCCCTGTAGCATTCCATTTGTAAACATGCATGGCTGTCAACATGAAAACTTTGTGATCAAAGGAGCTATGGGGTCAGGGCTTGAAACAGAATTGCTGAAAAATAGTTAGATTAGTCATTGCTTTGAACGGATTAAAGCAGCATGAACGCCTTCCATGCTGAGGGGACAAAAGGTGAGACTGTAGGAATAAATTAAACTCACCTTACTTCCAGGGGAACGTATAGGGCAAACTGAACATCATCAAATCTCTTTCTCCCTCTTCTGAGAGACTAATGAATGGAAATAGTGAAAAGACATTCAGCACTGACATGAAATCATTAAACTTCTAGCTAACTTCATTGCTGGAGGAGTAGCACAAATGTTTTTGTTACTGATATTTCTCTACACAACATTGACATGATAAAGGCAGATTTTGGTAATGAGCCAATATAAACTGAATGGTTAGTGCACACCAGGTTGTGGGATGGAGTTGGGGAGAGGAGTGGAAAGACAAGGAAAATAAGCATCTCCAAATAATTACCACTTGTCAGTCTCCAACTCTATAAGTGCTTCATAATTGCCTTTGGCTCGGCCTTGAGCTTTTTCCATTGAATATTTGCTGAGAGGCTTAAATATATGCACAAAAAAGGAAGCTTCTAGACAAAAAATAAAATGTATCCCCAATGTGAGACCATGCTCTGTGAGACCGTGCACTGATATCAGTATTCACAGCCAGTCTGAAACTGTCTTGTGTGCCTGAACCTGGTTGAGAATGATATCCTTCCATTTGGAAAAGTTATAAAAGGAGGAGATTTAAATTCTTTGATGTACTGTGACCACTCCTCTGTTTCTTGACTTTATTTCAGACAGCGTGGCTAGATCTCTTTTCCATGGGAAGGAGAGAAAGAGGGATCCTCAGAAGCTCCTGCCTGATCTCCCTCTACAAGTCTCTTGTGTAAACCAGATGGTCAGTGACAAGAAGAGCAGAAACAAACAGTGCTTTTCTGAGTCCAGAGAAAATGGATAGGTGGGAAAATAACCTCAATTAATGCTAAGAGAGTAGTGGTTCTCTACTATTTCCTCTCATAGTTCTCCATGTCCTACATTTGCCTCTATTAAAGCAAAAACCCTGGCTGATCTCTTTGCACAGTTATTTAACCGGAATTCCATCCATGGATGGGCTGTGGGTACTGAGGAGGTCTATGAATCTATGCAAATACTAAGCAACAATTCACATGCATATGTCCATAGGTGCTTTTCTAAATACAGAGATTTCATAGATTGTATCAGATTTTCAATGGGATTTTTTACTCTGAAAATTTTAAAAATCATAATCTTACATGCCACCATTACTGAACATTTGTATATTTTTCCTCTTGAATTTCAGCAGATTTAAAGGGAAGGGGTAAAAAAGAAAAGAAGAAAAAGCAAAGAAAAGGGAAAATAAAAGAAAGGAAAGTGGGACCTCACAATAGTTGTGTCTGGACAGGTGAGACGGCAATTCATCTCAGTCAGAACCAATTGGTTGGGATAATTAAAAAGAGATCGATCCACTTCCTAGGTCTCTGCCGTGTTTTTTAATCTCTTTAAGATTCCTGTCTTCTCCATTCCCTCTGCTCTTTCCAGAGAGAAAGAAATCTCCAACTCCAATACAGACAAGCATTTTCTTAGAGGATCACCATCATTTATTTCAGCAGATAAATAAAAAGCCAAACTCCTTACAATGACCACAAGGTTTACAGGCTAGCATTCCCCTTCCACCCACTATTTTTCTGACCTCACCTTCTGCCATCCTCCACCTGGCTCATGCTGCTCCCACCACACTGGCCTCCTCACTGTTCTTAAAACACACAAGCACGTTCCAGCCTAATATCCTTTATATTGGTCATTGGTTGCTCCCTCTATCTAGAAACAATCGTCTACCAGAAATCCCCAAAGCTGGCTCTCTTACTTTCTTCATTTCTCTACTTAAATATCACCTTCTTAGAAAGGGCTTTTCTGTCCACCTTACTTCTTAAAATAGTGACTAACCCTCACCCCAGATTTCCCTTTCCCCCTTGCCTTGTTTCATTTTTCTTTTTAGCATGTCTCACCACCTGAAATGTAATTATTCTTTTCTCCTCCCACTAGACTGACTGTAAACTCCATATGAAGGCAGAAACACCATCTGCCTTATTCATTGCACCTTATACCAGTACCTAGCACAATGCCTAGCACATAGTAGGTACTTGATAATAGTTGCTGAATGAACAAGAGCAGGAAATGATGAGCAAAGGGTTCAATATCAAAGGTGTTCCTACTATTGCTTCTGTTGTTTACTCAACTTCTGCCATGCTGGCCCCTTTGCTACCCTGTACATGCACCAGTCATTCTCCTGCTTGAGGGCCTTTGTGCTTGTCCTATACCCTCTGCCTAGAATGTTCTTCCCCAGATATTTGTGTGTCCTTCAGCCTTTTACTCAAATCTCACCTTCTCAGTGATCCCTTCTCTGGTCTATCTAAAACTGTAACTTTGTCACTTAAGATACTTCTGATGTAATACTTCCTATCACCTCTTCCTGCTTTATTTCTTTTCCTAGCACTTATCATCATCTCACATATAATAATATATTTTACTTATCATTTTTATTGTCTATTTCCCTCAAAAAGACTGTCAGCTGTAGGAAAGTGAGAACTGTTGTCTCTCTTCTATCCCTAGTGCCTCGAAAAAGGTCTCACTCATAGCAGGCACCTATTAAATATCTGTTAAAGGAAGTAACAAGAAAACAAGCAAATGATTCCTCTTATACACTAAGCTAAAGTAATAATCAGCTGGGTTTTCTTTTCTTTCCAGGAGAAAAAAATGACTAAATTGTTTAACCAGTGAAAATACATATACTTCCATATACAGACAGATACAGGAGATTCTAAGATACCTGAGGGATAGGAGACTGCCTTCCCCCCTTGTCCTTAGAGGCACCATTAACACCCACTCCCTCTACCTGAGGTCCTTAGTGGAAATGACACATCAATGGGATGAGACGAAAGGACTGCTTCTGGCACAGGTAAAAGAAGTTTAATTATTTTATGCTATCACAAATTGAGAAGTTACTATGTGCCAGGCCCTTTATACAACCACGCAAAATTCTCACACTAACTTATCAAGATAGATATTATTATTCTCATTTTATAGAAGAGGAAAGTAACACTCAGAGAAATCGAGTAACTATCAAAAAGTCTCATGCCTAGAACTATTCAGAACTGGGTTTCAAACCCAGGTCAAAAGTATACAGAGACTCTGTTCTCTCTGCCTTATTGTGCTGCTGCAGGTGAAGGGAGGATATGTATCTTTATCTGAGGTTTCCATTCTGACCAGTAGGTCAAACTCCTCAGACTTGACATTACTTGGCATTTTCAGTGAGTATTTTCAGTTTCCAACTACATAAGGCCTCTGAACTGTCAGGAATTAAATTGTGGCCCTGCTCCATCCCCTGAAGCATATCAGAACAAATATCAGTGTTCTCCCTTGCAGGCTATTGCCTGTATTTCATTCCATTAGCATAGCTGGAGCTCTGAGATCAAACCCAGATTTTTTTTTTTTTTTTTTGCACTCAGTCACATGGCAGTTAGATCACATTGGGAGAAGAGGAACACGTATTTCTGCTTGGTTGTGGCATGTTAATAGGTTTGAAGGAATCCCAAGTTCACATCACTGTACAGAGCAAGTTTCCAGAGACAAAATATTCCACTGAACAGCAAATGAGCAGGAAGCACCAAGATCCTGTGATATCTGTCAAATAATGCTCTTCCCATTCTTACAAGCACCTTCTCCCCAAAAGGAGAGTCTGTTATTCATTCAATGTATGTTGGCTGACCAGGTCCTGTGCTAGGTGAATGTGACAGAAAGGTGAATGTGATTCCAACTAGTGGAGAAAATAGACTTGTAATCAGATGATGAATTACCACCCAATGTGGCAAAGACTATGGTGGGGTTAGGAAGAGAGTTCAGGGAACACATAGAGAGGGGGAGGTCTGACTTTTACAGGCTACATAAAGACAGGTTTTCCTAAAGAGATGATGAAGAGCCTGCCTCAGCCTCCCAAGTAACTGAGATTACAGGTGCACCCCACCACACCTGGCTAATTTTTTGTATTTTTTAGTAAAGATGGGTTTTCACCATGTTGGCCAGGCTGGTCTTGAACTCGTGACGTCAAGTGATCCACCCATCTCGGCCTCCCAAAGTGCTGGGATTACAGGTGTGAGCCACAACACCCAGGCCAGAGCCATTTGATTCTTTTTTAATCAGTCAGATAAACCCAATTTGTTTTAAGGTATGGTATTGGGCTGTATTCACCCAGAGGTTTACTTCAAAATGGGAGCAGTGAGGAGCTTACATTGTGACCAGTTCACTGAAGTGCAGTGGCCACAACTCTGTCCCATATGGACTAGTGGCTCTGTGGTCTGTGATCCAGAGCCACAGAATTTCCTAACACTGACCAACCACGCTGTAATTTCAGCACTTGGTCACAAGGGGGAGGGGGTAGCTGAGAATCTGAATTCTAGGATTCTAAAAGCTGAAATTCACATAGAATCCATCCAGTTGAGTGCTTTGCAAGCCACAGGGCAGAGAAGGGGAAGAGGGGAGAGAAGTCCAGTTCGGTAGATAGGACTACAGATCCTACACTCAAGCTTGAAACAGTGCAACTCTGCTGTTTTATGAACTGAGTTTCTGTACTTACTTTTGTTTGAGATGAGAGGGTATCGTTGCTGAAAAAAAAAGTAAAGTAATTCACTTGCTCATTTTAGAGACGAGAGAAATTCCCTCAAAGAAGGGAAATAATTTGGCCCAGATCACACTGTGTGACTTTGGAGCAAGGGACTGTACATCTGCGAGCCTCACTCAGCTCCCCCATCTCTGAAACGAGAATAATAGTGTGTACCTCATCTGGTTGTTGGGAGGATTCATTGAAATAATGCAGGCAAACACTTAGCACAATGCCTGAAACATACTAGATATGGACAAATATTGCTTACTATTACCATTTTGATGATGATGATGATGATGATAGTGATAATAATGATGATGATTATACAGTAGTTCCAGTTAGTCCTTAAAACTGAAGTTCTCTGCGTTGCAAGCCAGCATTCTTTTCCATACATCACACTCTCTCAGCGCAGGTCTTTCAGCAGAACTTGTCTGCATGACCTGACACAATTGACCATCCCCTCCTCCTGGATTCACTTGATTCATTAATATTTCAGGGAAACACACTCACTGATTTGTCCTCCTACCTCACTGACCTCCTGCTTCCTCCTCATTTCCCTGCTTCCTCCTCATTTCCCTGACCATTAGCCTTTGGATTGCCTCAGAGCTCGGGCTTCAGATCTCTCTTCCCTCTTCTATGCTAACTGTCTAACTCACTCAGATTTTAAATTATCTCCGTATGTTCAAAAATCATAAATGTATTATCTCCAGCCCAAAAGCTCTTTCCTGGGCTCCAGAATTGCGATGCCAACTCAGCATCTTTACTATGTTATAGGCCTATCTCAAAGTAAATGTGATCATAATAGAATTTCTGATTTCCCTCCCAAATTTTTTCCTTTCCCTATTGTTCCTCATTTCAGTAAATGCTCCCAACTTCCCCCAAGTTGTTCAAACCAAAAACAGGCACCTTTCTCTCTTCCTTCCATCCCATCTCCAATTCATCAGCATGTCTTGTTATGCCTCCAAAATTCGCAATCTTCACAAATTTGCCTAATTCTCACCCCCTGCATTGCTAAAATCTTAGGCTAAGCCAGCATTATCTTTGGCCTAAATTACCACAACAGCCTCCAATCTGATCTCCCTGAATTCACTCTTGCCACCATTTCTGGAGACCACTCTTCATGCGGCAGCCAGAGTGATCGTTTTAAAATCAATAGTCAAGCAATTTGATTCCTCTGCTTAAAACATCCCACAGTGCCTTCTCATTGAACTTGTAATAAAATTCAAACTCTTTAGCACAGCCTACAAGCGCATATATGATTTGGCTTGAGACTGCTCTCTCCTTTGCTTGTTGGCTTTTTTTGAGGGTGTGTCCCTTGAATTTACACTTGTTTCTTCTGCTGGGATTCCTTCTTTCTCATCATTCAGGTCTCAGTTCAGATGTCACTTTCACAGAGTTTCTTTTTCCCTAGGTAAAGGAACAAGTGTCTGTCCCCATTCCCAGTGTATTCTCTATCCCATTGCCCCACTTCTTTTCGTCATAGCACTTATCACAACTAAAAATTATATAGACACTTTTTTTACTTGTTTACACTTTTAATGTCTCCTCCTCACACACTAACCAATAGAATGTCATTGCCATAAAGGCAGAAACTTTACCTAGTCCACTACTGTATCCCCAGCACCTAAAACAGTGCCTGCACAGTAGACCCTCAGCAAATATTTGTTGAATACAAGAAAGAGAAAAGAAACTTAGAGACTCAACTTGACTCCTTCTCAACATCCCCCTTGACTGTGTCTGTGAAGTCCCCTTTCCAAATGAACTTTCATTCTAGATTAGTCCAGAGAAAGTCAGGGAAGAACTTGTTCTCCACCCCACTCACACCCTGACATTAATTCACTCTGGTGAATTAAGCATCGATAGAGCTCTCTGAAAATATTCTTTTCATGGCAAAATGATTTTTCCAGTCTACAAAATAGAGTAATTAAGAAGGATCCATCATGATCAAAAAGTATTGCTCCTGTGCTCATAATGAATGTACAATAATTGAGGTATTCCAACTAGTGTCATTTGCTTGACACACTCCAGTTAAGTAGGATGCTATAAATGAAGAAGTTCGAAACATCACCTGTTGCAAACATTCTAAAGGAAAAGAGCTCCTGAACAGAACCCTTCAGGATAATAGGTCTGATGATGAATGGCTTATTGCTACAGGAAAAAAAAAGGACTTGTAGAACCATAGATACAGAGAAGGAGGGGAAGAGCATGCTGATGCACAATGTCACCCTGATCAAGCATCAGGAGCCTTGAAAACAGGTCATATTTGGGATTAGAAATCAAGATTGGCCTTTAGCAATATAGTTAAGTGAGGGAACTTGTCCTAGGGAGGAAGTAATGGCTGCAGGGGTTTTTCACCTTTTCCATTTGTTATTCAGCTACATGGGAGATATGTGGAGGAACAGAAGAGCGTTTGGCCTGGAGCTTCTAGCAAAGTGGGATGTAACATTGAATTCACATTAGAATCACCTGGGGATATTAAGAGACACTCATACCTAGGCTTCACTTCCAGTTATTCTGATTTAATTAATCCGGAGCAAGTCCCAGGCACTAGTATGTTGTTTACGCTTCCTAGGTGATTCCAATGTGCAGTCAGGTTTGAGAGCCATTTTTAGCTGGTCCAAATCTTAGGCAGGCAGCCTACGTTTTTTCCTTTGAGAACTCAGTGGTTCTCAAAGTATGATCCCCATACATGCAGTAACATTACTCAGGAACCTATCAGAAATGCAAATTATGTGGTCCCTCCTCAGATCTACTGAATCAGAAACTCTGGGGACAGGGCTCAGCAATTTGTGTTTTAACGAGCCTTCCAGGTGAAAATGATGCACCCTCAAGTGGAAGAACCACTGCTTTAACCAGCAGTAACAGATTAAATAAATATACCCACTCTGACTATAATGGAGTTAAGCAGCTGGAGCTAAAAGGAGCGACTAGAGGCAATTTGACTCCAAACGGCACTGAAGTACTGCAGCCAGAGCTGTTTTTTTTAGGGATCCCACCCCAAGAGAAGATGTTAGCAAATTAAATGAGCACTGAACCAAAATGCAACTCTAAGGTTAAATCCAAGGTTAGAAGATGATATACCTGGAAATATTTAAGATTAACAAGAAATGTACTGATTTGTACACAGAAGATTCTTTTCTTTATAAAAAATAAGTAGTTCTATGTGAGGTGATGAATATGTTAATTATCTTGATTTAATTATTTCACAGTGTATGCATTATCAAAACATGTTTTACGTTGCAGATATGTACGATTTTTATTTGTCAGTTATGCCTTAATAAAACTGGGGAAACATCTTAAAAACTAGTTCTAAAGATGTGCTTTAAGAAATTGTTAGCTTGCAACAGAGATCTATGGTCAGTTTGTTAAAAATGTAGATTCCTGGGACCCATACCCAGAAATTCTGATTTTGCAGGTCTGGAGTGGAGCCTAGAAATTTACATTAATAAGGCTTTTAGGTGATTCTATAGTAGGTGGACCTCTTACCAAGCTTTAAGAAATGCTGTTCTATATGAACTTCATCTGCTTTATTAATGGCTGATAAAAAAAATTCTGATTGAAAACTAATGTCAGTGATCTAGATGAAACGTGATGCCTCATAGATTTAATCATGTGACCTTGCAAATAAAGACACCTCCTGGAATCATTCTAATGACTGTATCCTAATTGGGAACAAGGAAACTGACAGAAAACAGCGAATCTTGAGTGCTGAATCTACATCCCCAGGAATACAGAGTAACAATAGTAATGGCAAAAGCAAAACCCACAAGGTGATCATGTGGAAGGTGACTGCAGCTTGCTTTATATTTTCTATTCTTACTTGAGACCTACTTATTTAAAATCTATGAAAAAAAATGCCTAAGTTCATCTGAGAGTAATTTTGAAGTGTTTTTTTAATACCTCAAAACATGTAAAGGCATAAAGAGGTCACAGCTACTGACTGACTTATCCTACGGCAGCCTAATACCATACATCTTCAGCTCTAACTATTGCTATATAAATATTCAGTAATAGCAATATAATATCTAAAACTTTCTCCAGGCCGGGTGCGGTGGCTCACGTCTGTAATCCCAGCACTTTGGGAGGCCGAGGCAGGCGGATCACTTGAGGTCAGGAGTTTGAAACCAGCCTGGCCAATATGGCGAAACCCCCTCTCTACTAAAACTACAAAAATTTGCCGAGTGTAGTGGTGCATGCCTGTAATCCCAGCTACTCGGGAGGCTTAGGTAGAAGAATCTCTTGAAGCCGGGAGGTGGAGGTTGCAGTGACCCAAGATCACATCAGTGCACTCTAGCCTGGGTGACAGAATGAGATTCTGTCTCAAAAAAAGAAAAAAAATTTCTCCTTTGTCTTCAGGATGTGCCTGGCTGTATGCTAACATAAGCCATAAATGGAAGATGAAATAGCCTACCATTCAGCTTAAACAAGAAATACTGCCACATCCTAGTTACACACACCCCTATTACAGGACTTTCAAACTCCATGCACCTTTGTAGTCTCCCATTCCATGGTTTGGATACTGATTAGAACATAGACAACTCATTTATTGTTTTAGACCATGGCCATTGTTTAGTGTCCTCAGAACCCTGCTTTGGGCATGGCCAACCTAGGCAATTGTTCAGGCTCTGATCTTTGCCTACACATGGTATCAGGGAAAAAAAATTATTGGGGAAGAAGGAGATGGTTCCAGATACCTATATTAATAAGTGATCATAGGTAGAATTAAACAATCAACCCATTAAATCCTTCCACCATCAGGATAGGAAGATTATAGTCCCTGTGGATTATATTTTGTGGCTTCTTCCCATGAAGTTGAGCCTGAAAGAGATTTTGAGTTCACTAAGACAGACACACTGAGGACAGGAATCTGTCATGCAATGTAGTCTGCCCTATCCTTCTCTGCTCTCCTCACCCTCATGGGGACAACCCAAAGTCAGTCGATGAGGCAGCCCAGTGATAGTGCTGGTCTTTTCTTGTCTTCAAAGGTTTTATTTGATTTGTTCTCTTTGGTAGTTCTATTGATTTGTATGAAAGACCAAGTTGCCATCTTCTCTGATTTGGCTATATGACCCTCAGCTTCATTCAGCATCCTTATTTAGTGTTGGCAAGTACAGATGGCAATATTGTAGTACCAGAAGAGAATGCAAGAGATTATCTTCCCGGTTCCTTGTCTCCTAAAAGGTATATGTCTAATATGTCTAGAGAACCATAAAAATAAATAATATCTCTTCTCTTTCAAAAAATCACCAGTGATAAAGATTCCAAAACCCTTAGTTATTAAACTTTAAAGATATTAGACATCAACTACCAATTTCCAAAGTAATGGAATTTATTAAGTCTAAACAAAATAAAAATTAAACAAATGTGTCACTGAAGCTACCCATGTCTCCACCAACATTTATTTCCTTTTTTTTCAGTACATTTCCCTTATTCCCTCAAGGCAGCCTGATAGTGTCCTAGCTTAGGTATTACTTGATATACGAGATATCTCTAGACCACATAATATGTGAACCCTCCAAGACACCGTGGCATTTAAAAAAGAATTCTTGAGGCCACAAATAACCTTCAATACCAACAGAATTGGATCTCCAAAAGCAGAATTAGAGGGGACAGAGTTGATATTTGAAGGCAGTGCACTGAAAGCTTACACTGTAGACATCTACCATCATACTTAATAGTGAAAGACTGAGTTTTTTTTCCCCTGAGATCAGGAAACATTGTGCCAGAGGATATAGCAACTATATTTAGGCAAGAAAAAGCAAGAAAAGTTATTGAGATTGAAAAGAAAGTTGTTAAACTATCTTTTATTTGTGGATAACATGTAGAAAATATTTATGTAGAAAATTCAATTCAATCTACAAAAAAACAACAAGAATGAATGAATGGGCTTAGTAAGGTTGAAGATAAAATATCAATATAAAAACTGTACTTATACAGATTAGCAATGAACAATCATAAACTGAAACAAAAATAGAAATACTGTTTACCATAACATTAACATATATTTAAGTACTTAGGAATAAATTTGACAAAAGATGTAAAAGAGCTATGCACTAAAAACAACAAAATATTGCTGAGAGAAATTAGAGACCTAAATAAATGGAAACACATACTGCATTTCTGAGATAGAATCAATATTGTGAAAATGTCAGTTCTCCCCAAACTGATTTATAAAATCAATGCAATCACAAGCAAAATTCCAGCATGAGACTGTAGTTGTAGAGAAGGAATTTACTACAAAGGGACAGAACTTGGCTACAGCTATTCTGTATTATATTCTGTATTCTGTGGTTGTGGATGCATGTCTGTGCATTGTCAAACCTCATAGAAATGTATAACACAAAGAGTGAATTTTACTTTTAAAAATTTTCAAAAATGGGTTAGTATACAGACATATTGCTATGGTATCAATATTGGTATCTCTCCAAAAATTAAATGTTGGAACTAAATCCCCAGTGTGATAGTATTAAGAGGTGAAGCCTTTAGGACTTGGTTAGTTCATGAGGACAGAGCCCTCATGAATGGGATTAGTGCCTTTTTAAAAAAGGCTTGAGGAAGCCTGTTTGCCCTTTTCACCACATGAGGACTCAGCAAGAAGGTGCCATCTGTAAGGCAGAGCAAGCCCTAACCAGACACTGAATCTGTAGACCCTTAATCATGGACTTCCCAATCTCTAGAAACTGTGAGCAATACATTTCTGTTGCTTTTAATTACCCACTCTAAGGTATTTTGTTATAGCAGCAGCCACAAATGGACTAAGACATATACATTTCTAGCTCTGTCCACTAACAGATAGAAGCAGTGACAACCTAGCAGCAATGAGCACACTTAGAGCCCAGATATTCATTTTTCATACCATTTTCCCATCAAAGGAACCAGGGATACTTGGAGAAGTGTCTGATTTTGAGGCTGGGACAGGGAAATCACTAGGTGATCCTGGAGCATCTTGTAGTGCCAGAAAGTAAAGAAGTTCTTAAAAAAACAAAACATGGGGCATGTCAAAAGAAAACATTAGTCAACCTGAAAAAGCTTTCAATGGCCAAAATTTGAACAATTTGAGCAATAAACTATATAATAATATTATTGGATTATAGCTGTATTAGTCCGTTTTCATGCTGCTGATAAAGACAAAGCCAAGACTGGGAAGAAAAAGAGGTTTAACTGGACTTACAGTTCCACGTGGCTGGGAAGGCCTCAAAATCATGGCTGCAGGTGAAAGGCACTTCTTACATGGTGGTGGCAAGAGAAAAAGGAGAAGGATGCAAAAGCAGAAATGCCTCATGAAACCATCAGATCTCGTGAGACTTATTGACTACCAAGAGAACAATACGGGGGAAACTGCACTCATGATTCAAATTATCTCCCACTGGGTTCCTCCCACAACATGTGGGAATTATGGGAGTACAATTCAAGATGACATTTGGGTGGGGGCACAGAGCCAAACCATATCAATAACCCAAAGAATAAATATCTGTTATTCTATGCTGAGATAAATGATTCAATAAATAAAGAAATGAGAGAGAAGTAACAACTCTTCCTTACCGAATAATTCAAATTAATAAATGTAGAAGGAATGGGGAAAGTAGAAAATAACTTTTAGAACACCACAGTACCAGTTGCTGCAGGCAAAATACACTGATAAATGCTAAAATGAGTAGATAAAACTTTAAAGTGAAATTGAAATTGGGTATTAACATAACCTCAAAGTGTATCTTCCAAAATATTTATTAATTACTGTGGTAGTTTTAACATGTACCCACAATTTTTTTAAATATTCCTACCTTCTGGAGATGGAGGGAATTTAATTTATCTCCCCTTGTGTGTTGGCTGAATTCCGTGACTTTCTTTTTAAAGAATGGAGTATGGAAACAGAAAAATACAAGTTTACAGTGGAGAAATCCATCAGACACAACCTTAACCAAGTGATCAAGGTTAATATCACCCACGATAAGTCATCTTGATATCATGCAACCCCTGATATTATGTGATGTGTATGGCACTTTATCTCTATGGTATTCCTCCCCAAAATCCATACGCTCAGTCTAATAATGAGAAAACATCAGAAAAACTCAAACTGAAGGATACTCTACAAAATGCTTGACAAATATGCTTCAAAAGTGTTAAGGTCATGAGAAACATGAGAGATTGAGGAGCCGTCACAGATTGGAAGGACAACTAAATACAATGTGATATCCTGGTTTGGATCCTGAAACAATAAACAGACATTATTTAAAAACAAAGAGAATCTGAATAAAGTCTATAGTTAATAGTATTGTACCAATGTTAATTTCTTAATTTTGGTCATTGTACCATGGTTATGTAAGATGTTAACATTAGGAAAACTTGGGCAAAGTGTAGATAGAAATATTATGTACGATTTTTGCAACTCTTTTCTCGGAAGTTATTTGTTAATAATTTAAAAAGTATTGCAAGATTTATTGTATATAAAGCTAATTCTAAAATTTGACAAACTGATTCTAAAATTTATTTGCAAATACAAATGACCTGAAATAGTTAAAACAACTTTGGATAATAAGACCAAAACTGGAGGATAAACACCATGTAATTTCAAGACTTAAAAAAAACACTTTACTGAGGTATGATTGATGTTATAAAAAACTGTACAGATTGAATGTATACAACTAGATGAGTTCCTAGATAAGTACACTCTAGTGAAACCATCATTACAATCTATTGCATAAACGTATCTATCACCTCCAAAACTTTTCTCTCACTGTCTTTATTATTATTATTATTTTATAAGAACATTAATGTAATATTTACTTTCTTACCCAATTTTGAAGTGTGTAAAACAGTATTGCTAACTATAGACACTATGCTATACAGTAGATATCTAGGAATTACCCAGCTTTCATAACTGAAATTTTATACCCTTGGATAAATAACTCCCTGTTTCCCTCTCCTTCAATCCCCTGGCTACCGCCATTCTAATCTCTGCTTCTATGAGTTTGACTATTTTAAAAAGCAGTATCATATAAGTAGTATGATGCAGTATTTCTCCTTCTGTATATGGCTTATTTCACTTAGCATAATGTCCTACAGGTTCATCCATATTGTTGCAAAAGGCAGGATTTTCTTCTTTTTTAAGGCTGAATAGTATTCCATTGTATGTATATACTGCATTTTTTAAATCCATCTGTCAGTGGACATTTAGATTGCTTCCATGTCTTGGCTATTGTGAACAATGCTACAATGAACATGGCTACGCAGATATCTCTTTGGGATTCTGATATTAATTCCTTTGGGTATACACCCTGAAGTAAGATTACTAGATCAAATGGTGGTTCTATTTTTAATGTTTTCAGAAATCTCCATACTGTTCTCAATATTGGCTGGAACAATTTACATTCCCACCAATGATGTACAAGATTACCCCTTTCTCCACATTCTTGCTAACACTTGTTATCTTTTTAATATATAATAGCCATCTGTTATGGTTTGGCTCTGTGTCCCCACCCAAATCTCATCTCAAATTGTAATCCCCACGTGTGGAGGAAGGGACCTGTAATCCCCACATGTCGAGGGAGGGACCTGTAATCTCCATGTGTGGAGAAAGAGAGGCAATTGGATCATGGGGGTGGTTTCTTCTATGCTGTTTTCATGATAGTAAGTGAGTTCTCACAAGATGTGTGGTGTTTGACAGTTCCTCCTTCACACACTCACTCTCCTGCCACCTTGTGAAGGATGTGCCTGCTTCCCCTTCCTCCATAATTGCAAGTTTCCTGAGGCCCCCAGAGCCATGCAGAACTGTGAGTCAGTTAACCTCTTTCCTTCGTAAATTACCTAGTCTTTGACAAACAGTGTGAAACGGACTAATACACTATCCTCACTGGTATAAGGTGATTATCTCATTGTGGTTTTGATTTGAATTTCCTTGATGATCAGTGATGTTGAGCACATTTTCATATACCTGTTGGCTATTTGTATGTCTTCCTTGGAGAAATGCATCTGCAGTTTTTTGCCCACTTTAATACAAGTATTTGTGGGTTTCTTTTTTTTTAAATATTGAGTTCTAGGAATTCCTATATATTTATCAGATGTATGGGTTGAAAATACTTTTCCCCATTCTGGAGTTTGCCTTTACATTTTGTTAATTGTTTCCTTTGTTGTGCAGAGCATTTTAGTTTGATATAATTTCACTTGTCTATTTTTGCTTTTGTTGCCTATGCTTTTAGTGTCCTATTGAAGAAATCATTGCTAAGGCCAATGTCAAGAAGATTTTCCTTATGTTTTCTTCTAGAACTTTTACAGTTTCAGGTCTCCATTTTGTTCCATTGGTCTATATGTCTGTTTTTATTGTCAATGCCATACTGGTATAAAACTGGCATAAAAACAGTTTTAATTACTACAGCTTTGCAATATATTTTGAAATCAGGAAGTATGGTGCCTCTAGCTTTGTTATTCTTCCTCCAATCTGCTTTGAGTAGCTGGGATCTTTGCTGATTCCATTTGAATTTTTGGACAGTTTTTTCCAGTTCTGTAAAAATGCTACTGGGATTTTGATAGGAATTGCATTTAATCTGTAGATCACTTTGGGTAGTGTGGACATTTTAATAATATTACTTTTACAGTCCACGAATATGGGATGTTTTTCCATTTATTTGTGTCTGCTTTAGTTTTTTCATAAATGTTTTTACAGTTTTCAGTGTACAAGTCTTCCACTTCCTTGGTTAAGCTTATGAAAACACTGCAGCTAACATCATACTTAATGGTGAAAAGCTGAAAGCTTTTACTGTATGATCTGGAAAAAGGCATGGATATCCACTCTCACCACTGCTATTCCATGTAGTACTGGAAGTCCTAGTCAAAGCAATCAGGTAAGAAAAGGAAATAAAATACATTCAAATTAGAAAGTAAGAAGGACAATTATCTCTGTTCATAGATGAAATAATCTTATATGTAGAAAAACCTAATGATAGCACAAAATTGTTGTAACAAATAAACAAATTCAGTAAAGTTGCAAGATACAAAATCAACACACAAAAATAAATTGTGTTTCTATAGACTAACAACAAACTATCCAAAATGGAAATGAAGAAAATAATCCCATTTACAATAGTATCAAAAAGAATAAAACACTTAGGAATAAACTTAACCAAAGTGATAAAATACTTGTACAATGAGGACTATGAAACACTCAAGACCCTTTATAAAGCTAAAATAATCAAGCCAGTATGATATTCATGTATGAATGAATAAATGGGTCAATGGAGCCCAGTAGAGAGCCAAGGTATACATATATATATATATATGTATGTATTATATGTATGTGTATATATATACTCATATATAAATATATGTATATAAATACATTTGCCAAAAATTAATTATATAGTCAATTAATTTTTGGCAAAGAGTCAAAAGAAATTCAGTGGGAAAATGTATTTTCAGTAAGTGGTGCTCTAAAACTTGGATATGCATATGCAAAAAAATGACTTTAATCCGTATCTCACATCATATACAAAAACTAACTCAAAATGAATCACAGATGTGAATGTAAACCTAAAACTTTAAAACTTCTAGAAGAAAATATAGGAGAATATTTTTAGGCAGAGATTTCTTAGGTACATTATAAACCATAAAACCCATACAAAACAATTGATAAATCAGACTTTATCAAAATTACAACTCCTTCTCTTTGAAAGAGGCTGATAAGAGAATGAAAAGACAAGCTATAGACTGGGAGAAAATCATTGCGAAGTATATCTAATAAATGAACCACAAAACTCAATAATAAGGAAAACAATTGCCCATATTTTTAAATTGACAAAAAATTTAAATAGTCACTTCAACAAAGAAAGCATACAGATGACTGATAAGTACATGAAAAGATGCTTAACATCATTAGTCATTAAGGAAATGCAGACTCAAACCATAATGAGATATTGCTACACAGCTATGAGAATGCCTAAAATTAAAAAGGTTGACCTTACTAAGTGTTGGTAAGGATGCAAAGCAATTAGAAATCTCATATAATGTTGATGGAAATGTAAAGTGGTGCAGTAACTTTGGTAAATAATTTGGCAATTTCTTAAAATGTTAAAAGTTAAACATACACATATGATTTAGTCATTCTATTCCTACATGTTTATCTAAGAGAAAGGAGAGCATGTCTTTACAAACATTTGCATATGAATGTTCATAACAACTTTATTTGTAATACTTAGACATTGGAAACAACTCAACTGTCCATCCATGTGCTAATAGACAATGTGCTACATCCATACAATAAAATACTGCTCATCTATGAAAAGGAATAAGTTGTTGATACACATTACAACATAGATGTACTTCAAAATAATTACATTGAGTTAAGAGACCAGACCAAAAAAAAGTACATATAATAAGATTCCACTTACATAAAAATCTAGGAAATATAAACTAGTTTATAATGACCAAAAGCCATTCAGCAGTTTCTGAGGGCTAGGAGGAAAATCCAAAGGAGCTTGCTGAAATTCTGGGGACTGATGGCTATGTTTCATTATCCTTATGGTAATAACAGTTTCACTGGGTGTACACATATGTAATAATGTGTCTAATTGTACAGTTTAGATTATACAGTTGATATTGTATCAATTATGCCTCTATAAAGCTATTTTTTAAAAGTACTATGGGAGTTCAGTGGAAGTAGACTCTAGATGGATCACAATCATAGGACATGAAGGCCTACCTTTTCTTTCCAGTGAGTGTAAGAATGATCTATAGGAGTGAGATGTCCGTTTCTGCAATTTGCATTTTTCTTAAAATCATGGGAGTAAGGAAAATACCAAACTGTATGTCCAAGTCTGAAATAATTTAGTCCCACAGAATCTAATATTTGTAAGAGTGTTAGCGGTCCAGTGGTTTTCCAGTGCTTTGCTCCACTCCACAAAGCACTGGAGTTTCTCTGATTTCTCAAGAGTATATGGTTGGAGGGGTGGGAATCTGGTGTTGTAGAGGATTTAAAAGACACAGAAGGTAATCCTGCTTCAATCAGAGAGGCTCCACTATTATCTGCTTTATATACTGAGTCTCAGAGTGACAATTTACTTAAAAATTAAAAGCACTCCACAACTAAAAAGAAGAATTTGAAAATCACAGGTATAGCTCAATCAGTCTGCTATGCGACTAATTTTTCACTACATTTGTTTATTGCAGTGTGGCTAAAATATTAGAGAGATTGGGAGGTCCTGCTTAATAGTCTAGTTATATTAGCTCTAGCATGGATTAGGAAAGAAGAAATTACTGAGCAAGAGAGCAGAATGGGAAAGCTAGGTAAACTAATTCTTCATGAGCAAAGCCTTTGTTTAAAACTATATAGATCAATAATGAGAATACAGCCAACATTTATTGAACAATTATCATGTAGCAGGCACTGGGATAATCACTTTACATATATTAATTCACTAAATTTTCACAACCTTATGTGATAAGAACTATGTTAAATACCCTTATTTTTCAGACATAGAAAATGAGGCACAGAGGGATTAAGCAGTTTGCCAAAGGCCCTGAGCTATTAAGTGTGAGAAGCCAGAGCTAGAACCCATAAATGCTAAACTCCAAATCACATTCTTTTGACTATTATTAGTGTGTTGCTCTCTTGATCAACTGTTTTCAAACTGCATGGATGTGCTTCATGGGTGTGTCAGTGGTATGAGAGAAGGATAAGAAGGGAGGGAGTCGGTCCCTTGCCATCGCTTCATCGCCTTTTGATCCCAGCAGTTCTATTTTTATCTTTATTTTCCTCTGAAAAGTTTGTTCATTTTAATACAATTGAGCATTTCATTTCCCCCTGACAGTAGTCAAAGAAAACATTTTATCATTATTTTATCATTATTATTCTTGGTATATCAAACTACATATTGGCATTCTGCTCAAGATTTCCACTGAAACGAAGATTTACACTACTAAAGAATTTTTAAAGAGATTTGAAAAGCACTTATAGCAGTAGCAATCACTTCATGTTACAGAAGAAAATACTGAGGGTACAAAGGAAATGTCTTTTACCTGCAGTAACAATAACACAGCAAATTAGTGGAAGTTTTGGCTCTTCTTTGTCCAACATTCTTTCCTATATGCCGCTATTTCACCATGAACCCCAACAAGGCCTCATCAAAATTTTAGTGGAATACAAGAGTTTTAAGAAATTAAAATTGAATGTAAGAAATGTCTAGAAAGAAGACTCTATTTTGAAATTAAGAGTGGGCTAGCCTCCTCCAGGAGGTAATAGCCATCTATAACATTCAAATACTCAAGGCAAAAGATTTGTCTTTGACCGCCAGTGGGCACTGGAGTGTATAAAGAATGTAATGCCATGTTGGAAGTATGGAACTTACCTTATTGTAGTGCAAATCAATCAATAAATTTGAGTATAGGAAAAAATTTAACCTTCTTACATAAAACTTTTCATAGAGACATGACTTAAAATGGGAGAGAAGACAACCATATCCAACTTTGTATTTGAAAAGGATTCAAGAAAGTCCTGGCAGAGCCAGGGTGCTAGGGTTGGTGCTCATCTTCTGTCTCAGAATTCACTGTAATTCTCTTTCTAGTTCCAGACTCTAAGACTCATCTCAGGTGCAAACCTCAGGACTTTGAGGGGGTCAGTGAAACTCCAGACTTGTCATGCAAAATTTGTATGTATGTATGTATGTATGTGTATTTTTCTGGAGAGAGGGTCCTAGCCTTCTTCAGAATCTCAAAGGGGTCCAGAAAATTAGGACATGCTGGTTTGGACCTAGTTTTTATGAGTGGAATGGGCTTTATGCCCTTTGTGAGATCAGAGGGAGGTAAGCTGTCTGATTGACCTGAAAACTCCAGGAAAAGGGAAAACTGAGGATATGGCAATATTTTTCTGCCTGCCTGCCTGCTTATCTTCCTCTCAAAGCACACTAATCAAATTGAATCTTTGTAAGTGGTGGGGACCCTGAGGAGAGGTAGTTAAGGAAAATAAAAGCTAGGGATGATGATAGGTTATTTTGTGTTGTGTGGTATGTTTATATGATGCCAAATAACCTGTTTAACTTACGTTTTTGTCTATTAACCTGTTGTTTCAGTATCATATAGAGGTAACCTGATACAGTGGGAAAATTATGGGCTCTAGAGACAAGCAGACCTGGATTCAGATCCAGACTCTGTCTCCTTGGAGCTAGTTTCTTAACTTCTTTAATTAAGCCTCTTTCTTCGTTTATAAAATGGGAATAATAGGTACTACTTCATAGGTACTACTTCAGATTAGACGTATAGCAAAATAGCTGGTAAACAGGAACATAATAGTAGGGATTTGTATTAGAATTTACTGTTATCACCATAGATACAATCTTCTTTCTCCTGTTTTGTATTCCCTCTATTTATTTCTCTCCATCTCACTATCTCTATTTATTTTCCTATTTGGACCTGTTCCTTCTCTCTTTACTTACCCCTCTTTCTTTTCCAATTTCTCCCTTTCTCTGTTTAATATGCGTCTTTTCCTCACACCCACTCTCTCTCCCCTGCTATCCACCTGCCAGAAAGAGGAACACATGAAGCAACTTGAGAGATTTAATAGTACGAATAGTGAAGGGGGAAAAAAGGCATTTGTTAAGTCAGATTTCAAGAAATACCAGGTCTCATTATTGAAGTCCTGCATCTTCATCTGAAATCTCATATACAATATGCAATAACTGCTAAACTTATGCTGTCCCCTTATATGGCTCAATCTCAGCCTGTCAATATCAGTCTTCCAGTTGTACTCAGAGCTAAAAATGAGGCCATGGGTGCCATGGAGATTTGAAGTTCTCCCAGAGCTCTTGAGCTTTTACTTAAATGAAAAGCCAAATATCCAAGCAATATTTACTCAGGGATTTGTTTGCTACATTAATTAAAATACAGTACAAGTTCCCTTATCAATGGAATTGCTTGACTAACTTAAAAGTCTCCTTTAAAGCAGAAACTGGTAAAAAAAAAAAAAGGTATTTACATACCTTAGATGTTTTTATTCTAATTTAAAACATAAATGTACATTCACTTCTCAATATTTTTATGTAAGGCCAAGACCTATACTACAATTTTTCTTTTATAAAACTCACCCAGGCAGGGCGCAGTGGCTCACGCCTGTAATCCCAGCAGTTTGGGAGGCCGAGGCAGGTGGATCACGAGGTCAGGAGATCGAGACCATCCTGGCTAACATGGTGAAACCCCGTCTCTGCTAAAAAAAAATACAAAAAAAATTAGCCGGGCATGGTGGCGGGAGCCTGTAGTCCCAGCTACTCGGGAGACTGAAGCAGGAGAATGGCATGAACCCGGGAGGAGGAGGTTGCAGTGAGCTGAGATCGCACCACTGCATTCCAGACTGGGCGACAGAGCGAGACTCAGTCTTACAAAAAAAAAAAAAAAAAACCCACACCCATAAGTGTCATCAATGATATCTAGTTTCAGTTCCTTTCACATGGAGTAAAGACATACAGTACTTGTAGAATATATTGAGTAAAAACGCCTTCTAAATTTTACAATCTTGTTCTGAATTTATAGTTGTCATACTCCCATTTAGTTTGACAGAAATATTTTTAGTAACATTAATTTACTGAGTATTTCTAAATCATTTTACTTAGTATTTTTTGTATTATTAACGATGTCATACATAAAAATAATATAAATGTATCTAAAGAGTAAATATTAAATAAGCATGCATGCATTCACAACCTACCAACCTACTGTAAGAAATACATCATTACAAATAACTTTGAAGGCTCTTGTGTCAGGAAAAGTAAAGGGTCTGAGATTTTTTACCCACCTCGCAAGCTGGCAAGTTGGCCTACCACAGTTGCATGGATGCTGGCAAAAACTGATCTAATTGTCTATCTACACTAATGGCATACTGTCTTGATTACTGTAGCATTATAAGAAGATTAGAAAAATCGACTCCGTCTCAAAAAAAAAAAAAAGAAAAGAAAAGAAAAGAAAAATCAACTAGTGCAGATTTTTCCTCCAACTCTGTAATTTTTTGAAGTTGTTTTGGCTAATCTAGGCCCTTTACATTTCCATGTAAATTTGAGAATCAGCTTGTCAATTTCAAAAAAACCCTAGCATTTTTGTTTGGATTGTGGTAAATCTGTAGATAAGCGTGGAAATAATTGGCATCTTAGTAATATTGAGTCTTCCTTCTGATTCATAAAAACAATATATCTCTCTACTTATTTAATTTTTCCCAACAACGGTTTTTCATTTTCATTGAATGGGTCTTATATATCTGTTGTCAGAATAATCCCCAAGAATTTAACATTTTTATGCTACTGTTAATGATATTTTTTCCATTTTAATTTTGGATCGTTTTTGGTAAATATAAATATAACTGATTTTGTATGTTGATCTTCTATCCTGTACCCTTGCTAAATTCACTTATTACTTTTAGTAGCTTTTTTGGTATATTCCATCAAATTTTCTACATAGAAGATCATATAGTCTGAAAAATAAAGACAGTTTCAGCTTTAGTTCTTTGTTTCCCATCTGGATGCCTCTTTCTTGCTATACAATAATGGATACAACTGCAAGTCTGCTGGTGAAATAAGTGGTGAAAAATTATATCCTTGCATTGTTCATGACTTCAAAGCAAACACATTGAGGCTTTCACCTTTAACTAAAATGTTAGCTGTAGTTGGTGTGTTTTTGTTTGTTTGTTTGTTTTTTGCTAATACATTTTATCGGGTTATTAGAATGTCCTTTGGTCCCATTATGATGAGAATTTTTATCAGAAATAGATGTTGGATGTTATGCATAATGTTGCTATGAACATTCATTTCATTTAAAAGTTTTTGTGTGGGTAAATGTTTTCAATTCTGTTAGGTATATACCTATGAGTAAAATTGCTGGATCATCAGGTAATTCTACATTTTACTTTTTGAGGAGCTGCCAACTGTATTAAAAAATGTATGAAACACATTACATTCCCATCAGCAATACAAAAGGGTTCTAATTTCTTCATCATCCTTGCCAACACTTATTTTCCATTAAAAAAATTATAGTCATCCTTATGGGTGTAAAGTGTAAAGTGGTATCTCATTGTGGTATTGATGTGTAGTTCCCTAATAACTAATGATGTTGAATATCTTTTTATTTCCTTCTTGGCCCTTTTTACATCTTCTTTGGGTAAACGTCTATTCAATTCTTTTGACTACATTTAAGTGGATTGTTTGCCCTTTTGTTGTTGAGTTCTAAGTGTTCTTTATACATTGTTGACATTAGATCCTTATCAGACATATGATTTATAAATTTCTCCTATTGAGTAGGCTATCTTTTACATTTGTTGATAATGTCCTTTGATGCACAGAAGACAGAAGACTAATTTTGATGAAGTCTAATTTATTTATTTGTTTATTGCCTAAGCTTTTGGTGTCATAGCCAAAGTTTTATTCTAAGAGTTTTATAGTTTATCTCTTATATTAGGATTAGACTTAATTTGGGTTAATTTTTGTACATAATAGAAGGTAGGGACCCAACTTCTAAGTTCTTTTACTTTTTTTTTTTTTTTTTTTGTGAGACAGAGTCTCACTCTGTCTCCCAGGCTGGAGTGCAGTGACAAAATCTCTGCTCACTGCAACCTCCACTTCCGGGTTCAAGCGAGTCTCCTGCCTCAGTCTCCCAAGTAGCTGGGACTACAGGCGCGTGCCACTGCGCCTGGCTACTTTTTGTATTTTTAGTAGCGACAGGGTTTCACCATGTTGGCCAGGCTGGTCTCGAACTCCTCAGATAATCCGCCCGCCTCGGCCTCCCAAAGTGCCAGGATTAGAGGCGTGAGCCACCGCGCCGGGCCCCAAGTTCATTCTTTTAAACGTGGATATCCAGTCACGCCAGCATTTCTTGTCGAAGAGAATATTCTCTCCTTATTGATGGCCTTGGCACCCTTGTCAAATCAATCGGCTCTAAATGTACAGGTTTATTTCTGGAGTCTCAATTCTATTACACTAGTCTACAGATATGTCCTTATGCCAGTACCACACTGTTTTGATTCCTCTAGCTTTTTAATAAGATTTTAAATTTGGAAATATGAGTCTTCCCACCTTTTTTCTTCTTTTTAAGGGATATTTAGGATAATTAAGGCCCCTTGTAAATCCTTAAGCATTTGTAGGTCAGCTTTTCCATTTCTACAAAAAAGGGCAATGGAATTTTGATATATATTACATTGAATTTGTAGACTATTTCAGTTTATATTGTCACTTTAATGATATTAAATCTTCTAATCCATGGAATATCTTTCCATTTATTTAGGTATTCTTTAATTTCCTAAGCAATGTTTTGTAGTTTTCATTGTACAAGTCTTTTCCTTCCTTGGTTAAACATTTATTCCTTTGTATTTTACTATTTTTGATGATGTTATAAATTGAATTATTTTCTTAAATTACTCTTCATATTGCTTAGTGTGGGTATACAGAAACACGAATTTTTCTGTATTGATTTTGTGCTCTGAAACTTTGTAGAATTAGTTTATTAGTTCTAGCAATTTTTATGGGGCAATTCCTTTGAGATTTTCTATATATACAATCATGTCATATGTAAACAGAGTTTTACTTCATCCTTTCCAATTTGGATGCCTTTTATTTCTTCATCTTACCTAATGGCTCTGGTTAGAACTTCCACTACAATGTTAAATAGCAGTGGTGACAGCAAACACCCCCGTTACTGATCATAGGAAGAAAGCTTTCAGTCTTTCTCCATTAAACATGTGATGAACTGTGGGTTTTCATGAATACCCTTTATGATGTTGAGAAAATTCCCCTCTATTGCCAGCTTTCTGGGCATTTTTTTTTTGGAATCATGAATGGTTGTTGAATTTTGACAAGTGCTTTTCCTGCATCAGTTCAGATGATCATGTGATTTTTATACCCTTCATTCTATTAATTTGGTGTATTACATTGACTGATTTTCTTAGAATGAACCACTCACTCTTGCATTTCTGGAATAAACCCCACTTTGCCATGGTGTATAACCCTTTTAATATACTGTTAGATTTAGTTTGATATTATTTGGCTGAGGATTTTTGCACCTATGTTCATAAAGGATATTGGTCTGTAGTTTTATTTTCTTATGATATATTTGGCTTTGGTATAAGGGTAATGCTGGTATCATAAAATAAATTAAAAGTGTTCGCTCCTCCTCTATTTTTTGGAAGTTTAACAAGGATTGGTGTTAATTTTTCTTTAAATGTTTTGTAGAATTCACCAGTGAAGCCATCTGTTCCTGGACTTTTCTTTTTTGGGATGTTTTTGATTACTGCTTCAGTCTTTTTATGGGTTTTTAAAAAACTTTTTATAGGTCTATTCAGAATTTCTATTTCTTTTTGAGTCAGAATTGGTAGTTTGTGTGTTTCTAGGAATTTGTCCATTTCATCTAGGTTATCTAATTTGTTGGGGTATAATTGTTCACAGTATTGTCTTATAATTCATTTATTCTTTTAAGGTTAGTAGTATTGTCTTCACTTTTATTTCTAGTTTTAGTTCTTTTCATCTGTCTTTTTATTTTAGTCAGCCTACTTAAATGCTTGTCAGTTTTGTTGATCTTTTCCATTAACCAATTTTGGCTTCATTGATTCCATTGTTTTTCTATTCTCTATTTGTTTTATCTTTAACTTTTATTATTTCTTTCCTTCTGCCAGCTTGGATTTAGTTTGCTCTTCTTTCTCTATATCCTTGCTGTGCAAAGTTAGGTTATTGATTTGAGATCTGTCTTTTATAATGCGGGTTTTTACAGCTACAAATATTCCTCTGAGCACTGCTTTTCTTCATCCCATAAATTCAGTATGTTGTGTTTTCATTTGTGGATATTCTTTGGGAGTTAGGATGAAGGTACTTTCCTCCAGAGAGTATTTGTGTTTGCCTTGCAAAGCACTTAGGTACCTTTAAGGTACTACTTTAAATTACATTCTTTTCTTCAATTTTTTTTCTACATTCATTTCTTGACGAGTTTTGTCCAACCAGGTGATAAATTCAATTGCAAATATGTGTGAGGACCAGCTTGTGTTAACAACTTCTTAGGGACTAGTCATCTTATCCCCATATTTTGTTCAAGGTTAAGGCAACTTTTCATGCAGTCTTCTGCAGGGGTGGAATTGCTGGGATGGGATGATCACCCTTACTCAAGGGCCTAGCCTCTTATGATTCACTTTAATAGGGATAGTATCGTACTAAACTCCCCACCTTAGGCCGCCGGCCCTGTGTAACTTCTCTCTCACCTGTCACCATGAAGCTGTGAAAAACAAAAGCTCCAGACCCCCAGTTTGACAAATCTCTTAAGGACAAAAGTGGCTTTGGAGCTCAGCTTATAGCTCTCTGTTCCAGTGTTATCGTAGATGTTGGCCTTGTAGAGTATTGATATCTAGTCATCCCTTGGTTGCCTTCATGATTTTAAACAGCATTTTATACACAGTTTTTAATTCTTTAAATGGGGGGTTGGTTTAAATAAATTCACCCTACTGGTAGCTCTGTTTTTCCCTATCTCCTTTATCCCAAAGACGTAAATGTTCAATTACTGAGGAATTTAAATGAAGTTGTGACCACCTCCATGGGCGGGCAGGGGTCTAAGTTAATTGTGCAATTGATAAAGGACTTTCTCAATGGCTCTGTAGTCATTATTAACATGTCTTCTCTCTTCCCCATAAGGACATAGGACATTTCTGTCCTTAAAGTTTGAACAACTAACAAATCAGATAATCCAAGGGGCATGTTCTATTTTCCAAGAATGATTGACACTTTGGTGCTGCGGTTTTGTGGGGAGAGTGGTGGTTTTTGTTTAACTTGTGTGGAATTGTGTGTGTGAGGTAAGGTTTTAATTGGTACTTTTTTCTTTTTCCTTTGTGAGCTGATAACGGAAGCAGAACAGTACATCTTCAAGTAAAGAAAGATTTCTTAATCCACTTTCTGTGATGTCAGACTATAAGGGAAACCCTTGCAATTGTTTTCTAGATTTAACTAAATTCAGTCAGATATTTTGGATTAAGAAATCTTAAGTCTCATGCCTGTAATCCCAGTACTTTGGGAGGCCAAGGTGGGCAGATCACGTGAGATCAGGAGTTCGAGACCAGCCTGACCAATATGGTGAAACCCCATCTCTAATAAAAAAAAAAAAAAAAAATTAGCCAGGTGTGGTGGCATGCACCTGTAGTCCCTGCTACTTGGGAGGCTGAGGCAGGAGAATCGCTTGAACCTGGAAGTTGGAGGTTTCAGTGAGCTGAGATCGCACCACTGCACTCCAGCCTGGGTAAGACAGAAAGACTGTCTCTAAACAAAACAAAACAAGACAAAACTGAACTCTTAATAGATTACATACTCCAAGAAAATACATCAAGGGCAGATAATTGACAGAAAATACTGACGCTTCAATGTGACACTTATTTTTTTTTCTTTAAGTTCCAGGATACGTGCGCAGAACGTGCAGGTTTGTTACATAGGTATAGGTGTGCCATGGTGGTTTGCTGTGCCTATTGACCCGTCCTCTAATTCCCTCCCCTCAAATCCCCTCCCCCCCAACAACCGGCCCGGTGTGAGTTGTTCCCCTCCCTGTGTCCATGTGTTCTCATTGTTCAACTCCCACTTATGAGTGAGAACATGAGATGATTGGTTTTCTGTTCCCGTCTTATTTTGCTGAGAATGATGGCTTCCAGCTTCATCCAAAATGTCCCTGCAAAGGACATGATCTCATTCCATTTTATGGTTGCATAATATTCCATGGTGTATATGTACCACATTTTTTTTTATCCAGTCTATCATTGATGGGCGTTTGGGTTGGTTCCATGACTGTGCTATTGTAAATAGTGCTGCAATAAACATACGTGTGCATGCATCTTTATAGTAAAATGATTTATATTACTTTGGGTATATACCCAGTAATGAGATTGCTAGGTTAAATGGTATTTCTGGTTCTAGATCCTTGAGGAATTGCCATACTGTCTTCCACAATGGTTGGACTAATTTATATTCCCACCAACAGTGTAAAAGTGTTCCTATTTCTCCACAGCCTCGCCAGCATCTATTGTTTCTTGACTTTTAATAATCACCATTCTTTCTGACTGGCATAAGATGGTATCTGATTGTGGTTTTGATTTCCATATCTCTAATGGTCAATGATTTTGAGCTTTTTTCATATGTATGTCTTCTTTTGAGAAGTGTCTGTTCATATCCTTTGCCCACTTTTTTATGAGGTTTTTTTTTTCTTGTAAATTTGTTTAAGGTCCTTGTTAATTCTGGATATTAGACCTTTGTCAGATGGGTAGACTTGAAAATTTTTCTCCCATTGTGTACATTGCCTGTTCACTCTGATGATAGTTTCTTTTGCTGTGAGAAGCTGTTTAGTTTAATTAGATTCCATTTGTCAATTTTGGCTTTTGTTACACTAGCTTTTGGTGCTTTCGTCATAAAGTCTTTGTCCATGCCTATGTCCTGAAGCTGGAGCATCATGCTACCCGACTTCAAGCTATACTACAAGGCTACAGTAACCAAAACAGCATGGTACTGGTACCAAAACAGACATACAGTCCAATGGAAGAGAACACAGACCTCAGAAATAACACCACACATCTACAACCTTTGATCTTTGACAAACCTGACAAAAACAAGCAATGGGGAAAGGATCTCCTATTCAGTAAATGGTGCTGGGAAAACTGGCTAGCCATATGCAGAAAACTGAAACTGGACCCCTTCTTTACACTGTATACAAAAATTAACTCAAGATGGATTAAAGACTTAAATGTGAAACCCCAAACCACAAAAGCTCTAGAAGAAAGCCTAGGAAATGTGACACATTTTTATAGAACATTTCTACCTGACTTGACTTGTCCTATAAGGATCACACTGTGTTTGTGTTTAATTTAATGCAATTTGTGTAACTTGTAGTTGCATATCTTCAAAGTTTCTCATTTTTATAAACAAATTTGAAATCATGCCAGTAAGTTAGATGTTGAATGTATGTAAGTAGCATTTGGTAACTGCTAAGAGGCTACAAAAACATTATTGGCAAAGAAGAGTTTAGTTCTGATTTGGTTGGATAATATTTTATTATGACCCTTTCTTGGTCTCAGGCTCTAATGTTTGAAAAAGAAGGGAATATATTGGGTTTTTAAAAATCAGTGTATTGCAACTTGAACTGCTGTAAGTTATTCTTCCACAGAGCCATTAGTGCTTTGTATATTTATATATTTTTACTTTACTATTATGAAAGAAAAATATACTGACTTTATAGAAAGCAAGTTTCTCCTAATTAACAAAGGTTAAAATTTTACCTCTACCAATTAAAATTACAATAGATATTGAAAAATTTAAAAATAAATAATAAATTGACAGTCATTATTTCTAGAAAATAAGGTGTCATACAATATACAGGCATATAAACACATAAAATTGATAGATATACTAATTTTCTCAGGTATAATCTAATATAATCTCTAATGGATACAATCTTAGAAAAAATAGTTTTGTTTCTTTTGAACTTTGTTATAACTTCCGTTTCTTTACCTTGTCTTACTCTTCTGGCTTGCATATCCTATCAACTATATTTTTAGGGTATTTATTCACCTCAACCATTTTTCCTTTGTGTTTCATATAATCCAATTATAGTCTTAATTATTTTAAAATGTACAAGTATTTTTTACTATAGTCACCTATAGTAAAAAATTGTTTATGCTATCAAATACTAGGTCTTATTTATTCTTTCTAACTATTTTTTGTACCCCTTAACCATCCCTCGCCTTCCCTCACCTCCCCACTCCCCTTCCCAGGCTCTGGTAACCATCTTTCTACTTTCAATCTCCATGAGTTCAATTGTTTTAATTTTTAACTCCCACAGACAAGTGAAAACATGTGATATTTGTCTTTCTGTGCCTGGCTTACTTCACTTAACATAATGACCTCCAGTTCAATCCATGTTGTTGCAAATAACAGGATCTCATTATTTTTATGGCTGAATACTACTCCATTATGTATATGTACTACATTTTCTTTATCCATTCATCTGTTGATGGACACTTAGGTTGATTCCATACTTTGGCTATTATGAACAGTGCTGCAAAACACATGGGAGTGCAGATATCTCTTTGATATACTGATTTCCTTTCTTCCTATAAACTATTGGATAGAAGTGGAGTTAGTGGCATCCCTGTCTCAAACGGATGCATTTGGAATTCAAACATTAAGTATAATGTTTGTATTAGGTTTTTAAAATCTCCTTAATCAAATTTAAAATATTTCCTTCTATGCCTAGCTTGCTAAGGGCTGATTTTTATTATGAATATATGTTAAATTTTATTAAATGCTTTTACTGTATCTATTGTGATAATATGTGGTGAATTATATTAATAGATTTTCTAATGTATTAATTGCATAGATAAAGAATTCTCACAAAGGAACCTAAAGTTTCTTTTCCTAGCAGTTCTGAAATAAGACCATGCATGTCTGAAATAAGCCCATCTGGATCTTAATGAACTATCTTTTAAGATGTTACTGAAATCAATTTGTTAATATTTTAAAAAATATTTTACCTATATTAATGGGTGAGTTTAACCTATAATTCCTCTAACATATATTGTACTTCTCTGATTTGTTATCATGGTTACATACTAACCTCATAAAATAATTTGAGAAGGGTTGCCTCTTTTTCTGTCCTCTAAAATACTTTATGTACAATTATTAAACCTTCTGATCTCCTGTTTTACCTATGGAGAGATTTTCAACCAGTGAATAAGTTCCTTAAATGTTATCATAGTTAATAAATTTATTTAGTTATCTTTCATAATTTATACTTTTCTAGAAATTTGTTCTTTTTGTTGTTAGTGTATCAGCATAAGGTACTTCATAAAATTATCTTATTAATTTCTGCTGTATTATAAGCCCATTATTTTATTCATTCCTAAATTTTTCATTCAACTTAGTTTTTATAGAAACAATAATTTCATTTTCATAGTCATGGTTTCATTGGTTTTCATAATACTAAAATTGAAGTATAGAATTACAAAATTAGGTTCAATTGACTTAACTTTGGGAATAAATACAACTATCTTTTTTAACTTTTATGTTAAGTTCAGGGGTACATGTGCAGGTTTGTTATATAGGTAAACCTGTGTCATGGGCATTTGTTTTACAGATTATTTCATCACCCATGTATTAAGCCCAGTACCCATTAGTTATTTTTTTCTGATCCTATCCCTCCTCCCAACCTCCACCCTCTGGTAGGCCCCAGTTTATATAACTGTATGTTGACTCATATCTCTCAACTAGTGGCAGCAAGAGCATTCTGGCTTAATAAAGAGGCACTTACTAAGTGTAAGCATTCAGAGTGCCCTGGGCATCAGCCAGTAAGTTTTACAGAGGGACTGAAATGCACATACATAATTTTCACTGTATGTCAAATTCCATGTCTTTATGCGGCAGGAAAAGAGTGATGTTTCAATTTGCTGAAAAGAATTTTTAACATACTTTTCGGCCACTACACTTAGGTATTTAGTGTCTTTTGTGTTCTTCAGTAACATAAGGTTTTGGCGTGTTTTTTTTTCTAGAAAAATGGAAACTACTAACCTTGAGGACTTGTCTTAAATGCTTATGATCTTCCAAGTGCTAAAAAAAAAAAAAAAACCCCAGCCGGGCGTGGTGGCTCACGCCTGTTAATCCCAGAACTTTGGGAGGCCAAGGTGGGCAGATCACGAGGTCAGGAGATCGAGACTATCCTGGCTAACACAGTGAAACCCCGTCTCTACTAAAAATACAAAAACTTAGCCAGGCGTGGTGGCGGGCGCCTGTAGTCCCAGCTACTTGGGAGGCTGAGGCAGGAGATTGGCATGAACCTGGGAGGCGGAGCTTGCAGTGAGCTGAGATAGCGCCACTGCACTACAGCCTGGGCGACAGAGCCAGACTCCGTCTCAAAAACAAAACAAACAAACAAACAAAACCTTAAGTTTTATGTACTTATGTGCAAACTCTTGATCTGTGTAACGCAGGCTTTTCCACCTGAAACTATTTCATGTTGCCTACATAAAGTATCCTTGAAAAGATCCTATATTGGTGGCCATTTGGAAAAGAAGACCACAACTTTGCTTTTGGTTTGGCTCCAAATAGGGACTAATAACTCTCATTGTAAAATTAAAGTTAGATACATCATGGGCCTTCTATAAATATAATTCAAGAAAGCCAACCTAGCAAGTAGTAAGGAGAAATGCTATGAAAACATGTTACATTAACTCATTATAATTTTCAAAAATACGTAAAGCCACCCCAGAGGCTTGCCAATAACATGAAAGGTAGCAAACATTTTAATGATTAACAGATGAACATTATTACACATTAGAGTTAGTAATGTTCTTTGAATTTAAAGATGACACGAGAGAGACACAAATATTATCATCTGGGCTCTCAAGTTTTTTCTACAATCCTTTCCCTGGTTGGTGCTCTTTCCCATTACAAACAACAGATGTTTTAAATTTGCAAAACCCTCTCTAGGTCTTTTACCCATCACAGTTAGACTCCACAGAATGCTTTGCTTCCTTTATCAGTGAAGAAAAGGGAACCATTAAGTGTAAACGTCATCAACTTTCCTGCCTTAATACTCTAACATTTATAATGGCACTCAATTTTTTCCTCCTTTCATATTTGAGAGGCATGTGTGTTTCCACTCCAATTCAAGCCTAACTATTGTTGACCAATGCTAGTATGTCCTGTCCAAGTCGTACACATTCTCATGTGTAAGGCCAATGGGTTTACATATCTACCCTTTCATTATTGCTCACTGCAATCGTGACAACTGTCTCCACCTCTACGTTGAAGCATACTCCCTCACAAATCCATCAATGATCCCTTTTCTCTCCTGTTTCTGACCTTGACCTCTCCTGCAGATCCTTCCCCTCAGCCCACAAACACATTTTTCCTTTAAAAAAACACAGTAATCAACCATGACTATTTCCAAAACTAAAGACTTTACCTCTCTGTCTTCCCTTGACTACCAGACCTTTTGAAAGAATAGTCTATACACACTGTATTTCCACGCCCAGCTCCTTTTTCTTTAGAAAAAAAAGTACAAAATGGGTCTGTAATCCCACCACTTTGGGAGGCTGAGGCAGGTGGATCACTTGAGCCCAGGAGTTCAAGACCAGTCTGGTCAACATGGCGAAACCCCGTCTCTACTAAAAATACAAAAAAAAAAAAAAAAAAATTAGCTGGGTGTGGTGGCACATGCCTGTAGTCTGGGAGGCGGAGGTTGTAGTGAGCTGAGATTGCACAACTGCACTCCAGTCTGGGTGACAGAGCGAGACTCCATCTCGGAAAATAAAATAAAATAGTACAAAATAAATGGTTGCTGGTTTTATCAAACATCAGTAATCCATTTTCATCATAAAAATTGGAAAACTGATAAAAAAGAAACTAAGTTTTAAAATATCTATAATCTCATCATAAACATTCTTGACATTTTGATGTCTCTTTTTCCTCTACATCTTCATACTCATAAATATGTGCATATTTTTCTACAAAATTATATCATAGCACACATAGTTGTAGCGTCCAGCCTTCAAGGTGACTCCCCATGATCCCATCTCCTGGTATTAACACCCTTGTATAATTCCCTCCCACATTGTAACAGGGTTGATCTGTGTGACAAATATCATATAAATGAAGTAATGTCATGATCCTTAGGAGATTAAATTATAGAAGACTGTGGCTTCCTTCTTTGACCGTGTCCCTACTCTCTTTTGGATTCCTAACTCTAGGGGTTGTCAGCTGCCATGTCATGAGGACAATCAGGTAGCCTATTACTTGCCTCATGTGGCAAGGAAAAGAAGACTCTGGCCAATAGCTGGAGAGAAACTGAAACCTGCCAACAACCATGTGAATGAGTTTGGAAGTGGTTTCTTCAACACAAGTCAAGCCTTGAAATCAACATCAACCCAACATATTGCTTACAGAACAGATCAACATCTTGTCTGCGAACTGATGAAGGACTCTGAGCCAGAACTACCCAGCTAAGCAACTCCCAGATTACTGACCCTCAAAAGCTGTGTAAT
Source organism: Homo sapiens (assembly GCF_000001405.40). Lineage (NCBI taxonomy): Eukaryota > Metazoa > Chordata > Mammalia > Primates > Hominidae > Homo > Homo sapiens. The sequence goes on along the minus strand of NC_000023.11, from coordinate 112,118,163 downwards.
AAATGTTTGTTGTTTTAAACTGCTAAGTTTTGGTGTGATTTCTTATGAAAGCAAAAGATAATTAATATAATAGTGCTCTGGAACTTGTTCTCTCAATTAATAATCTGTCAAGTACATATTTCCATTTCCATAAATATAAGCCCTACATTATTATTTTTAATGACTGTATTATATCTTATTTTAAAGTTATACCATAATTTGCCTAGACAGTCCTCTACTGCTGCACACTTAGGTTGTTTCCAAATGTTTACTATTAGAAACAATATTATAATTATGATTAATATACCTGTACATTACACATTGCATATTTATAGAATTATTTCCTTGGGATAAATTAGTGAAAATGGAATTATTCCTTTAAAGACTATAAATATGTTTTTAAACTTTTTAAAGACATAGTCAAAATGTCTTACACAAAGCTTGCCTGACTTTATTACCCACTAATTGTACACGTGCCCATTTCCCCATTCCTATGCCAATACTACATACTGCTGTTCTCTTTAGCCTGTTGTCTTTTTTTAAAAAAATACATTTATCTGATTTCAAGTAAGGTTGAACATTTTTCTCATATGATTTCTAGTAATTTGCATTTATTTTCTTTCTTGTGAATTGCTTATTAAGATTGTTTACCCATTTCCATATAAGAATAATTAGCTTTTTATTGATTTATAAGAGCTTAGTATATGTTAAGGGTATTAACACCATTTTTGACATATATGTTGAAAATATTTTCCCCATCTTTTGAAATTTTGTATTTACCATATAACGATTATATGGTAAATAGTGTATTTACCATATAACGATTTTTAAGATTATGTAGTCAAATCTATTAGTTGACATATATGTTGAAAATATTTTCCCCATCTTTTCAAATTTTGTATTTACCATATAACGATTATATGGTAAATAGTGTATTTACCATATAACGATTATGTGGTAAATAGTGTATTTACCATATAACGATTATGTGGTAAATAGTGTATTTACCATATAACGATTATGTGGTAAATAGTGTATGTACCATATAACGATTTTTAAGATTATGTAGTCAAATCTATTAGTTTTTGCTTTTTAACATATGCTTTTTGTAACACTTAGAAGTATGATACAGTTATCCATCCTGAGATTACAAAAATATTTACTTATGTTTCTTTTAGTCAATCTATGTTTTCATTTTATGTTTAAATGTATAACCAGAACTCCTTGTATGGCCTTTAGTGACATATGGTCTTTGTGACATCTATCTTCATGTAGGCCCTCTATAATTTTATTTCCAGGTATTTTAATTTCATATTAGCATGAATTGAACAGGTCCATCATATACCCTCAGTGATTTCTGCTGTTCTACAGGCAATATGCTGATTTTTGCCACTTTGTTGGACTCTTAGTGAGGTGAAGCCAGTTGGACTTCTGGGTAGGGTGGCAACTTGGAGAACTTTTCTGTCTTACGAGAGAATTGTAAAATGGACCAATCAGCACTCTGTAGCTAGGATTATAAAACGCACCAATCAGTGCTCTGTAGCTAGCTAGAGGTCTGTAAAATGTGCCAATCTGTGCTTTGTAAAAACGCACCACTCAGCACTCTGTGGCTAGCTAGAGGTTTGTAAAATGGACCAATCAGCACTCTGTAAAATGGACCAATCAGTAGGATGTGGGCAGGGACAAATAAGGGAATAAAAGCTGGTCACCCCAGCGAGTAGTGGCAACCTGCTTGGGTCCCCTTCCACGCTGTGGAAGCTTTGTTCTTTCTCTCTTCACAATAAATCTTGCTGCTGCTCACCCTTTGGGTCCATGCCACCTTTAAGAGCTGTAACACTCACTGCGAAGGTCCACAGCTTCACTCTTGAAGTCAGCAAGACCAAGAACCCACCAGAAGGAACCAACTCCAGACACATCTTGGCGACCACAAAGGGACTATCGCCAAGTGGTGAGTACCATTGGAACACTTTTGCTTGCTATTCTGTCCTATTTTTCCTTAGAATTTGGGGGCTAAAGGCCGGGCATCTGTCAGCCAGTTAGAAGCAACTAGTGCAGCTGCCAGACTAAAGACACGGATGTCAGGCTTTCTGGGAAAGGGCTCTCTAACAACCCCTGACTCTTCGAAGTTGGGAGCCTGGTTTGCCTCTAACCAGCTTCCACTTTTCCTGTACTTCTGGGCTGAGCCAAAGGTCAACGGAGAGGAAAGCCATTCAGCTCCGGGGTCTGGACAAAAAGATGGTTGACCCTGCAGCCATGAGAGGAACTCTCAAAGTCACTCGCCCAAGCGAGACTCGCCCATCTATCCTACCTATCCTGACCCTTGGCTCCTGGGTCCTAATGCCTGTCAGACAAACTTCCTCCCACCTCTATTCTCCGAGGCTAGTCCCGCTTCTAAAAACCACTGCCTGTTTCTGGTGCTTTTCTAGTTTCTCCTATAAGAATGATTTCTACTGTAAATTTCAGAACTCTGTTCCCTTCCTTAGGCACCTGGGCTTACCAATCAGAAAGGCATAATTTTTGCCCAAAGCCCTGTCGGGGGGGTGGGGGCAGGGTTACTATCTGGAATTTTAGGATCCCTCCTCAAAGTAGCAGTCTTAACAAAGGCTATTCCCAAAGCTAGGATATGGTGAGCCTCAGAAATGATATCCTTCCTATTCATATGATGAGAAGTGAGGACAAAAGGTGTCACTCTTCCAACCCTGGAGATCCCTTCCTTCCCTCAGGGTATGGCCCTCCCCTCCATTTTGAGGCCTAACATCTTTATAGGACAAGGGTAAGGTCCCAATACTAGCAGGAAAAAATGCTTAGGACTCTAACAGGTTTTTGAGAATATGTCGGTAAGGGCCACTAAATCTGATTTTTCTTGGTCCTGTTTGTGGTCTAACAGGAAAGGCAAGGGTGCAGGTTTTTTGAGAATGCATTGGTAAGGGCCACTAAATCCGACCTTCCTCAGTCCTCTTTGTGGTCTAAGCGGAGAGGGGTTTCTGCTGCTGTGTCAGTGAGCGCAACTATTCCTGTGAGCAGGGTCCAAAGACTGTTGTGGGTTCTTGGGTGGTGGGGGAAAAACAAATCAGAACCGCAGGCAGTTTTTTCTTTCAGATGGGAAACACTCAGGCATCAACAGGCTCACCCTTGAAATGCATCCTATGCCATTGGGACCAATTTGACCCAAAAACCCTGAAAAAGAAGCAGCTTATTTTTTTCTGCACTATGGCCTGGCCCCAATATTCGCTCTCTGATGGGGAAAAATGGCCACCTGAGGGAAGTATAAATTACAATACTATCCTGCAGCTTGACCTTTTCTGTAAGAGGGAAGGCAAATGGAGTTAACTACCTTCTGTCCAAGCTTTCTTTTCATTGAAGGATAATCCACAACTATGCAAAGCTTGCAATTTACATCCCACAAGAGGACCTCTCAACTTACTCCCATATCCTAGCCTCCCGATAGCTCCCCTTCCTATTGATGATACTCCTCCTCTAATCTCCCCTGCCCAGAAGGAAACAAACAAAGAAATCTCCAAAGGACCACAAAACCTCCTGTCTATCAGTTTTGTCCCCTTCAAGCTGTAGGGGGAGGGGAATTTGGCCCAACCAGGGTACATGTCCCCTTCTCTCTCTCTGATTTAAAGCAGATCAGGGTAGACCTGGGGAAGTTTTCAGACAATCCTGATAGGTATATAGATGTCCTACATGGTCTAGGGCAAAGCTTCGACCTCACATGGAGAGATGTCATGCTATTGTTAGATCAAACCCTGGCCTTTAATGAAAAGAATGCGGATTTAGCTGCAGCCCAAGAGTTTGGAGATACCCGGTATCTTAGTCAAGTAAATGATAGAATGATAACCAAAGAAAGGGACAAATTCCCTACTGGTCAGCAAGCCGTCCCCAGTATGGATCCCCACTGGGACCTCGACTCAGATCATGGGGACTGGAGTCATAAACACCTGCTGACCTGTGTTATAGAAGGACTAAGGAGAATTAGGAAAAAGCCCATAAATTATTCAATGATGTCCACCATAACTCAGGGAAAGGAAGCAAATCCTTCTGCCTTCCTCGAGTGGCTATGGAAGGCCTTAGAAAAATACACTCCCGTATCACCTGACTCCCTTGAGGGTCAATTGAGCCTAAAAGATAAGTTTATTACCCAATCAGCCACAGATATCAGGAAAAAGCTCCAAAAGCAAGCACTGGGCCCTGAACAAAATCTGGAGGAATTATTAAAACTGGCAACCTCGGTGTTCTATAATAGGGACCAAGAGGAACAGGCCAAAAAGGAAAAGCGAGATCAGAGAAAGGCTGCAGCCTAAGTCATAGCCCTCAGACAAACAAACCTTGCTGGTTCAGAGAGGATAGAAAATGGAGCAGGCCAATCAACTGGTGTGGCTTGTTATCAGTGTGGTTGGCAAGGATACTTTAAAAAAGATTGTCCAACAAGAAACAAGCTGCCCCCTTGCCCTTGCCCACTATGCTGAAGTAATCACTAGAAGGCGCACTGCCCCAGAAGACAAAGGTTCTCTGGGCCAGGAGCCCACAACCAGATGATTCAACAATAGGACTGAGGGTGCCCGGAGCAAGCGCCAGCTCATGTCACCACCCTCACTGGGCCCTGGGTACATTTAACCATTGAGGGCTAGGAAATTGACTTCCCCCTGGACACTGGCATGGCTTTCTCAGTGTTACTCTCCTGTCCGGGACAGCTGTCCTCAAAGTCCGTTACCATCCAAGGAATCCTGGGATAGCTGTAACCAGGTATTTCTCCCACCTCCTCAGTTGTAATTGGGAGACTTTGCTCTTTTCACATGCCTTTCTCATTATGCCTGAAAGTCTCACACCCTTATTAGGGAGGGACATATTAGCCAAAGCTGGAGCTATTATCTACATGAATGTGGGTAACAAGTTACCCATTTGTTGTCCCCTGCTTGAGGAGGGAATGAACCCTGAAGTTTGGGCATTGGAAGGACAATTTGGAAGGGCAAAAAATGCCCGCCCAGTCTAAATCAGGCTAAAAGACCCCACCACTTTTCCTTATCAAAAGCAATAACCCTTAAGGCCTGAAGCTCATAAAGGATTACAGGATACTGTTAGACATTTAAAAGTTCAAGGCTTTGTAAGAAAATGCAGCAGTCCCTGCAACACCCCAATTCTAGGAGTACAAAAACTGAAAGGTCAGTGGAGATTAGTGCAAGATCTTAGACTCATCAATGAGGCAGTAATTCCTCTATATCCAGTTGTACCCAACCCCTATACCCTGCTCTCTCAAATACCAGAGAAAGCAGAATGGTTCACTGTTCTGGACCTCAAGGATGCCTTCTTCTGTATTCCCCTGCACTCTGACTCCCAGTTTCTCTTTGCCTTCAAGGATCTCAGAGACCACACGTCCCAACTTACGTGGATGGTCTTGCCCCAAGGGTTTAGGGATAGCCCTCATCTGTTTGGTCAGGCACTGGCCCAAGATCTAGGCCACTTCTCAAGTCCAGGCACTCTAGTCCTTCAGTATGTGAATGATTTACTTTTGGCTACCAGTTTGGAAGCCTTATGCTGGCAGGGTACTCTAGATCTCTTGAACTTTCTAGCTAATTAAGGATACAAGGCATCTAAATCAAAGGCCCAGGTCTGCTTACAGCAATTCAAATATCTAGGCCAAATCTTAGCCAGAGGAACCAGGGCCCTCAACAAGGAATGAATACAGCCTATACTGGCTTATCCTCACGCTAAGACATTAAAACAGTTGCGGGGGTTCCTTGGAATCACTGGCTTTTGCCGACTATGAATCCCTGGATACAGCAAGATAGCCAGGCCCCTCTATACTCTAATCAAGGAGACCCAGAGGGCAAATACTCATCTAGTAGAATGACAACCAGAGGCAGAAACAGCCTTCAAAACCTTAAAGCAAGCACTAGTACAAGCTCCAGCCTTAAGCCTTCCCACAGGACAAAACTTCTCTTTATACATCACAGAGAGAGCAGGAATAGCTCTTGGAGTTCTTAGACTCGTGGGACAACCCCACAACCAGTGGCATACCTAAGTAAGGAAATTGATATAGTAGCAAAAGGCTGGCTTCCCTGTTTATGGATAGTTGTGGCAGTAGCCATCTTAGTGTCAGAGGCTATCAAAATAATACAAGGAAAGGATCTCATTGTCTGGAATACTCATGATGTAAATGGCATACTAGGTGCCAAAGGAAGTTTATGGCTATTAGACAACTGCCTGCTCAGATACCAGGCACTACTCCTTGAGGAACCGGTGCTTCAAATACACATGTGTGCGGCCCTCAACCCTGCTACTTTTCTCCCAGAGGATAGAGAACCAATTGAGCATGACTGCCAACAAATTATAGTCCAGACTTATGCCGCCTGAGAGGATCTCTTAGAAGTCCCCTTAGCTAATCCTGACCTTAACCTATATACTGATGGAAGTTCATTTGTGGAGAATGGGATATGAAAGGCAGGTTATGCCATCGTTAGTGATGTAACAGTACCTAAAAGTAAGCCTCTTCCCCCAGGGACCAGTGCCCAGTTAGCAGAACTAGTGGCACTTACCCAAGCCTTAGAACTGGGAAAGGGAAAAAGAATAAATGTTTACACAGATAGCAAGTATGCTTATCTAATCCTACATGCCCATGCTGCAACATGGAAAGAAAGGGAGTTCCTAACCTCTGGGGGAACCCCCTTTAAATACCACAAGGAAATCATGGAGTTATTGCACACAGTGCAAAAATCCAAGGAGGTCGCAGTCTTACACTGCCAAAGCCATCAAAAGGGGAAGGAGAGAGGAGAACAGCAGCATAAGTGGCTAGCAGAGACAGGGAAAGACCAGCAGAGAGGAAAGACAGAGAGAAAGAGAAAGACAGGAAGTCAATGAGAGAAGGAGACAGAGAGGAAGAGACAGAGACAAAGAGGGAGTCGGAGAGAAAGAAAGAGAGAAAGAGACAAAGTCAAAGAGAAGGAGACAGAGAGGAAGAGACAGAGAGACAAAGAGGGAGTCAAAGAGAGAGACAGAGAGAGGAAGAGACAGAGACAAAGAGAGAGAGAAAGAAAGTCAAAGAGAAAGAGAAAGAGAAAAGTAGTAAAGAAAGAACAGTGTATCCTATTCCTTTAAAAGTCAGGGTAAATTTAAAATTTAAAACCTATTAATTGATAATTGAAGGTCTTCTCCGTGACCCTGTAACACTCCAATACCACCTTGTTGTCAGCACTGAGGCCACTGACAACCCATAGCCTTCCCATCAAAAATCCTTAACCCAGCAGGTTTCCTAACAAGGGATCTAAATCTTAATTAATTACCATACAAAGGTACAACCAGATCTAGGAGGAACTCCCTTCAGGACAGAACGATAGATGGTTCCTCCTGGGTGATTAAGGGAAAAAGACACAATGGGTATTCAATAAGTGATAAGGAAACTCTTGTAAAAGCAGAGTTAGGAAAGCTGCCTAATAATTGGTCTGCTCAAACGTGAGAGCTGTTAGCACTCAGCTAAACCTTAAAGTACTTACAGAATCAGGAAGGAGTCATCTATACCAATTCTAAGTTAATATGGACTGAATGAGGTCTTATTAATAGCAAAGAATAATTGAAATCCCAAACTTACAAGGTAAGTTTTTACAAAAGTAAAGTTTGCTAAAAGTTAACAGTGTAACATGTATTATCCTAAGTTCTAATCTTGTGGTAATCAGACCCTATCAGTGCCCCTCAGAGCTCAAGTCCATCAGCACAGGGCCATACAACTAATACCCCTACTTATAGGGTTAGGAATGGCCACTGCTACAGGAACCAGAATAGCCAGTTTATCTACTTCACTATCCTACTACCACACACTATCAAAGGATTTCTTGGACAGTTTACAAGAAATAACAAAATCTATTCTTACTCTACAATCCCAAATAGACTCTTTGGCAGCAGTGACTCTCCAAAACCACCAAGGCCTAGACCTCCTCACTGCTGAGAAAGGAGGACTTTGCACCTTCTTAAAGGAAGAGTGTTGCTTTTACACTAACCAGTCAGGGATAGTATGAGACACTGCCTGGCATTTACAGGAAAAGGATTCCGAAATCAGACAACGCCTTTCAAACTCTTATACCACCCTCTGGAGTTGGGTGACATGGCTTCTCCCCTTTCTAGGTCCCGTGACATCCATCTTGCTATTACTCGCCTTCGGGCCCTATTTTTAACCTCCTTGTCAAATCTGTTTCCTCCAGGATCAAGGCCAGTAAGCTACAGATGGTCTTGCAAATGAAACCCGAAATGAACTCAACTAACAACTTCTACCAAGGACCTCTGGACCAACCCACTGGCTCTTTGACTGGCCTAGAGTTCCCCTGGGGAGGACATTACAACTGTAGGGCCCCTTCTTCGCCCCTATCCAGCAGAAAGTAGCTAGAGTGGTCATCGCCCAATTCCCAGCAGCAGTTGGGGTGTCCTGTTTAGAGGGGGGATTGAGAGGTGAAGCCAGCTGGACTTCTGGGTTGGGTGGGGACTTGGAAAAATTTTCTGTCATACAAGAGGATTGTAAAATGTGCCAATCAGCACTCTATAGCTAGGATTGTAAAATGCACCAACCAGCCCTCTGTAGCTAGCTAGAGGTTTGTCAGTGCTCTGTAAAAAAGCACCAATCAGCACTCTGTGGCTAGCTAGAGGTTTGCAAAATGAACCAATCAGCACTCTGTAAAATGGACCAATCAGCACTCTCTTAAAATGGACCAATCAGCAGGAGGTGGGTGGGGACAAATAAGGGAATAAAAGCTGGCCACCCCATCCAGCAGCAGCAACCTGCTCGGGTCCCCTTTCACACTGTGGAAGCTTTGTTCTTTCCCTCTTCACAATAAATCTTGCTGTTGCTCACTCTTTGTGTCCAGGCCACTTTTAAGAGCTGTGACACTCACCACAAAGGTCTGCGGCTTCATTCTTGAAGTCAGCGAGACCAAGAATCCACTGGAAGGAACCAACTACGGACACAATAGCACTCTCCAGAGATTGTCTCCTCACAGAAGCATTAATTTGAACAGCCTTCTATGCACAAAAATACCTTTACCAGTGCTAAAGAAATCAGGTAAGAGAGCAAAACACCTGGATGTAGCACAGCAATAAGAAAAGACACATTAAAGAGAGGAGTAAGAACAGTTATACATTTCCTACATCACCCCTCCCTCAACCCCAGGCAGCACAGCCTGAAGAGAGATACCATCTGCTTGAGGGAAAGAGAAAAAAATGATCATAGACCTCAATACTGGGCCTGCCACAGTAAAACCCAGCACTGGGTAAGCCCACATAGCCCCACAGCTTAGGTTGGTATCCACAGACTGAGCCTTCAGACCTGTCTCAGGGCCAGGCCAGACCCCACAGCCCCAGGTTTTAGGCCTGCACAGTGGACTTTATCTCCAGTCTGCACTACTACCAGGATGAATTCGGATGGCCCAGGTTTCAAACAGCACTCAGCAGCATGTCAGCCCAAGTGGCTGAAGACTTGAGGTCCATCCCAGAGCTATGCTGGCCTCAGCAGCTCTGGGTTTCAGTACTGCCCCAGTGGACAGGGGCTTCAGGCAAGCCCCCAAGGATATAGGCTACAGGCCTATACCGGAAGAGTCAATCAATAGATCTACCCGAGTAGGTCCAGTTCCAGGCCTGCCCACCTGTTGACCCATGCCAGACAGCCCAAAGACTCCAGCAGCAAGCCTTTCCATGGACCACACCAGATAGCCTGCTGAGAATCTCTGGAGAGGCAGACTGTTAAAGGGCTCTCCCAGACAAAGGCAGTCTGAAAAGACTGGAGCAGGTATCTACCTCTGAAAATTTGCAGATCCCAATCAAAGAGCAAGAATAATCATGGAAACATGACGTCACCAAAGAGAAAATATAAAACATCAGTGACTGACCCTAAAAATAGAGATGCATAAACTGCTACACAAAGAATTCAAAATAACTGTTTTAAGAAAGCTCAGTGAACTTCAAGAAAATACAAAGAAACAATTCAATGAAATGAGGAAAACAGTAGGTGACAAAAATGATAAATTTAATGGAGAGATTAAAATAATTAACAAATAAAAATTCTGAAGCTGCAAAGTACAATGAATGAAATAAGAAATGCAGCAGAGAGCATCCACAGCAGAACTGATCAAGCAGAAACAATCTGTGAACTTGAAGACAGGTTATTTGAAAATACACATTAAGATAAGAAAAAAGAAACAAGAAAAAAACGGAAGGAAGAAAGCTTATAAGATTTACAGGACAGCATCAAAATAGAGCAAATGTTAGAGGTAAAAAAGATACAAAAGTGAAAGAAAAGGAAGTAGAAAGGTTATTTAAAGAAACCATAGGAGAAAACCTTCCAATCTGGAGGAAGATGTAAGAATTCAAGTATAGGACAGCCAAAGATTTCTAATCAGTTTCAGTCAAAAAAAGACGACCTCAGGACATATTATACTAAAACCATCAAAAATCAAAGACAAAGAGAACACACTGAAAGCAGCAAGAGAAAAGAAGTAAACAACATAAGGGAAGTTCCAACATGGCTAAAGGCAGATTTATCAGCTGAAATTTCACAGGCCAGGAGAGAGTGGGATGATATATTCAAAGTGCTGAAAGAAGAAAACCTTCAACCAAAAATACTGTTCCCAGCAAAGCTGGCATTCAGAAATGAAGGAGAGATACAATTTCCCAGACAAACAAAAATTGAATGAGTTCATCAACAACATATTTGTTTTATAAGAAATGCTAAAGAGAGATCATCAAGATAAAAGAAAATGATACTAATGAGCAACCAGAAAATATCAAGAAGTTTAAAACATGCTGAAAAAAGTATGTATAATACAGTCAAATTCAGAATACTCTAATAATGGTGTGAAAATCACCTATATCTTTAGTACAAAGGTTAAAAGACAAAACCATTAAAATAATAACAGTTACAAAAATTTGTTAAAATATAAGCATTATAAAAAGATGTAAATTCTGACATCAAAAATTCCAAATTGAGGGGAAGTAGAGTAAAAGTGTAGAGTTTCTTCTTGTGTGATCAAAGTTAATTTGTCATCAGCTTAAAATAACCTGTCATATCTGTAAGAGGTTTCTTGTAAGACTCATAGTAACCACAAAGCAAAAACCTATAGTAATTTTTTTGATAAGAACTCAAAACCACAGGCAACAAAAGCAAAAATAGAGAAATAGAATTACATCAAACTAAAAAACTTCTGCACAGCAAAGAAATCAATCAACAAAGTGTGGAGACAGCCTGCAGAGTGGGAAAAATATTTGCAAACTATCTATCCAACAAGGCATTAATATCCAGAATATAAATGGAACTCAAACAACTAAATAGCAAAACAAAGAAAAAATAATCTGATTTAAAAAGGGCAAAAGACCAGAAAAGACATTTCTCAAAAGAAGACATACAAATGACCAATAGGTATATTTTTAAAGTGCTCAAGATCACTAATCATCATGGAAATGCAAATAAAAATCACGAGACATAATTTCACTGCAGTTAGAGGGCTATTAGCAAAAAAAACAAAAAATAACAAATGGATGCAGAGAAAGGAGAGTGCTCATAGACTGCTGGTGGAAGTATAAAGTAGTACATCCATTATGGAAAACAGTATGGAGGTTACTCAAAAAACTAAAAATAGAACCACCATGTGATCCAGTAATCCCACTGCTGGATATATTTACAAAAGAAATGAAATTGGTATATTGAAGAGATATCTGCACTTGCACATTTATTCCACTCCCATGTTTATGGTAGCATCACTGCTACATTCTACCAAACATTTAAAGAATTAATACCTATCCCTCTCAAGCTACTCTAGAAAATGGAAGTCTAGGGTATACTTTCAAACTCACTTTATGAGGCCAGCATTACCCTGATACCAAAGCCAAACAAAGACCTGATGAAGATAGATGCAAAACTTCTCAACAAAATACTAGTAATCTGAATTCAATAGCACATTAAAAAGATTATTCACCATTATCAAGTGAGATTCATCCCAGGAATTCAAGGTTGATGCAACATACACAAATCCACAAACGTGATACACCACATTAACTGAATGACCAAACCATATAACCATTTCAATAGGTACACAAAAAGCATTTGGCAAAATTCAAAACCCTTTCATGATAAAAACTCCAAAGAAGGAGTAGAAGACATGTGCTTCAACACAACAAAGTTAACCTATGACAAACCCATGGATAATATCATATTTAACAAGGAAAAGTTGAAAACTTTTTCTGTAAGATCAGGAACAAAATGAGGATGCCCACTCTCACTGCTTCCATTCAACATAAAACTGGAAGTCCTAGTCTGAATAGTTAGGCAAGATTAAAAAATAAAAAGACGTATGAGTTGGAAAGGAAGAAGTTCAACTGTTTCTATTTGCAGATGACATAAACTTACATACAGAAAACTCTAAAGACTCCACCAAAAACCTATTGGAACTAATAAATTTAGTAAAGTTGTAGGATACAAAATCAACATACAAAATCAGTAGCATTTCTATACACTAACAGAAAATTTTCAGAGAGAAAATCAAGAAAATAGTCTCATTTACAATAGCTCCAAAAAAATAAATTTAGGAATCAATGTAACCAAGGAGGTGAAAAATCTATATTCTAAAAACTATAGGATACTGATGAAAGAAACTGAAGAAGGTACAAATAAATGGAAAGATAGCCAACAATCATGCATTGGAAGAATTAGTCTTGTTAAAATCTCCATACTACACAAAGAAATCCATAAATTCAATGCAATTCCTATCAAAATACCAATGATATCCCTCACAGAAATATAACAAATAATACTAAAAATTTGTACAGAACCACAAAAAAACCAGAATAATGAAAGCAATCTTGAGCAAAAGAACAAAGCTACAGCTATCACACTGTACTTAATTTCAAAATATGCTATAAAGCTATAGTAATCAAAACAATATGGTACTGGCATAAAAACAGACAGACCGATGGAACAGAATAGAAAGCCCAGAAATAAGTACAAGTATTTACAGCCAACTGATTTTGGACAAAACTACCAAGCATACACAGAAAGAAAGCATGGTCTCTTCAATAAATTATGATGAGAAAACTGGATAACTAACATGAAAAAGAGTAACATTAGACCACTGGCTCACACCATACACAAAAGTAAACTCAAAATGGATACAGAATTAAATGTACGATCTGAACCTGGAAACCTATTAAAGAAAACATAGGAGGAAAGCTTGATGAAATTGGTCTGGGCAATTATTTGTTAGATATAAATCCAAAAGTACAGGCAACAAAATCTAACATACACAGTGGAATTATTTCAAACTGAAAGGTTCTGCAGAGCCAAAGAAACAGCAATGTGAAGAGACAATCTACAGAATGGGAGAAAGTATTTTTAAACCATGGATCTGATAAGGGATTAATATTCAAGATATATAAGAAACTCAAACAACTCAATAGTAAGAAAACATATAACCCAATTAAAAATGGGAAAAGAATGAAAATAGGCATTTCTCAAAAGAAGACATATAAATGGCCAACAAGTACATGAAAAAATGCTCAAAGTCACTAATCATTAGAGAAATGCAAATTTAAACCACAATGAAGTGTTACCTCACACATGCTACAATGGCTACTATCAAAAAGACAAAAGGTGAAAAGTGTGGGCAAGGCTGTGGAGAACAGAGAACGCTTGCACACCATTGGTAGGAAGATAAATTAGTATAGCCATTATGAAACACAGTGTGGAGGTTCCTCACAAAAAAAAATAAAATTACCATATGAGCCAGTGATCCCATTACTGGGTGTATTTCCAAAGGGAATGAAATCAGTATGCTGAAGAGCTATCTCCACTCCAATGTTTACTGCAGCATTATTCACAATAGCTAAAATATGGAATCAACCTATGTGTCCATCAAGAGATGAATGGATACAGAAAATGTGGTATATATACACAATGGAATACTATTCAGCAATAAAATAAAGAAATCCTGTCATTTGTGATAACATGGATAAAACCTGGAGGACAATATGTTAGATAAAATAAGCTAGGCACAGAAAGACAAATACTGAATGATTACACTACTTTGTGGAATCTAAAAATTTGTTCTTCGAGAAGTACAGAATAGAATGGTGGTTAATAGGATCTAGGGCAATGGAGAGAGGTAGAGGCTTGGAGAAATGTTGCTCAAAGGATACAAAATTTCAGTTATATAGGAGGAATAGGTTCAAGCAATCTATTGTACAACATGGTGACTGTAATGATAATATATTGTGTTTTTGAAAATGCTAAAATATAAATTTTAAATGTTATCATTACAAAATTGATACATATATGAGGTAATGCATGTGTTAATTTAATTAGCTAGATTTAGCCATTCCACAATGTATATATATTTCAAAACATCATGTTGTAAACAATAAATACATATAATTTTACCTGTATATTTAAAAATAAATAATAAATAATAATAAAATATTTCCTAATAAACTGTCTGCATTCTTGAAAGGAATCCTTCTAGGTCATTAGTTATTATTCTTTTCATCCCTGTTATATTCACTTGAGTATCATATTACCTAGAATTTTAAATCCATATTCATAAGTGAAGTCCGTCTGCTTTCTTTTCTTTTTTTTTTCGTTCAGTTCCAGGGTACATGTGTAGGATGTGCAGGTTTGTTAAATAGGTAAACGTGTGCCTTGGTGGTTTGCTGCACAAATCAACCCAACACCTACGTATTAAGCCCAGCATCCCTTAACTATTCTTTCTGAGGCTCTCCCTCCCTCCACCCCCATAGCCAACAGGCCCTAGTGTGTGTTGTTTCCCTCCTCATGTGTTCATGTGTTCTCATCATTCAACTTCCACTTACAAGTAAGAACATGCAATATTTGGTTTTCTGTTCCTGTGTCAGTTTGCTGAGGATAATGGCTCCCAGCTCAATCCATGTCCCTGCAAAGGACAGGGTCTCATTATTTTTATGGCTGCATAGTATATGTAACACATTTTTTTTTATCTAGTCTATCATTGATGGGCATTTGGGTTGATTCCATATCTTTGCCATTGTGAATAGTGCTGCAATGAACACATGTGTGCATATATCTTTATAACAGAATAATTTGTATTCCTTTGGGTATATACCCAGTAATGGGATTGCTGGTTCAAATGGTATTTCTGCCTCTAGATCCTTGAGGAATTGCCACACTGTCTTCCACAATGGTTGAACTAATTTACACTCCTACCAACAATGTAAAAGCGTTCTTTTTTCTCCACAGCCTTGCCACCATCTGTTGTTTCTGGACTTCTTAATAATAGCCATTCTGACTAGTGTGAGATGGTATCTCATTGTGGTTTTGATTTGCATTTCTCTAATGATCAGTGATGTTGACCTTTTATTCATATGTTTGTTGTCCACATATATGTCTTCTTTTGGGAAGTGTCTGTTCATGTCCTTTGCCCACTTTTTAATGGGGTTGTTTTTTTCTTGTAAATGTAAGTTCCTTGTAGACTCTGGATATTAGTCCTTTGGTAAGTGGATAGATTGCAAACTTTTTCTCCCATTCTGCAGGTTGTGCTTTTCTTTTTCTTTTTGGTTCTGTCTTTGTTGGATATGATTTTCCCAGATAGGCTAATTTTATAAAAGATTTGAGAGACATTCCTTATTTCTGGAACAACTAAAATTTCTCTTTCTTTGAAATAACTCACCTATGGAATTTTATGAGGTGTTATTGCTGTTTGTTTTGTTCTGTTGTTTGCTTTGTGATGGAAGAATTGACAGTTGTTTAACAACTTTTTATGGTTATTAGTTTTCTACTTTTCTTGAGTCACTTTTTATAATTTCCCTAGGATTAAATTTATAACATTCTCTCTCTTTTAAAAATCTACTATGTTTTACTATATAAGATAGGAAGTTACATGTGGTGATTTAGACCACAGGCTTTGAAGTCAATCTAAGTTTGAATTATTTGCTTGGACAAATTGCTTAAACTCTCATGCGTTTATCTACAAAATAGCACCCACTTCATTAGATTCTTGTATGGATGAAATTAGTTAATGTATATAAAAGTGTAAAACACATAGAGAGTCCCTATACTATATTGTGTCATCAATTATTAAGCTTTCATGTATATTTGTTTCCTAGGGCTGTCATACAAAGTATGACACCCTGAGGGGCTTAAAACAAAAGAAACATATTCTTTTACAGTTTTGGAGGCCAGAAGTCTAAAATCAAAGTCTATAAGGCCACAGTCTCTTGAAAGGCTGTAGGGGAAGGGTTCTTTCTTTCCTCTTCCATCTTTTGGGGGCTCCAGGCAGTTCTTGGTGTGTGTCAGCATAACTCTAATCTTTAGCTCCATTTTCACATGGGCTTCTTCCTTATGTCTCTGTGCTTTTCTATATGTCCCCTCTATTTATAAGGACATTCATCATTGTATTTAGAGTCCACCCTAATCCAGTATGACCTCCTCTTATCTTAATTACATTTGCAAATATCCTATTATTAATAAAGTCACATTCTGAGCTTCAAGATGGACATAAATTTGAGGGGGACACTATTCACTTCACTGTATTACATTTCTAATATGCTTTTCAAAATTCTTTTTTTCTTATATTCTTGATTACTCTTGCCAGGAATTTGTCACCTATGGGTCATTTCAAAAACTGGTTCTAATATTTATTCATCAGTTTTTCTGGGTTTCTGTTTTCTGTTTCATTTCTTCTTTCAGCTATAATAATTTAGGCTTTCCAAATTTTCCTTTATTTTGCCTCTTCTACCTTCATGATTTATTTTTCTCCTTTTTTGTTTGACAAAAAGTCATGTAGCTTTTCCTTTGAATAAAGCACTGGAGATGTTCCCTAAATTGTTAACATGCTTCATTCACCATTACTGTTTAAATAGAATATGCTTGAAGTTTCTATTTCTATCTTTGACTCAAAAATTATTCAGTAGAGTGGTTTTTTAATGTTCTGCATGGTTTGATTTCATTTATTTCCCTTTGGATTTTAATGTCTAGCCTGATTGAATTGTGATCACAAACTACGAAATTATGGCCTAAACTATTTCTGCTTTCTGTAATATATTGTTTCCTTTGTGGTCTGAAATATGAAAATTTTTTTAACGTTTCATGAAAATTTAGTAAAAATATGTGTTCCATGTAGGCCACAAAGATGTAGTTATAGATATATGTATAGAGTCAAACTTACTAATTGGATTATTCAATTGACCTGTTCTTTTTTTGTCTATTTGGTCTGTCAAAAACTAAGACAGTTGTAAGGCAGAAGCTGCTAGTTATCAACCCAACATCTGATCTTACCTTTCTTCTTGATAACAGAGGGCCTGCCTGATTTTTACATGGGCATATTGACACCCAAAATAAAAGACTACATTTTCCAGCCTCCCTCACAGCTCCCATCTGACTAGGTTCTGGCTACTATGATTTAAGTGTGTGTGGTGAGGGTAGCTCCTCTTCCTCCTTCCTCCCACATGGAATGTAGATATGATAGCTAGACTTCAAGAAGTAATACATTAATGATGGCAGAATAGCAAGATATACAGCTCTGGAATGAATACATCCAGACTCTTTTTTCCATGGAAGAAAAATAAGCCACTATCTAGTTTATGCCCCTGATATTTTAGGTTTTTCCTTGCATGAAGCTAAAATAAATCTTAACTAATACAGGTATGATAATGTCTCCAATTAGGATTATAATGCTGCCAATGTTTTCTTGTAACAGTCTTTGTTTTATAAACTGTCATGCTGCATCATTCCACGTATATACATTCATGACTCATGTTTATTGTAGACTTTAGCTTTTGTCAGTAAAAAATAACCCTCATTTTCCTAACAATCTGTGTCTTGCTTTTTCATTTAATTCATCCAATATTAACTTTAGTATCTCTCATTTTTATTCTTTGAGAATCTCTTTGATTCTAAGTTTTCTCTTCTAAATTTCAAACAGATGCAATCTCATGTCTGCTCCCACCACTGCACTGAAAGTGCTCTTGTTAAGGTCCCTTCATTGCTAAACTCCAGTGGCCTGTTTTCAATCTTCATTATACTTTATCTTTCTGGAACATTTCGCACTCTTGTGTTTCAAGATGTTATTATTTTCTTCTGGTTTTCTTCTTGAAGCCCAGAGCCATATTTTAACTGCCTAGATGAATGTCTCATGGCCATCCCAAAATTGAGTTGATTTTATCGCCTCTGAAACCTACTTTCTTCAGTATGCTTCATTTTGGTTAATGTCTACACAGCCATGCTTGATGTCATCCTTCATTTTTCTTTCTGCCTCACTCTGTATTTCCAACTAGTTATCAAATCTTGTCAATCCTACCTCAAATATGTATCGCAAATTTTCTTAAATTTCTATTTTAGGTCAGACCTTTATTGTCTTTTGCTTGGACTACTCCAAAATCTTATCTCCATGCCTCTAGTCTGTCTTTCATTCTCCGTAAAACTATACCAATCCCATTCTCTGAAAAATAAAACCAAACATATTTGATCACATATTCATTTTCCTTTAAAAAGAATCTGTTGATTCCCCACTGCCAAGCTCTGTAGTAGGGTGTACAAATTCTTTGACAATCGGACACACTCTCTCTCCTACTCTATATCCTACCACACCTTCCCCACCCACTTCCTAGGCTCCAGCACAGTAGATTTCTCACACCACTAAAAATTTGCTTTCAGTAAATCCTTTTATGGCTTCATAGTTTTGCACGTGCTGTTCCCTCTGGATAGAGTACTTTCTCTATAGTCTTTCTTTGGCACACTTTGATTCATCCTTCAAGTCCCAGTTAAAATTTCACCTATTCCATGAAGCCTACCCTGACTGACAGACTGAGTTAGAAATTAGTCATTCTCTCTCTGTGCTCTAGACTCTCACTATGCTGCCCACACCACTGCTATAGCACTAATGCATGTAGTGACTATCTTTCGTAGCATCTATTTCCCTCCTATAGGCCATGAGCTACTCAAAACCAGGAACTGTTCACATCCTTCACCCACTTTTTGATGGGGTTGTTTGTTTTTTTCTGGTAAATTTGTTTGAGTTTATTGTAGATTCTGGATATTAGCTCTTTGTCAGATGAGTAGATTGCAAAAATTTTCTCCCATTGTGTAGGTTGCCTGTTCACTCTGATGGTGGTTTCTTTTGCTGTGCAGAAGCTCTTTAGTTTAATTAGATCCCATTTGTCAATTTTGGCTTTTGTTGCCATTGCTTTTGGTGTTTTAGACATGAAGTCCTTGCCCATGCCTATGTCCTGAATGGTATTGCCTAGGTTTTCTTCTAGTGTTTTTATGGTTTTAGGTCTAACATGTAAGTCTTTAATCCATCTTGAATTAATTTTTGTATAAGGTGTAAGGAAGGGATCCAGTTTCAGCTTTCTACATATGGCTAGCCAGTTTTCCCAGCACCATTTATTAAATAGGGAATCGTTTCCCCATTTCTTGTTTTTCTCAAAAGAAGACATTTATGCAGCCAAAAGACACATGAAAAAATGCTCATCATCACTGGCCATCAGAGAAATGCAAATCAAAACCACAATGAGATATCATCTCACACCAGTTAGAATGGTGATCATTAAAAAGTCAGGAAACAACAGGTGCTGGAAAGCATGTGGAGAAATAGGAACACTTTTACACTGTTGGTGGGACTGTAAACTAGTTCAACCATTGTGGAAGTCGGTGTGGTCATTCCTCAGGGATCTAGAACTAGAAATACCATTTGACCCAGCAGTCCCATTACTGGGTATATACCCAAAGGATTATAAATCATGCTGCTATAAAGACACATGCACACGTATGTTTATTGTGGCAGTATTCACAATAGCAAGGACTTGGAACCAACCCAAATGTCTAACAATGATAGACTAGATTAAGAAAATGTGGCACATATACACCATGGAATACTATGCAGCCATAAAAAATGATGAGTTCATGTCCTTTGTAGGGACATGGATGAAGCTGGAAACCATCATTCTCAGCAAACTATCACAAGGAGAAAAAACCAAACACTGCATGTTCTCACTCATAGGTGGGAATTGAACAATGAGAACACATGGACACAGGAAGGGGAACATCACACACCGGGGCCTGTTGTGGGGTGGGGGGAGGGGGGAGAGATAGCATTAGGAGATATACCTAATGTTAAATGGCGAGTTAATGTGTGCAGCACACCAACATGGCACATGTATACATATGTAACTAACCTGCACGTTGTGCACATGTACCCTAAAACTTAAAGTATAGTAATAAAAAAAAGAACTAACTTATTTAAATCTAGAATCTTAGCACAGTGTCTAGCTCAAAAAAGAGGACCAATAGCCAGGGCCAAATTGAAAAAAAGATTCCTGGTCCTCAAAACACCCAGCCCCTTCCAGCTCACTAATGTTAAAATTCTACCTTTCCACCTTTGGCTTAAGGCACTCACCATTGTTAATAGATGTCTCCAGAATGGGCCAGAAGTGCTCATTGTCATTTTATCAGACATTTTCCAAAGGGGTATTTAAAAAGTGCATTTTCAGCACTGGGCATTTATTAGGGAAATGGGGGGAAACAGACATTATACTTTGTTGGCAGAGTCTTTGTTTCTCTTTCTCGGTCTGTCACCCAGGCTAGAGCGTGATGGCGTAATCTCAGCTTATTGCAACCTCTACCTGACAGGCTCAAGCAATCCTCCTGCCTCAGCCTTCCAAGTAACTGGGACTACAGATGTGTACCATCACACCTGGCTAATTTTTGTATTTTTTGTAGAGGTGAGGCTTTGCAATGTTGCCCAGGATGGTCTTGAACTCCTGGGCTAAAGTGATCCTCTCATCTCGGGCTTCCAAAGTGCTCAGGTTACAGGCTTGAGCCACCATGCCTGGCCTGTTTCTCTTTCAATATAGTCTTGTGTCATCTTGGCAGGTAAAAATGAAGTAACTCATTATTTTTAAATAAATTACCATGATTCTTTTGGTTGAATACACTGCTATGTAGTCCCTCCTCCTTTCTTCACACTAACTAGACTGTAAATTCCACAGTGACAGGGATTTTTGTTTGGTTTGTTCACTAATATATCCCAGTAAATAATTATTTGTCAAATGGATATGTGAATGAATAAATGAATGTATGTGAGGGTGGGGTTAAGGTTGGTTACATTATTTGATTTCAGAGTTCCCATACACCTCAGCAGTCAAAGATGTTGCATTCTGTTATATAACCTTCCCAATTTCCCAATAAAGGCACACTTTAATCTCTAAGCCTTCTTCTACATCTCAGAGTCTATCATTCTATTATTAGAATCACCTCATGGTGGTATCTGTTAGGGAACACTAAAGAATAAACGCTTACTTTGGGACATGCCCTAAAATGTTAAGTCATGATGGCATCTTCCAATTGTACCCTCCAGGACAGTTACTGATTTATAGTGATGTGTAACTCTCTCTCACAGAGTATCTACTTGGGTGTGGCTTCATCCTCTTATCTTCCTTTCCAACATCCTTGCTTTGCTATGTAGTGCAGGGCTCTCATAGTGTGGGGATGGCTAGTTGGTTTGTGATTTGTGATTTCCCAATAGGAATGACTATACCATATTGTTTAGTGTAGATGTAAAGCTGCTGATGAAGCTCCTGTTGGGTCATTCTGTATATAATAAGTCTAATGTCACTATCAATATAGCCTTTGGCGAGATAGCTGATACATTTCCCATCAGTCCCTTGCTCAATAAAAGTGGGCTTCAGAAAGCATGGCATCTATGCTGTTGACGTGCCTGGATCTGAGGACCCATTACTGGAATGGGCCACTACTGATATAGTTAACATATCTGTGATAAAACTAGGTCACATATAACTGAAACAAAATCCCTTATTGACAAATGGGATGCCTATAGTTGGTTGCAACCTTCTATGTGAATATAATCAGAGCTGGGCACCCAGCCTTCTGTAAAGTAGAACCCTACATGAAAATTGGCAATTGTGTGGCAGTTACTATAACCCAGCTACTGTTCTAAGTGTTCTTCAGCTATTAATTCATTTAATCTTCTTAACAACTCTATAAGGCAGACTCTATTATCATACCAATTTTACAGGTAAAAAATCTGAAGCACAGAGGCTACATAACTTGGCAATCATCACTCAGGGTGGATGGAGCCAAAATTCAAGCTTGGGCAGTTTGACTCTGGATCCCATATAAGCTCTGATACTTTAAGGCACCTGTCATTTGGCTAAATAGCCTCCTAACTTTCTTGTTGTTGTCATACACCAATATCTCTGTCACTTTCTCACTACCACTCCACCATCTCTATCTTCTGCTGTTCATTAGAAACTTTAAGTGCTCAACTTCCTCTACACACCAAATCCTTCCATCACCTTGGGTGACATCTATGGCAGTATAGATAATCCAGCCAATGCCCTGACCCTTCAGTTATATTTCCAATTATCTCTTCTTTCACCACTGTACCTCAGCCACCCACTCTTACAGCCATACCCTTGACTTGGTCAGTATCAGAATCTGATCCTTCTCTAAAATGATAAATTCTGGCCCTACTCTCTTACTACAAGTTCCTACACTTCCATTGCATGCACTCTATCATTCTCAAGACAATGAGGCTCTTCCATCTCATTGGGACCACCTGTATATTGAGCTCTCTATTTTTACCCTATCCATAGATTTCCCCTGCCATCATTTCTCTATATATTGGTATTGGATTCAATGATCCATCACATTCCCAGCTCCCTGGATCCATGGAACTCCTATCATATCCACTTGGTAAAACCCTGGATAAATTAACCATTTTCCTTCACTGTATCTGCACTCAGTCTGTAGAGTAGTGTCAGAAGAACCACCAACCTGCTCTCAACACTGCCTGGTGATTCCAATTTTTACTTAGCTTGCTCTCTCATTCTCAAAATTATTTTATCCACTCTCATCAAACCTCCTAGCTTTCACACCTTGAACCCTCCCTCAATAAATGATCTCATCTCCTACTACTATACAGAAAATATAAAAGGGTCAGAAGGAAATGGCCCCAGCTTTGTGCCATGAAACCTACAAACTTATCTGAATCCACGTGGATACTTTTTGCTCCTTTCTTCATGTTATAATGGAAGAGGTGTCCTCCCTCCTTTCTAAGGTTAATCCTGCCTTTTTCTTGATGCCATCATATTATCTTCTCTTTCCTTCTCCTCTCCTTTTCTACTAGTTCTTTTATGTCAGCATATAAACGTATCAAATGTTTTCTCATCTTAAAAACAAGAAAACCCAACCTCTCTTGACCCTACATCCGCACTAGCTAGTCTCTCCACTTCCTCTTTTCTGCAGAATCTCTTGAACTAGTTATTTACACTGTTTCTATTTCCTCACCTCCCTCTCACTCCTCAGTCCAGCTCATTATAACTAAAATCAGGGAATCAATCACCATTGTGTTATTAACCCTAGTAGTCACTTTGTGTCCTTATTTTGCCAGACTTCTTAGCAGCATCAAATACTGTCGATTACTCTCTCTTGAAACATTCTTCCCTTGGTCACCATATTCAAATGTTGTGTGAATATCAAACTATTCTGAGTTTTCTCCTTTCTCCCTGGTATTTTCAGTCTCCTTTGATGGCCTTTATTTCACTACCTGATCTTTAAACACTGAACAACTCCACAGCTCAGTCCTCCTCTCTCTTCTATTTATTCTCTCTCCCTAGGTGATATAATTCAATCACATGGCTTTACTATCTATATGGTGACAACTTCCAAATCTTGTCACTGACCTTGACCCCTCTTCTGCATTCCAGACTTATACGACCAACTCTCTAACATCTCCCCTTGGATGTCTCACATCTTATACTCTCCACATCCTAAACTGAACTCATATTCTCCCCCTAAGATACACATATCCTTCAGTTTCCCCATTTCAGTGAAATGGTATCACTATTTACCTACTTGTTCAAGCCAGAAACTTGGAAGCCATGTTTGACACATCCCCCTGGCTTACCCACCATATTCGATCCATCACTAAGTTTTGTTGATTGTATTTCTTAATTATCTCATGAGCTTGTCATCTTTTCTACATCCCAGTGGTGACTGGCTTATTCTAAGTCACCATTACTTATTTCTGATATTATTTCAATACACTCCTAACTAGTCTCTCTGCTTCTACTCTTCTTCCCCACCAATCCATTCTTCATAGCTAGAGTGATCCTTCTAACATGAATTCCTAGTCATATAAGTCTCCTTCTTCAATGGCTTCTCATTGTTCTTAGGATGAACTTAGCATGGCAACAAGCCCTCACATGACCACACATAATTGCATAACAGCCCCTGACTATTATTGCTGTTAATCTTTCTCTGTAGAATCTATGTGGCAGCTGCATTTCTTTTATTTCACTTCCTAGAACAGATTGTGCTTTTGCCTAGGTGTTCTCACATACGCTATTACCTTTGTCTGGAATATCATCCCAAATCCTCTCTACCTGGCTAACTTTTACTCATTATTTATGTTTCACTTTATAATAACTTTGGTAGGAAAGTTTTTCCAGGTCTCTGGACTAAATCCTGTCATCAAATCCTTCCTCTATTTTAACAACTATCATACAGTATTTAAATTACTAATTTATTGTTTATCTTCTGCAACAGATTATAAGGTCTATGATAGCAGGTACCAATAACAGCTATATCCACAGTATCTAGCATATGCCTTGGCACACAAGAGGTATCCAACAAATATTTGGGGAAGGAAGAAAACTCTCTTGAAAGATGATTAAAGAGGCAAAGGAAGAGGGATACTCTAATTAGCATAAACAATGAATGTTGGCTGGTCAGTGATGGACTCTTACATGACATGAGAAGTTCAACATACCTTAACAGTGGTTGGGGAGAAGGTTACATAAACTTGAACCTGATTAGAGAGGGCTGGGAGGTTCCATCACTTGAACTGATAGGCCATGTATTAATAGTTATTATGAGTTCTTAAGTAGGGAAGTGTCTTGATTTAAAAGGATACTTTCAGAAGATTACTCAAGCAGGATATATTGGAGGTGCCAAAACCCAAGGCAAAGAAATGATTCAGAAGTCTTCTGCAATTATCCAGGTGTGGAGCAATGAATATAGGAGTAGTAGTGGAAATGAATAGAATAAATTTAATCCAAGTGACAGAGAGGAACTGGCAATTGCACTTAGTGGCTGTATGGGAGTGGGGGACTGACTAAGGGAGAGGGAGGAGGCCAAGATAACCTTAAGCCTTGAGGACTGGGATAATAGAACTCCTAGTTATATTTCACTTACTAAAGTGAAATGAATTTTCTGGTGTATTAGTCCATTTTCACGCTGCTGATAAAGACATACCTGAGACTGGGCAATTTAGAGGTTTAATTGGACTTACAGTTCCACCTGGCTGGGGAGGCCTCACAATCATGGCAGAATGTAAGGAAGAGCAAGTCACATCTTATGTGGATGGCAGTAGGCAAAGAGAGAGCTTGTGCAGAGAAACTCCCATTCTTAAAACCATCAGATCTCATGAGACCCATTCACTATCATGAGAACAATACAGGAAAAACCCACCCCCATGACTGAATCATCTCCCACCAGGTCCCTCCCACAACACGTGGGACTTATGGGAGCTACAAGATGAGATCTGGGTAGGGACACAAAACCAAATCATATCATCTGATGAGATGTAATCAATTTCAGAACCACTGATGAGATGCAATCAATTTCAAGAACCAGTGAGTTTGAACTGATGGTTTAACATTTAAGTGAATAGATATGGGAGTGAGAGGCAGATTTGCATGTCTCTGAGAAAAAATGAGGAAGTACATATAGAAGTGAGGGTTTTCTATTTCATAGTTATTGCATGAATATATGAGCAAGAATAGATTTACAGCTTTCCCATATTGGTCCTTTACAAAGCAGAATCCCAAAGCAGAAGAGAAAATCAATCAAACCCAAAAGCAAGCAAATGAGAAATTGAAGAACAAAAAATATTTTACATATAGACAAAGACAGCAACATGGCAGAAGTAAGTTATTTCTTACAGTAATTACTTTAAACATAAATTGATTAAACTGTCCAATTAAAAGGCAGAGATAGGCAGAACAGACTTTAAAAGCAAGATTCAACTATACGCTATCTAAAAGGAGTAGACTTTAGATCCAAAGAAACGAAAGTGAAAGGACAAAAAAGATATTGCATGCAAATAGCTAACAAAAAAGGCTTAGGATACCTATAATAATATCTTACAAAATTAACTGTAAGTCAAAAATTATTACAAGAGACAAAGAAAGATGTTATATATTGGTAAAAGGGTCAATTAATCAAGAAAACAGCAATTATAAACATACAGGCACCAAACAACAGAAAACCCAAATATACAAAGCAAGGATTAAAGGGAGAAATATGCAGTTCTACAATAAAAGTTGGATACTTCGATACCCCACTTTCAATAATAGATAGATGAAGACAGAAAATCATTAAGAAAATAGAAGACTCGGAGAAAGCTATAAGCCAACTAGATGTAACAGATAGAACATGTCACCCCAAAACAGCAGAATAAACATTATTTTTAAGTGCACGTGGAACATGCTCCAGAATAGACTGTATGTTAGGTCACAAAACAAGTCCTCAATTTACAAAGACTGAAATAATACAAAGTATCCTATCTGACCATGATGAAGTAAAGCTAGAAACAGAAATCAATAACAGAAGAAAAACAAAATTTCACAAATATGTGGACATTAAACAACAAACCCTTAAACGACAAACGTATCAAAGAAGAAATCACAAGAAAAATTTAAAAACACTTTGAGAAGAATGAAGATGAAAATTCAATCTACCAAACTTATGTGATACAGTGAAAGCAATATTCCAACTGATATTTATATTATACATGCATACATTAAAAAGAACACCTAAATTAATAACCTAACTTACATTTAAGGAACTAGTAATAGAACAAATTAAACCCACAGCTAGCTGTAGGTAGAAAGTAGTAATTATGAGACAAGAGATAAATAAAACAGATATTAGAAAAACATTACAGAATATTAACAAAAGTAAAAGTTAAT
The DNA here is from genome assembly GCF_000001405.40 of Homo sapiens. NCBI lineage: Eukaryota > Metazoa > Chordata > Mammalia > Primates > Hominidae > Homo > Homo sapiens. Next base: position 112,091,193 of record NC_000023.11, on the reverse strand, counting down.
TCTTTGAAAAGATTAACAATATTAAGAACATTTAGCTAGACTGACAGAAAAAGAAGGAAAGATTCAAATTATAAAATCAGAAATGAAAGTGGGGACATTACTGCCAATATTAAAGAAATAAAAATAATCATAAGAGAAAACAATGAACAATTATACAACAAGAAATTAGATAACCTTGATGAAATGGAAAAATTACTAAAAACACACAAACTATTAAAATTGACACAAGAAGAAATAGAAATTCTGAAAATATCTATAACAAGTAAGGTGATTGAATGACTGATCAGTCCACCCCTTGCCCCCTTAAGAAGCCCAGAACCAAATAACTTCATTGGTGAATTCTATCAGATATTTAAAGAATAATTAACAGCAATTCTTGTCTAAATCTTCTAAAAAAATTTTAATAGGAGAGGATACTTCCTAACTCCTCCTACAAGGCCACCATTACTCTGATACCAAAGCCAGACCAAGATAGCACAAGAAACAAAACTACAGACCAATATTACTTATTTATACAGGTACAAAAATCCCCAAAAAAATACTAGTAAACCAAATCTAGTCACACATTAAAAAGATTATACACCATGACTAAGTGGGATTAATCCCAGGAATGTATGGTTGATTAAACATCTTTAAAAATCTATTAATATCAATGTGATATACAAATTAATAGAATGAAGGAAAAAACCATATGAACATCTCAATGAGGAAAAAAAAGATCTGACAAAACTCAACACCCTTTTATGATTAAACCACTCAACAAAGTATGAACCGAAAGCAACTCCTTCAACCTGATAAAGGATGTTTATTAAAAACCCACAGTTAACATCATAGTCAGTAGTGAAAAATTTAAATCTTTTCCCCTAAGATCAGGAACAAGACAAGGTTATCCACATTTTTCCTCCTATTTAACATGGTACTGGAAGTTCTATCAAGAGCAATTAGACAAGAAATAATAAATGGCATCTAAATTAGGAAGAAGTAAAACTACCTCTATTCACAGATCTTATATATAAGATCTTATATATATATATGGTCTTATATATAAGAAATCCTAAAGAATCCATAAAACAACTATTAGAACTAATGAAAAAATTTGGCAAAGTTGCAGAGTACACGATCATTTGTTTCTGTAAACTAGTAATGGAAAATCAAAAAATGAATTTCAGAAAACAATTTAGTAATCAATAGTATCAAAAAGAATAAGATATTTGGGAATAAATTTAATCAAGAAGGTGCAAGACTTCCACACTGAAAACTACAAAACACTGCTGAAAGTAATTAAGGAAGAACTAAATAAATGGAAAGACATCATTGTGTCATGGATTAGAATACAACATTGTTGAGATGGAAATATTTCCCAAAACTATCAACAGATTCAATGTACTCACTATTGAAAGCCTAAAGGATTTTTTTGAAGAAATGGAAATGCTGATCTGCATTTGGATTTAAGGAACCCTGAACAGCCAAAACAATCTTAACAGTCTTGAAAAAGAAGACCAATGTTGGAGGACTCACACTTCCCATTTTCAAAACTTAATTCAAAGATAATAGTAATAAAAACGGTGTGGTATGGCATAAAGGTGGATCTATAGAACAGTAGAATAGAATTGAAGGTTCAAAAATAAGCCCATATGTCTATGGCCAATTGATTTTTTACAAGGTGCCAGTATCATTCGATCAGGAAAGAATGGTCTCTTCAACAAGTGATACTGGGACAACTAGATATTCACACACCAAAGAATGAAGTTAGACCCCATCTCACACCATAAACAAAAATTAACTCGAAGTGGTTTAAAGACCTAAATATAAGAGCTAAAACCATAAAACTTAAAAGAAAACACAAGAGTAAATCTTTATGACCTTAGATTGTGCTATGGTTTCTTAAATATAACACTGAAAGCATAAGTAACAAAAGAAAAACAGATTCCAGGGGGGAGGGATAGCATTAGGAGATATACCTAATGCTAAATTACGAGTTAATGGGTGCAGCACCGCAGCATGGCACATGTATACATATGTAACTAACCTGCACATTGTGCACATGTACCTTAAAACTTAAAGTATAATAATAATAAAAAAAGAAAAATAAAAAAAAGAAAAACAGATAAATTGGGCTTCAATAAGCTTTAATACTTTTGTACATCAGAGGACACTATCATAAAAATAAAAAGACAACCTAGAGAATGAGATAAAATATTTGCAATATTTAGATATATTGGATAAGGGACTAGTTTATGGAACATTTAAAGAACATTTATAACTCAACAACAAAAGGACAGTCAACCCAGTTTCAAAAGTGGGCAAAGGACTTGAACAGACATTTCTCCAAAAAAGATATATGATAGGTGCATAAGCATGTGAAAAGATGTTCATCATCACTTTTGTCACTGAGGAAATGCAAACCAAATCCGCAATGAGATACCACTTCACACATGCTAGGATGGCTGTAATCAACAAAATGGAAAATAACCAGTGTTGGTGAGGATGTGGAGAAACTGGAACCCTTGTACATTATTGATAGAAATGTAAAATGGTACAACCACTATGGAAAACAATTTGGTGGTTCCTCAAATAGTTAAATATAGAATTACCACATAATCCAGCAATTCCTCTCTTAGGTAGGTCTCCAAAAGATTTGAGAACATGTATTAAAACGAATACTTGTACACTAATGTTTGTAGCAGCATTATTCATAATAGAAAAGGTGGAAACAAGCGAAATGTCCAACATCTGATGAATGAACTAAGTGAAATATATTATATCTATACAATGGAACATCAGTAGGTTGCAAAAAGAAATTAAGTACTGATTATATGCTACAACACAGATGGACCTTCAAAACATTATATTAAGTAAAAAAGAAGCCAGACCCAAAAGGGTAGACATTGTATGACTCCATTTTTTTATGAGATATCCAGAATAGCTGAATCCATAGAAACACAAAGCAAATTAGTTGTCAACAGCTGGAGGGGGGCGGAAATGGGGGAGTGATTGATTCAGGGATACAGGATCTTCTTTTGGTATGATGAAAATGTTTTGGAGCCAGGCGCGGTGTCTCATGCCTATAATCCCAGTTCTTAGGGAGGCAGAGGTGGGAGGATAGCTTGAGCCCAGGAGTTTGAGACGTGCCTGGACAATATAGCGAGGCCCTGTTCTCCACAAAAAGGAAAAAAAAGGCAAAAAAAAAAAAGAAAATGTTTTGGAACTAGATAGAGGTGAAGGTTGCACAACATTGTGAATATACTGAATGTCACTAAATTGTATAGTTTAAGATGATTAATTTTATGTTATGAGTCACTTCAATACAAAAAGGCAGAAAGGGAGAAGAAAGGAAATTAGCAGTTAGTGAGCTACTGCTATATATTAGGCTCTGTGCTAGGCTTATGCATTATCCAATTAAATCCACTAAACGACACTGTGAGTCATTGTCCCCAGCTTACAGATAAGCAAACCAAAGTCCATGTAACCTAATTTCCATAGCTAAGAAACATGAATCTGGAATTCAAACCCAGGTCTGACTCCAAAGCCTACACCCTTTACCACCACCTACTCTGTAGGAACCTCCCATAGCTCGCCTCTCATTACTCTGTCCATAAGGACTTGTGTCTTTGATCAAGAATAAAGCATGGCTCACCAACTACTCCTTCACAATGACAAACTTTCCGGAGAGAAATGCTGAAATTTCTTGGCCCTACTCCCAGCCTCCATAGATTTTATAAAACATGATCTGCAGTTGGGGTGATTTTTAGGAGCTTCAGGAAGTCCTCATCCCAAGGACATACATGTTCCCTCATGCTTGAACTCTTTTCATTAAAGAGATAGAGCCCTTTTCCCCACAATTGGAAAAAAAAAAAAAAAAAAGCTGAAGACCAATCTACTCCTGGGAGAGGGAACACATTAGTATAGTGATTAGGACAGATTATATCATTCCATGAGGGATAGTTTTTAATAAGCTGGGGAGGGGGCAGGCAAAGTAAAGACTAAACCTACTCTTCCTGAGGTCCCACAGAGTCAGTCACAGACCAGCAAGACACAATTGGAGCCTTCTCTGTCACTATCCTCTAACCTCAGGCAAGGTGCTTCTCAATGGTCCAATATTCTGCAATGTCCTATGATTCTGCAATTACACTTTACAAATTTGCTCAGAGCTGGCCCCATTTGCATTGCTATTAATGGTGAGGACAGCAAAGTCCTTAGCTAATCCATGAAGTGAAGCTCTGTTTACACATCTTTTATTAAGATTAATCATTAATTAATGTAAGGCTTTATCCCTTGATTACAGGGATCCCATTCTGATATAACAGTTTAAATGTTCTCTTGAAAAATGAAACATATTTTTCAATTACAGTCATTCGTCGTCCCAATTCAGGCAAAACTTTTATTTAAATAAATAATTAGTCTTGGCAATAGCATCATAATGTATGAATGTGTAAAGTTTGAATGTGCTAATTGTTGGTTCCTGCATTAGTCTTTATAAGTGACATGTTGCTATATATATACGTGGTATTGGGCTAAGAATTATCCAAAGCAAGTAACACTGATGCAGTCCTGCCTGGCTCACCGGAAACTTATTTTCTAAGGCAGGAGCTTACTCAACTGATTTGAACAGATATTCCATGCTTTCTCCTGCATTTTCCTTTGCTGAATTCCTGATCAAGATCCTACAACTTGCATTAGTGTTGTTTGACTTCCTGAGGTAGAGATAGTGCTGAGTGTTAAAACCCATAATCACACTGAGATATTTTTTCAACACTCCACAGTATTTTAAGAATCACCTCTTTTTACATTCCATTTCTTTTGCTTTTGCCATTGTTGAGTATTTCTCTAGCATGCAAGTAGTTAGAAACTTTCCTTGAAAACAAAAACCTGCTTTCAAATTGCTCAATTTGTTACAGCCTTTGTGATGTTGTAGTCATTTTTATGCTGGATACAGTGTTATGACACAAATGCCACACGCTGAGAAGTCACAAAAAATTGTTGTAGGACTATGCTAATTAGCAAAACAAAATGCAATCTCTATAAGGCAGAACCTCAAACAATAAGCCACTGTTTGGGGACAAATAGGAAATAGAAGAGGGAAAAAGCCAGGTTGGATTCAATCCAGAAATTGGTTATCTATGAAAATCAGTAACCCTTTCCCCTTGGGGAAAGAAAGGTCAATAGTTTCTTAGCATACTGAAGGCTGGGATTATGTCTTACAGATCTTTGCTATAATCAATACCCTACTCATAGTGTGTGCTTGACAAGAATTTGATGGTAACCAGAAGATGGCATTGTTGATAACAATGAATTCCACCATTTGTCAAAACTTAGCTAATTTGTGAGGGTTCCTTTTTATGTCGTTTCCTCACAAAATATTCATTATTTTCTGAGACTCTGTTCAATGCAAAGTCTGGACATGCCATGTGGGTAGAATTAAGGTTAAAATATGGTCTTTGAAATGTGACATTACCTTAAATGGCACTCATTCTATATGGTGAGGGGATAATTTTGCTCCCCAGTGGACATTTGGCCATGCCTGGACGCATTTTTGGTTGTCACAAATGGGGTGTGGGTTCCTACTGGAATCTAACAGACAGAGGCCAAGGATGCTGCTAAACATTCTACAATGCACAGGGCAGCCCCCCAACAAAAGGAATCATCTGGCCTAAAATATCAATAGCATCGAGGTTGAGAAACCCTGCTTAATGACTGGGAAAACCCCACTCTCTGGATTCCTCATAACAGTTTCTCTTCACCTACGATGTTACATTAAACTCTGGTCTACATATACCATTTACCACTATGGTCAAGGCTGTAAGAAGAGAGGAGAAAAGAGTATGTCTCAATTACATTTTAACAGTCATACCTGTCATGGTATTTGAATAGGCCAGGCCATGTAAGTAAACCTAGTCTAGAAGCTAGGTAGTTCTGGGCTTAAATTAGTCAGATAGTGGCTTCCATTTTTGGCTTTGAGCCACTTTTGCAGATGTAGCCTCTAGGTGCAAACTACCCTGGGAGACATACACACTCAGCCACCAAGTGGAAAACCAGAATATGTCCCTATTGACAGAGAAGATGAGCCACCCAGCCCCAAGGCTGACAAGCAACCTAGACAAAGCTTGGGTCCCTGCCTAAGTCAGCTTTCTAATTGCACTAGGAGATACTCTGCTAAGTTTGTTTTGGAATTCGTATAGTAATGCCTGGCATTTGTATGGTGCTTTTAACTTTTGAAAGGATTTTTCTTTATATATCCTTGATCTGAAGAGGTTAGAAGGATAGGGCAGAAACAGGATAGGGCAGGAGCAGAGAAAGAAATTTTAACCTTATCCACAGTCCACTGGGAAAGCTCCAAATTTCAGAAGCACACACAGTCCTCATATGTTAAAGACAAGTGCATTGGATATAGGGCCTTTGAAGGAAACAGCTCACAAGAATAAGGCTTTTGCTCTCCCTGAGCACTGCTTCTGGTTGCATCTGGGCTTGGAGTGGAAGTCTCAGCTGGACTGCAGTTTGGCTAAAAAAAGGGAAATGCCCCCAAAGTTTTATCCACGGTCACATATTCTACTCACCCTCATGCCAAAGGGAAGACGGCTTAATCACAACATAGACCTCCCTTGTTTGGGAGACTGTATATTAGTTTGCTGGTTCACAGTAAAACTGCCTTTGAATGAAAGGCAAAGAATCAAGTGATTTTTTTTTTTCAGCGACCCTCTTGGCCAATCTTTAGAAACACTTCCTGAAGTATTTAAGTTGTTAAGAGGTGGAAGCTCCACCCTCACTTCTTCCTCCCCAACTCCCTTCCCCCCAGACACAAACTCTTCATCCCCCAGGGTAATAATTTTCTTTTCTCCAATACCTTGCTCCCATACAAAAGCTAAATACTCTCCAGAATATTGGACTGCCTCGGGACTAGGAGGACTAACGACAAGGGGAAAATTTGTCTTGCTTGGTGCCCCGAGCGACTTTTCCAAGGTAGGCTAGGAGGAGAGTGCTTAGGGCTTCCACTAAACATAGCTACTACCAGCTTCACAGGCTCCGCAATGAAAACACTCGGCCATTTAGGCAAGGGAGATGATTCTGGCATTTTCGGGAGCTTACACTTAGGCTCCCAGGGCGTGCAGAGGGGGTTAAAGAGCAACAGGAAGTACAGTGGAGTTTTCTCAGAGCTAGGGATTGTTCTGAGAATGGGTAGGGAAAGGTTTTCAGGTACCAGCCCGGCGTCCAGAAAGGCAGAGACTCACATGCCCCTTTCCTGAGAGCGCTAGGAAGGGAGATAAAAGACAAAGCCAATATTTGGGGCTGTGCGGCCAGGCCATGAAATGCTGCCAGCTAGTGGACCTATGCGCCTGCAGGTTGCAGGTAGAAGTCTCAGGCTTGTGGTGGGGGTGGGGCTATTTAGCCCCTTCCAGTTGGGCTCAAGAGGGTGGACATTCTGAGCGCCAGGCTATAAGGTGAAAGAAGTGGAGAGGTGCTTCATGTGAAAGGAAGGCGTAAAGATCAAAGAGTGGCCCAAGTGTCCGGTGACACCGCCCCTCTCCCTCCACAACAGATACCACTAAGCAACCTAGCCCCCCGCCCCCATCCTACAATATCACTTTCCCTCCCTGTATCAATCTAGGCTGGATCTTGGGAGATCGACCCTATGGGTGAGAGGGGCACGGATGGGAGAATTAGGTAGCTCCAACTAGATTAATCTAGATCTATCAGGGATCCAAGCCTGCCCCATAGGACCCCAGGTCAGTCCCTGGCGACTCAGCGCTCCGCTGTCTCCCTGTCCTACCAGCCGCCCGCCGCCCTTACTCCCCCAGGTTCAACTCCCCTTCCTCCTGAATGACCTATGGTCGCCGGAGCAGCCTCGCCACCACCGGCCCAGAGCCCAGGCTGACGGGGGTGGGCAAAGGTCACTGCCCAAAGCAGGGGATATTCAGGCCAAGGGGCAAAGAGAGACTCTGCTAGCCATATGCTCCGAGGGACTCCTGTCCCCTCTACCCGCACCCGCGCTTAGCCTCCCACCTCCCCTCCCGTCTCTGCCACCACCCAGGGGAGGGGGAGGTCTGGGGAAGCAAACAAACGAGACAGAAAATTCCGTACCGAGGGGGGAGAGATGAGACGGTGGGACGGGGCAGCGGGGGTTGACTTGGGGCTGCGGCTGCGGCTTCCTTCCACCCCTGGCCGCGGAGCTGCAAAGAAGGCAGGAGCTGCTGCCCCTGCCGCCTGCCCCGTCCTCCCTCTTTCCCTCTCGCCTCCCCGCCTCCCCCGCCCCGCCCCGCCGCCAGGAGATTGAGAGTGGCTTCGGCCCGGGGGCTGGGGGAGGTGAGGGGTGCTTTTGCCTACCACGGTTGTCTCAATCTCTCTCTCTCTCTCTCTCTCTCTTTCTCTCTCTCTCTCTCTCTCTCTCTCTCTCTCTCTCACACACACACACACACACACACACCCCACATCACAACCACGACGGGTTGTCCGCAGCTCGCAGCCACCCCAAAGGGAGGAATAAAGAACAGGAGCAGAGGGAAGCCGGGCGCAGAAAGAAGGGAAAAGGAAGAGCTCAGGGTTGGACATTTTTGGAGACAGGGGTGGGGAGGATAAAGGGAGCGTGCCTCCTTGATTTTCCCCTCCCCACCCCTCTTTGCTTTTCTCTCCCCTTCTCTGTATAGCATATTCCAGAAACGGCAGCAGAAGGGGACAGAAACCTCTAGTGTAGAAAAGGGTTTTGGAGGGGTAGCCAGCGCTCCCGCCAGCCGCTACCTAACAGCTGGAGCTTGAGTGTGCGTGTAAGAGTGTGAATGCGGCTCTCTCTCTTTTTTTCTCTCTCTCTCCCCTCTCTCTCCATCCCTTCCTTCCTCCCTCCTTCTCCCTCTCCTTCACACTACAGTGTCAGCTACCCCTGTCAGTTTCCCCGTGTCAGTTTCTTCCCTAGCTCTTATTGTGTGTGACTGGCTGCGTGAAGGGAGTGGGTGCGCTTGAAGGGGCTCAGGTTGGGTTAGAGAGCTGGGAGAACAGGGTAGGGACATTGGTAGAGCAAAGAGTTTCAGGGCACTGGCGAAGGTGAAAGGTGAGGAGGGCCGATCTGTTACAGGCAAGTTTGGCAATAACTGAGCATCCAAAGGGGAAGCCAAGGTAGGAGCCAGTACTTGCGCTCGTCTTTACACCCCGCCCCTTTCCCTGTGCTCATCCGCCCACCCACCCATCAGCCTAGAGGCCCCGGGCTGTCCCAGTCGGCTGCTGTTTCGCGCCGCAAAAGAGGAGTCCGGCAAGGCGCCGCACCACGCATCCTGGCCGGTGGACATCCAGACGACACAGATTTTATCCGAAAAAACCACTTGGCTCAGGGTAAGTCTACAGGCGGCCGGTGCGGTCCATTTCACTGCCTGAGTGCTGCTGAGGGGCAAGGGGCAGCGAAGTGCGGGTTGAATGAAGATGCTGGGCTGCTGTAGGCGGAGAAGCATTGACTGGCTGGCTGTGGGCTCAGGGTGGTAGGGAGCAGAGGGAGGCCAGCAACAGATTGTTTTGGAAGAGGAAATGCAATGGGGAGAAGCTCCAGGGTTGATAGGACAAGGTGCTGCCTGCGATGACCAAAAACATCCTTTCACTGGGAATATTTTCCTGAACCACAGCTTTGTCCTATCCCTGGACAATGATTTGCTCCATTCTTGGGTAGATTTTAAGATCCGTGGGGAACCTGCTCCCAGGCCTCCTTAAAATCGATTAGTGTGGCCCTCGGACCAAGGATACCTGCCCTTCGTCAAAAGCCACCTTCAGAAATAGAGAGCCAGGAGCCGGATCATGAAGGTTCAGGAACCAGGGTCCCCATTTACCTTCTTTGTCTTGTATCCTTCAAACTTAAGAAATGGCCAGATTTGTTTGCCTGTCTTCCTTAAAGGAACCAAGAAATGCAAATGGAGGGGCATCAGTCAGATCTCTGCTTCAAAGTGGACACCTCCCTCCCTCCCTAGACACACATCGACTCGGACAAATGGTCATGATCATGTCCCACATATGCAGGTACTGAGCTGAATTCACAGATGCTGATCTTTCTCCATGGTCTCTTAGAATGAGACTAGAAGGGCTTTTTCCCTATTACAACCTGGGCTCTTTGGATCGCAGTCATGTACCTGGTGATGGTTAAGTGTTTAGCAAGGTTATTACTCCCTCAGGAAAAGCCTGAAGCGGGGAAACCAGCCTGAAAGATAGAACCTCTGAACTTTACCCGAGTTTATTATAAGAGTAGGAGAGACATAGACTAATTGATAATGCTCTTTTTAGAGATTGTGCATGTTAACCCTTGGCTTCAAATGTGAAATGATTACAACATTGACATGGCACACCCAGACCCACTTTTCTATTGCCATATATTTATCTTCATGGCATTTAACAAGAATGACAGATTTATATATCAGCATTCATAATTGTCTATTGTTGGTGTCATAGGTTTTTTGATGTTTTATTGATGATTTATATTATGTCTCCTTTCCCATAAACTCTTTAAAAACTGAGATATAAATGATGTCACATGGTACCTTTCATCATGTCTTTAAAATCTGCTTATTCTAAATCAAAAGGCATGTTAATATATTTACATAGTACGAAGTTCGTTTCAAAGCAAATATATAGTCTGGGATAAAAGAAACCCACAGGGTCAAGGAGTCTCTGAAGCTCTCTCTGTGAGGTCGAAGGAAGAATTGAATGTCACCTAAAATCCACATTTTGGTCCCTGGAAGATGCTGTTTTCATAAACTTTCACAATATACATAGGGAGAGAGAGAAAATCTGTGTGTGTGTGTGTGTGTGTGTGTGTGTGTGTGTGTGTGTGTGTATGTAGTTTTTCAAGGACCTCAATCAACCCCATACAATCTTGGCTCTGCTTTTGTAACAGAGGGGAGCAGGAGGTGAATTTGTGCTTCCAAAGCACCCAGGTTCGTCTGTTAAACTTTCTATTTATTACTATGTTACCAAAATGCAATGAATTGCCTCTTTCCAACTCAGCAAATAAGAGAAACGGATTCTGCATTAAGTGAAACTGTTTATGTTGCATCAGGCAATTCTTTCTAATGTTCACTGCTGAGAGAGAGCAGAATGAGGATTACTCAAGTAGGATCTGAAAAGGTGCCCATTCTGTTACTTTTTAAAGCAACCATAGTAAGTATTTTCTTAGGTTAAAATTACACTTTCAAATAGATATACTAAAGACCGGGTTGCAGACAGGTAGGAAAGAACTGGCAGCATCATAATTGGGGAAAAACTCAAAATATCAGCACGAATGAAGCCTACAGTGTAGGTTTTGCTCTGTTCTTGGTGATGTGAGTATCTGGCTGTTGAGGTAAGTCCTGATGGTTACCCAGGGGATAAGCATGTGAGCAGGTTCAGGGATTCAGAACCAATGTAGCCCCCGGCTTCACTGATACTAATTCACCTGGCTTCAGTGTACATCTCAACATGGAGACCTGAACCAGATATCTGCCATCCTTCCCAGCCACAAGAGCTATAATCCTAAGATTCTGTTCTTTCTATAGCTAACAACTAAAACCGGAATGGCACGCAGAACCACAGTACTTAGAGAAGACTAGGCCAGGAAATTAGAGATGCAGAAGGGAGGAAGATGAGAGGAATATGAGAGAACCGAAGATGTTTTGAAACAAACAGAAAGAAAACTATCCAGGTGTTTGCTTTGACTGGGAATGGAATTAATCCAGAAATCAACTCATATGTGAAGCATCTTAAAATTGCCTGTATTTGACTTGCAAACACTGTGTAAACAATGATAGAATTCCATAGTACCAGGGAATTGGGAACCTTGGAGTACATTCTCAGTGTTGCTGTCTCATTTCTCTCCTTACAATATTAAATTCCAATCTGCAAGCCATTCAGGTGCTTAGTTATTGAATGGATATTTCAAATGTGTCATGATGCTTTCCTGTAGCCTGTTTTCGAATATTCTAATTTATTTTTTGCCATGGCTCCATCACTGAAGGTGGTAGATTGAAGCATTTCTGCCTGCTTTACTTCTGCCAAAGGTTCCTGTTTTCACCTTAGTATACTAAGCTGTTCAGATGCCTCCTGCTAACTGATGAAGAATATAAGGCGCAGAATCTCTCTCCCCAAAGTACTCTGTGCCACAAGGTGCCACTGGCCTAATCTGGCCCAGTCATTTGCCAGGTTTGCAGGGAAAGGTATGACAAAGTTTGCAGCCTATAGACAGAAATAAAGCCTCATTCTAGGCAGAAGTTATTCCTCATCCCACAGATGAGGGATAAGCTAAGGCCAGCCATCATGTCCAGAGCCTAGTAGCTGACATATCCACAGTGTCATCCTTTCTAAAACTCACGAAGCTTTTCTTCTGTTGATGGGCCCCTCAAACTTTGTCCAGTGAGACCAGCAGAGCCATACTGCCAGCAAGGAATGATTCCTGAATGACTCAACTGTGGTCTTATAAACAAACATGTACATCATGCTCAACTGAGTGAGCACAGATGATTTAAAGAAATTATAAAAGCTGATAGGGGCTAAGAAAAATTGCAATTTGCTGGGTGAAGGGAACTTTGCAAGTTTCTTAGGTTTGGTTTTCTGTCACCAATTCTGGAGTTGGCCCTTGGATGGTGGTGGCCAATGCAATTGCCCCAGGTTTTTGCCTTAGCAAAAGGAAAGAAAAAATAACGATAAGAAACAAGCGGGGATCTTGGAGGGGTCAATCCTCTCATTTCACCTATAGAGAAATTGAAGTCTAGAGAGTAGAAATGACCTGCCTAAAACAGACTACTAGCTAACAACAGTGGCAAAACCACAACCCAGTACTGTTTGCTGATACGAAATACATTTTCTGAAGTTCTGTGGAGATCTTCCCAAGAAATCGAGAGGTAACTAAAGTCAAGTTTACCAAGATCACAGCCCTCTACTTCCATTCCATATGTATGTATACGTGTTTATATTATATGCTGCTGTCATATCTTTGTGACTTACCTTCTTGACCACCACCTCCCCCTAACACACACACACTCACACACACAATCCTATCTTGCTAGCTAAGAAAACATTATATGTGTCTATAGCTAGCGTATTCAGATGGAAGGCAGAATTAAACATGACAAAAATTTAGCTGCTCACATTTATGTGTCTGATCTGGCTCACACCACCAACAGCAAGGCATCTAGAAATCCCAGTCTGTTCTGCACCATAGTAGTTTTGGGGAATGGAAGCTAGCAGAATCCAGTGACTATGGCTCTGGTTTAGTATACTCAGTCTCAGAATCAGCCCCCCAAATGCATGTGCAAATACACACACATGCACACACACACAAACATGCACATACAGTCACACTCTTTCCGAAAAATTAAAACAAAGAAAATAGAAAAGATAAGGCAGGTGGTTTTTAGAGCAGAGTACAAGAAGAAGGAAAGGTTTGCAGACGGATATTCTTACCTTCCCCCATTCTTTAGCCTTATTGCCTAATTTTCATTAATCCCACCCTAATTTATTTTAGGATCTGAGAAAATAGAGCAATGCAAACATGTTTACTACAGCCCAGAAGGATGATCTGAAAAACCTCCACATTTGAGTGAGAATATCACAAGGATAGGGAAAAGGCTAGGATGTAGTGAGCTAGAGCCTTGCTACTCCAAGTGTAGTCCCCACACCAGGATTGCCACCATCCCCTGGGAGCTATCTATAAATGTAGAATCTCAAATCCTTCCCCAGACCGACTGAATAAGAATCTGCATTTTATGAAGATCCCCAGTGATTCATTTTTATACTAAAATTTGAGAAGCACCGGGCTAGAGCTTATCCAAAAAGCATCTGAAAGATATTTGAAAATAAACAATTACCTACTGAGCATGTAGGGACAATTCATGTGGCTTATCAATTAAAAAATAAAATATAAACTTTTTCCAGGTCCACTTATCTTATTATTCACTGTAAAACCCTTCAGTGTGGGCAAGAGAGTTCATGTAAAGGGAGTGAGATCATAGGATTTGTTTATTTACCAGGACGACTTGGGTGTGGGAACTCACACAGACCTGAGTTCAAATCCTGGCCCTGCTCACGAATTACTAGCTGTGTAAACATGCACTTTGCCTCTAAGCCTCACAGTCCCCATCTATAAAATGGGATTAATAATAGTACCAACTGGCACTGGGCTGTCATGAAAAATTAAATAAGACCGTATAATGCACTGGGATATGGTGAACAATCAATAAATAGAAGATATAATTCATACGATTTGGCTAATAATTTTAGTTTGGTAGAAAACCAACCACTAGATGTGATATATTGGGGCACCTAGCATTATTTCTAATTGACGTGAATCTTACTGGGTTTTCTACAGATAGAATGCTAAGATATACAACAGTAAAATATATTTAAATATGATGGAGGCCACTAGAAACAAATATTTTTTCAGAAGGAATTACAGGTGTCCCTAGTGAAATCACTCCATGGAAGAAGACTGAAGTCAGAAGTGGCCCTGTTCTATGAAGCATATCTCAAAATATTACCAAGTTAGAAAGTCAAAAGTGAGGCATTTTCTGCATGTTTGCATATATATGCAGCATGAAAACACACACATACATACACACACACGGACGCATCATTTGATGGACAAATTATAAAATAATTCAAGGCCAAAATGACATTCTAGGAGCAGAACTAGGTTTCTGCCTGATAAAATCTTTAAAATGCACAAATAATAACCTCTACTTCGTAACTTGCTCATGTTGCACAGTTTAATGGCTTAGGTATATACTATAGCTATTACTATTTTGTAGGTGAAAAAAAAAGAGCAACTCCTACCTCTTCCCAGCCCATGGTGCTACCTACCTGCTCAATTTTCTCACCAGTAAAATATGATACACGTAGTACTCATAAAGTCCAAGAAATCACCAGGCACTTGATTCTATAAAGACTTATTGACTGGCATGTGCAATCTGGGCAACCTGATTGTAAAGACACAGAGACAGACACTACCACCTCTGGATCCCAGTCCTTTGGTATGTTCCAGACCTCCAGCTTCCCCTGATTTTCAATAGTATCAGATTAGTAAGGTATCAATAATCTTATAATAGACAATATTTATATCTAATTGCTAAGATTTCTGTGATCACCCTAAATAAACAATAGCACGTGTTATCAATTATTGACTATCTTTATATTAGTTTTCTATTGCTGCCATAACAAATTCTCACAACCTTATCAATTTAAAACAACACAAATTTATTATCGTTATAGTTCTGTAGTTCTGAAGTCTGACACAGGGATCACTGTGCTAAAATCAAGGTTTCAGCAGGACTGCCTTCCCTTCTGGAGGCTCTAGCAGAGAATCTACTTCCTCACTTACTCAGATTGTTGGCCTAATTCACTTCCTTGATGTTACAAAACTGAAGTCCTAATTTCTTTGGTGGCTATCATTCCTAACTTCTAGAGACAACCCACATTCCTTAGTGCATGGCCCCATTCCTCTGACTTCAAAGCCAGCAAGGGCCTGTTTGATGAGGGGGAACTCAGCTGGCCAACTCCTGTCTCTTCTCCCTTTGCATCTCTCTCTGGTTGACTGTTCTGCCTTCCTCTTCTGCTTTGTTTTGTGCTTACATTGGGCCCACTGACATAATCCAGGATTATCTCCTATTTTAAGGTCTGCTAATTAGCAACTTCAATTATATCTGAAAAATCTTTTTCACCATGTAACATATCATATTCACAGGTTCTGGGGATAAGGGTGTTGACATATTTACAGGTTGGCCATATCTTGTCTACCATAATCTTCTGTGTGTTGAGTGCTACAAATATGGGGTTTTAAATGACATTCACTACAGTTTCTATATGATAGGTATTATTATTATTCCCATTTAACAGGTGAGGAAACAGGATCAGACAAGTTAACTGGTATGTTTAACATTGCGCAGCTTGTGAGTGGTGGAGGCAGGGTTGGAACACAGGTCACTCTTCCTCCAAATCTTGAATTTTCCCTGTTGGCCTACATTATGCTGAACGTGGCCTGAAAGTTTGTAACTCACATAAAATATTTAACCTCAAGAACGAACAGAAAACGTTATCCTTTTGATTGTTGTCATCTTTACATAGTGGTCATCACCAGAAATTTTTTTAGTAGCTTTTAGTCTAATGATAAAGACCAAACAATGAAGAAAGATTGACAGGAATATAAAATGTATATTTGTTTATACATCTAGGAAAAGGCTGATGAAGTAGTGATGGGTAGGTAAAGAAGATTGTCGCAGGATGTTTGATGTTGCAAAAGAGAGGATTTTCACATTTGTTACGGGGCAGTTATGCCAAGAAAGAGGAAAATGAGAGGGCTAGTTGGAAGGATAGAAACAAGAGAGTGTTAAGGAGTAATTAAACAGCTCAATCCTCAAAGTGGTAATTGAGCCCCTAATATCAATCACTTGGCGAATATTCGCTCAGTGTGCACCAGGTGGAAGGCACTGTTGGGAATGCAAACAGGCATGCCCTTCCTTTTCCCTCTAGGAACTTTCGACATGGTCAGAAGTGAGTGGGATGATGGGAGCAAACATGAAGTGAAATCCTGGTGTGGCCAAGTAGGGCATCATGCTTTAAGCCATTCATGGAAACAGGCAGGTACTTCCAGGAGATAGAGTGGGGAAGTTCAGTCTGTAGAGGCCTTTAGATGTTCAGGCTGTGCTGGATTTAATTTAGTGGATGAAAGGAAGATACGAAAGGATTTGGAGATTTTAAAAAAAGAAATAATGATAACCCATTTGGGAATGATTATTCTGGAAATGGTGTGTAGGAATTCCGGATTGGTGGAGGAGCAAGCAATGGCAGGCATACCAGTTAGGAAGCAATTATAGAAATTTAGGCTTTTTGTCCTTGCGATAGTTTGCTGAGAATGATGGTTTCCAGCTTCATCCATGTCCCAATAAAAAATATATATATATATATAATAAAATAAAAATAAAGATGATAAACAGAACTTTGCTACTCAAATAAAAATAACTGATATGGCCTTCAAAAAAAACAAAAGGAAATTTAGGCATGAAGAGTAGCACTGTGGTTAGGTACAGAATCTAGGTCCAAATTCGTCTACGTGTGATTTTAACTGTGCCACTCTGAGCCTTAGTTTTCTCTTCTATGAAAAGAAAAAACTAAAAGTACCTGCCTTAAAAGAATACTGTGAAGTTGAAATGAGTTACATGTACAAAGCACTTAGCCCAGTACCTGGCCAGAGTAAACATGTGCACGTTAACTGTTATACTGTTGTTATTGCTGTTGTTACTGTAGTGGTGCACTTGGAAAGGATGGGGTATAAAATACACTGTAAAGAAACAATAATGTTGAATGGCTGTGTGATGTGTGATGAAGGTAGTCAGAGATGACTGCAAGTTTTACCTCCTTGCTAGGTAACAGAGAAGTGGTGCCATAAGAAAATGTGAAGGCGAGGTGAGATAATAAGGCGAGGAAGATAATAAGTTGGTAATAAGCTTTGATATAAGATTAAGCGCGGAGTCAGTGTGAGACATTCTAGTGAAAATGAAGCTTGGAGTCAGTGTGAGGCTTGGAGTCATTTGAAAATGACTACCAGAAAATTTTAGATGTGACACTGGAGCTCAAGAGAAAGTTTAGGGATGAAATGAAAATTTAGAAAGTCACAGATATAACAATTTTTATCTCTGGGCTGGGCATGGTGGCTCACATCTGTAATCCCACCACTTTGGGAGGCCAAGGCAGATGGATCGCCTGAGGTCAGGAGTTCGAGACCAGCCTGACCAACATGGTGAAACCCCGTCTCTACTAAAATTACAAAAATTAGCCGGGCATGGTGGCACGTGCCTGTAGTCTCAGCTACTCAGGAGGCTGAGGCAGGAGAATTGCTTGAACTCAGGAGGTGGAGGTTACAGTGAGCTGAGATCATGCCACTGTACTCCAGCCTGGGCAACAGAGTGAGACTCCGTCTCTAAAAAACAAACAAACAAACAAACAAAAATTTATCTCTAAGAAATACATGTAAAATCTCCAAGAAAGAAAGAAGAGAGACAAAAGCAGATAGTTAAGGTTTAATCTGTGGCCCATGATTAGTGGGGGCAGAAGAGCCACAGGAAGAATGATTGAAGGCAAAAAGAGACCTGTGCAAGGCACTACAGGGAATTCACAAGAAGAACACGCCCTGCTCAGTACAACTTATAGACTCAGGACAGAAAGCATTATAAAGTATGAAATATATAATAATGACATTCAATTTTAAAATATAAATTATCAGTTTCAAATATACCTTATTTTGTTGACTAGAAAAGACAGGAAGTCTTCATAAGTATTTTAGCCCTTGAATGATGAGTGACATTTGGAAAAATAACAAGGAGCACATTTCAGATGAGAAGAATTATATGATCAAAGGTGAAGAGTTAGAAATGGGCACACCAAGTTTAAGAGAGAGAGAGAGATCGATCTGACAAGAGTGAAGGAAGATAAGGAAAGGTAAGAGAGGAAAAATGTTCAAATCACCCACATAGCTAAACTCAAGTCCCAACTCAGTCTCATCTTAGCTTTAAAGTTGGAAGTTTCATGTCATTTTTTTCTGACATAAAACTCAACTCCCAGCTTTCTCAGTTAAGTGATTGAGTGGACAGTGATGCTTTTAACAAGAATAAAGTGATAGAAGAAAAATAGCAGGTTAGGGTGAGGTGATAGGAGGGTAGAAAAGGGATGATGAGTTATGTTTGGGACATGTTGAAGTAAAGGTGCCAGTGTGACATCCAAGCACAGATGTTAAACAAGCAGTTAGTTAAATGGGTTTAGAACTCAAAATAGAAGTCTGAGCTGTAGATATAGATTAGGGAGTCATTATCCCATAATAACAGGACAATAATAGCAGTGATGATGACAAATACTTATGAAGCATATACTCTATCAAAGGCATGGTTCTAAGAGTTTTCCAAATAGTAAATCATTTAACCTTCACAACAACCTTATGAAGGAAATGCTGTTTTTATCCTCATCTAACAAAAGGACTAAAACCAAGGCTCAGAGAGGTCTCATGCCCAAGGTCACACAAGTGGTATCTATTGGAGACAAGATCCAAACCCAGGCAAGTACAGATCCAAAGTTCGTGCTCCTCGTTACCATACTAAGAGTGAGTGTTAGTAGTCTTAGAAGTAGAGTCACTTACTCTAGCAGAGCAGAGTAAAATAGGTCAGCTACTGATCCTTGAAAATACCAATATTTCAGAGGTAAGTCGGAGAAAAGAATCTTTCAGAAGAGAATAACAGCAATCATAGAGATAGAAGGAAAACTAGGAGTGAGTGATGGCCTTAAAGTCACTGAGGAGAGAATGCCCAAAAAGGGGAATGGATATTAGCAGCATTAAGAGCTGCAGCCATTGGATTTGACAATTCAAGGGGCTTTGAACAATGCAGTAGTTAGGACAGGGGACAGAAAACCACAAGCCATGGGCAAAATTGGGCCTACCATCTGTTTTGGTGTGGCCTCAAGCTAAAAGTGGTCTTCACATTTTTAATGCCTGGAAAAAATCAAAAGAAAATACATTTCATGATGTAAAAGTTATATGAAACTCAAATTTCAGTGTCTATAGATATTATTGGAACACTGTCATTCTGATACATTTATGTATTGTCTATGACAGCTTTCCTACTACAATGGCAGAGCCTGGCAACAGAGAGCATATGGCACAAAAACCCTAAAATCTTCTCTATTTAGCCCTTTACAGAATAAGTTAGCCAGCCCTTAGGTTAAAGGATTAGCTGAAAGTCAAACTATCTCAGTTCAAATCCCAACTCTACCACTGACTACACAATGTGACCTTGAAAAAGTCACCAAATGCTCTAATGACCATTGTCAGTAAAATGGAGATTAAAATGGTATTTATCTCATAGGATTCTTTTTATTTATTTATTTATTTATTTATTTATTTATTTATTTTTGAGACAGGGTCTCAATCTGCCACCCAGGCTGGAGTGCAGTGGTGTGATCATGGCTCACAGCGGCCTTGACCACCGCAGGTTCAGGTGATCCTCCCACTTCCCCGAGTAGCTGGAGGTACAGGTATGCGACACCATGCCCGGCTAATATTGTGGGTTTTTTGTTTCGTTTGTTTGTTTGTTTTTGTTTTATTGTAGAGAGGGGGGTTACACCATGTTGTCCAGACTGGTCTTGAACTCCTGGGCTCAAGTGATCCACCCACCCTGGCCTCCCAAAGAGTGGAGATTACAGGAATGAGTCACTTATCAAGCCCAACTTCACAGGATTTTTTTGAGAATCAAATAAGACAATTTGTGTAAAGGACCTAACACAGTGCCTGGTGCATAGTTAGAACTTAATAAATGTCAGCTGCTGTTGACTTTTGATATGGTAGAAATGAAGCCAAATTTCAATAGGTGGCAAAAGGAATTGGAGATGATGTCTATACAAATAGAAACTATACTTTTGAAAATTTTCACAGTGGATTTGAGGATGGAGGAGGAAGTAACTTTGGGGGGGGGCAGTTTTCAGTTTTAGTGGAGAGACTTGAACTCAGGGAAAGGGAGAAGTGAATGAAGATTGAGAATCTAGGAGGAAAGAAAATGAAACAACAACCTGATGAGGTAGGAAGATCAAGAGTAGAGATCAGAGATTAACCTTAGAAAGGAGCAGGAATAATTCTTCCTCAAGAAATAAAATCGAGTTGGATGCAAATATAAGATTTTACGTGGGGTGGGGGAGATTCATATCTCAAAGACTCTTTCCTCTATAAGGTTGGAGACAAGCTTTTCTGTTATGGGGCATGGATAGGGGAACTTGATGGAACACTGGCTATGGAACTTTCAGAAAGAAATTGGCCCAGGAGATTCCAAAGGGGAATATGTATGAAATGGCCCTGTGGGCTTGATGGAGCTTGGAAAATCGAACTTGGCGGCGTCAATCTGCACAACCATGTGAATTACTCTAGAAGTGCTGAAAAACCTGAAAGAAGAAATCCAGAAACTAGAGGGGTGAGTTAAGTCATGACTTTTAGTTGTGTTGAAATACTTGGAAAAGTTAATGCCACCATTGGCAAACATTTGAATCCCATACCAGCCTGTCATTGGAACCACTGCCTCTGGGACCCTGGTCTTGTCAAAAGGCTCTGCAGCTTGCTCATCTTTATCCTGCCTGGTGTCGTATTATGTTTGCACAATGGCACAGCCTCCCCAGACATTTCTGGATTTCTTTCCCTGAAATCTCATTGCAACGTAACAGAGACAGACGGTACATTGGAAAGCTCTGAGGAGGAACATAAACTGTGACTTTTGTGGAGAGAGAATGATACTGCTGAAGGATGGGGGCTAGTGCTACAGAGTCTGAGTACCTTTCAGGACTCCCTGAGCCTAGCCATAAAATCCCTATTAATTTGAGAGATGCAGGACACAAGCTTTATGGTGTCCAGGATAAATCCAAATAAAATGCTACAATGGCTGGTGTGCTGGGTTTGGCTCCCTTGAGACTCCAGGGGTAAAGTTACAGGGCTAACAGGCCAACTCCTGTCTGGGCAAACTAAAGGCAGAGCAGAAGTCAGGGAAGGAGACGTTGTCTGAGGAGGCTACAGATTCAGAGAACAAATGCTTTAGCTAGAAGTTGAGATGGCAAGGAAGAAATGGAACAAGTTTTCCTAAAAAGGTGCCCACTGGGCCCCCTGGAGGCTTGCAGCTCAGCTAGAACTTAGCCAGGGCAGCTCTGAAGATTCCATTCAGACTTCCTCTAGAGAGCATGCACCTTCTGCTGGGGAAAACAGGCCTCCCGTAGGCATTTCCCCATCTTACCCTGACCTTTTGTCCTGGGACTCAGACAAGTATGCATTCCCCTTAGAGGCTTCCAGGCTCATCTGGAGGTCTGCTAAAAGGATATGGAGTGCCAGTTTACATTCAGATAGCACACACATGCCCAAAGCACTTTCCCATCCAGCATTTTAAGCAGACTAGTATGGTGTCAAAAGCACTATACTGGGAGTCAAGAGTCCTAGCCCTGCTACTTACTAGGAGTGTGACCTTAAGCAAAACACTAAGCCACTCTGAACCTCAACTTTTAGCATTCATAAACTAAGGATAATAGTAGTGTTGTCCTAATAGAGTTGTTGGGAGGATTAAATAATAGTGCTTAGCATAGAGTCTGGCTCATAATAAGCTCTCATTAGCTGCCATCCTCATCCTCATCATCCTCATTTAACATATAAAGAACTTGAAGCATGTATTAGGCTTGAAGCCTGGCTCTGACACTTATGAGTCATAAGACCTTGGGCAAGTCACATCACCTCTCTGAGCCCATTTCTTTCTTCTCAGTTTAAGGTAGACTTGGCTGATCCTACAAGATACTGTGTGTAAAAAGTATACAATACTTTTCGAATACTATAGTATTCATTTCCCTTTTCAGAGAGCATCATCTCTTTTTAAAGACAGGGAAAAGTACCTGAGAGGTAAAGGCATTTACCCAGTGAAGCAACAGAAAACCTGGAATGAGAACCCAAGGCCCTCTACTTGCAACCCAGGGCTCTTCCTAATTATATTCTCTGAAAGCAGTTTGGTCTGGTACTCAGAATAGAGTGTTCCACATGGTCCCAGCAATGCAGGCTGTGCTGATGATGTGTGTGTTTCCCTGATGCTCACCAGCCAGAAGGCAGCAGTGCTGACTGGGCCCCTCGCAGGCAGATGTCAGAAGCCAGAACCTCAAGCTCTTTGTTTGCCCCTGTAGCAAGTGACTAGCATTCAAAAATAGAGAGTTCTGGCCATCTTCATACCCAAAATACTTTCTTCTCCCCACAATCACCCAACCTTGGTGTATGAATCCCTATCATTCAAGCTTTGTCCTTTTAAGCTTCAGCCCTTGTTCAAAAGGTGAACTCCCTATGACATGCATACAATGCCTGCTACCAAGAATAAGCAATCAGAGCAACAGTATGAATTAAATTATTCAGTGCTTTTTCTCTCTGGAAGCAGGAAAGAGGGAGATTTCAAGTGCAGGACACTGTTCAGTCTTCCTGGATAGCTAGAACAAACTACAGACAGCAGGAAAGATATTATAAATGGAGAGAGGGGCACATAAAGAGTAGGTTGCAAAAGCAGCCCATCTCTACCCATTTTGAAAGTGCAGGAGCAGGACAGACAGAAGAGACATTCCTGGAATGGTGAAAAGAGCATCCATTTAGAATGACAAGGTCAGACTTCCAATATTATGGCAAATTTCCTAACCTGTCTATGCCTCAGTTTCTTCACCTGTAAAATGGAGTGATCATATCATCTACCTTACCAGATAGTTCTAAGTGTAAGAAGAAAGAAATGTGTGTGAACATGCTTATAAATCAATGCCCAGATCTAAGTGATCATCAAGGATTCGGTTAACTTCTCAGAGGAGGCTCGAGGATGCAGTGACCTTGACAGCTAAATGGCCAGGAGAGATGCACCTGGCGTTCCTCCCATCCCCTTCACTGTTAAGTGGAGCATTTAATGCACCTGCCATGCTTCCTCTCTGAGTCTGCCTCTCTTCTCATCTCTGGCAAAGTGGAAGCATTTAGTAGCTCTCCCTGGGGCCAGCAGTAGGTTTCAAGGGCTCTGATCTGAGAGCAGTGGAGGTGGGCAGTTGGCAGAGGGCAAGGCTCTTCTGAGACTGAATGCCTTCCCTCTGGCCAGCTGTAGCCTCCAGACAGATACGGAAGTCCTGCCACCAACCTAGGGTAGCAGAGACAATTAGGATGACCTCTCAGTGACAAGACTCTGGAGTCATTAAAGCAGTGACATAATTGGCCTGACAAAGCTGAGACGGCAGACACACAGTCCAGCAATATGGCAAAATAGTTGTCTCGAGGAATAAATAAAGCAATCTATAAATAATTACTGAGGCTATTAGCTATATTTTATCTTCTCCCCTATCCTGCTTCCTGACACTACTGGATTCAGAGGCCCCACAGGGGTGGCAGTCAGAGTAAGAGAGGTGACAAGGGAAGGAATGGCTGGGGCCAAGGACTCCAGCTGGCTAGAGGCTATTGGGGACCCTGCAAAATATCTACCTACAAGTTCCAGGGACCCCCCAAAGTCTTCTGTGATGAAAGCAGGCAGGAATGGGTGAAGAGTCACCTCTAGTGAGGAATGGAAGAGAGAAAGGACTGCTAATAGGACAGAAATACCTAAGGCCCACTTATCAGGTCATGACTTAGCCCTAGCCACTACAGAGGTGACTGACCCTGGGCAAAGCTGAAGCTCCGGATATGTGTGGGAAGTTAGTTGAGAGGGTGGTAAGATGCCGGGCTGTATAATTACCCTGAAAGGCCATTCTCACGATTTCCTTCTCTTTGCTTTTATTAAATAAACCCTGAACTGAAAGTGACAGAAAGGGGAAGATCATGTATGAACAAGTAAAATCAGAACTGGTAAGGAGAAAACAAGGCCAGCCACATTATCCCTCAAACTGAGAAATTTAAGTTTCTTTGTACTCTGCCCTAAATTTTATTTAATTCATTTTATTAAACACTTGGCATATTCCAGACACTAAGTGCTTTACAAATATTGACTCTCATAACCCTCATCACAGCCCTCTGAGATAAAGACTATAATAATTCCCATTTTACAGATGAGGAAAACAAGAGACAGGGACATTAGGTAAATTGCCTGAAATAGCATAACTAATAAATGGTGAAACCAGGATTCAAACACAGGCTAGCCCAATTCTGGAGAAGAGACCATGCTTTTCACCTCTATGATATGCTTCCTGACAACTTACATTCAAACTCTACACCTACCATGTTCTGTTGATATTTGATATTTATTGGTGGGTATCCCCTACCAGTCTAAGCATTGATGGTAGGCACCATGAAGGCCAGGGCCAGACCTTTCTGGTTCACCACCGTACACCGTATTCCCAGGGCCTAACACAGGGGCTGAATGATTAAATGAATTCATTAATGAAATATAGATTTCATGAGTATTCAATGAAAACAACCAAATGCCAAATAAAATAATTGCAATAGTTTGAGACAGGAGCTATTTTCAATGTATGTGCAGAACTGTAGATGATTCTGTGCTATAGGAACACAGAAGCAGAAGGGTTTGGTTCTGCCTGAAGAAGTCAGGGAACGCTGTACAGAAGGGATGTAACATAAGAGCTGGGACTTGAAGGAGAAGTAGGTATTCACAAGCAGAGAACGGCCATCAGGTGGAGGTATTCTAGGCCAAGAGAAAGGCATGAGGAAAGTCAGAGCTGTCTGGGGACAGGTAGTTGGTGTGGTTGGAGTCTAGGATATGCACATGGTAGCCAGAGGTACCTTTGGAGAGCTAGGCAGGAACCTACTGGTCAATTCAAACTTGATCCTACAGCCAGAGCAGAACCATCAGCCAACTTTTTTTTTTTTTCTTTTTGGAAATAGAGTCTTGCTCTGTCATCCAGGCTGGAATTCAGTGGTGCCATCTCAGCTCACTGAAAGCTCTGCCTCCCAGGCTGAAGCAATTCTTGTGCCTCAGCCTTAGCACACCACCACTCCCAGCTAATTTTTTATATTTTTTGTAGAGATGAGTTTTCGCCATGTTGGCCTAGCTGCTCTTGAATTCCTGACCTCAAACAATCCACCCGCCTCTGTCTCCCAAAGTGCTAGGATTACAGGCGTGAGCCACTGGGCCTGGCCCCATCAGCAAACTTTTAAGTAGGACAAAGTTATGACAATCAAATTTGTGTTATGGAAATGTCATAATACTCAAGGGAAAGATGGAAGAGACCATGAAGCCAAGGAGACCAGAAAACGGAGGTTTGAAGGCAATATCCTAAATCGAGGATAGAGATTGTTAGAGGCTGTATTGATAGCTCTTGGTGATAGGATGTGGAAGAATAAGGGAAAAGGAGGATTCAAGAATGACTCCCAGTTTTCTGGCCTGGGAAACTGGATAGATGGTGTTGCCAAAAATGAATACGAAATATGTGAGGTAGGTTAAGATAAGCGTGATGATAAATTTGGTATTGAGTATGTTGAGTTTAAGGTATGTGTGGAGGGATTATATACCAGTGGTGATGCTCAGTAGGCAGTTTGACACATAGATGTTAAACTCAGGAGAGAGATATAAGAAATCAGATTTGATTCATTGCTGTGCAAGATCAGTCATTGAAACCAAGTGTGTGAATGTGTGAATGAAAATAACCTTTTTGTTTTTTTTTTTTTTTTGAGACGTAGTCTCGCTGGTCTCCCAGGCTGGAGTACACTGCAGTGGTGCGATCATGGCTCACTGTAAGCTCTGCCTCCCGGGTTCACGCCATTCTCCTGCCTCAGCCCCCTGAGTAGCTGGGACTACAGGTGCCCACCACCATGCCTGGCTAATTTTTTGTATTTTTAGTAGAGACAGGGTTTCACCGTGTTAGCCAGGATGGTCTCGATCTCCTGACCTCGTGATCCGCCCGCCTCAGCCTCCCAAAGTGCTGGGATTACAGGCGTGAGCCACTGCACCCGGCCTAATCTTTTCTTTTAAACTCACACAGATCATGATTTGATCCATCCTATGATGAAAGGAAACTCTGTAGGTCTTAGGATAAAAGAGAGATGCCTTCCCTTTCAAATACTCATTCCTAAACTTTTCAGTAGAGAGATTATTCCTGATACATTTCTAGATGCTTAGGGAAAGTCAGTCAATGATTATGGACAAGCCAGAGGCTTGGCTCCCATTCTGAGAAGTTGAGCCAAAGACTCCAGGTACTTACTTCCTTTGCATTTTGGAAGCCAGCTGTCAGAGGTGTATGAAGCTGGCACAATTGGTAGCAGCTCTATGGTCTCCACATTGCAGGAGGGAATATATCTTTCTTCCAGTTGCCCCCTACACTTGTCGACTGACTGGCTATTGTGGCCCAAAGCAAAGGTTGGCAAATAGGCTTTCCTTTTCAGAGAAAAAGAAAGAAGAATTTTAAAAAAGGGCATTTTTGCTAAAATGCTCAGTGAACTTGGGTGAGTAATTTATCCTCTCCATGGCTTGAGATATAATGCTATCTACCTGACAGCAAGAAAGTTGTGAGGATCAAATTAATCACGGAGTATTAAAATGCTTTTTAAAATACACTACAAGCAAGATATATTATAATTTCAAGCACCAAGATCTCTGGGCTCTAGTTTCCAATACTTCATTGTTCCAATTAAAAATGGTATTT
Organism: Homo sapiens; assembly: GCF_000001405.40. Classification (NCBI taxonomy): domain Eukaryota; kingdom Metazoa; phylum Chordata; class Mammalia; order Primates; family Hominidae; genus Homo; species Homo sapiens. The sequence continues at coordinate 112,064,106 of NC_000023.11, read as the reverse complement.
TACTTGGCCTTCGTTTACTTTCCTATATATGACAGAAGTGACCATAGACCTTTCATATTTTGGATTGTGCACATGTTTGGGGGGCAGGATGTGTGCTGGCTTGTAGACAAATGCAATGATCATAAATGGCTTTAGAATAAGTAAGCACTTGGCCGGACGTGGTGGTGGGCGCCTGTAGTCCCAACTGCTCGGGAGGCCAAGGCAGGAAAATGGCGTGAACCCGGGAGGCGGAGGTTGCAGTGAGCCGAGATCGCGCCACTGCACTCCAGCCTGGGCGGCAGAGCGAGACTCTGTCTCAAAAAAAACCAAAAACAAACAAACAAACAAAAGAATAAGTAAGCACTTAAAAATGCTAAGTAGGTTTTTATATACTACCTGACATTATTCTTTTAATCTTTCACATCTCTTCCTCTGATATCTCTTTTTCTTCAAAGAATTCATGCAAGCATACACTACTGAACCCAGTCCCCTGTGAGGAAAGGGGGGAAAAATGTCTTCCTGTGCCCTGATCTAGAGGCAGAAAGTGCTCCTTTATTTAAATTAACAAAACAAAACTAACATTTTTATTAGTTGTCTATGGTTGTATAAAAAAGCAGCAAATCACAGTCCCTGAAATGTCTGCAGTTCTCAAAAGCCAAAACAAGCATGAAGACATGAGCTAATATCAGGCAGACAGGCTATGCCACACAGAAAAGTAAGGAAGAAAACATGCCAATGGATAAAAGTTATTTAGCCCCTGAATGGATTGCCTAGAAAGGTAATTTGGGGCAGGATCCACGGACTTGAAATCTGAATGAAATAGCAAGAGAGATGAATCAGGAAACAATGGAATTGATCTGTCATAGTTTGGGTTGACCCCTACAGGCCAGAGTTCAAACAAACCAGTCTAGAATCTCTAGGTCCCTTCAAACCTCAGAGTCTCAGGTTATAATTATATGAAATGCACTGAGACTAATATTTTTGCAAACCAGCCTAAGACATCATTAAACAACTTCTAAGCAGAAATAAAAGACATCTGTGGTAATGCCACCACTATTCCTCAGTCTCATGGGCTAGAAGTTGAAGTCATCCTACCTTCCACCGCTCCTTTGCCCCATATATATAATTAAGTCACTAAGCACTCTTCTTTTGAATTCTGCATTTTGTTATTGCCTATCTTACTGCATTTTCCACTGCTATTACCCTACTTACTGCCCTTATCCGCAAGCTAAGCCTCCGAGCTGGTCCAACTGCCTACTGTCTCTCCCTGTCAATCCATTCTGCACATAGTCACTAGATTCATCCTCCCTTGACATTACCCTTCTACCTTCAGTAGTTCCCCCACTACCTATAGGATAAAGTTCAAACCCTTTTCCCATGGACCTTAGGCCTTCCATTATCTGGCACCAACAACGTTTTGAGTATGATCTTTCTCTATAAATCCTCTGCTCTAGAAAAACTATTTGCAGTGTCTCCCAACACAACCTCTGCTTCCTCTGCATTTACCTATACCAGTATTGTAGCAAGAATATAGCTCCCATTCTAAACTGCCTCTCAAAATATTATCTATCCTTTGAGATCCAGCTCAAATTCTACCTTACCCAATAAATATATGTTGCATGTCTAGTATGCACCAGGCATTTTAAAGCCTTGCTAGCTTTCCCAGTCTTTTATTGCTCCCTCCTCTGAGTCTATTGAGCAGTGTCTAAGTATCACAATTGGCCCTTCGTAGTGATTCTCTTATATAATTATTAGCCATTTTTTTGTCTTAATGTTTTTTGTACCCAAGTACACTGTAAGCTTCTTGAGAGCAGGATCTTGGTTCTGTATTTCTTTCTTCCCTCACCCCTTACTCTACACCCTGAAAGTAACATATTGCTTTGCATTTTGTAGGAAGGAAATGTATTTTAATTATTTTTATAACAGCATATTTCCAGTCAGAAATCCTGTTGACCTGAGAGAGTTACTACATCAGCATCAAAACAGCCTAAATGAAGCAGAGTAAAAGTAAAACCAGTTGGCTCTCTTGGAGCCAATACAATTAAATTCTAAGTCTAGAAGGAAAACACATCTGTTCTAGTAAAATGGAATAGCCTGGAGATATAAAGAATCCCTATAACATATAGGAGGAAGAAAAAGATGACTATAGCTCATAAAAGAAAATCAAACCATTATATCATTGAAATAAACTGCTCCTGGTTTTAGACAGGAGAACTAATTCAAAACTTTCAATGACTTCCAGTTATAAGTTCACTTTACGGTTCCTTGCAGATTGAAAATTAGTGTAAAGAAGGAGCAAAGAGGTAGCCAGCACCAGAAGAACCTGCTTCTGGACTTTTTCTTTTATTCCCTTTCCCTCCTTCTCCCACTATTTTCTCCCTGCTACATCTCCAACTACCACTAGACCCCCTACACACACACATACAGACGTTTTTAATAGTCATGTGTGTGTGTAAACAAGTGTATTAGCTGCCTTTGTAAAGACTGCTCTTCTCTGTCTCCTTGGAGGATTCCAGTTAAGGAGGGACCACAGCCCTAACCCCAAATCAAATGCCAGAGACTCTCAGAGTCTTCCTGACCTGCTCTGCCTTCACAGCTCCTCCTCTTCTTTTGCTTCAACTCTGTTTCAGGCCCCACCCTCATCTCAGATCTGAAGACTAATATGGTCCTCAGTTTTCCCCCTCAGTATTCCTCCTCAGACATGGCTTTTCATTCTCCCTTAGTTTCAACTCACGCTTGGCCTCCCAATGAAACAAGCCTGTTTTTATATCCAAGGACCATCTCCAAGGATACCCCCAGGACTTGTACACCACAGGGAATCTGACAGGGCTGAATGCTGATGTTCAGTAGGAGATGAAGATACCCTCTCTCAACTCTTGTCTCTTTTGCCACCCTTTCTGTAGCCTTCAACACAGATTTGATCAAAATGGATCTTGGCCATACAGTAAACAGAGCTTGATACAGTCCAAGAAACTCTGTGTATGTTTAATTAATAAACAGTTGTTGAACAGCTTCAATAGCCTATAAGCTGAATCAGAGATAAATCAGGACACAGTCAACCCAGGAAGTGTTATCCCCAACATTGGAAAGAAGTTTCTAAGGAGGAAACAGAAAATTAAGGTCCAGGAAATGGCCAGTTGTTGGAGGGTCCAGACGAAAGCCAAGGCTGAGCCAGGAGGCATTTTCATCTAAGAGTCCACAAAATTAGAAAACCAAGAAAGAGAGGTTTTATTTTCCCCATTTCACAGAGGAACTGTAGAGGCGTGAGTTCAAAGAGAAAGCATATTGCAGCTAACAAAGCAACCCTTTTGGGGGAAGCCTTTCCAACTAGGTTCTGTTGATGGTTTTCAGTCATATATTATTTTGGTGGGGGGAGGATATTCATGCAAACAACAAACTGCAGTTAGCAACATATCATATTGCACAAAGTGATTTACAATAAGAACTTCGCTTGGGAAGTGATGATAGGTTCATGTGCACCCCCAGTGGAGAAACACTGAGTTAAATCAGAGGGATCAATCCAACCAAACACAGGAACCAGGAAACCCCAATGTTTTTGACAAAGAACCTCAGATAACCTCAGAAAAGATTCTTTATTTCAAATCTGGTCATATTTAAGTAATTTATTATGCTAAATATATTACATGAATAGGAGCAGCCTCATGTTCATTAATATTGGAAAACATTACATCTTAGATCCTTCAAAAGAATATTACTATTACTCACAACCTCACTTTATTTTGTGAGGGAAATATCTTTTATTTACTCTTGTTTTAAGTTCTGAATAGATGCAGGTTGCCCTGGGTGGTCACCTCTCCCTGAATTGGTATATAATTTTGTCATTCTCAGGTAGTTTGGCAGGAGTTGCAAATGTAAATATCCTCAGGTGTCAGGCAGTAACATAAAACTGTGAAACTATGGGGTAGGAGATAACTGGGAGTAGTAAAAACTGTGGTGATCAGCAGAGGGCATGCCCAACCAAGAATTTAAATTCAAAACTTTTTAAGGCCACATGCTGGTCAAACATATGTTTCTAAGTTTTGGACTCAACCTCTGGCACCTAGTTTTCTATCTCTGGTTAAAACTCAAAGGAAAGAGGGATGGGCTTGATAAGTCCTCAGTGTCTTTCAGCTGGAATATTTGTTTATTTTGCATTAAATGTTGCAAATCAATCAGAAACCCCTTTACTGGACAGATTCTAAGTGGAATTCAGTACAAATCCATTTTCTCATACCTTAATATCACTTCCCTTATTCTATTCTTCAGAATAAAAAAAATTGCATGGTTTTCCTTTGACTGAAACATCTTCATAAAATTTCCTTTATTTACCATCAACATTGGTCCCTAACTGCTCTCTGTGAGAGCTACTCTGGCATTTTGGAGACTATAGAGCTGATGCCCTAACTTGGTCCTATTCTGAGAAACACATAGGTGAAAATTTGGAAACAAACACTTTAGCCTGAGTTTATGATGGTAGGGATAGATGTGGAGATTTGGGGTTATCAGAAAACCCCCGACTTGGTGTTGGCCTCTCCTTTCTACACCTTCCTAACCTTCCATCCCTTAAACTCCAGGGTGATATAACTCAGAAGCTCCAGAAAACAACCTTGTCCACTGAGTGCATACCCTTAACCAGGCTCTTTGAATGGGTTTTACGTCAAGAATCTGAACAGTTCTAGAAATGGAACTGCGTCATGTGGCAGAGACTGTAGCAACCAAAATAACAGTAGGCAAGGAGAAGCTCTGCTGCCCATGCAGCTGCAGAGATGCTTCAGATGTACAGTTTCTTGTAGAGCAGAGATTATTCCATGTGTTGTGCATAGAATAGCACCAAACACATTTCATTAATGCTGAATAACCACCCAGAGAGGCAGAATGGGCTTCATTAGATGGTAAAATCCAGGAGTGGCAATGCAAGATGTGGGTGGTGAATTGGGGTTCTCATTTCACCATATTTGGGGCTCCTCAGAAACTAGTGAAGCTAGTTAAGATTTAACATTGTTAAATCAGAATTCAATGTCACTTTTTGAGAATGGAATTAACATGATGGAGAGAGTTTGATAAAGAGTATCTTGGTAATCCTACCTGTTGTGTTTGAGAGACAGGAAGCCTAGTGGTTAAACCCAGAGGCTCTCGAGCCAGTCTGTCTGGGTTCTTCTAATTCCAACTCTAAGGTCATCTGTGAGGCCTTGGGCAATTTGCTTAACTTTTCTGTACTTAGTTCCTTCATCTGTAAGATGAAGATCATAAGATCCACCCTATAGTATTGTTGTGGGGCTTAAATATGAAGCACATAGAACAGTGCCTATTATGTAATGAGTACTCAAAAAGATTATTAAAATGCTTTCCTCTTAAAAGCTTTTAAGAATAAGAATAAAGTTGATGCTCACTGTTTAAAGATTTGAAGAAATCTTAAGCAAGTCACATCGCTTTTCTGAGTCTTAGTATCCTCTGTAAAATGGGATGATGAGAGTATATGGCAAGATGTTTCAAGCATTTTTTTGGTAGTACAACCTTTTATTCAAGATTAATTGATGCTTCTTTTTATTTAAATCTTGGTATAAGGGAATAATATCCTACATATGCCTTAGATACTTTTAGTCCACAAGACTGAGAGTGACGCTTTCCTCTGCTATTTCTTGGTTTCTTAACCCTATGACACCAGAGGCATGGAATGCCCCCAGCTTATCTGCTCACACCAGCTGTTAGGGGACAGTAGAGATTTTCCTTTAGAGTGAAAGCTGCAACAAGCATCTGAGAATAATTTGTTATTTATCAAGTGTTTCCTTTTGTTCACCATCAAACCTGACACTGGTCATTGGAATCACACAAACCAGCTGGTGAGTAAAAACACTGAGTTTAGTTTTGGCTTGCTTCTCATCCTGGCCTGTTATACTGAATGTCAGGGTAAGTCTGCTCTGAAGCCTAGGTGACGAGCTCCAAGTTAGGAGAGAAAACTCTAATATTATTCTTTCTTCACTGGGTAGGGGCTCTGGAGAAATCACTTTACCTTTGTAAGTCTGAAGAAAACAGAGTTTGCAATCACTGTCCCTCCTTCTCTCACAAAGACACTACACAGAGAGCAGAAACAAGAATAGACCCAGGGCTAGAGAAAGGGCAAGCAAGAACAGGCATAGGTGGTGGTCTCTCTCCATTACCATCTTTTGAATAAAATGTTTCTCCAACAGTGGACCACTAGCCCCCTGAAATGAAGCCATCTTGGGTGCTTGCTAAAATATTAGATTCCTAGGCCTCACCCAAACCCACTGGATCTGAATCTGTGGTAGTGGGGACCAGAAATTTGAATTTTAATAAGCTCCTTTAAGGATTCATTTATCCACTAAGAAACTTGCTTAAGAACCACTGGTCTAGTCAATCACCAGCTCTTTGAATCCATCTGGAAACGATGATCATCTATTTGAGATCTCAGTTATGGACAAGTTAGTTATGCACAGAAAATAAGTGTTAATTGTAGCTGGAGATGATTGAATGGGGTAAAAGGGAAGATTTTCTGGCAGTGTGATTAGACACATAGGAACGTGGAATCAATAAAAGCTGTAGAAACTCAGCACACATTTCTGTTTTGAAAATAAGATGACTAAGTTTGGTAATTCAGGGAAAAGCTTGCACTATATGAAGCTTGAACTACCTGAAGGGAGGTTCATATTTCTGTCTCCAGGAATAATAATAAAAAAAGTGTAAGCAAAAACATCCCTTTAATTGTGCTGTATACATTTCTTGAGTCCCTTGAAGCCAAACAAACTTATTTTACCACTAAGGAAACTGAGGTTTAAAGAGAAAGTCATTTTTCCCGGGTCACATAGCTAGTTGATTGGTTACAAATCTTTATTAAATCAGTCATTGATGGGAAGACAAAACTTACTTGATTTGCCTATCTGCCCACATTTCCCTTCCCTCCCCCAATTTTGAGAAGAAAACACTGTTTCTCCCACTATATTTTTGCCTTGCAATTAGGCTTTAATGCTTGTCAGCTGAAGCAGAAACTCTTCTGAGCATTTAGGCAGAGCGTCTAAAGGAGATCTAATGACCCTCGTGACTGAAAGTGAAAAGATTCAAAAACCAGTGTTTACAGATCTTCAGCTGCTCTGATCAAGCCTTAAAATTGCTGAAGCCAGACCTTTGGTTGCACAGCTATCTACAGGAGCAGCCAAGGAAGAAAATGTTTTCTGAATAATTTACAAGATATATGAGTAAATGTGATATTCAATTAAGCATGTAGTCATAGGAAGGAAAATCAAACAATTGAAATTGCCACTCAATGGTTGGCTGTAAATGCTGCCTATGCCGCTACCCCACTTTAGAGATGCCTGCTAGACACTGGCAAGAAGAAGACAGTGCAGTTAATGGTAAAAATGGCCCCTCTCTAAAAACAGAGTTAGAGTGAACATATGCCTTCAACCCTCTTAGGAAAATGAGCCAAAACCAGCCAGTAAAATGTAGCTGCACAGGCTGCCTGGCAGAGAATTTTCATACATTGCTAAGCAGCAAAATGCATAGAACATACGGTGCTATGGCTGGAAAGGACCTTCCAGATCATCTAATTCAACTCCTTTCATTTTATAACTGAAGAAACTGAGGCTTCAGAGAGGGAAAGTGATTATCTCAGTATCACACAGCTGGATAATTGGTTCTAAATATTCCCTAAATCGAACTCCTTGGTGTGGAAGCATGTTTGATTTAGTGAGATGTCAGAATTACAGACCACTTTTTAAAATGCATTTCTTTTAAGAATTCTACGAAGTTTATAGAGTAAATAAGTAAACATGTATCCCAGTAATTCACAACCTTGGCTTGTTATCAGAATCACACGGGGAGACTTTTAAGGTAGCTCTATTAAGCATTCTCATGCAGGGCCACTGTATACAATTGTGCAGGCCACGCACTGCATGAGAGTGTCCACTGATGGAGGTGAATGGGGGCCCAACTTGAGCCACTGCACAGACTTACCAAGCTATGCACCCTGATTTAGGGCTGCACCTGCTCAAAGGAAGATGTGCCTTTCTCTACTTTGTGAAAAGGGTCAATATGGATTAGTAGCAGCACTATATTCTTGGCTCCCCACCTCACAGGTATCACTGCAACTTCCTACTTCACCCTATCTTGATGCTCCAATATACTTTGAATCCTCTCCCACTCCTGAAATAGGCTCAATTGGTGGTTGCCTCTTGTGTATCTCTGGACAGAAAAAGCCCTTTCAATGTGTGGTACAATTTCTCCCTCCCCCTTACTACAACTGTGCAGTTGTTTAATGCAATGACTTTCAAGTTTTCTTGATTTCTAACTCAATTACTAAAAAAACCCTCCCAATATATGTACAAATATATATATATAAATTATATAAATGTAATAATGTATATCATGTATAAACATATATTTATAACTAAACATATGCTACTGTACTAGAAACACACAAAATTCCTTTAACACAGGCAAAAAGGAAAATTTAAAGTATGTAATAAGGATGAAATTAACCATATTTAAAAATAATATATAATAAATATATTATAGTCTGAAAATCTTTTTGGCTTTCACTAAAAAATTAACATTAAACTAATGTCTTTAGAGAGAGAAATGTTCTTTAATAAGCTTCATTTGTTATAAAAAACTTCAATCTTTCATAATGCAGTAATCTGAAGTCCTGATTCTAAATTCAGCAATTTCAATTCTTGGAATTAATGGCTGTCAGCCACCCCCCACCGCCAAAAAAAAAGATACCTCACAAAGACTTGCAGCAAATCTGTTTCGCCTACTTCTTATCAGTTTATTAATTGGAATTGTGCTGTTTTGACTTGGTAATGTGGCTAACAAAGAGCTCATCCTATGAGTAGAACCTTCTAGAAGCAGAATGGCATTAGCTCTGCCATTTCCTTATTATTTTCTTGTGCTTACACTAAGTTTCTCCTCAATCCCTGATTTACTTGCATGAAAAATTGCAAACTACTTGCTCATTTGTGAGGATTAGGTTAATTAAAACTAGACAGTATAATATGTAATTTCACATAAGCAGGCACACACAAACTGCAATATATTTTAATATGAGGAGAGTAAATGAAGGCATGAGGATAATTTCATCAACCCCTCCTTATTCTGGAATTTCCATGCTTCCCTTAGGATCCTTCCCATATTGTTCATGACATGTGACTGGCTTAGTTCCTCCAATTCCCCTCTGAACTCGAGTCCTCAAGTTTCCTCATATCCTGTCCTATGGTAACTACAGGAGACATTACAGCAGTTAGGAGGAAAACATGAACCAGGGAGGACTTCTCAGTGGAGGCTATATCTAAGCTGAACGCTGAATAATGGGGAGGATTTTCAAGGAGATGGAGAGAGAGGGCTTCTCAAGAGGAGGTGACAGTATGAGAAATGTCATAAATAGCAGAGTGGTTATGTTCTATAGGCTTTAAAGACAGGTAGACTTTTGGGTTCAGATCTCTAGTTCTGGCTGTGGTCTTCACCTCTCTCACATGTCACTATTCAATCTCTATACCCACCTCTCTCACGCCCACCCCATGAATCAGAATTTTGGAACATGGCACCAGAGTATCTGTATTTTTTAGGGCAGTTTTGAGAACTGCCATGTATACCATGTTCATAACTATAGTTATGTAGTATGTTTACCCACATCTTGACCCTCTCTCTTGCAGTATTGTAGAGTGGCTCCCTATTACCTATTGAGTTACATCCTCTGTCCAGCCTCCAGCACCCTAACTGCAACCACCTCATCTTGGTGTGCTACCATGTTTCCTTGGGCCCTTCAACCACAACACATTCCCTCCTTTTAGTATTCTTTAACATATGATAATCCCCTACTTTGACAATTCATCCCCTTCCACTACCAATCCACATCACTCCCTTCAAGGCTCTGCTCAGAACACATTGCCCCAAAGAGGTACTCTCCATATTCCTCTGCTCCACCTTGCCTACTTTCTAATCCCACATCACCTCAAAGTGTTATAACATCTTTGTACCACAATCAAGCCTCACCTATTTTAGATGAATTGAGCATTCCAATGGATGAAGAAAAAGATCACATTTGAAGAATATGGAATGTATCTTTTAAATACATATATCCACCCATACCACTGACTCATAAAGTATTACCAAATAGTAGCCTAGTCATGTCTGCTTTATTCAGATTTGGTAAAGCTATAATTTGTACAACTTTAGATACATGTAAATCAGGTACATGTGAGCTAATTCAATATATGTGACCTAATAGGTTACTTAAAAACTGTTTTATGATGTTAAGCACACTCCTATATGGGAAGGCTGGAACCTGGTTCCATGTCTATCTCCCTGCTGTCTCCTTTCTTCAACCTCAGGGAAAGCATGCACTTGCAGTGCTCATCATTTTTTTCCACTTAGTTAATAACACCAAGAAATTATTTTATACACACACACAAACACACATGCTTTCTTCCTCCCCCTTCCTATATCTCCATTCAAGCCATCCCTTACACCACCAGGCCATCTATTACACCACCAGCAAAATCTCTTCACCACTCACCTGTACAGCCCCAACTAGTCATTCCTCTTAGCTCTCAATAATGGGGTAAAAAATGTGCTTTTGAGACACTAATATTAGTACTGGTGCCATTAACCTATTAAGCCCTTTCAATGTAAGGGAACAGCATTTATTAACACTAACTACAGACCAAGTTCTGTGATAGATGCTAAGCATACAGAACTTCAGTTAGTCCTCACTACAACACCGAAACATAGGCACCACTGTCACCATTTTATAAATGAAACTGAAACTCAAAATATCGAAGTCACATAGCTAGACAGTAGCAAACTCTTCATTTCTACAAGAAAATGCATGCCAGGTTCCCCAAACCAATTTAAATATCACATTCTGGAATTTGAACCATTTAAGGATTTGTATACCCACGAGTAAACTCCTTTGAAAAATGTGTCCATTTAATACTTCCAGTTAGACTGCTTTCTCCTTGAGTACACTAATGTTGTCATTAACCAACAGGTTTTCTTCATAATGTCAAATATTTCCATCTGATTTATCCCCTGACTCATTGCTACCCCACCCCTCAGCTTCATACTTCAGTGGGTGAGGGGAGTCACTTCTATACCACAAAAATTATTTAGAACTTTTCATAAAAGTTTTCCTGGCACACAAAGGCAGACATATATGCCAATGGAATAGAATAGAGTACCCAGAATCACTTATATGGCCAAATGATTTTTGACAAGAGTGCCAAGACCATTCAATGGGGAAATAACAGTCTTTTCAACAAATAGAGTTGAGAAAAGTGGATATCAATATGCAAAAGAATGAAGTTGGACCCTTACCTTACACCAAGTACAAAAATTAACTCTAAATAAATCAAAGACCTAAATATAAGAGTTAAAAGCACAGACCTCCGGGGGGAAGCTTCATGATATTGATTTGAAAATGGTTTCTTGGATATGACACCAAAAGCACAGGCAATCAAAAGTAAAAACAGAGAAATTATACTACATCAAAATTTAAAACATCTGTGCATCAAAGGACTCAACAGAGTGAAAAGGCAACCTATAGAATGAGTGAAAAATATTTGTAAATATCATATCTGATAAGATGTTAATATCCAAAATATATAAAGAACTCCTACAACTCAACAACAAAATATTCCCCAAAAAAATCAATTTTAAAAAATGGACAAAGGACTCAAATATATATTTCTCTAAAGATATACAAATGGCCAGTAAGCACATGAAAAGATGAACAACATCCCTAATCATTAGGAAAATACAAATAAAACCCATAATGAGATACCACATCATACTCATTAAGAAGGCTAATTTAAAAAAAAACAGTAAATAAAGAGTATTGGTGGGAATTGGAAATATTGGATCCCTTATGTGCTGTTGATGGGAACGTAAAGTGGTGCAGCCACTATGGAAAACAGTATGGTGGTTCCTCAAAAGATTAAAAATAGAATTACCAGAGAATCCAGCAGTTTTGCTTCTGAGTATGCACCCAAAATAATTCAAAGCAGGGTCTCAAAGAGATATTTGTTCATCCATGTTTATAGCAGCATTATTCACAATAGCCAAAAGGTAGAAGCAGCTCAAGCACTTGTTGACGGATGTGTGGAAAACAAAATGTGACATATACATACAATGGAGTATTATTCAGCCTAAAAAAAGGAAGGAAATTCTGACACACACTGCAATGAGGATGAACCTTGATGACACATTCTAAGTGAAATAAGCCGCTCGGAAAAAGCCAACTTCTGTGTGAATCAATTTATAAAAAGTACCCAGTGTTGCCAAATTCATAGAGACAGAAAGTAGAGTGGTGGTTGTCAAAAACTAGGGGTGGGGAAATGGGAGGTTGTTTAATGGGTGTAGTTTCAGTTTTGCAAGATGAAAATAGTTCTAGAGACTGATTGCACAACCATGTGAAATGTACTTAACACTACTGGACTGTGTACTTAAAACTGGTTAAGATGGTAAATTTTATGTGATGTGTACTTTATCACAATTTAAAAAATAGTTTTCTGGCAAAGCTGGCTTCAAGATCAGTTGGAGCAATGCAGAAGACATTTTTTTTTTCTCATGAGCATTAGGCTTTTGTGTTCACTTTCATCAACTTTTGAACAGATGAACATTGCCCTGGAAAACACCTCTAATTTCTGCTCTCACTTATTGAGGCAGACAGTGGATGGGGAAAGCAGTGGATCTTGAGAAGATACACCGTTATTAGGCAGGGTTTCAGCAGAAAACAGAATTCACCCCAGACAGTCAAATAAATTGTAATAAAGGGAATGGACCAAGGGCTGTGGTAATGCCTCTGTGGTGAGGCACCCACATACTAGCAGCAGTAGGTATCCACTGTCAGCCCCAGAGGTGGAGGAACAAGAGAAGGAAATAGTAGGAAATGAAACCTCGAAGGAGTTACCTGGCAGAAGCAGAAGTCCTGGCACCAAGGAAACAGCATCAATGCAGACAAGAAATATCCTGACCTCTATCTCTTCCCACCCTTCAGTCTTCTGGAGAAAACTCCCATTGGCTGAACCAGCCAGCAAAGAACCCAGGTTATACATTCTGCTGCAGTTAGTTTCTCAAAGCACAGAGCAGGGCAGAGAAGGACAAAGAGTAGATATCGGGTATACACGTTGGGGGTGACAAACAGAATAAGTGGCACACTTGGATTATAGTCTTAGGCCTGTTGCTAACCATGGGAACTTAGAGAAGTCAGTTAACGTATTTTGATTTTTGGCCCACTTAGAAATTTGCTCATAGTAACCCTTGTCTTGCCCAGCTGATGGGCTCTGTGAGTCTCAAATAAAATAATGGATGACAGACTCCTTTCTACCCAACAAAGTGCTATTAAACATAGAAAAATAATGTTTTTTCCACTCTTTCCTCGGTCCTTCTCTCCTCTACCTGAGAAGGTCAGGAAACAACATAGCAGAGTAGGAAAAACTAAACTGGCAGGTGGGAGACCTGTGATGTCAAGCAAGTAAGTGACTTTTGCACTCTGAGCCTCAGTTTTCACATCTATAAATATCTGAACTACATGTTAATATTAATGCCCTTTCTGACTCCAATGATTTTCTTACTGAAGAGTAGGTTAGCAAGATGTGCACAAGACCATGCACATGTGCGCACACACAGTCCTTTTTCTTCTGCCTCAAGTCACACACACATTTACACAAACCTATATGTTTGGCTTTCATCAAACCAATACTGCTATAAATGAGAGCAGGAACCAGGGCATTAATTACTACTTTGTCTTTCATGTCATACCATGTGAGAGCCCTTTCCTGGGATAATCGCCTAAGGCAGTGTTGCCCAACATGGGTTCCTTCAGTATGTTAACAAGTGTTACAAGAGGAAAAAGTCAATTCAGTATCGAAAATGCTGGGATAACAAAGCAGCACTTCTCACAGCCTTTGTTTGTTTGTTTGTTTGTTTGTTTTTGTTGTTGTTTTTGAGATGGAGTTTTGCTCTGGTCACCAAGGCAATGGTACAATCTCGGCTCACTGAAACCTCCGCCTACCGGGTTCAAGCAATTCTTCTGCCTCAGCCTCCTGAGTAGCTGGGATTACAGGCACGCACCACCACGCCCAGCTAATTTTTGTATTTTTAGTAGAGATGGGGTTTCCCCATGTTGGCCAGGCTGGTCTCAAACTCCTGACCTCAGGTGATCCGCCTGCCTCAGCCTCCCAAAGTGCTGGCATTACAGGCGTGAGCCACCACGCCCAGCCTAGCCTTTAATATTCTAATGTACATTGTGCATCTCTGAGAGGGTAGTAAAGTAAATGGTGGGATTTTTTATTTGCCAAACTTATTTGACTGTAGAATCCTCCCACCACCCTACCCACAGCACCTCAAATTCTTTGGAATGATATGAATTGTTGGACCAAATCCTATGTTCAGACAGCCTTTCTGTACATTCATGCTTAGGCCCAAAATACATTTTGTTCTATTTATACATTAAGAATATATTTTTATTTTAAGTCTCAGCTACTCAGAAGGCTGAGGTGGGAGGATCACTTGAGCCCAGGAGTTTGAGCCCAGCCTGGGCAACATAGCGAGATCCTGTCTCTTCAAAATATATATATATATTAAATATATAAATATATATTTATGTATTATCTATTAATTACTATATAATTAATTACATATTTTGTATAGTATATATATGTGTGTGTGTGTGTGTGTGTGTATATATATGCGTGTGTGTATATAGTAGCCTGTAATACATGCTTTGTCTCTCAGTTCCTGCCTTGGTGCCCCATGCAGTTGGTGGTGCTTCCAGATGAATATGGAGGGCAGGGCAGCATAAGAAGGCATCATTCCTTACCCAAATCAGGAATAGGCATTCCAGAATGTCTTTAAGATAAGGCAGTCTCTTGGTATTTGGCATTGTTTAGGCAAGATGAAAAGTTGCTGTCATAATAACAATTCACAAAGGAAGAGCAGTTTACAGTTGCAGAGAGCTTTCACATAAACCATCTCATTTCTAAAAACTGAGGTCAGTAGGATCATCTTCATTTTACATATGAAAAACAGCAAGATTATTTATCTCTTGCAAGGTTACTCAGCAGAGCCAGGACTCAATAGCAGGTCTAGAACTTCTGTTTCCAGTGCTTCTTTTAATGAACCAAGATGGAAGGCAGAAAGGCTCCCTTAGCTTTCTAATGACCCAAACTCATTGGCCACACAGTGCTGAGCATTCTGCTGTTGGAGAGGCGGGATGAGGTTGCCCTCTTGCTTCCAGGGAGGGAGGGACAAAGAGTATTTTTTTAAAGCTTTCCTTTTATTGTTTGTTTTTCTAATCTCATGAGTTAACCATGCTCATTACAGAAAGGTCAGAAACTACAAATAAGCAAACAGGAGAAAAAATTAAAATACCAATAAACACCTACCAATTCAGACACAACTACTGTTGACACCTTGGTGTTCCAGACACTTTTCTATGCATGTTAGAGTCTATGATACGTTTTCTTTCATATTCTAGTGTTTCTGGAATTGGGCTGTATCTTCTAATTGATGTTCATAGCTGATGTGGTAATCCTTCCCTCCCTCACAAATATGGTTAGGGTTATCATACTGATGATGTGTCTTAAAACTGTGGCATCTCAGGGTCCATGAGGGATCTTATATTTTTCCCCCAAATTATGTCAGATTGCTGTTTTGAAACATGCTTTTATCACTCATCACTCTCCCCTCCTTTTTTTTTTTTTTTTTTTTTTTTTGATACGGAGTCTTGCTCTGTCGCCAGGCTGAAGTGCACTGGCGCGATCGCGGCTCACTGCAACCTCTGCCTCCCAGGTTCAAGCGATTCTCCTGCCTCAGCCTCCCAAGTAGCTAGAACTACAGGCACACGCCACGACGCCCAGCTAATTTTTGTATTCCCCTCCCTTTTATTTCTTGGCATGATGCCATGTCAGTAGATATTTTTCTACCAAAAGTATATTTAGTGAATGCAAAACCACTCCACTGATTGGTTGCACTGTATTTTTTTTAACCAAACACCTATTGCTGAGCATTTAAATCATTTACAACTTTTCCCAACTACAAACAGCATTGGCGACAGATATTCACTGAAGAATTGAGGTTATACTAGGTGCCAGACATAATACTGGGTGCTAGAGATAGAGAAATGAACAAAATAGATGTGGACTCAACCCTCCAGAAGTTGATAGTCTAGTAGAAACAGCGGGCATTAAACAAGTGAACACTTTCATGTATATTTGTAGAGATTTATTAAATATCAAACACTGTGAAAGATAAGAACAGTCTTTCTTTAGATTAGACAATCAGGAAAGGGCTCTCTAAGGAAGGAGTAATTAAGCTGAGATCTGAAGGATGAGAAAGAAATAGCCAGTGAAGGGAAGGCTGCACCAAACTAGACTCCCACAAGTACAGCAGGAAATGCCCACTCTCTTGCTGATATGGAATAAATAGTCTCCTTTTTCTTTACCATTCTGCTGGAGGATGAAAGGATTCTCATTATTTTTTAATTAGCATTTTACAAATTATTTCTAAGGTTGAACATGTGTTCTTACTTCATGTCGTTTTGTCTCCCTAGAAGAGCTTATCAATAACACTGTATTCACTGCTGTGACGAGGTCATATCTACTATACACCACAGCATAAAGCTAGGGCAATGGCTGTTGAAGTGTGCTCCCTCTGGAACCTCCAGAGTATATCAGCATCACTTGGGAACTTGTTAGAAATGCATATTCTCAGGGCCTACCTCAGACCAACTGAATCAGAAATTCTGGGGGTGAGGCCTAACAATCTGTCCTAACAAATCCTCCACATGATTCTGATATATTATAAAGCCTGAAAACCACTTTCAAGAAAATATTCAATGGATATTTGTGGATGGATGCAGTTCCAACATCCTAGGATCCTAGGATGCTCCTCCAAATACATAAATCAGAGAATATAGACCTCAATTGAAGCACAAAACAGAGTTTTGTGCTGAAAAGTTTGTGCTGAGAGTTCATTCATTTATCCAGCAAATATTTTTGAGCATCTACTATGCTTAAGAACTTTGCTACATACTGAAGATTTAATAAGGAAATAAGACAAGAGTCCCTGCCCTCACAAAGCTAATCGTCTAGTGGAGCGATTCCTTCTCAAAGTGGGATGGACGGCCAAGGAAAGTTCTAGCATGCACTGTTTTTGAACTCTTGAAAAGCAAGGAAAATGGAACAATGGTAATATAAACACATTGTGGTCAGGATAAGTGAGACAAAAGTGAAAAGAGAGAAGCGGACAGAGATGGTCTGTCCATCTTGGTCCTGCTGAGTCTCCTCTACAAACTGCTCCAGAACAGAGGTAGATTCCAGATGGGAGAAATGCCAAGGTCCTACACAGTTATTATTATTCACATATTTCTCTAAATTGTATGCATCATTTCCCTTTTCTAGGCAGCATAGTCTCAGCTTCCTTAGATTCCTGAAGTGTGCCCCAAGGATTTGTAGCTCTATGTTAATGTGATACATAAAATAGAGTCACCTTGACTTCACATTTATCTGGCTTATGTAAGCTCTAACCTTTTACTGCAGTGCAACAGAAATGCCAGACCCATTTTGTATAGGCACATAAACAAATACTCTGATTCTAAATAATATATTGGGGACCCTGGTGACTATGAGAGCATGACAGCCTACAGGGAGTTAGGAATTAAGCTACTGATCCAAGCTCTGGTGTGGAGGGAGGCACCAGGCTCTGGCTCCACTTCTTTTCCCAAGAAAACTGCTCATTGCAGTAAAGTCTTTGGAAAGAGCTTCAGAATTTTTCCTTCCACTGGCTATAAATCAAGGAAGCTATCTAGAGAAGGGGTCTGATGAGATCACTCACCCACCAAGTCCAATAGCCTTGAACAAGCTCTTTATAATCCTTTCTTCTAATCTAAAAGAAATAAAGCAAAAAAAAAAAAAAAAAAGGTGGGGGTGGCGGTAGACGGGGCTAGTTATGAAGTTATGATGCATCTAGTTTTCTTTCCCCCCTAGAGCAGGGTTTCTCAATCTCTGCACTCTTGACATTCTAGGCAACATAATTATTTGTTATAGGGCTGTGCATTGTAATAGGTTTGGCAGCACCCCTGGCATCCACTGACTAGGTGCCAGTAACTCCTCCTCAAGTTGTGACAACCAAAAATGTATCCAGACATCACCAATGTCCCCTGGAGTGTGGGGAGGGAATCTCCTCAAGTTGAGAACCACAGCACTAGAAATTAAAGCAGTTAGAAATCCCAGATATTAACCCCTGGAAAGCCACGTGGACTTTATTTTCCCAGTTTGATAAATCGAATCAGTTTAAATACAGAAGACACCACTCAACGGTTCACAAAAATAATTTGGATAGTTATCTCTCTCCCACTTATAATAAACCCTTAACTGCCTCCATTGACTTTAAATAACTCAACATTATCAGAGCAATGAGGTGAATTACTGAGGGCCAACAATTGAGGGACTCAAAATCAAGTTATAATGATTACTCCTTGCAAATGTATAATAATTCATGTTTTACACATCTGTCAATTTGAATTCATTTTAACTTTCATTGGTTATTTCTGTGTGCCAGGGGCCTTTAATTTTCATACCACCTATATTAGTTTTCTGTGACTGCTGTAACGAATTCTGCTTAAAACAACATAAATTTATTGTCTCACAGTTCTGAAGGCTAGAAGTTCAAAGTCAGTACCACTGGGCCAAAATCACTGTCAGCAAGGCCACACTACCTCCAGAGGCTCTAGGGGAAAATCATTTTCTTGCCTTTTCCAGCTTCTGGTGGCTGTCAGCATTCCTTTGACTTGTGACCACATTACTCCCATTTCTGTCTCCAAAGCAACCTTACCTATTCCTCTTCTACAGGTCATCAAATCTCCCTCTGTCCCCCTGTTATAAGGTACATGTGATTGCATCTATGGCACATCAGATAATCCAGGATAATCTCCCTGTTTTTAAATTCATTATTTGATTACACCTGTAAAGACCTTCCCCCACACCCCATCTCTTTGCCATGTGAGGTAATATTTACAGGCTCCAGGGATATGGATATGGGGGAACGGAAGGACTATCTATTATCAGCCAATTATACCACCCTTGTGACGCAGGCAAAGATTAATATTTATAGATGAGAAAATAGTGGCACAAACAAGTTAAATGGTTTATAAGAAGTTACATGCTGTGAGAGATTGGCACAGATGGGACAAGAATCCAGGGCTTCTGACTCCTCTTTTGAATTACCCATGGCCCAGAAGAATAGAAACCTATTCTCCCCTTCCTCCAGCAAACAGTTAAAAGGCACTGTGAAGTTAGTATAATCATGAAGGATTAGAGGATGGAGTTTACAGGCTAGCGAGGATTCTGGAAAGCCTCATATCATTCTGAGGGGCTTAGGGGTGAGAAATCACACAGAATTTTCCAAGATATTAGAATAGCACAAGGAAAATGAAAGGAGATGATATGGTATGAGAAGAAAGCAAACTGTAGCCTTTTAATATTCATTGAGTCCATGACAGCATAATGTTTCACCTGCTATTTAGCATTTCACATTGGCAACACTGAGTAGGGCATATGCTGTGTATAATTTTATGAAGCTCTTTAACAAAATAGTCTATGGTTGAATTTTCACAATATCTCTGTATGGAAGGGCAGTCATTATCATCATTCCATTTCATAGGTGAGGAAACTGAGGTTTGGGGAGTTAAGAGATTTTCCCAAGCTAGAATAAAATCCAAGCCTTTTTCCTTTTATGATAATTGTCTTTTCTAATTATTGTCCCTCATGTAAGAATGATATATACAGGTGTCTCATAAAGTTATAACCCATAGCTACTGAGTTATCAGTATAGATGACAAATGTTACTTTATATTCAACCTTCAGGAGACCCAGTACCCTTCAGGCACTTTTCATGTAATTCAGATACACAAACAACAGGTGGCAGTAAGTGCCTTAGGTAAGTGATTTGAATGAACAAATTTAAACTTAAATATACTTATTTTAAACTATGACAAAAATGGTAGATTTTCAGGATTTCCGTTTTATTGTTTACAGTTGCTAGTCTATCTTATTCTATGCAATATGTTCAGATGTGTTTAAAGGTCAAATGTATAAAATAACTTCAAGAAAATAAAAATCTGTTATTTGCTGTCTTTCAAAATAATTCCTGCTAACTGCAATTAAACTAAAGTTTTGTCTTATCCTGAGACTAAAATTAGAATATTCATTTCCACTTTACTCTAAATATTTTTAAAATCTAACTTCCTCCTGATTTTAAAATTAGATTTTAAAATCTAATTTCTTCAAGATTTCTATTTAACTTACTGACAAAAGAGCCATGGGATCTTTTACTCAAGTGGAAAAAGCTTTTATCATTTCCCATTTTCTCTCTAAGTTTTCAGGGAAAGGACTTAAAGAATGAGGAAATAGTAGGCAAGGACATTTCTCCTCTTGAGTTCCCTATCTCTAGCTTTTTTTTTTTTTTTTTTACCTCTTCTCAACAGAGAAACTATCAAACAGCAGTGTGTTACCACTGAAAGTACAGAGTCTTTTAACTTTTTTTTCTATCAGAATGAAGTAAGTTTTCACGCTAGGTCTTAAAATGATAGCAACTAGCAGCATTCCCCTTCCTGTTTATCACATGTAAATTTCAAGTTACACTAAGCCAGTAGCTACTTTTGGAAATACGTGTTAGGAAGGGGAATGCTGCTAGTTTAACTACCTGTAACATCCACACAGTGGCTTCTGCCACAGATAGGCTCCTTTTTTCAAGGCTAAGAGATACAAACATACAGCTCACACCAACACAGCAAATCAAAGAACCCGCACATTTAAGTACTTTTTATACGAAAATGTTCATTTGTTACATTAAAGATACACTGGCATTTGTAGTAAACAATATCCACATTGTCAGTCAACTTTAAAAGTAACACTAATCTAGGGTTGGCTCTGCACTAGGGACTTTGAGAACTCAGGAGAAATGTAAACCACAGTTCCTACCTCAAAAGATTTACAGCCTAATTGAGGAGGTGGCATTTCTAAATGATGCATTTGTATTATATATCAGTATAACATGTACATAAGT
Organism: Homo sapiens; assembly: GCF_000001405.40. NCBI lineage: Eukaryota > Metazoa > Chordata > Mammalia > Primates > Hominidae > Homo > Homo sapiens. Next base: position 112,043,049 of record NC_000023.11, on the reverse strand, counting down.
TCATATTCAAAAGAATGGTTACAGATACCATGAAGTACAGTGGATCATGGTAGAAAGGAAGGTTTCATGGAGAAGAACTTAAAGGGTGAATATATTTTGCATAAGCATATAAAAGAGGCAAGAATAGTTCAGGAATAGAATAAGTCTCACGAAGGCAGGGGGTTGAGAATGAACCTGGTAGGATTGAAGGTCAGATGGCACTTGCCTGGAAGGAGGGGAAATTTGGTAAAAAAAAAAAATATAGCTAAGATATATTACAGTCTTAAAGGTAGAGAGTTTGAAAAATATGATCAGTTTATAATACTTTTCATCTGCCCCTATATAGAGGCTGGATCTAATAGTTAAAAATGAAAGTTTAAGCCAGAGTAGTAGTTAGGAGTACTGGACAGAAGAAAAGCCAGGTGTTGGGAACCGAAGAGGGCTAATCCATGAGATGAGAAGAAAAGACAGGGGCCATGACCTTGAGGAGGTAAGCTACAAAGGATCAGAAAGCCATTAGCATGAATAGAAGCCTAACAAAAATTTAAAAAGGGTGATGAGTTCTATTTGGCATGGTGAGTCTTTAAGAGTGATAGTACCTTTACAAAAGAAACCACAGAAGATGGGATCCCACATAGAAGAAGACAGTTAAAGGAAAAAGCATCCTTGCCTCTTGGAGCAACTAAACACAACCCATCATTAACATCAGAGTCCCCAGGTCCAATGTGGCACCCTTTATTTTTCCTCCAAATGTTCAGCATCGTTTATCTTCCTTTCTCGCGGATCCTGCATTTAACGGCTGTCACATTGCTTGGGAAACTTGATTGCAACACGGTCATTTCATGGGCACCAGTCAGAAGGCTTATACCAAAGTCCTTGCAAAAGACAATTTTCATATAAGATATGTACTTGTCATATCTGCGGTGAGCATCTGTCAGTCTCGTCATAGGCTGCACATAGAGAATTAGTTTATAATCCTTAACACTCCAGCTTCCCATGCTGCTCCTCCTGAGTGGATTGAGACATGCAAATTAAGCTTGTTTTATTTGATTTGCATTTGAGTAATTGCCTACTGTCCATAAAGTAATGATAAAACAAAAACCTTTTCCAAATTGACCAGCTTACCTAAAACCATTGAGAATAAGAGAGAGTCGAGCTATAAAATGCCTTTCAGAAATAAGAGGAGCCACGTTCATAAAACACATTGATTTCTTTCCTACTACAGAGCTATAAGCAATATTACCTGTGGAAAAAAAATAGATCAGAGATTTCTGTCATTTTCAAGGCACTGGTCCGGAAATCGGCAAACAAAACTTCAGCAAGATCTCCTAAATCCTCTTTACCAGCTGAAGCAGTTGGTTGCATTGCAAATGAAAAATTAAAAAGATAGGATCTTCAAGGTCACCAGGGAGACTATGTCGACCCCTTACCCCCAGAGTTGTCAGTAGAGTATAGCAGTTTTAAGGATGTGGACTGGAGAATTTGACTGCTGGTGTTCAAATTCAGGTCTGCTCACCATTAACTGTGTGAGCTTGGGCAAGTTATTTCACCTCTCTGAGCCTCAGTGCTCTCCTCTGTAAAATGGAGATAACAATATTTCATTCACAAAGAGGATTAAATGAGTCAATGTATTTAAAACACATAACATGGTGTCTGGCACACGGTAAGTATTCAATGGATGTTATGATTATAATTTCAATTTCTTTCCAGCCATATGGCCCTTTGTCATCAGTTTCATAGGTCTTAGCGGGTAACTATAATTCTAATGCTTATAATTATTAACTTTTCTTTATACAAAAGACATCACTTATGCTCTTGTGCCAAATGTAGCAGATGCTGTCATACCAATACTTTTTTACCCTTACCACTTCAGTGCCTGCCACCCCCAAATTCCTACTGCCAGCACCTGCATTTCTTTCCCTGGGGACTTTTTCTGGATTCCAAACTTGTTTTGCCAACTTGTATAGTAGGTTGGAAATGCTGAGAAATTAATGGCCCCAACCAAAGACTGATAGGAGTCAGCGTACTCTCACCTCTCAGGTGGGGTAACTCTGAAGGAGATGTCTTACACTGCCTCCAAGACTTTCCCCTGAAGACTTAAGCCCCAGACACTCTGTCTGTGGCAGCAAATGTGATAATGTTGTCTTTAACACGTGCTTACTTGTTTCACTGCTCCATTCTTCTATCACTATTTCCTTCAACTCTGAAACAAACTACTTATACTTGAATCCCTGTCTCAGAGTATATTCTTGTGGGAGCCCAAACTAAGATCTTCTCACAAACCTGTGAGATAATTAAGGGTAGACATCATAATTTTGCAGTTTCAGTAAGAAAACCGAGTTGCAGTTCATGTGGGTAGTTGGTAGAAGAGATTGGCCTAGAACCCATGTCTCTTGATAAACTGTGTTCTTTTTCTGTTACCAAGTATATATCACAGCTTTTTCCAGCTGCATGCAGACTAATAATGTCAGTAATTCCCTATTATCTTCCTCCTCATTGTATATCAGTTGGCCTCTGAAAAGTCTGTCTGGACCAAGCAGGAAATGGTCATATTCCAGCTGACTCTTATCACTGAACTTCCCTATGTGTGACATGCGTATTTATCAGTTTATACTTTAAGTGTATGATCTTAACAAGCCCTCTACCTAATGAACACTACATTATCTGCCAGAGTCTGGAAATGGATTGTTCTAGATCATCAAGAGTCTAGCTAATAAGGAAGTTCTGAATTAGCTGGAACTGATTTGTTTTTAACGTAGCACTTAGCATAGCGGTTGCACTAAAAACACATTAAGGTCCCTTTGATGATTTGGTCTCAAGGTCATGTACGAACACATCAATTCTTATTAGATTGAAAGACCTACAAAAGGTTGTTTTATCTTTTTAAGACTTTCCCCCACAACCCAAAAGGAAGGTACCCAATAACCCTGGGTACCATAACTGAAAGGCTACTTAAATAGAGCATCTGTTAGATGTAAGAGTACAAGAAGATTCTGCCCATTGAGGGCTCTTATTTGGAGAGCCTCCTTAATTAATGGCCATCTGGTCCCCCATGAAGGACTATAATTAAGAAAGCAATGTAGGAGCAGATACATCAGTTAAAAACTCGCCTGTGCTTGCCTTTCCTCCAAGATATTCAGTAGTCAGGTAAATGCCAAGGTCACATTGAGCTATTTGTCTTTTTCATAAAAAAATGGTTTGGGTGCAGAGGTTGGGATAAAATAAATCACTGATTGAATTAAGTGGCAGACACAGGACTTGCTAACATCTGAATGCCCCTCACTGACTCTGATTCAGCAGAGATCTGCTGTTTTCGTTGTCCCTGTTTTTTTCCAGTTGATTTTAGGCTCTGTATGACGGTAATAGAGGCACCCTGGATAGATGAAAGAACTGACCATCCTTGATCCTTAGCTTTGTCAAAAGGATCTGCACATGTCCATTTTTACTGCAAACATGAGGGAAAATTCCTGTTGTGGTTATTCCTTAAGATAATAAAGATATGTTCTTCACCCAAGCTCCCAGAGAGCATCTGCTGAGTTAGAAATCATCTCTATTGCAATGTTCAAACCTAGGGATATGACCAAACCATACGCTTCTCTAAGTATTTGCAAAACAACAAAAAACAAAAGGAGTGGCAACCTACCCCTTGCTGTCTAATGTCCTCCATCTGCAAGACCTCCGGGTGAAAGCCTTAAGAGCCCCAGGCATTAGGTACAGAGTGTTCCTATTATCAGAAAATGGGGTTGCAGCAAATGGCTACAAGCCACTAGTATGCTTAAATTATAGCCCTCCCTCAGCTATGCCTTTTATATATTTCTCTGAAAAAGGTGAAATAATAAAAGTATCATTTTAGAACAGTGGAGAGCAACATGAAACACATTGTCAACTACCTCCTGGCTTTACAGTAACTTTAATGTTACTGTACAACGTGACCCTTCACCTTTCTGAACCTTACCTTACAACAATAGCAACATTACATACCTGTAACATAACTAAGAACCAGGAGGTAAGCAAAGAGGGCATCTGAGCACCAAGTCTGTGCACTTTAACTCATGTGCTTCCTTAAAAGTGAGGCCCCATAGGCTGGGCGCGGTGGCTCACACCTGTAATCCCAGCACTTTGGGAAGCCAAAGTGGGCAGATCACGAGGTCAGGAGACCAAGACCATCCTGGCTAACACGGTGAAACTCCATCTCTACTAAAAATACAAAAAAAAAAAAAAAATAGCCGGGCATGGTGGTGGGCGCCTGTAGTCCCAGCTACTCGGGAGGCTGAGGCAGGAGAATGGTATGAACCCAGGAGGCGGAGCTTGCAGTGAGCCGAGATCGCGCCATTGCACTCCAGCCTGGGCGACAGAGCGAGACTCTGTCTCAAAAAAAAATAAAAATAAAAAAAAAGTGAGGCCCTATAGGACTTGATTCAGAATCTATATACATTTGCATTGTATGCATAATTTTAACCAAGTTTGAATGTTTTATTTCCAGTCTCACCAAAGATTAGAGACATCCTGTTAAAAGCTAGTCAGTGGATGTTAAAACAAAGATAACAGAACACCTACAGCACAGGGAGAGAAAAACTACGGAAAAGCTGGCAAAATAACTCTGCAGTCAGAGAACATTCAGTGTTTGTGCAAACGTTCATTCTTACAGCCTGTAATAGGTTCTGAGGGCATTGCTGGATACAGCACACTGAAAAGCTGAAAATCATAGTGTGGACCTTGAGTCATCAAGAAAAGATGAGACTGTATTCCATACAGTCTGCCTAAGGAGGCAACGAAGTGTACAATACATGTTAGAAAACGTTCTAACAAAAGCAGTTAAATTAAAACTTGTTGAAATGTAACGACGTAAATTTCTACACCAGAAAACTCTACTATCCAGAAAGATTCCTTTTTCAAAAGCTCCATCTCTTGCTGAAATTTCAATTGTTCTGACTTCATCATTTACAGCCTTGGTCATCTCTTGGTGGAAGACTATGATTTTGCATCTCATACTCCCTTTTGCAGTGGAAAAATACATGTGCATGGTTTTGCCAAGTTTTTAAACTCTTGGAAGAAGGGGGAATCTTTATTTTTAATTGCATATTTTGTATGCTTCTGGGGGTCACAAACTGTCCCCATTCTTATATTATCAGTGAATTTCCAATAAAAAACTAGTGCAAATTTAGACACCTCCCAAAATGAAGGAAAATTACCCACAATGCATCTTTGCAGTAGAAGGTTGGCCCAGTTAGATTATGCAGCAATTTGTGTGATTTCTCATCTGGACACTCAGCACTTAGTTCCCATTTCACCTCTACCAACTGAAGCTTTGACAATTTGTCTGACAAGTCCATAACCTAACTTTTTTTTAAAAAAATGCAAAAGAAACAGAAGCTACCTATGTTTGTAAGGTACAGTTCAGAGATTGTAGAAAAGGGTAAGAGTAATAGACCCAGAGCAGAGGGAAACAGAATTAAGACAAGAAATTGTATAACTTAGTTCTAAAAGCTACTGTGAGGGCTAAAAAGGGACCTATAGGGGATGGCAATGCTGGAAGAAAGATTTAGGGGGAAAAAGATAAGGTCAAGAGGGCAAAAGAAAATTGGTATGAATGTCCCAATAAATAAAATAGTCAGATTCTAGAGGAAGTAGCCAGTACAAGCCGGATAGAGCAAATATGATTAACTATTTTTGCCAATCTTTGGTGACAGTGGTGCATAGGGGCATTAGAGAAGCAGCAGGTATAATCTTTGAATGGATCTGGGCCTTTAGTGTTAAGGAGTCCAGACTAGAAAAGCTAGGTGAACTGTGAAAAAAGGATAAGTAGGGTCTAAGAGAAGATCCACCAGGTAAACCTAGAATACCAGAGGAATTACCTAGGATGATAGGAATGTAACATTTCAGAGCTGTGCTTAGGAAAGAAGTATATTTTTCACTGAACAAGCAATGTTTACAATTGATAGAGAAAGAAGGAAGAAAGAAGAAAAAATGACCCAAGGAGATAATAAATGCATCATTGAAAGCAATTTTGAGGGGACACATTTTGAAAGAAGACTGCAATTTAGTCACCAGACTTTGCTTGAAGCCTTGCTCAATTTCCTTTCCCATTGCCTTGATCATTAGTAGAGTCTTTCTCACTACTCAGCAACAGTCAAATACCCATGAGTATCCTCTAACTCTAAGCAAGGGTTTCTGTGTAGGGAAGACATATGGAGACCAGCGTTGCTTATAAGGGTCTCTGTGGAGAGAAGGGTCTGTAGTTGGCAGAAGTGATAGTCTTCTCAAGCCAAGCCTTACAAAACAAGCCCTGGATTCAGTGGCCCAGATAACTGTTTGTTGGTAAGAGTGACATCAGCAAAATAGCAGAATAGGCAGCTCCAAACTCCCATTGCTCCACAGAAACATTGAAAAGCAAGCAGAAACTGTCACAACCTTGTCAAAACTCTGGAAAATAGTCAAAGATGTACAGAAACCAGGTATATGCTGAATCAAGAAAAAGGCAACTTCCTACACATTAGGAAACTTTTGTGGCATTTATTCCAGCTCTTGTCCCACCTCCTCCCTAGTTTGGCGGTGGTCTTGAAGGTGGCAAATCACATTTCTTGTGTGGGACCCTGGTCCCTGATTCCAGAGGGAGTGGAACAGACCTTATCAAAGGATTATTGTGTTTGTCTGTTCTAATCTATGTATGGGCTCCCCAAAGGGCTGATGCAAGGCACTCATCTTCATTTCACCTAACTCAGAAGTCACTCAGTGTGAAAGTGGTGGACATTTCTCAAAGGTGTTGTAAGGCAAATGAAAATCCTGTACCCAACTGGGGTGAAAGATTATGGTTGAGGCAAATAGTAGACCACCTAAAGCCTAGAAGAAAAATCTGGGCATAAATTTTCTTTGGGAAATTAGGAGATTCAAAATCACCCATGTATACTGGGGAATTAAAAAGTTATGCATATCCCCAGAGTAGGACACATGTTCAGAAAAGACTTAAGAAGACTCTAAGCTTTCACATCTGGCTGCTTTCTGGGCTCAGTATAAGCAGGAAGTGAAGGCTAAGGCAGTTTCAGACAGCTGGCTAAGTGTTGAAGGAATGCCCCAACACAGAGCTAATCTTATATATATACATATATATATATGTGTGTGTGTATAACATATAACATAATATAGGCCGGGCGCGATAGCTCACGCCTGTAGTCCGAGCACTTTGGGAGGCCGAGGTGGGTGGATCACGAGACCGAGATCGAGACCATCCTGACTAATACGGTGAAACCCCGTCTCTCCTAAACATACAAAAAATTAGCCAGGCATGGTGGCAGGCAGCTGTAGTCCCAGCTACTCGGGAGGCTGGGGCAGGAGAATGGCGTGAACCTGGGAGGCGGAGCTTGCAGTGAGCCAAGATCACACCACTGCACTCCAGCCTGGGTGACAGAGCGAGACTCCATCTCAAAAAATAAATAAATAAAATAAAATAAATAACATATACACATAAGATAATAATCAAAGATATATTCTTCACCCAAGCTCCCAAAGAGCATCTGCTGAGTTAGAAATCATCTCTGTTGCAATGTTCAAACATAGGGATATGACCAAACCATATGCTTCTCTAAGTATGTGCAAAACATATATATATATATATATGAGTTCAAGGACATCTCTGTCAAAGCAGTAGCTAAACACAAGATAAAGAAACAGAAGACTTAACTGACCACACGTGACAGATAATACAGTCTTTACAAAAATAGTTTGGAAAAGTAATTAAACAAATGGATGACTCTAGCTTTCCACAATCAAAAATAGCAAACCCTAGAGAAAGGGGAGAACCTGATATCCAGAGTAGCCACCTTATAATATTCAAATATCCAGTTTTCAACAAAAATTCATGAAGCATACAGAGAAACAGGTAAGTATGACCCATTCATGGGATTGTGGGGAATAGAAACTGTCCCTGAGGAAGTCCATTGTTAGGGAGATTTATAGCTCTAAGCTCTTACATTTTTTTTTTTTTAAAAAAAAAAAAGGAAAACTTCAAATCAACAGCGTCACTTTACATCTTAAGGAAATAGAAAAAGAAGAATAAAGCAAACCCAAAGCTAGCAGAAGGAAGGAAATTAATAATGATTAATCAGAAGTAAAATTAAGGACATAAAAATAATAAAGAGAAACAATGAAACCAGAAGTTAGTTGTTTGATAAGATCAACAATATTGACAAATCTTTAGTTAGACTGAAAAAAAAAACGAGAAGAGATATTAATGAAAAAATCAGAAGTGAAAGCAACTTCATTACTACCAACTTTACAGAAAATAACAAGGATTATAAGAAACTACTATGAATAATTATGTCACAACAAATTAGATGACCTAGATAAAATGGAAAAATTACTGGAAACACACAAATTACCAAAAAGATCATATTAAATATCATATATTAAAACATTATACACTATGACTAAATGAGATTTATCCCAGGAATGAAAGTGTGGTTCAACATAAAAAAAAAAATCCATCAATGTAAAACATTACATTAAGAGAGGGACAGAGAAAAACCACATCTTCATCTCAAATGATGCAGAAAAAGCTAACAAACAAATGCATCAAAGTTTCAGAACAAAAATCAACATACAAAATCAGTTGTGTTTCTGTACATTGGCAATGAAGTATCCAAAAAGAAAATATAAAAATAATTTAATTCACCATAGTATGCAAAAAAATCAAATGTCTAGGAAGAAATTTAACAAAAGAGGTGCAAGTGTTATACCAAAAACTAAAAAAAAAAAAAACAAAAAATGATAAAAGAAATTAAAGAAAATCTCAATAAATGAAAAGACATTCTGCATCATGGATTGCAAAACTTAATATTGTTAGGATTTCAATACTGCTTAAAAGGATCTACAGATTCAGTGCAATTTATATCAAAATCAATGGCATTTTTTGGCAGAAATGGAAAACCTTATCCTCAAATTCATATCAAATTGCAAGGGTCCCCAAAAATGTCAAAACAATCTTAAAAAATAAGAATAAGTTTCGTGTGCTCACATTTTCTGTTTTTAAAAACTTACTACAAAGCATAGTCCTAAAAACTAATGTGGTACTGGCATAAGGAGAGACATACACATCAATGGAATAGAATTGAGAGTCCAGAAATAAACTCATAGATCAATGGCCTATTGCTTTTTAACAAGGGGGAAACAATAGCCTTCTCTTTTTTATTGAGATGGGGGTCTTGCTCAAACTTGCTTGTGGGCTCAAGCAATTTTCCTGCCTCAGCCTCCTTATTAGTTGGAATCACAGGCACATGCCATTGTGCCTGGCAAGAATAGTCTTTTCAACAAATGGTGCTGAGATAACTAAATATCCACATGCAAAAAGACGAAATTGCACATACTTCACACCATATACAAAATGGGGCAGCAACCTAAATATAAGAGCTAAAACTATAAAACTCTTACAAGAAAACATAAGGGTAAAATCTTCATGAAGTTGAATTTCACAAAGGATTCTTAGATATGAATACCTAAAGCATAAGCAACAAAAGAAAAACATAAATAATTTGGACTTCATCAAAATTAAAACCTTCTGTGCATCAAAGGATATTATCAAGAGAGTAAAAAGACAACCTATAGAATGAGAGAAAATATTTTCAAATCATATCTCTAATAAGGATCTGGTATGCAGAATAAAGAACTCCTGCTACTCAATAACAAAAAGATAAAACCTCTATTTTTTTAATTATACTTTAAGTTCTAGGGTACATGTGCACAACATGCAGGTTTGTTACATATCTACACATGTGCCATGTTGGTGTGCTGCACCCGTTAACTCGTCATTTACATTAGGTATATCTCCTAATGCTATCCCTCCCCCCTCCCCCCACCCCACTACAGTCCCTGGTGTGTGATGTTCCCCACCCTGTGTCCAAGTGTTCTCATTGTTCAATTCCCACCTATGAGTGAGAACATGCGGTGTTTGGTTTTCTGTCCTTGCAATAGTTTGCTGAGAATGATGGTTTCCAGCTTCATCCATGTCCCTACAAAGGACATGAACTCATCCTTTTTATGGCTGCATAGTATTCCATGGTGTATATGTGCCACATTTTCTTAATCCAGTCTATCATTGATGGACATTTGAAAACCTCTATTTTAAATTGGGCAAAAAACTTGACTATGCATTTCTCCAAAGAAGATATATGTATGGCCAAAAAGCATATGAGAAGATGTTTATCATCATTAGTCATTAGAGAAATGAAAATCAAAACCACAGTGAGAGAGCTCACACCTATCAGGATGTTTCATAATTTTAAAAAAGACAAAAACAAGCATTGATGAAGATGTACAAAAATTGGAACTCTTGCACCTTGCTGGTGGGAATGTAAAATGGTTCAGCCACTATGAAAAGCAATTTGGTAGTTCTTCAGGAAGTTAAACATAGAAATGCCATATGAATCCATATTTCTACTCCTAGGCATATACGCTATGTAACTGAAAACAGGTACTCAAGCAAGCATATGTACATACATTCCTAGCAGCCCTATTTATAATAGCCAAGAGATGGAAACAACCCAAATGCCCATCAATGGATTTATGTATGGATAAACAAAGTCTGGTTGATTCCATATGTTGTCTATTGTGAACAGTTCTTCAATAAACATAGGAATGCAGGTATCTCTTTGACATACTGATTTCCCTTCTTTTGGATACATATCCAATAGTGGAATTACTGGATCATATGAGAGTTCTATTTTTTTTTTTTTGAGGAACCTTCATACTGTTGTCCATAATGGTTGTACTAATTCACCTTCTCACCAGCAGTGTGTAACAGTTCCCTTTTCTCCACACCCTTGCCAACATTTGTTGTCTTTTGATTTTTTTGATAGTAGCCATTCTGACTGGAGTGAGGTAATATCTCATTGTAGTTTTTATTTGCATTTCCCTGATGATTAGTGATGCTGGGCATTTTTTCATATGCCTATTGGCCACCTGTATGTCTTTATTGGAGAAATCTCTATTCAGCTCTTTTGCCTATTTTTAAATCAGGTTATTGGTTTATTTGTTGGTGAGTTGCTTGAGTTCCTTACCTATTTTGGATATTAACCTTTCATCAGATGTATAGTTTGCAAATGCATTCTCTTATTCTGCAGGTTGTCTCTTTGCTCTGTTTATTGTTTTTTGAGATTATATATATATATATGTAATATCAAAGTCTATATGAAATATATATATATACAATGGAATATTACCTAGATTTAAAATGAAATGAATTACTGATACATGCTACAACATGGATGAACATTGAAAACATTATGCTAAGTAAAAGAAGTCAGATACAAAAGGTCACATATTGTATGATTTCATTCATGTGAAATATCCATAATAGGTGATAATATTATCTATATCTATAGATATATATACATCTATGTATATAGATATATATCTATTTATCTATGTCTATATCTATGATAATATTATCTATATCCATAATAGGTGAATTTCACCTCAATAAATTATTTTTTTAAACTTTGCTGGTGCTCAATATGTATTTTAAATGTTTATTTTTTAGTTAACTCCTATTAACATAATTAAGAATACACAGCTTCAGCAAACTGAAAACAAAATTAGCCAATAAACAGGTGCAGAAATTGGAAACAGTAAGATTGGAGGGAATGCTCACAGTTAAAATGACAATAAAAGCACTGTCTGAGTTTCATAGCCAAGAAGCAATTCCCAGATGCCTGTCCTTGGTTTGAGTAGAGCAGGGAAGCTATTACTCAGACCTTTCATTCAAGGCAGGGACTGGAGGGAGCAGGAAATAATCCTTTAATTCCATGTCTCAAGGAGCTGGGGGTTTTGTCCCCTTTTCTTTTCTGCAGAAGATAGTTCATTGTGTTCATCTGCCCTAGGGGAACCTCCGGAGAGTTGGAGCCAGGATTTAGAAAAAACTAAGAAAGATCGAGATTTCCCTGCTTATCAGAACTCTTATGGAAAGCAATAACTGTGCTTTTAATGAAGGCTGAGTAGTATAGTGGAATAGACATTAGGTTGTAGAGCCAAAAAGACCTGATTTCAAATCCCAGCTCTGCCCCTTAATAGCCATGTGATGTCAAGCTATTTACTTAGCTGACTCAAACTTCAGTTTCCCCTTCTGTTACATGTAGATGTATAACCCTGCAGGATCCTTGTAAGGATTAAGTGAGATAGATATAAAATACCTAGCACAAAGCTGGGCACACAGTGGGTACTCAACACTAGTTATTTTTCTTCAGTCAAATAACAGATGTCCTCTCCATCCCACTCCACCTCTCTTGCAAAAATAGTAATTAGAATTGATTGATGATGAAGTATAGTAGGCCAAAATTTCAATTAGAAAGGATACTTAAACAATTATATAGGTGATGGATGCAATGCTTTTTCACATAGTAAAACATTCTGTGTGAAAGGATAGAAGCAGATTCCTCCAGGAGAGATCAGCAAAATGAGAGAAAGACAAGGCTGATGGACAAATCCATCCCAGAATTCCTGTTTTTTTCTATTGTCCCCACAAGAAACAAAAGCTATCCACATCCCATAAGCAATGGGAAGCTCAACAAACAGATTCATCACAATCATTTGAGCAAGAAGAGTAATGGTTTTCTTATCCTCCTTATGAGGCTCCAGGATTCGGAATGCTATAGCGATTAACAAGAATGTGTGTGTGGGTTGAGAAAGATGTTGGTTCAAATTCCAGATCTCTCACTTACTAGCTATGGACTTCGGGCAAGTCACATATCTTCGAGGCTTAGAGTTCTCATTTATAAATAATAATACTTAGCTTGTAGGGTTATTGTATGTATTACACAAGATGATACATGTAAAGTGCTTAGCACAATGCCTAGTACTTAGTCAATGACCAAAAAATATTCATTTCTGCTCTCTTTTTAATCACATAAAATTCTACTCTGTTTTACAGAAAGGAGCTCTTTTTAAAGATGAGGCTATCAGCTGGGTGCGGTGGCTCACGCCTGTAATCCCAGCACTTTGGGAGGCCGAGGTGGGTGGATCACCTGAGGTTGGGAGTGCCAGGCCAGCCTGACCAACATGGAGAAACCCAATCTCTACTAAAAATACAAATAGCCAGGCGTGGTTGCACAAGCCTGTGATCCCAGCTACTTGGGAGGCTGAGGCAGGAGACTCGCTTGAACCCGGGAGGCAGAGGTTGCGGTGAGTCGAGATCGCGCCATTGCACTCCAGTCTGGGTAACAAGAGCGAAACTCTGTCTCAAAAAAAAAAAAAAAGGATGAGGCTTTCATGAAAACGACTCATTATTCTACCTTTCTTCTAATTTTGAGTATCATTTAAGGGTCCTCTACTTTGGGTTATATAGCTACCTATTATTCTGTCTCAATTTGAAAGTTGAGAGACAGTTCACTCCAGTTAAAATGGCTTACACCAAAAAGACAGTCAATAACAAATGATGGTGAGGATGTGGAGAAAAGGGAACCCTCTTGCACTGCTGGTGGAAATGTAAATTAGTACAACCACTACGGAGATCAGCTTGGAGATTCCTCAAAAAACTAAAATAAAGGTGCTGTACAACCCAGCCATCCCACTGCTGGGTATAGACCCCAAAGAAAAGAAATCAGTACATCAAACAGATGCCTGCACTCCCATGATTGTTGCAGCACTATTAGCGATAGCCAAGATTTGGAAGCAACCTAAGTGTCCATCAGCAGATGAATGGACAAAGAAAATGTGGTACATATACACAATAAAGTACTACTCAGCCAGAAAAAAAGAATGAGATCCTGCCATTTGCAACAACATGGATAGAATTAGAGATCATTATGTTAATTGAAATAATCCAGGCACAGAAGACATTATATTACATATTCTCTCTTATTTGTGGGATCTAAAAATCAAAACAATTGAACTCACAGACATAGAGAGTAGAAGGATGATTACCAGAGGCTGGGAAGGGTAACGGGGGGTTGGAGGGAGGGTGGGGATGGTTAATTGGCACAAAAAGAAAACAGAAAAAATAAGTAAGACCTACTATGTGATAGCACAACAGGGTGACAAGAGTCAATAATACATTGCGTATTTTAAAATAACTAAAAGTTGAAAGGCAAGAAGCTTTTGTCAGCAGAAAATTCAACAAATTAAAAGTTAAAAGCAACAGATAAACAACAGATGCTGGAGAGGATGTGGAGAAATAGGAACACTTTTACACTGCTGGTGGGAGTGTAAATTAGTTCAACCATTGTGGAAGACAGTGTGGCGATTCCTCAAGGATCTAGAACTAGAAATACAATTTGACCCAGCGATCCCATTACTGGGTATATACCCAAAGGATTATAAATCATGGTACTATAAAGACACATGCACATGTATGTTTATTGTGGCACTATTCACAATAGCAAAGACTTGGAACCAGCCCAAATGTCCATCAATGTTAGACTGGATTAAGAAAATGTGGCACATATACACCATGGAGTACTATGCAGCCATAAAAAATGATGAGTTCATGTCCTTTGTACGGACATGGATGAAGCTGGAAACCATCATTCTAAGCAAACTATCACAAGGACAGAAAACAAAACACTGCATGTTCTCACTCACAGGTGGGAGTTGAACAATGAGAACACATGGACACAGGGCAGGGAACATCACACACCAGGGCCTGTCATGGGGTGGGGGCCTGGGGGAGCGATTGCATTAGGAGAAATACCTAATGTAAATGATGAGTTGATGCGTGCAGCAAACCAACATGGCACATGTATACCTATGTAACAAACCTGCACGTTATGCACATGCACCCTAGAACTTAAAGCATAATTTAGAAAAAAAGAAAAAAAAAAGTTAAAAGCACTAAGTTTCATCCCAGCTTTTCTAATAACTAGCACAGCATCTTTCTGGGCCTGTGTTTGTATATAGTGAATAAGGATCTTTGAACTTGAGTATTCCTTCCAGTTTTAAACTTGCATGAAACTAATTATTCAGGCCAACAATAAAAGACAAGTCACCACTTTGCTAGCAAGAAGAAAAGAAATATGTACATGGGGATATTTGAGGGACCTTGAGAAGTCAACCAGTTTGCTTAATGCTAGGATGATTTAAGTCTGACACCTGGGATAGAGATCCCATACATTCTTTGTTGATGTTCTCTAAGGTTTTTCTCCCTGAAAGTAAGCCTCTGTGATTTATATGTACGGAATAAGTAAAGTATGCAAATATCATAAGTATATAATAGTCACTGCACTGATGCAGTGAATCAACCTATATTCTGAGACATGATGGGCTCTGCAGTATGAAATAACTTTGAGGTACTCGGCCAGGCGCGGTGGCTCACGCCTGTAATCTCAGCACTTTGGGAGGCCAAGGTGGGTGGATCATGAGGTCAGGAGATCGAGACCATCATGGCTAACACGGTGAAACCCCGTCTCTACTAAAAATACAAAAAATTAGCCAGGCGTGGTGGCGGGCGCCTGTAGTCCCAGCTACTCAGGAGGCTGAGGCAGGAGAATGGCGTGAACCCGGGAGGCGGAGCTTGCAGTGAGCCAAGATCGCGCCACTGTACTCCAGCCTGGGCGACAGAGCGAGACTCCATGTCAAAAAAAAAGAAAAGAAAAGAAATAACTTTGATGTACTCATAAAAGAGGATCCAGAAAGATAATTTGTTATTTGGTCTGAAACTTAAACATAATCTGCTCTCAGGGCTGAGGGTGTTTTCTCCTATTATCAAGCCTATGTAGTTAAACTTTGGCCCATGTATTTTGAAAGATGAAGCATAACTAAACTTACAGAACTTCCCAATCATGCACACACATGCGCATACACACACAACATACACACACACATTTTCCTTTCCTCCTAAAGGAGACAGGATCTATTTTTCAAATTATATCAGTAAGATTTGATTCAAAGAACACATGAATTATCTTCACCCTATAGGTGGAGCAATTTACCAATACTACCAAGAATAGAGCTTCTAGAAGGCCAAAACTTAGAGAAGGTCACTAAAGGGCAAGTTCAGAGTCTCAGGATCAAGGGCAGAAATGTGGTAACTGTTGCTTCTGTCTCCCTAGTCCAGGAAAAAGGCAAGAAATTTCTTCAGATGAACAGAAAACTAAATGCCTCCATGGAAGCTTGTCCTCCTTGACCCAAATTTCTTTCTTTCTTTCTTTCTTTCTTTCTTTTTCTTCTTCTTTTTTTTTTTTCATGGTCTCACTGTCACCCAGGCTGGAGTGCAGTGCCAAATATCTTAATGTAGCAATTTCTCTCCACAAGGCAATATATAATCTAGAAATTCAATGTCATACACAATCACCGCCATTAAGAAGCTTTCAATCCAGCCAGGACTCTACACATACAAATAGAAGCATTGACTATAGGGTTCCATGATGGTCAGGAATGAGAAAATCAAAATTAAAAAACAACAAGCATAGACTATAAGAACTGAAAGAGGTTAAGATAATCTAGTCCAGTGGTTTTCGTACTTTTTGGTAGAATTTTTTAGGGTTCCATAGAAGGGCCTCAAACTATTGAAAAAGAGTCTAGGGCATTTCTTTGCACCTAGGAGGCTCTAGCTTCATGACCTTCTTTTATTTAACTTTATTTATTGTTTTATTTAACTTTTACTTTATCTTATTTAGTTCTACTTATATTGTTAGCAGAAAGGGTTCCATGACCAAAACAAAATGCTTGAAAACCATAGCTCTTATTCAAATTCTTCAATTAAAATATAAAGAAATGAAGGCCCTGAAAGGGTCCAGCAATCTGTCCAAAGTTTTTCTGTAACTAGCCAAGCCATGAAGTGTTGAAGAAAAGATACATTACCTTGTGACATCTCTGCTTCTTTCAAGTGCCAAATAAGTGCTGGAGACAAATCATGTAGGTGGATACAATCACAGGGGGACTTCAGTGGACAGAGAGTGCTTCATAAGGGAGATTGGGCTTGAACTGGGCTATGACCTGTGAGGAGAGTTTCAAGAGTTGGAAGGAGGGTATCATGGCAGAAGTACAGTCTAAATGAAGGTGCAGGGGCACTGATGCATCCAGGAGTGCTCTTATAACTGTTTCTTGTGGAAACGGTATGATTATGAAAGCTGTTAAATAATATTGAGAATAACACTATTGTGTGTTTGTGTCAGGTGAGACACAATGAGGAAGTAAAACCAAAATGCTTGAAATGAAA
Source organism: Homo sapiens (assembly GCF_000001405.40). Classification (NCBI taxonomy): domain Eukaryota; kingdom Metazoa; phylum Chordata; class Mammalia; order Primates; family Hominidae; genus Homo; species Homo sapiens. Next base: position 112,025,930 of record NC_000023.11, on the reverse strand, counting down.
GAAGTTTATTACTCACAGGTTCAAGAGGTTGAGGGTGCCAACAGGAGGCTAATAGGAAGCCTGGGGATAGCAGAGTGCTCAACCAGTGGATGGGGAGTGAGAAAGGGGGTATATCTGTGGGACTATGGCTTTATTAAGGTCCATGGGCATTATCTCTTAGGTTTTCCTGTGAGAATTGTGGATTGGCTAGTTTAAAGAAAACACACATGAAGAGGGATCTTATTCACATGACTCTGGTGTTCATTAGGTTTTATCATGATTACCAGCTGTGGAGTGTGCTGGGTTTGGGGTTAATGAGATGCGGAATTTGTGAACTATATTACAAACAAACACATGGAGAGTGGAAGTTTTAACTAGGTCAAAGGTGATGGGGGCATGACTAGGTTACCAATAACTTATGTCAGGCCAAAAAAAATGAATGCCAAGGCAGTGATTATATTAAACAAATTTACGACATGGTGTTAGTGACCTATGGTTCCTGCTCACCAAACATTTTGATTCTCATTCTGACAAAATCTGTTGCTACTGATCTTTTCAGAATGGTGTCTGTACTGGAGGATTCTGTCAAATCAGCTTTGGTATGAACCTTAATAAGCTATAATTTCTATAATTGGCATAACTGGCTAATTTTTCTTTTCATATCCATCAGCAAGCTTAGAGATAAAATACCAAATTTTATCCCATATACTGAAATACCATTATTTACAGTGCGTTTTGATTATCTGCAGCTAGACTTTTTTCATAATATCTGGGTACCCACTTCCAACACATAATTCTGTTTAATTGTCATGACCACAAAGACCATTCTTCCTGAAAGGCATTGTATCCCCATTTCTATTTAAAAGACACCAAAGAAAGCAAGGGGTTTGTGTTGTATTTGGTATGAATAGTTTCAGGGATGATTAACAAATGATTCTTGGCTAAAAGAAAGAAATGTTGGGAGTTGATATTATTGCATACTAGTGATGATTTAGTTGCTTTACTTTTTTAGCTTTACTATGGCATAGGCATAGAGTGAGAGAGTTCATTAGAATAATTTCTCTCTTTATTAAATGGAAGTAATCCCAGGGAGGTGACTTACCCAAAGTCATGTCACACATAAATTGAGTCAGGATTACAGGTCTCTTAATCATTCACAAAACTTCCTTTCTCTAAAATCACCCTAATTTGAAATATTTTCTGAAGTCTAGTAAGACTGCTTGAGACTTTCTTTCATCTTTTCTTGTGCTGTTCATGGAGCAGCACAACTTGACTGTGGAAGGGTAGGTGTATTAGTCAGGGGCCTCTGCAGGCACTTATTAAAAAATTGACTTGCATGATTATGGGGGCTGAGAGTCCCAAGACCTGCAAGCTGGAGACCTAGGAAAGCTGATGGTATAGTTCTAGTCTAAGTCTGAAGTCCTGAAAACCAAGAGAGCTGATTGTACAAGTTCTGGCCCAAAAGCCACAGGCTTGAGATCCAAGAAGAGCTGATATTTCAGTTCAAGTCTGCAGGTAGGAAAAGACTGATGTCCTAGTTCAAGTAGTCAGGCAGGAAGGGTCCCCTCTTACTCTCAGAAGGGTCAGCCTTTTGTTCTATTCAGGCCTTCAATTCATTGCATGAGGGCCATCCTCATTAGGTAGGGCAATCTGCTTCACTCAGTCTACCAATTCAAATGTTAATCTCACTCCAAAACACCCTCACAGACACACCCAGAATAATGTTTGACCAAATATCTGGACACTCTATGGCCCAGTCAAGTTGACAGATAAAATTAACCATCACAGTCAAGATGAGGGAAACTCTTCTTTTTGTAAAGGGAGATAGAACTTGGGAAATCATTAGTCTTCTGTCCTTCCACTCATAGAATGACCAGCATCTCCAAGCAGGCAGGTTCATTTTTAAGATGATTTAAAGGTGGATGAAGCTTCCAAGACCAGAGTTCCTATAAAAGAGATTTCTAGAGATTGAAGGCACCATTTCCCTAACTCTATAAATGAGGGAGGGGTGTAATATTGCTAGTTGGAACTGCTCTCACCCCCTTTTCAATTTTTATGTATTTGGGCTGATCTCACCATGCATTTTTCCCTCTGCTGGGGTTTGGGCAGAGTTTGGAGTAGCAAATATATGAGGATATTCAGCAAGGGAACCATAAGCCATGGAAAAACATGGAAATATAGCTGTAAATGGAGGCAGATTATAGATGCAGAATATAGGAACATGTCAGGAAAATAGTCCAGATATAGGAAGTTCATGGCAATTGCAGATAATAATGAGATAATAGGTCAGAGCCTGACAAGTAATCAATAGCAGACTCTAGAAGCTAAATGGCAAGCCAAGTCCAAGGAAAGAGTCAGAATAGTATAAATTGACACAAGGCTCCAAAGACAAGAAGATTTATAAACCAGACAACTTCTGTCTCTGACAGGAAGCCTCTTATACTTTTTTTATAGTAGTCTGGGGCCTGCTTGCCAGGATCTAGCCAGTTCAGGACCAACATTGCTGCAAGTCACAGAATCACGATCTTTGTCAGAAGTACCTGCCAAGGACTGTGAGAAACCCACAAGAGGCTGGAGGTTGGAAACAGATTTCAGTAGAAGGAGGTAAATTTGTAAAAAGAAGGCCAAAAAGAAAGGAGACAGAAAAGAATTTTAAAGTAACTAAGTCCTGTTTGTAAAAAAAAAAAAAAAAAAAAAAAAAAAAACAAAAAAAAAAACTGCTGGGCGCAGTGGCTCACGCCTGTAATCCCAGCACTTTGGGAGGCTGACGCTTGCAGATCACAAGGTCAGGAGATCGAGTCCATCCTGGCTAACACGGTGAAACCCCGTCTGTACTAAAAATACAAAAAATTAGCCGGGCATGGTGGTGGGTGCCTGTAGTCCCAGCTACTCGGGAGGCTGAGGCAGGAGAATGGCGTGAACCCGGGAAGTAGAGCTTGCAGTGAGCCGAGATCGCGCCACTGCACTCCAGCTTGGGTGACAGGGCGAGACTCCGTCTCAAAAATAAAAAATAAAAAAAAAAATCTTCCTCAATCCCCACAGACAAGTTTAACAGAGGGCTTCACATTGTTGTAATCAGACTACATAAATGCTAAACAATAAAAGATAGAAAATGTTAGTATTGTTGTCAGTAAAATTCATAGCAGTTAATCTTGTCCCAGTAAAATGTTACTTATGGTATATCCCCTGGCCATTAACATGTTTTTATTTCTTTTCTTGAGCTTAAGCAAAAGTGAAGGGCATTACCAGTCGAATTTTCTTTTTGTGGTTGTAATTTTGAAACTACTGTAAACTTTTCTTCCTCTCATAACCATGCCTTTTCTAGAGTCCATAGTCCCACTCCATGACAATTACACTACAAAGCAATGTACAGGTTTTAGTTATGATGTTCTGTCTGGAACGGTGAATGTGAACACTCACTCATCCATGCAACACAGGTATTGAGCTTCTACTATGTGTCAGGCATTGTTCTATGCTCTGGAGATACAGCAGTGGAAAAATGCACACAAAACTCTCCTCTCTCATAAAGCTCATGTTCTGGTGAACTTTCTAACATGCTGTTTAGAGGACCTGATAACTAGGACTTCTGGCCTATCATGGTACACACATGAAAAATCAGCTTTTCGTTTCAACCAAAAGCTCTTTCCTCTCTGCCTGTACTTTAATGGTTTAGTGGAATATCTCAGTTTTAGAAAAGCATTCCTATTCTCCATCAAAAATGATATAAGATTGGGAAAAACAGAAATCTGAATGTGACTTAGATCATACTTCTTATTGCATAAATACAGTATATCCTACCTCCATAGATTTCTTGTACTCTTATATACTCCAGAATGTATACCTGGGCTTGACTTCAAGCTCCTGGGCCTGCTGAAACCAGACCCTTTAGGGGCCATCATTCAGAATCTACAGATATTTACTGAACACCCATTAAGTGCTGGTCACATGGCTAGACACAATCAAATCATCATCCCGTTTATTCCTCACAACAATTCTGTAAAAGGTAAAGAACAGGTATTCTTAATCTTCACAGACTTTCGGTTTCTCAGCAAGATGTGCAATGACTTACCCAAGATCTATAAACCAGTAAGCATTCCATTGGAATATGAAAATCATTCTTTGACTCTATGATCTTGCCTCCCAGTGTTCTTATGGGGGACTCTTTTTCCCTATTGATCACCTTCATTGAAAACATGCATGCCGACATAACACACACAGTAGCCTTGGTCTTTATTTAGAACAGGTATATTCAATTATCCTGACTGTTCAATGTCTATTATTTCCTTTAGATTCCACATTTGCATGGGAACATCAAGTGGGGACAGCAAGGTATTGGTGATAATGAAAAGACCATTCACTAGTATATGACTGAGAGTTTGAACATCTTTCCCTATTCCATTTGGTATTGGTAAATCTGAGGCCTGAGCAGTTTCTCAGTAGAGATTCATGCAAAATCAGAGGAAAAGCCCCAGACATCTGTATGAGTAGCAAAATTTATGAATATTCTATTGTACCACTGGTTAGTAGGGAAAAGCCTTCAGTTATGACTCAACCTCAGAAGTTAATTAGATGGAAGCACCTATACTAATCTTCCGCAGGCCTCCCTGTGTTCTGTTTTTGTTTCGTTTATTCTACTTGCCTACTATACTTACTGTATGGGTTGACATAGTGGACATCATTTGATATTGTGAATCCAGAGGGTTTTGTGGACCACGAAGTCTGTTCTCAATTATATGTAAGGATGGGGAAGACAGAAAAAAAAGAGAAAAAGCTATAGGTGATAAATAATTCTTCATGGCTCAGTGGAATCAACTGTTTGTTTCTACCCCAGCTCCCACAGGACCTTTCCACAAAGCTTCTAACAACCAGAAAGCAAACTGATTTTCTGCCAGTTTCTTCCATTCTCCTGTGGCCCTGTGATGGAGGTGGTAACGAGGAAGATAAAGACCCTAAAGTCCAGTAGCAAATGGAAGTTATCAAGTGGCCTGAAGCATCAGGCAACTAGATAAATATCCCCAGAAGAGTTGAAAATTGACTGCTGTCATGAGTGGGAAAAGTCAGCTGCAGTCAGATTATTGATTATTTTGTAGTAGAAAAATTATCCCCAGTGTCTGAATCCTTGGAAAAATGAACAATGAAAAGAAAAGATTTTCAATAAATAACCTAAGCTGATTTGACAGGGATCTGAATCAGGCCCCTGCAAAGGTAAGAAATATAGGAGGCAGCCATACCTTTAAATTCAGTCTTTGACAGAGTCAGATATGATCATTGACGGTCACACCCCAGAGATTTCATTATTTTTAGATTTCATTATTTTTTCTGCCTCTGCAAAAATAATACTTGCTCATCTCATCACATTGATAATGTACTGTCAACACTGGAGAAACAAACTGTGTGTGTTTTTTACATTCAGGCCTAAGAATGTCACTCAGGTAAGGTTCCTTCAAGACCCTAGGATATTACATTTCCTTCTGTGTTCCTCATCAGATCCTTTTTAATGGTCTAATCAGAGAACTTTGAAGCTCAAAGGTAATTTCCATCCTAAGCTGTTATGATTACTCGCCTTCAAAGACCCAGAACCTCTGAGTCCCTGTCCTTAAAAGACTGTTCTCAAATAATTCCATCACTACTTGGTCCTGAAAGAGAAATAGAGCTGTGTCTTTGCCCAAGTTACTCACCTCTTAAACAATTGGTTTAAATAAAAATATACATCTGAAAAATGGAAGATTCAGCACAATTCATGATTTAACAACTAGCATTGCTGGGCATGGTGGCTCACACTTGTAATCCCAGCAGTTTAGGAGGCCAAGGCAGGAGGATTGCTTGAGCCCAGGAGTTCAAGACCAGCTTGGGCAACATAGTGAGACCCTGTCTCAAAAGAGAAAAACCTAGTATATTCAATGTTAGATACGAATGCGAGGATGAATCCAATGTTATATACAAAGTAGTTTTCTTTTTCTAAAACTTGAAGAATAAAAGTGTTTTTAGGCTTTAAGTTATTTCAGAATGCAGGTAGTCATGGAGAAGATGAGAAAGTTAGTTTGATGAGAGATTTTAAGCTCATCAGATCTCAAATGCTCCATTTTCCAGCCCTTCCAACAGTCAATAGATTCTAGAAAGAAAAAAAAATAACATGAGATGGCTGCCAATGATCACTACCAGAAGGCTTCCACTTGCTAGGCCTCCATTTCCTCATCTGAAAAATGGCGGAGTTATTGGCCAGGCACGGTGGCTCACGCCTGTAATCCCAGCACTTTGGGAGGCCAAGGTGGGCGGATCACGGGGTCAGGAGATGGAGACCGTCCTGGCTAACACGGTGAAATCCCATCTCTACTAAATATACAAAAAATTAGCCGGGTGTGGTGGTGGGCGCCTGTAGTCCTGGCTAGTCGGGAGGCTGAGGCAGGAGAATGGCGTGAACCCGCGAGGCGGAGCTTGCAGTGAGCCGAGATCGCGCCACTGCACTCCAGCCTGGGCGACAGAGCGAGATTCCATCCCAAAAAAAAAAAAAGGAAAACCGGGGGAGTTATTTTATATTATATTTAACATGCCATGCATTCCAGTGCTGGCATTGCCTTAATTCAAATGCCCCTTCACAGTTCCTGTGGCTACTTCCTCAATAGGCTTTCTCTAGCTTCGAAAGAATTGCCTCCTTCTGTAGACTCAAAGTTTCTTCTCATAATTTATTTCTCACTGAAATGATGGAGGCCCTTGTCAGAATTTCTGTGATAGGTGGAATTCTAAGATGGCCTGCCAATATTCTCAGTCGCTGGTGTATATACACCTTCTCCCAGTTATTCAATCCAACACCAATCTAGATACTGCTATGAAGGTATTTGCAGATGTAATTAAGGTCCCAAATCAGGACCTTAAGATGGTATGATTATCTAGATGGGACTAAACAGTTGCATAAGCGCTTTAAAAGCAGAGTTTTATCTGGCTGGTGAGAGAGGAAGTCAGAGAGACAGGATCCAGCTGACTTGGAAGAAAGCAAACATTTATCTTGTGAACTGCCTTTGGGAGCCACATGGCAAGATACTGTGGGAAGCTTCTAGGAGCTGAGAGGTCGCCAGCCAACAGCTAGAAGAAAACCAAATTCTGCCAACAAATCGAATGAAATGAGAAGAGGCCTTGAACCCAGATGAGAAATTCAGCCCCTGCCAGACACCTTGATTTCAGTTCAGTGAGACTATGAGCAGAAAATCAAAGCATGCTGTACCCAGACTTCTCACGCACAGAAACTGTGAATTAATACGTTTATGCTATTTTAAACCTTTAAGTTTTACTAATTTTTATGCCGCAATAAAAAACTAATATAGGTCCTTTTAACCATCAAGGCCTGGCTTCTCTTGGCTTCCCCACTTTTCTTGCTTTAAATTTCCCTTAGCTTGGGAATTATTTATTCTTCTTCACATCTCTTCTCTGAAAAGACATGAGAAAGATTTACAGATAATATATTTGTAAATGGAACAACATTACATGACGTAGCCACAGCCACAACTTCCTGTCATTAGTGAAACTAAAGACATGAAATATAGTAATATGAGTTAAATACTCAGTCACCCAGAGGAATGGAAAAATAAATCCAAAATGATTCCATGAACCTTTTAGCCAAAGTTTCAGCGTTCAATACAAACCTAGATATAATATCAATTCCTTTATTCAATTATTTAGAAATATTTAGCTAGCACTATGTCAGATAGCAGGGACACCATGATGGGCAAGACAGAAAAGGTTTCTGCCCTCATGGAGCTGACAGTCTAGTGCAGTGTGGTCCAGTAGAAATATAATACAAGCCACATTTGTATTAGGTTGGTGCAAAAGTAATTGTGGTTTTGCCATTTGCATTTATTACCTTCAAAGATGTCAATAAAAACCAAGTGAAATTATTTCAATGTAATTTATTTAACCCACTGTATCCAAAATATCATTCAACATGTAATCAGTATACAAAATTATCAATGAGATATTAGGCATTCTTTTTTATTGTACTAAGTCTTCAAAATCTGGTCTGTATTTTATACTTACTATGTATCTCACTTCATACTAGCCACACTTTAAGTGCTCAATAGCCACATGTGGCTCATAGCTACTGTACTAGTTTAATAAGTGTTAACCAGATGAATGGCAGGTAAAACGGTGTTCTAGAAGAAGGAAATAGCATAAGCAAAGGACCAGCAGTGCAAGAAGATGAATGTGCCCAAAGGCTAGAGGAAAGAAAGCAGAACATTTGCAGAAAAACACAAGTATTTCAGACGCTGCTGGTGTGTGGATGGGGAAGGAAGAAGAAAGGCCCAGCGCCCCAAGGTCCAAGGCCCAACACCTCACTTCCTGCTGAGATACTCTGTCAGCTCTGCTTCTTTCTACATTAGGTCCCTCATAAGTATATTCCTTTCTCTGCTTGGAAATTTTATTCTCTAAACCTCTCCTCCCAAGAATATCTAACCTCTCATATCCCGTAAAATAGTAGGCTTAATTCTGCCACATTATTAGTGGCAATCACCCAAGGAAAAGGCTATCACTGGGGCCGAAAATAGTTTTGCAGTGCCTCAGACATTTAGTTTGTATTGCCACCACTCTGGGCTTCTCTACCTGCCCCAGAAGTTTCTCTCTTCCTCTGTAAAAGTAGTAATAATCGTGGCTGGGCGCGGTGGCTCACACCTGTAATCCCAGCACTTTGGAAGGCCAAGGCGGGCGGATCACGAGGTCAAGAGATCAAGACCATCCTGGCCAACATGGTGAAATCCCGTCTCTACTAAAAATACAAAAAATTATCTGGGTGTGGTGGCACACGCCTGTAGTCCCAGCTACTCGGGAGGCTGAGGCAGGAGAATTGCTTGAACCCGGGAGGCAGAGGTTGCAGTGAGCCGAGATTGCACCACTGCACTGCAGCCTGGAGACAGGGCAAGACTCTGTCTCAAAAAAACAAATAAATAAAATTTTTTAAAAAGGAGTAATAATGATAAACAACAACTGCCACGTATTAAGTACTTAAAATGTGCCAAGCTAAGTGCTTTACACGGATTACCTCTTTTAACCCTCACAAGAGCCCTCTATATCAGGCTGCTTCATTATCTTTTGTTTACAGGCAAAAACTGAGGCTTAGAGTAGTGAAGTGATTTCATCAAAGTAATGCAGCAAATAGGAGGTACAGTTGGGATTCAAACCCAAGGAGTCTAAATTTGGATAGTTTACATTAAGTTATTGTGCTTCACCTCCCTCTACACACACATGCACACATGGGTGCATGCACAAGTACACACAGAGCAAAAGCTAAGGCTCTGGGAAATACATGGTCAAGTTCGACCGAGCCCTCAGGAGGGTGAGCTGGTGGTCATTCTGAGGAAAGAGAGATGAGAAGATGGTCTTAAAGTACTAGGATGTGGGACCAGGAAGAGAAAGGGTATCAGGACTGACCTGCCAACTATGCTTTCTGAGCACCCCTGTCTGGGCCAGGATTTATGCCAGCTCATCCTTACCTTGGACTATATAAGAGAAACACAGGTAAGAAAGACTGAATTGCTATTAAAGTTGATATTGTTGGGCCAGTCTCTCCTTGAGATACACACACACACACACACACACACACACTCCAACCTTCCAGAGGTGCTTCTCTGTACATTGTAATGTAATTGGTGTCTCAGGGCTACTGGGCCCATTTATTGCCTCTGTTCTTGCCTTTGATCCTCTAGAGAAGAGGTGATGGATGGCAAATGCAGGAGCCGCCTTGCCGGTCATTCTAAGCAAACAGAATCACTAACCAATTTCCTCCCAACCTCATCATCTCTGTCTAGTTGTTCCCCACCCCCATCTTTGTAGAGAATAATTAAACTTGCAAGCACTGGGCATTGTTACTTAAAGCTAACTGCAATATTCAAAAACAACCCCAAAGATTTTTTTTCCTGGTCTGCTGCCCTGGATTAAGGGTGGCTTTGTTTTGTTCTGATTTCTTGCTGCCTGTGATATCTAATTTGCCATTGTGCTTTAACAACAACTCTCTTTAAATACTAGAAGACAGTTCTAACCATGGCAGGGGGAGATGGAGGCAAAGACGCCCAAGCTCTACAGACACTGAATCAGGATAAACATCCTAATTATTTAACTCTTTCTTCAGCTACTGGCCTCCTCCTATTACCCAGGAGAACATTTGCTTAGTTCCTCTAATGCACACCATTTGTATTTCATCTGTCTTCGCAAATGGATACTTGGTAACTTTGATACAGCTCTACCCAACACAGCTGTGTGGGTGTGCAAACCCTTATAGTGCTTGAAAATTGTCATGGAGATTGAGGTCTAAAAAAATCAGCCATCTAAATTGTCTTTTAAGGGGCACCGGATGACGCGAATTGTGCCCCTTCCAACAGTGGTTTACAAAGTGTAATCCCTGAACCAGCAACATTCACACCACCTGGAAACCTAGAACTCTAAATTCTGGCCAAACATGGTGGCCCACACCTGTAATCCCAACGTTTTGAGAGGCCAAGGTGGGAAGATAACTTGAGGCCAGGAGTTTGAAACCAGCCTAGGTAAGAAAGCAAGGCCTCATCTCTACCAAAGAAAAAAAAAAATCCAGATTCTTTGGCCCCACACCAGCCCTACTGAATCAGAAACTCTGAGAGGGGGAAAATCTGCATGATTCAGGTGGCTCTGAAGCACGCTAAAATTTCAGGACCACCGAATCTAGAGTTAGAGAACCTGTGTTTAAAAGGCAAGAAGACCCCTGTCTCTCCTAAAAATACAAAAAATTAGCCAGGTGTGGTGGCAGGCACCTGTAATCCCAGCTATTCAGGAGGCTGAGGCAGGAGAATCAGTTGAACCTGGGAAGGGGAGGCTGCAGTTAGCCAAGATCATGCCATTGCATTCCTGCCTGGGCAACAGAGCCAGACTCTGAGACTATGTCAAAAAAAAAAAAAAAAATGGCAAGAAGGCAGAGTAGAGGGAAAAGCGGCTTTATTTTTAACAGTGGTTTTCAACATTGGATGCATACTAGAATCATCTGGAGAGCTCTAAAAATACTGATGCCCAGGTCTTACTCCTAGAAACTCTGACTTTGTTGGTCTGGTATGGGGCCTAGGCATTAGTATTTTTTCAAAGCTACCCAGGTAATTCTAATGTGCAACCAGGACTGAGAGCCACTATTTTTAGAAATATAGGGGAGGATGTCATCTGGAGATCTTTTACCTTTTCAGTTATAACCTGGTCCATGCCCTGTTTTGGATCAGGGGAGTGCTAGGATGGCTCATGAGAAATCAGGAGGTATTACCAGTTTGAGAAGGGGAAGGAAAGGCAGCTAACATGCACTGAATGTCTGCTATGCACCAAGCACTATGCTAGGCACTATATCCACACATCCTTGAACAGATAGATTTGCTGGCAGCAATCGCTGTTGAGCATCCAAGGGAAGGAATTAGAATAAGGAGATGATTAGTTCACAGGAGCACATGCAGAGAAGCTTCTCATTATAACCACTCAAGGAATAAACGAACAAAAAACTGTAAAGAGCCAAGCATATATTTGGGATGAGTTAGGTAGATCCCAGTTTAGATGCAGAAGGCTGGACTAAATGACCTAATATTTTTTCAAAATTTATTCTAGAATACTATGAAAAGGCATAATGTCAGATACAATCTGGAAGCTATTTCTGCACATTCAAAATGATGGAGAAAACTGAGGTACTATCTCCCAAACCATTCTCACTGAAAACTTTGAGCTGGCTCAGGCAACCTTAAAGAGGAACGAGGTTAAGTATTACACCCATTTTATAGACTAAAACAGTGGTTCTCAATGTATGGTCCCTGGACCAGCAGCACCAGCAGCACCTGGGAACTTGTTAGAAATGCAAATTCCCCATCCCCATCCCACTTCTACTGAATGAGATGCTCCAAGCTTGGGGCCTTGCAATCTGTGTTTTAACATTCTCTCAGGCAACCCTGATGCATGCTTGAGAACCGGTTTTAGAACCACAGTTTACTGAGTTTGTTCAACTGATCCTCAAGGGAGGAGTCATTTTTAAAATTTTTTTCACATCAGCAAGTATTCACTGAGGATCCTGCCTATCTATACCCCAACGATGCCCTTCTCTGAATTGTACTGGAAAACTAAGAGATGCAAGGCTGCAGGGAGGACTGGCAATGTGGCTGGCAGGAAATACTAGAGACTGAGGCTCCAAATCATATAATGTGCTTGTAGTGTGACCCTACAAAGATTACCTAACAACTCTGAGTCAAAATCTAGCACATGGCAGGTGTTCAGTAAAGATTTGGTAGCTAAATACCTGTAAGGATGATAGTGCTGAAGGAGACAGGATACAATGAAGGAAGCAGGAGTCAGACATATCTCAGTTTGGGCCCTGCCTCTGCCTTTGAACTAGCTCTCTGATCTTGAGCAAGGCACTTCCCATTTTAGCCTCAGTTTTCTCAGCTATAAGATGAGGGAGGGAGATTCTGATTACATGATCTCTATAGGCTCTGTTGACATCTAAACTGTTCTGTTTCAAAATGAGCCAGGCACGGTGGCTCAGGCCTGTAATCCTAGCCACTATGAGAGGCCGAGGCAGGCAGATCACCTGAGGTCAGGAGTTCAAGACCAGCCTGGCCAACACGGTGAAACCCCGTCTCTACTAAAAATACAAAAATTAGCTGGGCATGGTGGCGCACGCCTATAGTCCCAGCTACTTGGGAGGCTGAGGCAGGAGAATTGCTTGAACCTGGGAAGCGGAGGTTGCAGTGAGCTGAGAGAGCACCACTGCACTCCAGCCTGTGTGATAGAGTGAGACTCTGTCTCCAAAGTAAATAAATAAATAAATAACAACAACAACAACAACAAAATCTACACTATGATCTTGAGACAGTTTAGTGATCCAATTTCTATAAAGATAGGGCTATATAAATACAAAATGTACTGAAGCCTCAAGATACATTTTATATACAGGATCAATTTCCAGCACCCGGCAAAATACTGCTATTTAACACCAAAGGAAGTGGCTTAATAACTAGAGCTTTCAATTGTCTGAGTAGTACACAGGAGTATTTCCTCATGGTAGGAAGTTGTTTGGAGTAGCTGGGAAACATTATGCACAAATAACTGGGGCAAGCTGCTTGTGTTCATTAGGATCGTAGAACTGGAGGAACCCCTCAATAACCTTTAAACTTTTGAAGGTGAAAAGTATTAGCAAAGGGTCAAGAAAAACCCTACATACAGATTAACAGGAAGAAATGCAAATAGTGAAAAGAGCTAGGGCGATGGAAAGAGGCCAGACCCAGATTCAAATCCCTGCTCCACAGTAACTGTGTGAACTCAGACATGCCATTTAGCATCTCTAAGCCACAGACTCATCTGTGAAGAGGAGATAATAACACCTGCCTCATAAGGCTGTTCTGAGCATTAAGTAGAACAATGGACTACATAAGAGCCCAGTAAAGACACACCCCCATCCCACCAAGCTGAAATGCTCCATCAATTAGAGATGATGTTATTATTCTGAATTGCCTTTGCATGTGAAAGCAAAGAGAATTGTGAGATCCTGGCTGCCTGCAACTTCATCAAAAAAAAGAAAAAGAAAAAGAAAAGAAAAGAAAAAAAAAGAGACTTGACAAGAACCTGCTGCCTACTCTGTACAGGATATTGTGAGGCATAGCCAAGAAATGGTAGGTGGAATCACACCGAACTGCAGTATTTGACCATTTTACCGACAAACCCACCAATGTTATGTGGTTCAACCTAAGATAGGAGGCTGTCCCTTATTTTATATAAAGTCTGATCCTGTCAGGAAATGATTGATGCCCAGGAAAACAATATCAATCCCCAAATGTCTACCCAAGTCCTAAGTTGAATATACAGTAGACCCCGTTATCCATGGTTTCTCTTTCTGTGGTTACAGTTAGCTGTAGTTAATGGAAGTCTGAAAATACGTGAGTACAGTAAGATATTTTGAGAGAACATTTACATAACTTTCATGACAGTATGTGTAATAATTGTTCCATTTTATTTTTGATTACTGTTGTTAACCTCTTACTGTCCCTAATTTATAAGCTTTGTCATACGTATATATGTATAGGAAAAAACATAATGCTGTATACATGAAGTTTGATACTATCTGCAGTTTCAGGCATCCACTGGGGTCTTGGAACATATCCCTCCAGGGTACTGTAAAGCAAAATGTGCAGTGCAGGGAGGCAGCTGGTGACCCTAGAGGTAGCAAATGCTCTATTTTGGCTTAGTGAATGAACGGACTCACCACTATTTTGATATCAAAATAGCCACCTTTTAGCCACCCACCTGACCCCACTCTTTTCTTTCTCAGTCATGGATATGAGGGCAGTGGAACACTGAGCCCCTGCTGCAGAAGCCCTAGCATGCCAAAGCCCCCCACTGGGGAGCCTCCCAGTTCCAGGCAAAGGAATTCAGCACAGCCAAAGCAAGGTTGAGATGAATAACTGGATTTACTCCTTGAGATCCCGGGAGCCTCCAACGGGAACAGGCTGTTTCATAGGGCCAGTCTCAGCTGATAAGAGGCAGCAAATGACTCTTTCCAAGTCACAGTCATTATGATGCCTGTAACCTTTTTATTATAAAAATATATGCATATCCCGCAGAACCCTACTTACTTGCGCTTTCTTGGATGGCTGCTAGGTTTCACACACGCCAGATTAGATACATTCTGACTTGTTCAGGCACTGTCAGTTTAGGTCCTTTCCTCCTGGAAGCAACAAAACCAGGCAAAGAGATTAATAAGGTCCACTACATATAAGGAGAAATTGGGGGGCACTTTCTTAGCCAGAGGTTGCTCAAAGACAGCCCCATCCCAGTTGATGAACCAGTCTACCATGTACATGGTGTCTAGCTGATCCTTTTTTCCCCCTACACAGCCTGCTCAGACATAGCCTGTATTTTACCCTTGTCAAATGGGGGAGGGTAGCATGTCCCTTCTGCAGAGGATTAAAACCACACAGTTTCCAGCCTGGACACTGCTCATGCTCTCCCCTGAGGGAAGTGGGTAGTTTTCTGGCTGGCCCTCTCACAGGCAGGAAGTTTGGCTGCCATACATCCTCGGTTTCACATTTACTTAACAAACAATTATGTAACAGTTTCCATGTGCCAGGCACTAGTCTAGCCACTACACACATATCAACTCATTTATTATCCTCATAAGAACCCTGAGAAGTACAGTCACATGCTGCATAATGAAATTTCAGTCAAGGATAGACCACATATATGGCGTTGGTCACATAAGACTATAATGGAGCTGCCTTATACAGACATACCATTTTTTATCATTTATATCATTTATCATTTTTATTATATATAAATTATATTGTGTATAAATGATATTGTGTGTTAGATACACAAATACTTCCCATTGTGTTACAATCGCCTACAATATTCAGTACAGTAACATACTGTACAGGTTTGTAGCCTAGGAGCAATAGACCATAACACATAGCCTAGGTTCCTAGTAGGCTATACCCTCTAGGTTTCTATGAGTACACACTATGATGTTCACACAATGAAAAAATTTCTTAAGGAGACATTTCTCAGAACATATCCCTGTCATTAAGAAATGCATGGCTGTACGTACAGTTATTAAGCCCATTTTACAGATGAGAAGTCTGAGGCAGAGAAAGATGAAGTAACTTGCCCAAGGTCACAGAGCTGCTAAGTGGGAGAGCTAGGATTTGACCAGGCTACGATTTGAGCTGGTAAGTGGGAAAGCTGTAATTATCTCCCCTTCACAGATGAATCTGTGGCTTAGAGATGCTAAATGGCATGTCTAAGTTCACACAGCTACTGTGGAGCAGGGATTTAAATCTGGGTCTTTCCTCTTTCCGTTGCCCTAGCTCTTTTCACTATTGCATTTCTTCCTGATAATCTGTATGTAGGGTTTTTCTTGACCCTAGCTCCAGAGTTTGTTCTCTAAACTACTAGAGTATCCTACCTCTTGAAGTACGATTTTTTTTATTATACTTTAAGTTCTAGGGTACATGTGCACAACGTGCAGGTTTGTTACATATGTATACATGTGCCATGTTGGTGTGCTGCACCCATTAACTCGTCGTTTACATTAGGTATATCTCCTAATGCTATCCCTCCCTGCTCCACCCACCCCACAACAGGCCCCGGTGTGTGATGCTCCCCTTCCTGTGTCCAAGTGTTCTCATTGTTCGATTCCCACCTATGAGTGAGAACATGCAGTGTTTTTAAGGGATAGGTAGAGGCAGAGGGAAGGGCAGAGGCTCTACCCACAGATGCAGCCACTTTCACCAGGTCTTGAATTGAGAGGCACTAAAGACTTCTGCTCTAAAATGGTTTTCCCTTGCCTTTATGCGTCAGAGTTCATGCTGTGCTCCCTCTTCTGAGGCATCCAAGGTCCTCACTTAATTATGAATAAAACTTGGCAGGAACAGTACAGTTATCATTGGTCATTAACACCCAGACCCAAAGCATGTTATCACATTCAAAGTCAGGCAGACTTCTGAGAATCTGGGTCCCTGAAGAGGCAAGTTGTGAAGATGAGGAAGAGAGTTTAAGAAAGGTCTATGGCTGTCAAAGCTGCCTAGGAGAGAAAGGCCTGAGGATGATCATGATGAAGATACCCGAAGCAGCCTAAGGGATTTTATGAAAATATTGGGTGCCTCAGCAGCAAGACCCTACAGGAGGAAATAAGACTACACTGAAAACAGACTTTACTCCTTCCCGGTTTGGCCCCCGCAATCTCGATTCATAAACTACACCCAACTCAAACGTGACACATGGCAGCTAGGTTCTCTTCTGCAGTGGCAGAGGATCCCAGGTTAATAAAGAAGGCCCGTGGTTAGGCAAGTGTCCAAACTCACACTTGTCCTCTTCTTGGCTGTGTCAAAGATACAGTCCTCAGTGAAGCCTGTCCCTAGCTCCCCCACGCTAGGGCAGCATTTGAGAAAACAAAGCAACATTAAAGCATCCAGGTCAGAAGGCACAAGAAAACCCTCACATGGTCTGGATAAGCCAGGGTTATTGACTGTGGCAGTGACAGGCAGATCCTCTCAGACGGTTACAACCCAGATTCCCAGCTGGTTGTGGTTGCACAGCCCACACACTCTAACGACTCAGCTTCTCTCAATATGATTAAGATTATGATTAATCTTTCATTTATCAAACATTTGATATGTGCCAGGCACTGTTATTAGTGTTTTACATGTATGAACTCATTTACTCTTCACAATTATGTTATTACGTAGTTATTATTATGCCTAGAAAAACTGATGCTCTGAAAAATAGCAGGCCAGAGGTCACACAGCTACAAAGTGGAAAATTGGGGTCTTTCTCTCCTCTGTCTCAAAAGTCACCTTCTCTCTATATTTTTTTTTTTTTTTTGAGACAGAGTCTTGCTTTGTCACCCAGGCTGGAGTGCAGTGGCGTAATCTTGGCTCACTGCAAGCTCCACCTCCCGGGTTCACACCATTCTCCTGCCTCAGCCTCCCAAGTAGCTGGGACTACAGGCACCCACCACCGCACCTGGCTAATTTTTTTTTTCTTTTGTATTTTTAGTAGAGATGGGGTTTCACTGTGTTAGCCAGGATGGTCTCGATCTCCTGACCTCGTGATCCACCTGCCTTGGCCTCCCAAAGTGCTGGGATTACAGGCATGAGCCACCGCGCCCAGCCATCACCTTCTCTATTTCTAAAATACAATAAGGTTCATACAAAAGGAGGTGATTTCTGCATGAGGCTCTATTGGTCTTTTATCTCTCATCAAGGACCCAGCAGCTTGGGGATCAAGGAGGAAGTTGGCCAAGGCCACTCACATCATCCACCAAGGCACTAATCTCCTCACTTATGTCCAAGCCAGGCTCTTCTTATGAGAGGAACTAATCTATGAGCATGTGTTTGGTGGGTTTCACCTTGGATATAGTGGAGGGCTACTTTCTTTGTAGGGTGCTATTTAGAGTATAGCTGGACACTTTACAAGACAGGAGACAAACAGGGAATGGCCAGCAGGATGTACGGTGGCTATGTGATGAAATTCCTCTCCCCTTAACTCCCCCTACCACCCATATGGTTAGCCCATAATTGGTAAACTCCGCCATTCTGGTCCTTTAATATGGAACTACCCTACCACTGGTCAACAAGCAGACTTGCCAGGCTGTGCTGGGACTGAAACCTCTCTTATTCTTCTGGGTCCAGTCAGTCCCTTTATCAGAGTGACCTGGATGGAGAGCAAGGGCATCTGCTTTGGAGCCATTTAAAGGCTCCTAGAGTACCTCTGTGTCCTAAGGGGCAGATTAGAAAGAACAGGGCCAAGGAAGTGCTGAGAATATAGGGGAGACTAGAAGTCAAGGTAATGAATGACTCTGTTATGCCGGCCTACCACAGTGTACCTGGAATGATCTTCAGGATCTGCACAAACCCTTAGGTGTGGAGGGAGGGAGAATTGATTGCTGTGTGCTCTGTAACTGAAGCCCATGTAGGAACTCCCTTTATAGTCCAAAGAAAGCATATTGAAGGAAAGCTTACTTGTCCTGGCTCTGGCTCCCTGAAACAAACTAAAAAAATCTCTTAAATCTCTCTTCTCACAGGGAGGAAACAAAACATAGTTTCATGGCAAAGCAAGAGACCATGTCACTTAAGGGACAGTATCCCATGTGAAATAGTAACATCCATACTCATCTAAACACCAAGTATGCAGATGGAACTGAGTAGGTTTCCAAAGCAAATTTATCAATTTCTCCTTCAGATTAGCTCCCCTTCCAGTCCTTCCATTCAGTCATCCAGACTCAATCTCAGAGTTTTCACTGAAGTTGGGAGGTGAGAGAGGAATGTTCATCAAAACCTATTGATTCTACTTTTCCATCCTATTATTCCTAGCCTCACCACCACCACCCCAGTCCTAGACCTTATCTATGCCACTCCACCCCCACTCCACCCCACCTCCCTATACTGGATACCTTCTTGACTGCCTTCCTATCTTCAGGACTAGCTTCATAGTCATGCTATCTGAGCAGGCTCATAGGTACTCACACTTGGTTTAATGCTCTGCTGTTACCACCTTGAAAGTCCTAATTTTTTTTTCTTTAACAAGGAGCCCTGCAATTTCATTTTGCACTGGGCCCTGCAAATTATGTAGCCACTCCTGCCTGTTTCTCCCCATCTGGACCCATCTTACACATAGTGTTTATTGCCAGAGTTTGTTTGCTAATGCCAATAATAATGCATCTAATGGCTCTCCGATGCCTCCAGAATCAAACCCAAACCTCGCAGCCTGGTCTTCAAGGCCCTCTGTTACCTGGCCTCCATCTAATTTCCCATACATCCCATATAAATTCTACTCATTCCAGAATGGAGGATGGTTTTACTATTAACAACTTCAGCAGAATGATTAACAGCTGTGGAGTCTGACTGTGGAGTCAGACCCAGTTGAGGGGCCTGGTTCTACACTTGTTAGCTGTATGACTTTGGGCAAATTCCGTAGCCTCTCTGAACCTCAGTTTCCTCATCTGTAAAAAAGAGATACCAACAGTGCCTATCTCATAAGGTCAATATAAGAATTAAATGATATAATCAATAGAAATAAGTCTCTAAGCATAGTATCTGGCCGGCCCTTAGTAAACACTAAATAAGTATTAGTTACTAATATTATTTGTTGTAATTGTTACAAAGCTGAGTAGTTCTAAAAGTCACTATGCCTAATGCCTATCTAATTGGCCATATTGCTGGCTGGATTTCAGGTAACTCACAGTGACCTGCCATGGCCCTCTACTTCCCTTTCATGTACCTCTCAACCACCATCCTCTGGATGGAGATGATTATAATTTGCATGTTGTTGAGCTGTGTTCACCACCTCCCTCTTTTTGCTCTCTGCTAGTGTGGGAGCAACTTGATGGGCCAGCAGAAGCTGCAGAGGCAGACATGGAGAGGAAGCAGCACATTTGCCAACTGGGTTTCAGAGGGAAGCAGCTCTGGGAACTGACGTTCAGGCTTTGACCAACCCCTGCCCCCCGCCGCCACCTTCCCCCTGCCAAGATCTGTCCATTCTCCTGGGAACCCATGGTCGGCCTTGGGGGATACATAGAGATTTTGGATGAGATTTGTCCAGGCATCTGCATGAAACAGCTCCGGGACAGTTCCCTCTATCATATCAGGTCAATTTCAAATTTGCAGCAAAGGTTCATCCTGAGCTGCTGAAGTAATTCACAAAGTAGTCACAGAAGTGGCTCACCCTATATAAAGACTAAGGACCCCAGCTTAAGCTTTTTGCATGGGTCCTTTGCCACACCCCAGCTGTGGTGAGGAAAACAGCTCCCAGCAGGGTCACTCCCAGTTCCTTCCCATCCATTTACAGATGTGCTTTATACTTCTCTTAGAACAGGGATCCTCAACTCCGGCTGCACTTTAGAGTCACCTGCAGAACTTCTGAAACATACCAATGTTGGGCCACCAGTAAGACTAATTAAATCTGAATGTCTGGGAGAGGGACCCTGGAGTTGGTAAGATATTTTTTTTTTTTTTTTTTTACTTTTAGGTTCAGTTTCAGGGGTACATGTGCAAGTTTGTGACACAGGTAAACTTGTGTCACAGGGGTTTGTTATACAGATTATTTCGTCACCCAGGTATTAGGCCTAGTACCCATTATTTTTCCTGATCTTCTCCCTCCCCACCTCCATCCTCCAGAAGGCCCCAGTATGTGTTATTCCCCTCTATGTGTCCATGTGTTCTCATCATTTAGCTCCCACTCATAAGTGAAAACATGTGGTATTTGGTTTTCTGCTCCTGTGTCAGTCTGCTAAGGATAATGGCTTCCAGCTCTATCCATGTCCCTGCAAAGGACATGATCGCATTCTTTTTTTATGACTGCTGGGTACGTACCCAAAGAAATGGAAATCATTCTATCATAAAGACACATGCACGCAGATGTTCATTGTAGTAAAATTCACGATAGCAATGACATGAAGCTGGTAACATTGACAAACTCCTGAAGTGATTCTAATGTGTGGCCAGGACAGAGAACAAGACTATATGAGAAATGTAGCTTCTTAACCAATTTCCTGGTGTCCATGTTGTTCTCCCCCTTGAACCTATGTCACTTATTACTTGAAATGTAAAGTTCAAGAAACCTCCAATATGACCCTGTTTATTTTTTGCCGCCCCTACCCATGCACTCTACCCTCCAGCCACACCTGGTTCTTTCCCAGTCCACAGACACAACACCTATATTAATCTCATTGAAATGTTGCTCACACTGTTTCCCTGACTTAGAATACCCCCACTACTTTTCCAAAAGCAGTGGTTTTCAAATGTGAGTGTGCCTCAGAATTTCCTGGAGGGCTTGCTGAAATACAACTTGCTGGGATCCATCTCAGAGTGTCTGATTTAGAAGGTCTAATATGGACCTGAGATTTGACCTGCTAACAAATTCCCAAGTGATGCTGCTGGGCAAAAGATCACATTGTGCTGCTCTCTCCTCAAGTTTCCAAATGGCCTCTTGCAAATTGATAGTGTGGTTCCAGGAAGAAATGACTCTAGTGGGATCTGCCCTTGGCAAACTTTGGGGAAGAACAGGATTGCCTTCAGCATTCTTCTATCTCACTTCATTACCTCCTAATTGCCACCCTCCTACTTCCAAGCACTCAAGGTTTTCACACTGGTTACTACTTGTTCAAAATGCTCCACAGCAAGCATTCTTGTGTTCCAGCCAGACTCTTATGCCCTCCGGTCTCCATACTCTACTAAGATGTTCTGTTGATAATATAACAACAGAACATACAGATAACTCTATGGTTAATTAAGTGCAACATGGACTCTGGGGTCAAACAGGTCTGGTGGACTTGTGGATCCACCACTTCTCTGCTGCATAGCACTGCAAAATCACTAAGCTTCCCTGAGGCTACATTTCTTCATCTGTAATATGAGGATGTCATGCATAGTTTGCAGGGTAATTATGAGGAATAACATAAAATAATGTATGTAAAGAACAAACCTGCCATATGTTAAGCATTCAATAAATAGTTGCTATTACAAATGCATTAAAACTTTACTATTAGTAACTGGTGAGAGATTGCCTAGGTAGCCGTTGCATTTTAACAACAACCTTCTTAGTGAGGATCTCTGGGGAAACCCTCCATTTTTGCACTGTTGCCAGAATGATCTTTTCAGAATATAAATTGAATCACTTTGTCCCTCTGCTTAAACTTTTTCTCATTGCTCCCCTCTTGCTTGTAGAATAAAACCCTAAATCCTTAAATGACTTATATGCCCCCATATTCAGTGGTTCTTAACTGGGGAGTATTTGGAAGTTTGGGGACATTTTGGTTGTCATAAATACCAAGGGGGGCAGTATTACCATTTAGTGTGCAGGGACCAGGACACTAAACCTCCTACAACCTTGCATATGCAAACCAGCACTCCCCACCCCTATGGAAAACTGTCTCACCCCAAAGCCAATGGCACTCACATTAAGAAACACCCGAGTCAAACTCTCTAGCCTCACCTCCTATCACTTCCTTGCTCTGTGTACTCCAGCCACCCTGGCCTTGCTTTTAGTCCTCCACAGCACCTTGGACATTCTGTTCTTTCTACTTGGAAAGCAGTTCTTTTCTGATGGATCATTTAACTCCTACTGACCCTTCAAATCTCAGCTTAAGTGATATTGCTTCATGGAGGCCATAATTCACTCCCCATTATAGTATATACCTCCTTAGAACTGTATTCCTTGCCTTCAGAATATTTATCTTCGTTTATAATTGTGTACTCTGTAATGTTTTTTGAATTATTTGATTAATGTTTGCCTCACACATAAGACCACAAATTCCAAGAAAGCAAGCATCACGTCTGTTTTTGCTCACCATTATATACGCAATACCTAGCCCAATGCTTGGCTAGCAGTAGGTACTCACTCTCTCTCTGAGAAATGAATACCCACATAAGCAGCCCCTAGTCTTAATCAAGTCTCCAGGGAGAGGGGGCAGTTATTAACATGCTCTGCTCTTAGAGGTCTTAGAACAACTGGCTCCTACTGAACTCTTTGAGGTAGGAGGGGGACCTAGATAGAGTAGAAAAGTGCTTCCATGTAATTATTCTGTTTGCATTCAAGCTTATTAGAATGCAATGGTTGGTCACAATGTTTATGTTTCCAATTTCTACACGTAGACATTCTGATTGATTGCTTGCTCCCAATCCTAAATATATTAAAACAAATGAAAGATTGTTTAAAGCATGTTGTGTATTTACTTTTTGATGCTTCTAAGACATGCGGGGTACCTGTCCAATTTTTGTCAAATTTGAAAAATACCCTGTCAAGAGTCCAACAGTCTTGGAACATGGTACTACATGTGATAGAGCTACTTATACCTCAACTCTCTAGTGAATTCTGCATTAAAAATCAAGACAATAGGCTGCTTCAGCTCTAAGTAGCTTGGAGTTGGTTTGTTTGTATGTTTAATGCCATAGTCCAGGCAATAAGAAAGAACGAGAAAAAGAAAGAGCAGGAGTATGTGTTTGGTGCATAAAAGAAATGCTGATTCTAGCTGGGTGTGGTGGATCAGGTCTGTAGTCCCAGCTACTCAGTAGGAGACTGAGTCTGGAGGATCACTTGAGCTCAGGAGTTTGAGACCAGCCTGGGCAACACAGTGAGACCCTGTATGCCCCACCCCCCAAAAAAATGCTGATTCTGTTCCAGTGTGACTAGAACCCAGTAAGCAAAGGGGAAGGTAATCGAAGATGAAGTCATAGACGTAGCTAAGACCAGGTCAGTGAAAATTTTTGTCCATTCCTGTGAGTAGGCTGGGAGCCATGGGATGGTTTTGAGCAGAGGAGCAGTGTGATCTAACTTGTTTTGAAAACAGATCACTTTCAGTACTGTTTGAAGAAAAAAATGTGTGGAGGAGGGGTGATGTGTGAGCAGGTTGCAGGGTATAAAGGACAGAAGCAGCCAGGCCAGTTAGGAGACTATTGTGATAATTCAGGTGAAAGGAGATGGAAATTATTGACCAGATGGTAGCAGAGAAGGCAGTAAAACCTGATTGGATCTTAGATATATTTTGAAAGTAGAACGTGACGTGCGAGAGAAAAGAAATCAAGGATTCATTTTTTATTCAACAAATATTTACTGAACACCTACTATGTGCCAAGTACTGTTTTATGTGCTTAGGATATAGCAGTGAACAAAACAAACAAAAATCTCCATCTAATTTGAGTTCACTTTTTGTTTTGTTTTGTTTTCAGTCAGAGTCTTGGTCTGTTGCCCAGGCTGGAGTGCAGTGGCAGGATCTTGGCTCACTGCAACCTCCGACTCCCAGGTTCAAGTGATTCTCATGTCTCACCCTCCCAAATAGCTGGGATTACAAGCGTGCACCAACATGCCTGGCTAATTTTTAGTATTGTTAGTAGAGACGAGGTTTTGCCGTGTTGGCCAGGCTGGTCTCGAACTCCTAGCCTCAAGTGATCTGCCCAGCTCGGCCTCCCAAAGTGCTAGGAATACAGGTGTGAGTCCCTGCACCTTGTCTGAGCTTACTTTTTAATCAATAATAGATAACATGTTTTGAGCACTTCCTGTGTTCCAAGCACTTTGCATTCTTAACTTATGTAATTCTCACTACAACCCAATAATGTATGTGTGTATGGTATTACCTCCATTTCTCAGCTGAGGAAACTAAGGCACAGAGAGGCAAGTTTCTTGAGGTCTCACAGCTGATAAGTAGTGAAGCTGTGTTTCCAACCCAGGAAATTATGCTTGAGAGTCTGAGTTCAAAGCACTTCATTCTACTGCCTCTTTACCAGGCCAGTATTCCCACAACAGGAGCAAAGCTGGACCACCTGGGTGAAAACTAGGGATCTAACTGCTAGATGACTCAAAGTTTTTTGGCCTGAAAAACTGCAAGAATGTACTTGACATTTACAAGAGCTTGATTCTGAATATAAATTGGTAGCCTGGGCACAGAAAGATTTGGGCCAGTGAGTACTCTCTAAAATGTCCAATATTATTTGACACAAAAATGTTGTGTCATAGCACCATGTAAGTGTTAGCTCTAATTATCCACTAGAATGGTTAAGTGGCATTCAAAAGGGCAGAATTTATCAGGCTTGCTGAGACTCTGACACACTGCCAGGCAAATCAGGAGGCTTTGGTCAGTGAAATCGCCCTAGGATTCTTTCACAGAAATCTACCATCAAATGTGGTAGAAATATATGGGAACAAAAGTGATAAGGAAACCTGAGATTAGGAGATATACTGATAGAAATTGCTTGCATTTTTGTTAGGTGCTTACCATGTTGTAGGTATCTACATGTTGTAGGACAGGATGTACCTATCCTAAGTGTTGGCAATGTATTACATCATCTAATCGTCGCAACAACCCTAGGAAGAAGATATTAGTATTTCCATGTATAAAACTGGGGGTCTGAAAGGTTTGGTGACATGCCCAGGCTCTCCTAGCTCAAATGTGGTAGCAGTGGGACGCAAACACACATCTGTTTGACTCCAAAGCCCACGCTGCTCCCCAGGAGGTTAAATTCTCCTGCTGTGCTCCCCAGTGAACCCTGTCCAGATCATCTACTCACCTATATTTGAATTGTTTCTAACACTTAAATTTGTACTTCTTTGTATATTTCTGTACGTGCTTTGGTACCATCTCATTCAAACGTATGTTCCTTCTCTCCCATTTATTTTATAAGCTCACTGAGGTTGGGGCCCTGATTTGCTTATCTTGCTACTTTCCAGTGGTGTTACTTATGGGCATCTCCCCACAAGTGAGTGTCTAATAAAGGTTGCTGATTGACTGCAATAAACTGTTTTAGAAATCTGCTGGTGATTCTAAATCTGGTATGCTTTCATCCAAGACAAGATTAATATCACAGTGGCAGGTAAAATAATAGCTGCCATTTCTTTAAGATTTAATTTGTCCTAAACAACTATACCGTGCAAAGTGCTTCCTGTGCATTATCTCATTTAACCCTGAAAATATGAGTCAGATACTCTAATTGCTTTTTAAATTTTTATTATTATTACTATTATTTTGAGACGGAGTGTTGCTCTGTCACCCAGGCTGGAGTGCAGTGGTGCGATCTCGGGTCACGGCAACCTCCGACTCCCAGGTTGAAGCAATTTTCCTGCCTCAGCCGCCTGAGTAGCTGGGATCACAGGTGTGTACCACCATGCCCAGCTAATTTTTGTATTTTTAGTAGAGACGGGGTTTTGCCATGTTGGCCAGGCTGGTCTCGAACTCCTGACCTCAGGTGATCCGCCCACCTCGGCCTCCCAAAGTACCGGGATTACAGGCGTGAGCCACCGTGCCTGGCCAGATACTCTAATTACAATTCCCCTATTTCATGATCTAGCAGTCCCACTGCTGGGTACATACCAAAAAGAAAGGAAATCAGTATATCAAATAGATACTGCACTCCCATGTTTACTGCAGCCCCATTCACAATAGTCAAGGTATGGAGTCAATCTAAGTGCTCATCAACAGATGAGTGGACAAAGAAAATATGGTACATATACACAAAGGAATGCTCTTCAGCCATGAAAAAGAATGAAATCCTGTCATTTGCAGCAACATGGATAGAACTGGAGGGCATTATGTTAAGCGAAATAAGCCAGGCACAGAAAGACAGATATCCCATGTTCTCACTCATACGTGGGAGTAAAAAAAAAATTCATCTCATGGAGGTAGTGAGTAAAATAGTGTTTCCAAGAGGCTAGAAAGGGCAGGGGGGACTAGGGTGTGTGGAGAGGTTGGTGAACACATACAAAACTACAGTTAGATAGAAGGAATAATAACTTATAGTGTTACTGCATGTTCTCACTCATAAGTGGGAGTTGAACAATGAGAACACATGGACACAGAGAGGGGAACATCACACACTGGGAACTGTCAGGGGTTGGGGCACAAGGGGAGGGAGAGCTTTAGGACAAATACCTAATGTATGTGGGGCATAAAACCTAGATGGTGGGTTGATAGGTGCAGCAAACCACCATGGCACATGTATACCTAGGTAAAAAACTTGCATGTTCTGCACATGTATCCCAGAACTTAAAGTAAAATAAAATAAAATAAATAACTTATAGTGTTCAATAGCACTGTCAGGAGACTATATATAATTAACAATTCATTGTACAATTAACCCTTGATTTTTTTCCAACCAAACTCAGACTGAACATACGTTCATCCATTGGTATGCATGGGGAGTTGGTTCCAGTATGTTCACATGTACCAAAATCCACACATGCTGAAGTCCTGAAGCTGGCCCTGTGGAACCCCATATTTAAAAAGTGCAGGTTTTGTATCCTGTGAATACTGTATTTCTGACCCATGATTGGTTGGAAAAAAAATGTGTGTATAAGTGGACCCATGCAGTTCAAACCCATATTGTTAATGAGTCAACTGTACAGTATTTGAGAATCCGTGGATACAGAGGGCTGACTTTTTGTATCTGTGGGTTTGGCAGGGCTGACTGCAGACAGAAGGATGTTTGGATTTTGGAATACAAGGGTCCTGGAACCAACCCTTCACATATACTGAAGTATGACTATATATTTTTAAATAGCTGGAAGAGAATATATACAGCATTCCCAACATAAAGAAATGATAAGTTTGAGGTGGTAGATATCCCAATTGCCTTGATTTTATTATTAGACATTGTATACATATATCAAAATATCACATGTACCCCATAAACATACATATAAATAAATATGTCCAACTATTATGTATCAATTAAAAATTAAAAATAATTTTAGATGGCTAATTAGGAACAGCTCTGGTCTGCAGCTCCCAGCATGATTGACACAGAAGATGGATGATTTCTGCATTTCAAACTGAGGTCATCAGGATCAAAGACCAAAGGTAGATAAAACCACAAAGATGGGGAGAGACCAGAGCAGAAAAGCTGAAAATTCTAAAAATCAGAGTGCCTCTTCTCCTCCAAAGGATTGCAGCTCCTAGCCAGCAACAGAACAGAGCTGGACAGAGAATGACTTCGATGAGTTGACAGAAGTAGGATTCAGAAGGTCAGTAATAACAAACTACTCTGAGCTAAAGGAGGATGTTTGAACCCATTGCAAGGAAGCTAAAAACTTTGAAAAAAGATTAGACAAATGGCTAACTAGAATAAACAGTGTAGAGAAGACCTTAAATGACCTGATGGAGCTGAAAACCATGGCATGAGAACTTCGTGACGCATGCACAAGCTTCAATATCCGATTCGATCAAGTGGAAGAAGGGGTATCAGTGATTGAAGACCAAATTAATGAAATAAAGCAAGCAGACAAGGTTAGAGACAAAAGAGTAAAAAGAAATGAACAAAGCCTCCAAGAAATATGGGACAACGTGAAAAGACCAAATCTATGTTTGATTGGTGTACCTAAAAGTGATGGGAACAATGGAACCAAGTTGGCAAACACTCTTCAGGATATTATCCAGGAGAACTTCCCCCAACCTAGCAAGGCCGGCCAACATTCAAATTCAGGAAATCCAGAGAACACCACAAAGATACTCCTTGAGAAGAGCAACCCCAAGACATATAATTGTCAGATTCACCAAGGTTGAAAAGTGTTAAGGGCAACCAGAGAGAAAGGTCGAGTTACACACAAGGGAAAGCCCATCAGACTAACAGCAGATCTCTCGTCAGAAACCCTACAAGCCAGAAGAGAGTGGGGCCCAATATTCAACATTCTTAAAGAAAAGAATTTTCAACCCAGAATTTCATATCCAGCCAAACTAAGCTTCATAAGTGAAGGAGAAATAAAGTCCTTTACAGACAAGCAAATGCTGAGAGGTTTTGTCACTACCAGGCCTGCCTTACAAGAGCTCCTGAAGGAAGCACTAAACATAGAAAGAAACAACCGGTACCAGCCACTGCAAAAATATGCCAAATTGTAAAGAGCATCGATGCTAAGAAGAAACTGCATCAATTAACGGACAAAATAACCAGCTAATATCATAATGACAGGATCAAATTCACACATAATAATATTAACCTTAAATGTAAATGGGCTAAATGTCCCAATTAAAAGACACAGACTGGCAAATTGCATAGAGCCAAGACCCATCAGTGTGCTGTATTCAGGAGACCCATCTCACATGCAAAGAGTCACATAGGCTAAAATAAAGGGATGGAGGAAGATCTACCAAGCCAATGGAAAGCAAACAAAACAAAACAAAACAAAACAAAAAAAGCAGGGGTTGCAATCCTAGTCTCTGATAAAACAGACTTTAAACCAACAAAGATCAAAAGAGACAAGGCCATTACATAATGGTAAAAGGGTCAATTCAACAGGAAGAGCTAACTATCCTAAATATATATGCACCCAATACAGGAGCACCCAGATTCATAAAGCAAGTCCTTAGAGACCTACAAAGAGACTTAGACTCCCACACAATAATAATGAGAGACTTTAACACCCCACTGTCAATATTAGACACCAAAGAGACGGAAGGTTAACAAGGATATCCAGGGCCTGAACTCAGCTCTGCAACAAGCAGACCTAACAGAAATCTACAGAACTCTCCACCCCAAATCAACAGAATATACATTCTTCTCAGCACCACATCGCACTTATTCTAAAATTGACCACATAATTGAAAGTAAAGCACTCCTCAGCAAAGGTAAAAGACCAGAAATCACAACAAACTGTCTCTCAGACCACAGTGCAATCAAATTAGAACTCAGGATTAAGAAACTCACTCAAAACCACACAACTACATGGAAACTGAACAACCTGCTCCTGAATGACTACTGGGTAAATAAGGAAATGAAGGCAGAAATAAAGATGTTCTTTGAAACCAATGAGAACAAAGACACAATGTACCAGAATCTCTGGGACACATTTAAAGCAGTGTGTAGAGGGAAATTTATAGCACTAAATGCCCACAAGAGAAAGCAGGAAAGATCTAAAATGGACATCCTAACATCACAATTAAAAGAACTAGAGAAGCAAGAGCAAACAAATGCAAAAGCTAGCAGAAGGCAAGAAATAACTAAGATCAGAGCAGAAGTGAAAGAGATAGAGACACACAAAAAAAAAACCTTCAAAAAAATCAATGAATCCAGGAGCTGGATTTTTGAAAAAATCAACAAAATTGATAGACCGCTAGCAAGACTAATAAAGAAGAAAAGAGAGAAGAATCAAATAGATGCAATAAAAAATGATAAAGGGGATATCACCACCCATCCCACAGAAATACAAACTACCATCAGAGAATACTATAAAATATATATAAAATACCTCTATGCAAATAAACTAGAAAATCTAGAAGAAATGGATAATTTCCTGGACACATACAGGTTCCCAGAACTAAACTAGGAAGAAGTTGAATCTCTGAATAGACCAATAACAGGTTCTGAAATTGAGGCAATAATTCATAGCCTACCAAACCAAAAAAAGTCCAGGACCAGATGGATTCACAGCCGAATTCTACCAGAGGTACAAAGAGGAGCTGGTACCATTCCTTCTGAAACTATTCCAATCAATAGAAAAAGAGGGTATCCTCCCTAACTCGTTTTATGAGGCCAGCATCATCCTGATACCAAAGCCTGGCAGAGACACACAAAAAAAGAGAATTTTAGACCAATATACCTGATGAACATCGATGTGAAAATCCGCAATAAAATACTGGCAAACCGAATCCAGCAGCATATCAAAAAGCTTATCTACCAAAATCAAGTTGGCTTCATCCCTAGGATGCAAGGGTGGTTCAACATACGCAAATCAATAAACATAATCCATCACATCTTCAGAACCAATGACTAAAACCACATGATTATCTCAGTAGATGCAGAAAAGGCCTTTGACAAAATTCAAGAGCCATTCGTACTAAAAACTCTCAATAAACTGGGTATTGATGGAATGTATCTCAAAATAATAAGAGCTATTTATGACAAACTCACAGCCAATATCATACAGAATGGGCAGAAACTAGAAGTATTCCCTTTGAAAACTGGCACAAGACAAGGATGCCCTCTCTCACCACTCTTATTCAACATAGTGTTGGAAGTTCTGGCCAGGGCAATCAGGCAAGAGAAAGAAATAAAGGGTATTCAATTAGGAAATAAAGGGTATTCAATTAGCAATCAGGCAAGAGAAAGAAATAAAGGGTATTCAGTTAGGAAATGAGGAAGTCAAATCATCCCTGTTTGGAGATGACATGATTGTATATTTAGAAAACCCCATCGTCTCAGCCCAAAATCTCCTTAAGCTGATAAGCAACTTCAGCAAAGTCTCAGGATACAAAATCAGTGTGCAAAATTTACAAGCATTCCTGTACACCATTAACAGACAAACAGATAGCCAAATCGTGAGTGAACTCCCATTCACAATGGCTAAAAAGAGAATAAAATACCTAGGAATCCAACATACAAGGGATGTGAAGGACCTCTTCAAGGAGAACTACAAACCACTGCTCAAGGAAATAAAAGAGGACACAAACAAATGGAAGAATATTCCATGCTCATGGATAGGAAGAATCAGTATCATGAAAATGGCCATACTGCCCAAAGTAATTTATAGATTCAATGCCATCCCCATCAAGCTACCAATGACTTTCTTCACAGAATTGGAAAAAACTACTTTAAACTTCATATGGAACCAAAAAAGAGCCCGCATTGCCAAGACAATCCTAAGCCAAAAGAACAAAGCTGGAGGCATCACACTACCTGACTTCAAACTATACTACAAGGCTACGGTATCCAAAACAGCATGGTAATGGTACCAAAACAGATATATAGACAAACGGAACAGAACAGAGGCCTCAGAAATAATACTACACATCTACAACCATCTGATCTTTGACAAACCTGACAAAAACAAGAAATGGGGAAAGGATTCCCTATTTAATAAATGGTGCTGGGAAAACTGACTAGCCATATGTAGAAAGCTGAAACTGGATCCCTTACTTACACTTTATACAAAAATTAATTCAAGATGGATTAAAGGTTTAAATGTTAGTCCTAAAACCATAAAAACCCTAGAAGAAAACCTAGGCAATACCATTCAGGACATAGGCATGGGCAAGGACTTCATGACTAAAACACCAAAAGCAATGGCAACAAAAGCCAAAATAGACAAATGAGATCTAATTAAACTAAAGAGCTTCTGCACAGCAAAAGAAACTACCATCAGAGTGAACAGGCACGGCACAGAATGGGAGAAAAATTTTGCCATCTACCCATCTGACAAAGGGCTAATAGCCAGAATCTACAAAGAACTCAAACAAATTTACCAGAAAAAAACAAACAACCCCATCAAAAAGTGGGCAAAGGATACAAACAGACACTTTTCAAAAGAAGACATCTATGCAGCCAACAGACACATGAAAAAATGCTCATCATCACTGGTCACCAGAGAAATGCAAATCAAAACCGCAATGAGATACAATCTCACACCAGTTAGAATGGCAATCATTAAAAAGTCAGGAAACCACAGATGCTGGAGAGGATGTGGAGAAATAGGAATGCTTTTACACTGTTGGTGGGAGTGTAAATTGGTTCAACCATTGTGGAAGACAGTGTGGCGATTCCTTAAGGATCTATAACTAGAAATACCATTTGATCCAGTGATCCCATTACTGGGTATATATCCAAAGGATTATAAATCATGCTACTATAAAGACACATGCACACATATGTTTATTGTGGCACTATTCACAATAGCAAAGACTGGGAACCAACCCAAATGTCCATCAGTGATAGACTGGATTAAGAAAATGTGGCACATATACACCATGGAATACTATGCAGCCGTAAAGAAGGATGAGTTCATGTCCTTTGCAGGGACATGGATGAAGCTGGAAACCATCATTCTCAGCAAACTATCACAAGGACAGAAAACCAAACACCGCATTTTCTCACTCATAGGCAGGAACTGAACAATGAGATCACTTGGACACAGGGCATGGAACATCACACGCCGGGGCCTGTCAGGGGGTGGGGGGCTGGGGGAGGGATAGCATTAGGAGAAATACCTAATGTAAATGATGAGTTGATGGGTACAGCAAACCAACATGGCACATGTATACCTATGTATCAAACCTGCACGTTGTGCACATGTACCCTAGAACTTAAAGTATAATAAATAATAATAATAATAATTTTAAAGGCTGGGCACACACCTGTAATCCCAGCACTTTGGCCAAGGTGATGAATCACTTGAGGTCAGGAGTTTGAGACAAGCCTGGCCAACACAGTGAAACCCTGTCTCTACTAAAAATACAAAAATCAGCTTAGTGTGGTGGCAGGTGCCTGTAATCCCAGCTACTCACGAGGCTGAGGCAGGAGAATTGCCTGAGCCCGGGAGTCAGAAGTTACAGTGAGCTGAGATCGTGCCACTGCACTCTAGCCTGGGCAACAGAGCCAGACTCAGTCTCAAAATAATAATAATAATAATAATAATAATAATGTTTTAAAAAACAATTCCCATATTTCAGATGGGAGAATAAGATTTAAAGAGGATAAAAACCTCAAAGAAATTCAGCTAGTAAGTGACAGCCATAGGTCTGTCTAACTCCACAGTCAGTTATCTTAGCCACTGGGGTTAAGGTAGAAATTATGCCATATGATAATTTTTCTCAATGAGTAAATGCAATTTTAAAAAATGTATATCTTCAAATGCTTAAAGCTGCTTTCTTGAGATATAATTGAAATGCAGTAAAAATATTTAAAGTGTGCAACTTGATATGTTTTGACATATGTATGCACCTGTGAAACCATCACCACAATCAAGATAAATAGAAATATCCATCACCTTCAAAAGTTTCCATGCTTTTGTAAGCCCTCCTTCCCACCATTTTCTAGTCTTACCCTGTGCCCAAGCACAAATTATTTTTTTGAATGTGCAAGGTAGTAACTTGGGAAAGTCTCTACTTGCCAAAGGATCATACTGGCTCTATCCCTCATATACTGGATTCATTTGATTAATGTCACAGTTAGCTGATCTGTGACTTGTGATTCTCAGTGCTGAACCCTAAATTGAGTCTGACATCCAAGCTAAGTACAGTAATAAGAGTGATGATAAATTCTCTCTGAGTTAGAAAGCTAATCTAAGAAGCCAGCTGGGCTGATTGATTTCTTCTTTTCAGAAACAAAAGATGTAGATTATTTATTAGATAGCCTGAAACCCTAGGGATCTTTTTGGGCTCCTGTGTATTAGGAAAAATGGGCTTGGTATTTATAAGCTTTTGAAAAAATCTCTATATTGCCCAGTAGAGAGATTTCCAGGCTATGACAAAGGTAGCATATCCAGTCAGCAGCTAAATTCATTTTTTTAAAAAAACCTATCAAATTATTTATTTGATGAATAGACCTAGGTGTGATAGATTGCTGCCAGGTTTTTAGAAAATGATGTGCAGGAGCCCTAAAGGGCTTTTCTTTATCAAATTGATTCATCTATCTACTTTGCTCATTTGCTCATGGTGTCCTCCACCCAAACGTTAACCTAACATTTTCACTCTAAGTGGGAGAAAAAAATGGTGGTGAAGGATTGTATGAACATCTGAGCCTTGATGGACCATTGCCTTTGGCCACTGTCCCCCATTCGTCTAAATCTCAGCCCTGTTTATGAAATAGGATGATAGAGAAAGAAGGTTAACATTATCTAAATGATGAGAGATTAATCTGTATGGTTCAGCTAATAAGTCATAAGAGTACAGGGAAAAGAGCAGTCACTGTGTACTGAGGTGGTCAGGGAAGGCTTCTTGAAGGAGGGGCTAGATGTAGGCCCAGAGGAAAATGGGAAAGAATTCCAAATGCATCTAGCCACTGGCATGACCACTGTGGTACCGGCAGGAATGAGTATAACAAATGCAATTGGTATAGAGGGGAAAGGGAGCATCTCCAGGACTGAAGGTCTCTAACAGCCCTGCATTGCTGACCTAGAAGAGATAGAGACACAAGGAAGGAAAGAGGAAAGAGACAGACAACTGGTGGGAGTAAAAGAGTAGTTTCTGATCAATTTTTCTGTCTCTTTTACCTCATTCAGTGGCAATCGGATGTCTGGGTCTTTTAATTTCAGACAAGCCCTTGCCTACCCATCAAAGATAAAGCAGTTCTGCTTAGAGCAGTTTCTACTAGCAGCAGCAGTTAGCATAAAAGAAAAGTAAGTCGCACGAGGAATTTCTGCAGAGAAAACATTTTTCCTTGATTTTTCTGTCAAAAGATGGAAGTATGCCATGGTGGGAAATATCTGAGACAATTCGATCTCTCTGTAGTAGGCCATCTGGTAACCAAGCACTTCTGATCCTCCACTGATGCCCAGACATAGCTCATGCAGGATCCCAGAAAGCAATCATTCATTTAAGAGAGCTGAAGAGAACATCTTTGCTTGTTTTCATAGACACACGGGGTTGAAATAAAGGTGGTCTGCTCTGATCTCCCAAGAAAAAAATTTACCCAAAGTGGGCTCCTGGAGATTGTCTTCTTTATCTCCCTGTCTTGGGGCCATTTTAACGTGATCTATTTATCCCAGAGAAGTGTGCATCTCCATCTCAAGAGAATTTTGAGATACTGTTGCAACCTTTCACTACTGAATTTCTCCTTGTATCTTAAAGCCATAGAATTATTATTATTATTTTTGAGATGGAGTCTCACTCTGTCATCCAGGCTGGAGTGCAGTGGTGTGATCTCGGCTCACTGCAACCTCTGCCTCCTGGGTTCAAGTGATTAACCTGCCTCAGCCTCCCATGTATCTGGGATTACAGGTGCCCACCACCATGCCTGGCTAATTTTTGTATTTTTAATAGAGACAGTGTTTCACCTTGTTGGTCAGGCTGGTCTCGAACTCCTGACCTCAAGCAATCTACCCACCTTGGCATCCCAAAGTGCTGGGATTAGAGGCATGAGCCACTACACCCGGCTGCAAAGCCACAGAATTTTAGATTTCAAAGGAACCTTGGAGACTACTTAGTCTAACTGTCCCTTTTAAAGAAAAATAGAATGTTCTTGATTTTAGAAAACTAGATAAAAATATTTTTAATTCGGAATAGAACACTACAGATAAAGCTGGCAACTTTCTCCCAATCCAAGAAACCTTCTTGTGCCTTCATTTTCCCCCCAAAGGTAAAAAGTGTTATTGGTTTCTGAATTTTCTTACAGAACATTTTGATACTTCTACATATGTGAAAATATGTAGTATTATTTTTGTGTGTTTTAATTTGTTTCAAAGATATCATACAGTATGCATCTTGCTTTCTTCATTCATCGTTTTGAGATCTAGATCATTCCTTTTAACTGCAGTTCAGTATTCCACTGTGTGAAAGCATCACATTTTCTTTATCCAATTCTCTCTTGATTCATATTTACAAATCTGCTTTATGGAGAGAGAACTGCATAGAGAAGTTGCAGGATTGCCTCAAGATAAGCTTTGGTACAACTAAAACTAGAATCTACATCTAAGATGAGAGGCAGATGAATAGATGAATTTCTCAAAAGTTATCTTGAATGAGTTAGGCTCATTCATGAAAGTCTTAATTGGTCCAATATGAAGTTGAAACCTTGGCTTTAAGAGTGTGAAAATTCTGAACATTCTTACTTCCTAGAGTGGGCGAGCCAAAAAACTCATAACCCATGGTCTTATGTGCTAAAGATCTTCAGGGGTCACTCCTGAGAAAGAAAATAGCTGTGACAGAGTTACATTTGTGAATAAGGGAAAGCATGCTGGAACACTGTACACTCTAAGAAGCATCATGCCTCAGCCCAAAATATTTCCTCTAACTTTGCTCATGGGGTCTGAAAAGCCTTTCTTTCCAACTTACAGCTTTGAATCTTGAAGGTTTTTCATCTGTAAATTCCCTGAGAATTAAATTGATATTGGCCATTAACAGACACTTGATAGCTTGGTTTACTAGGTTGCTTGCTAGAACAAAGTCATTATGGAAAATGGGTATAGGATATGCATCCAGGTACATCGTCAGGATGAGGCAAAGGGAACAAGAAAGGAAGAAAATGAACATTTATTGATTACCTGCTATGTGCCAAGCAACGTTCTAGGAACTTTATACATATATTTGCACAATGGGATTAGTAATGCTACTTTCCATATTAGGAAACAAGAGTTCAGGGAGATTAAATAACTTGCCCAAAGTTTATTTGTTCATTCATTTCCTCAATAAAATTTTTTCCAGCTACTTTTGCTCTATGCCGGAATCTGTGCTCAGTGAGGAAATATTTTGGTGAATATGAGACAACAAGTTTTGTCTTCATGGAATTAAAATCAAAGAAAATATGTACCATGAGCAAGCCAAGATAAGCATGGTAAAGGACATTGGACAGTAGGCAAATCATATGCACCTTGAGGTCTCATTTATTTAGCGAATATATATTGAATACTTACTACATTCAGGCAATGAGCCTGACCCTTTAGGGGAATATAAAAATGAATAAGATGCTCCATACTCCTAAGAATGCTTAGGGTATAACATGTTCACTCAATATTTGAATACCAGCCTAAAATCTTTACGTTCAAGTTCAAGTGACAACTCATGTTTCCAAGCTATTTGTCTTGTCAGGTACAAGGGTAAATTTGTGTCAAGCAGAGGAAGAAGAAAGGAAGGGTGAAATAGGTACAAAATGACTAAATATCAGCTACCATCTCCATTAAACTGGAGTGCTCTATAAAAGATTGCAATCAATAGAGCTAGGGACAAGACAGTTTTTTTCACCAACTGACTGACAGGCATATGGCACCTAATTGATATAAGGTGTCAGCAGGTTCTTGTTCTCTGACTGTAAGTAAAATGACAAAGGGGTTGCCAGTGTGTCTAGATATGAGGTGTTTTATTTTTCCTAAGATCCAGAGCAAAGAGAAGCATCTGCTTTAGAGGTAGAAACCCTGCCTACCACCAGGATAAACTTATCAGAAGCCAAATACTTGTTCTCCATCCAGTGGTGTTCTGGTAAATGTTTAACAACCAGATCTCCAGAAAAAATATCTATTTGCTGCTTTATATTGCTATACATAAATCGTGGTGGTTAATTTTATGTGTCAACTTGACTGGGCCGTGGGATGCCCAGATATTTGGTCAAACATTATTCTATGTGTTTCCATAAGGATATTTCTGGATGACATTAACAATTGAATTGGCAGAATGAGTAAAGTAGAGTGCCCTCTCCAGTATGGGTGGCCTTCATTCAATCATTTGAAGGCCTGTATAGATCAAAATGGCTTACCCTCCCATAAGCCTCCCATGAGTAAGAGGGGGCTCCTCTTGCCTGACTATTTGAACTGCAACATCAGTCTTTTCTGGACTTCAGACTATTGTTGACGAATGGATAAGGAAATTGTGGTGTACATATACAATCGAATATTATTCAGCATTAAAAAGGGAGATCCTGTCAATTGCGACAACATGGAGAACCTAGAGGACATTATGCTAAGTGAAATAAACCAGACAGAGAAAGAAAAACACTGCATGATCTGACTTATATGTGGAATCTAAAAAAAAAAGTTGAATGAATAGAAACAGTTGTTGGGGTGTGGGGAGATGAAGGTCAAAAGGTACAAAGGTGTGGTTATATAGGATGAATAAATCTAGAGATCTAATGTGTAGCATGGGGTCTATAGTTACTATAGTTAATAATATTGTATTGTGTACTGGAAATTTGTTAAGAGAATAGGTTTTAGGTACTCTTACTACAAAAAAAATAAAGAAGAAAGAAAAAGAAAGGTAATTATATGAGATGACTGTTATGTTAATTTGCTTAAAAGTAACAATTGCCTCACTATGTATACGTATATCAAAATATCATGTTGCACAGCTTACATTATACAATAAAAAAGTCTTAATCTAAAAAGACACTAATGACTTTATTTTCAGTAGTAAAGAGAGCACTGATGGTCCATGGTGTGATCTGGCAATAGATAAAAGCAAAATATCATATTGAATACTCCTAATCAACCACTTATAAGAAACAAAGATCTGGATGATTTGTATATGATACACCCAAACATTTTTTTGCAAACCAACAAATGTAATGAGATTGTCTGGCTGCTCCTGATGTTGCTAGATACAATAGAGAAAGAAAAGAATGAGCTCAGGGATTCAAATTCCCAGGTCAAGTGCCACATAAATGATCTGAAAGCTTCTATATGTGCCCTGAAGGAGACCTTTATCTCCTGTATCCATAGGACTGAGATTGCTGAAAATCAAATCCAGAGTTTCAACCTGAAACTGGCTGAATTACAATGAAAGTTAAACTTCCAGCTTTGTAGATTGTCTACTGATAAAGTGAAGGCATTTATTGGGAAGAGATGAGGTCCTGAATTTTGGAGTGGGGATATGTGGGAAGCCCATAACGAAGCTAGGGACATAGAGCTCCTAAATTATGACACTTCTTTGCCAGTTAAGTAGGCCTCTGTACCCCCAGTGGTAGCGACTTCTCTACCCTTGTCTGAGAGGATTAACCCTGCATTGCCTGGGAAAAGTGTAACGGCCTCCCCTGAGGCAGTTGCTGTGCAGGACAATGCTGAGTCTTCTCAGAACTTACTCCCACCACTCCTTTTTGCTTCTACACTGATAAGTAGATTCAAGCCCCAGCAGGCCCCTAAAAGTGAGGTACAAACCATGAGGAGGTATACTATACTCCAGAAGAACTATTTGAGTTTTCTGTCAACAGACAGAAATCCAGGGAACATATGTGGGAATGGATATTAAGAATTTGGGATAATGGTACCTGGAACATAAAGTTGAATCAGGCCAAATTTGTCGATATGGGCTCACTAACTAGAGATTCTGCATTTAATGTTGCAGCTTATGGAGTTAGAAAATACTGTAATTGTTTGGGTGAATAGCTGAAAGAAGGACCAAAAGGCCTCCAGTGGCAAATTGAAAATGCCAGACCTACCTTAGTTTGATGTAGAGTTTAATGTAGAGGAAAGATTCAAAAGTTTAGAGATTGGGATGTTTCAGTGGATTTGTCATTTAAGGTCTTCTCATTTATCCTTGAAAGGTCCAGAAGACATATCATTCACATAAATTTGTGAGGGGAGTCTCAGCATTCTTGAAGAATTCTGTGGTTGCTCTTCTCTGTAGGCCAGACCTTACAGTGAAAACTGCAGTGACTGAATTGGGAAACCTAAATGCTATGGGAGTACCTAGATTCTGGTGTGGCAGGGGCCAAGTGCAGCACTCAACTGCCAAAGACAAGGTGGGCATGGTTACCATAAGGGACAACAGAGTCAAAGCAGCATCAGAATGATCTGACTTGTGCAGACCTATGGTATTAACTACTTAATCACGGAGTCCCTAAAAGTGAAGTAGTTAGGAAGCCTACTAAATTCTTACTTAATCTGGATGAGCAGAAAATTTCTAGGTAAAGTGAGCCAAAGTCTAACCTGAATCATAAAAACAGATAGTCAATCAATTTTCTGACTTTAGCCAGTTTACCTACCCAGAACCCCTTGAATGAAGGGGAAACCAGGTCTCCTAGAGGAAGGACCCTGATACACTGAAAAAATTTATTCTGTTAATCTTTATCCCAGCCTTCCCCAATGGGGCCTATGACCTTTTACCAAGGTAATTGTGCATTTGGGGGAAAGAAAATAATCAGATATTTGAGGGACTACAAGACACTGGCTCTGAAGTGAAAATAATTCCAAAATATCAATGTGGTCCACTAGTCACAGTAGGGGGTTATGGAGGTCAGGTGATCAAAGAAGTTTTAGCTCAGATCTGTCTCACAGTTGGTCTAGTGTGTCTTCAAACCCATCTTGTGTTTATTTTTCCAGCTCCAGAATGCATAATTGGAATAGATATACTCAACAGCTGGCAGAATTATCACAGTGGCTTCCAGACCTATAGAGTGTGAGCCATTACGGTGGAAAAGGCCAAGTGAATACCACTAGAATTGCCTCTACTTCAGAAAATAGTAAACCAAAAGTAATAGCACATTCCTGGCAAGATTGCAGAGATTAGTGCCACCATTAAGCACTTGAAAAATGGTGATGGTGATTCCCACCATATCCTCTTTCAGCTTGCCCATTTGGCCTATGCAGAAGACAGATGGATCTTCATATGACAGTGTATTACTGTAAACCTCTTGCAGCTGCTGTACTAGATATAGTGTCATTGTTTAAGCAAATTAACACATCCCTTGATATATACATAGTATAAATGTATTAGTCTGGCATATGTCTTTTTCTCCATCCCTGTACATAAGGCCCACCAGAAGCAGTTCGCTTTTATCTGGCAAGGCCAGCAATACAACTTCTTGGTCCAACTTCAGAGTATATCAACTGTTCACCCCTATGTCATAATATAGTTCAGAGGGATTTTGATCACTTTTCCCTTCCACGAGCTATCACACTAATTCATTACATTGATGATATTCTGCTGCTTGGACCCAGTGAACAAAAAGTAGCAACT
This sequence comes from Homo sapiens, assembly GCF_000001405.40. Taxonomy (NCBI): domain Eukaryota; kingdom Metazoa; phylum Chordata; class Mammalia; order Primates; family Hominidae; genus Homo; species Homo sapiens. Next base: position 111,984,631 of record NC_000023.11, on the reverse strand, counting down.
ATTCTAGGCTTATTGGTAAGACATTTGTGTGCCAGAGAGTGGGTAATAAATCTGACAGAAGTTCAAGGACCTTCCACCTCAGTAAAATTTCTTGGAGTCCAGTGGTGTGAAGCCTTTCAAGATATCCTTTCCAAGGTGAAGGATAAGTTGCTACATTTGGCCTTTCCTACAATGAAAGAAGCACAATGCTGAGTGGACCTCTTTAGATTTTGAAGACAACATAGTTCTCATTTGAGTGTGTTACTCCATCTTATTTACCAAGTGACCTGTAAACCTGCTAGTTTTGAGTGGGGCCCAGAATAAGATCCAGGCTGCTGTGCAAGCTTCTCTGTCGCTTGAGCTACATCACCCAGCCGAACCAATGATGCTTCAAGTGTCAGTAGCAGATACGGAGGTTGTTTGGTGCCTTTGGCAGTCCCCTAGAAGTGAATCACAGCGCAGGCCCTTAGGATTTTGCCATCCTCTGTGGTTAACTAATCCCCTTTTGAGAAACAGCTCTTAGCCCGCTACTGGGCCTTAGTAGAGACTGAATGCTTGAACATGGGACAGAAAGTTACCATGCAACCTGAGCTGCACATCATGAACTTGGTGTTTTCTGACACACCAAGCTATAAAGTTGGGGGTCACTTCATCATCAAATAAAAGTGATATATACGTGATAAGGCCTGAGCAGGTTCTGAGGACAAATGTAAGTTAAATGAAGAAGTGGCCCAAATATCCATGGTTCCCTCTCCTGCTACGCCGTCTTCTGTCTCCCAGCCTGTACCTATGGCCTTATGAGGAGTTCTCTATTATCAGTTGACACAAGAAGGGAAGACTCAGGCCTGGTTTACAGACAGTTTGACACAATATACAGGCACCACCCAAGAGTAAACAGCTGCCACATTACAGTTCATTTTAGGATGTCCCTTAAGGAGAGTGGTGAAGGAAAATCCTCTCAGTGGGCAGAATGTTGAGTAGTGTACCTAGTTGTTCACTAGCTTGAAAGGAGAAATGGCTGGACATGAGATTATATACTAATTCATGAGCTATAGCCAATGGTTTGGCTGGATGGTCAGGGACTTGAAAGGAACATGATTAGAAAATTTATGACAGGGAAATTTGGGAAAGAAATATATGGATAGACCTCTCTGAATGGGCAAAAAAGTGAAGATTTTGTTCCCCATGTAAATGCTCACCAAAGGGTTACCTCAACAGAGGAAGATTTTAATAATCAAGTGGACAGTATGATCTGTTCTGTAGATAGCAGTCAGGCTCTTTACTCAGCCACTTCCATCATCACCAATGGGTTTATGAAGAAAGTGGTCATGATGGCTGTGATGGAGGTAATCGATGGGCTCAGCAACATGGACTCCCACTCACCAAGGCGTACCTGGCTACAGTCACTGCTGAGTGCCCAATCTGATAGCAGCAGGGACCAATACCTCCTGCAAAAACTATCATTCATGGACTTACAGAATGCTTTATCCACCATCATATTATTCCACACAGCATTATTTTTGATCAAGGAACTCACTTCACAGCAAAAGAGGTATAGCAGTGAGTCCATGGTCATGGAATTCACTGGTCTTACCATATTCTTCACTATCCTAAAGCAGCTGGCTTGAAAGAACAGTGGAATGGCCTTTTCAAGACTCAGTTACAGAATCAACTTGGTAACAATACTTTTAAGGTTAGGGCAGGTTCCTCCAGAAGGGTCTATATGCTCTGAATCAGCATCCAATATATGATGCTGTGCTCCCATAGCCAAGATTCACAGTTCCAAAAATCTAGGGGTACAAATGAGAGTGGAATCGCTCATTATTACCCCTAGTAACCCACTAGCAAGATTTTTGTTTCCTGCTCCCATGACCTTATGCCTTGCTGACCTAGAGGCCTTAGTTCCAAAGGCAGGAATGCTTCTACCAGAAGACATAACAACAACTCCATTGACTTGGAAATTAAGACTGTTGCCCAGCCACTTTGGTCCCCTCAAGCATCTTAATCAGCAGGCAAAGAAGGGACTCATGGTGTTGGCTGGTGTGATTGAGCCTGAATACCAATGGAAAATTGAACTACTACTCCATAATGAAGGTAAGGAAGAATATGTCTGAAACACAGGAGATTCCTTAGAGGATCTCTTAATATTACCATGCCCTGTGATTAAGGTCAGTGAAAAACTATAACCCAATCCAGGCAGGATGCTTAATGGCCCAGAACCTTCAGGAATAAAGGTTTCAGTTATCCCACCAGATAAACAACCGTGACCAGCTGAGATGCTTGTGAAGGCAAAGGGAACACAGAATGAGTAGTGGAAGAAGGTAGTTATAAATGCTAACTGTGACCACATGGCCAGTTACAGAAATTAGAACTATAATTATCATGCGTATTTCTTCCTTATTTTATAACGAATATTATATTATTCCATTCTCACACTGCCATAAAGGACTACCTGAGACTGGGTAATTTATGACTAAAAGAGGTTTAATTGACTCACAGTTCCGCAGGCTGTACAGAAGCATGGCTGAAAGGCCTCAGGAAACTTACAATCATGGCAGAAGGTGAAGAGGAAGCAAGCATGTCTTACCATGGTGAAGCAGGAAAGAGAGAGCAAGAGCGAGGGGGGAAGTACCACACTTTAAAACCATCAGATCTTGTGATAACTCACTTACTATCATGAGAACATCATGGGAGAAATTTGCCCCCATGAACCAATCACCTCCCACCTGGTCCCTCCCCTGACATGTGGGGATTACAATTCGGCATGAGATTTGGGCTGGCACACAGAGCCAAACCATATCTAATAAGTTTGTGTTTATATATATTAAGCAACCATCTTTGTATTATTTCCTTTTTTATTCCTTTATCATGAAATATAAAATGTATTAACTTTACATCGTGGTAATTAAGTTGTGAGACATCAAGGCAAAGAGTAAACATCACTCAAGGATTTTACCTCCTCTTCTAGAAAAGGGGTTAGTGAATTTTCAGTTGTACACAGGACAGTTGCATCATGTTAGGCTGAATTATGACCTTGTTATTGTTTTTATTTGGGGATGAAGTGTGGTTTAATGAGATGTGTTTAGGTGCCAAATTGACAAATGGTGGACATGTGATGCTTAATTTTATGTCTCAACTTAACTGGGCCATAGGGCGCCAAGATATTTAGTCAGATGTTATTCTGGGTGTGTCTGTGCAGGTATTTTTGGATGAGCTTGACCTTTGAATTGGTAAACTGAGTAAAGCAGATTGCCCCTGTTATGTGTGTGGACCTCAATCCAATCAGTTGAAGGCCTAACTAGAATAAAAATGCTGACTCTCTTATGAGCAAGTGGGGACTCCTCCTGCCTGACCACTTGAGCTGGGACATCAGTCTTTTTTTTGCCTTTGAACTTGAACTGAAACATCAGCTTTTTAGGGGTCTCAAGCCTGCTGGTTTTTGAACTGGAACATGCATCATCAGCTCTCTTGGTTCTCAGGCTTTTGGAATCAGACTAGAACTACACCATCAGCTCTCCTGGGTCTCCAGCTTGCTGACTGCAGATCTTGGGATTTCTCAGCTTCCATAATTCCATGAGCCAATTATTTATAATAAATCTCTCTCATATATACATATACGGATATATACATACATACACATAGATAGTCTTCTCTGTATATACATATACATATAAATTTATGTATTAGAGTTCTCCAGACCAACAGGATGTGTGTGTGTGTGTGTGTGTATATATATATATACATATATATAATATATATATATATTAGTCACAGTCTTCAGGCTAATGGGATGTGTATCTCTGACTAATACATAGATATATTGCAGATTTTATTGATATAAATGATGTGTAGCACACAATTTAGAAATAATAATGAAATATACAATACTCTATTGTAAATTCCATATAGCCTATTGAATCTCACAAAATGCTTTCAATGACTTTTGCTGAAGCTTGTATCCTTAGCTGGGCTATGTTTGTAATTGATGAAGGAGTCAAGTTTTGATATGAACATTGGTTGATATTTTTATTTAAGTTAATGAGTGAAACTAAAATGAAAAAACAATGATGTATGTTGAAATTTTATTCATCCATCAATGACATGAATGAATTCATTGATTAATCTGAATTCAAATACTAAAAGAATATTTCCTCAATTTTTGTGCAATTTACAATTTTAATAAGGTATAGAACATATAAGAAACTGCACATAAAGTGTAAAATTTGGTGGGTTTTGACATATATCCCATTAAACTCCTGAAATCACCACAAATGAACATATCTATCACACTCAAAAGTTTCCTCCTGTCCCTTTTGTAATGCCTCTGCATCCCCATCATCCACAGGCAACCATTGATCTTTTTCTCACTATAGATTCATTTTAATTTTCAAGAATATTGTATAAATGGAATAATAATGTGTATACTCTTTTTCTCTTGCTTCATTCACTCACCATACTTATTTTGAAATTTATCAATATTGTAGCATGCATTGACAATTTATTCCATTTTACTGCTGAATAGTATTCCATTATATGAATACACCTCAATTTACTTATCCATTTACCTGTTGAAGAACAACTGGATTGTTTCCAGTTTGGGGCTATTAAAAATAAAGCCACTATGAAAATTCACGTACAATTTTTTTGTATGGACATATACATTAACTTTTCTGGGATAACTACTTAGTTATTTTTAGACTGGATCATACGGTACATGTATGCTTACTTTTAAAAGAAATTGCTAAGCTGGTTTACAAAGATGTACCATTTTTTCATTCCCTCTAGCAGTATATGAGAGTTCTAGCTCCTTCACATTCTCACCCACGCTTGGTATGGTCAGTCATTTTAATTTTAGGTTTAACTTAATAGATGCATAATGGTGTCACATTGTGGATTTAATTTGTATTTACCTAAAAACTAGTGATGCTGAGCAACTTCTCATATGCCTGTTTTCCATTTATATATCCTTTTTGGTGAAGTATCTTTTCAAATATTTTGCCCAACTTAAAAACCAGATTATTTGTTTCAATTTTGGGGTGTTTTAAGAGTCTTTATATGTTCTGAATGAGTCCTTTATCAGATTATGATTTGCATATATTTTCCCAGTCTGTAACTCATGTTTTCATTTTCTCAATAGTGTCTTTAGAACAACAGATAATTTTAATTTTGATGGAGTGTGATTAATCTTTCCTTTCATCTATTATAGATTATACTTTTGATGTTATATCGAAGAAATCATTGCTTAGCTCGTGGTCACAAAGATTTTTCATTATATCTTATTCTAGTCATTTATGATTTTAGGCCTTACACATAGGTCTGTGATCCATTTTGAATTAAGTTTTGCATATGGTGTAAAGTATGGCTCAAAGGTCCTTATTTTCACATGGAAATCCAATTGTTCCAGCACCTTTTGTTGAAAAAGACCCTTCTTTATCCACGAATTGCCTTTACCTTTTTCAGACATCAGTTTTGTATATATGTGTAGGCATACTACTGGACTCTTTTTTTCCATTAATCTATTTGTCTCTCTTGATGCTACTACCACATTTCTTGATTGCTATACCTTTATCAAAAGTCCAATGTGTACATCTTTCATTTCTTATTATTTCCTTCTAGCACTAGCCAAAACATCCAGTATAATACTAAATAAAAGTTGCAAGAGTGGATATCTTTGCTTTGTTTCTGATCTTAGGTGGAAAGTATTCATTCTTCCATAATGAAGTATGATGTTAGCTGCGGGTCTTTTTTAAACAACTTTATTAAGATATAATTGACATATAAAAATTATATATACTTAAAACGTATGACTTGATGTTTTGTTATAAATATACATTGTGAAATTATTACCAGCTAATTAACTAATTAATGGTAACCTTTACATAGTTACCATTTGTGTATGTCTGTTGAGATATAATTTAAGATCCAGCCTCATAGCAAACTTCAAGTATATAATATAGCATTTTTTACTATTGTCACCATGTTGTATATTATAACTCCAGAACTTATTCATCTTGTAAGACTGAAATTGGGGCTATTAAAAATAAAGCCACTATGAAAATTCACCAACAATTTTTTTGTATGGACATATACATTAACTTTTCTGGGATAACTACTTAGGTACTTTTAGACTGGCTCATACGGTACGTGTATGCTTACTTTTAAAAGAAATTGCTAAACTGGTTTACAAAGATGAAATGTTGTACCCTTTGACCAACATTACCCAATTCTTCCCTCCTCCAACTATCCAACTCTCTTCTTCCTTGAATTTGACTATCTCAGATTCCACATATTAAATGAGATCATGTAGTATTTCAATTTCTGTGTCTTGCTTATTTCACCTAGAATGATGTTCATCAGTTCCATCCATGTTGTCACAAGTGGCAAGATTTTCTTCTTCTTTAAGACTAAATAATATTTAATTATACACACACACATTAAAGTTATTTCCATATTTTGGCTATTGTGAATAATGCTGCAATGAACATAGGAGTGAATATTAACTCTTTGTGATGCTATTTTCAATTCCTTTGGCTACATACACAAAAGTGGGATTGGTGGATCTTATGGTAGTTCTATTTTTAATTTTCTGAGGAACTTTCATAATGTTTTCCATAATGGCTGCACTAATTTACATTCCCACAAGAGTGTACAAAAATTCCCCTTTCTCTACATCCTCACCAACACTTATATTTTGTTTTTTTTTGTAATAGCCATCTTAACAGGTGTGAGGTGGTATCTTACTGGGGTTTTCATTTGCATTTCTCTGATGATTAGAGATGTTTAACACCTTTGCATATGCCTGTTGGCCATCTGCGTTTCTTCTTTTGAGAAGCGTCTATTTAGGTTCTTTGCCCATTTTTTAATTGGGTTATTTGTATTTTTGGTATTGAGTTGTTATGAGTTTCTTATATATGTTGGATACTAACCACTTATTTGATACATAGTTTGCCAATACTTTTTCCCATTCTGTGAGTTGCCTTTTTGTTTTCTTGATTTTTTCCTTTGCCAGGCAGAAGCTTTTTAGTTGGTGTAATAACTCTTGTCTATTTTTGCTTTTGTTGTCTGTGCTTTCGGAGTTACATCCTAAAAATTATAGACAAGATCAATGTTAAGAAGGTTTTTCCCTATGTTTTCTTCTAGCAGTTTTGTAGTTTCACGTCTTATGTTTAAATCTTTATTTAAGTTTTGTGTACAGTGTAAGATATGAATTTAATTTCAATTTTTGCATTTGGATATCCAGTTTTCCCAATACCATTTGTTGAAGAGTCTATCCTTTTTCCATTTTGCGTTTTTGACACTCCGAAGATCAGTTGACCATAAATGTGTGCGTTTATTTTTTGGTTATCTGTTCTATTCTATTGATCGGTATGTCTACTTTTATGCTGGTACCGTAATGTTTTAATTACTATAATATAACTTAGAGTCAGGAAATATGATGCCTCCAGCTTATCCTTTTGCACAAGACTGCTTTGGCTGTTTCAGGTCTTTTGTAGTTCCATACAAATATTAGGATTTTTTTTTCTATTTTTTAAAGGCCATTTGGGATTTTGATAGGAATTGCATTGAATCTGTAGATCACTTTGGGTAGTATGGACATTTTGAAAATATTAATTATTCTAGTCCATAAACTTGGGATCTCATCTCATTTATTTGTGTCTTTTCTAGATTTCTTCATCAATATTTTATGATTTTCAGTGCATACGTCTTACAACTCTTTGGTTAAGTTAATTCCTAAGTATTTTCTTTTTGCTTGTTCTTGTCTCTAATGTAAATGGGATTTTTTTTTTTAATTTTTCTTCTGGATAGGTCATTGTTGGTGTATAGAAATGCCACTGATTTTTGTATGATGATGTATTTTTCTACAACTTTACTGACTTATTTATTAGTGCTAACAGTTTTTTGTGTGTGAATTCTGTAGGGTTTTCTACATACATGATCATATTATCTGCAAACAAATAATTTTACTTCTTCCTTTCCAATTTTCATGCCTTTTATTTCTTTTTCTTGCCTAATTGCTCTGGGTAGAACTTTCAGTACTACGTTAAATAGCAGTGGTGAGCATGAGAATCCTTACCTTCTTCTGGATCATATAGAAAAAGTTTTCAGTTTTTCCCCATTGATTATGACGTTAGCCTCGAGTTTTTCACATACGGTCTTTATTGTGTTAAGGTAAGCTTTTTCTATATTTATTTACTTATTTTATTATTTATTTATTCAGAGACAGGGTCTCACTCTGTCAGTGAGAGTGGCACTCCAGGCTGGAGTTCAGTGGCACAAACATGGCTCACTGCAGCCTCGATCTCTTAGGCTGAAGTGATTCTCCCATGTTAGCCTTCCAAGTAGCTGAAATTACAAGTGCACACCACCACACCTGGGTAATTTTTCTATTTTTTACAGAGACAAGGTTTTGCCACATTGCCCAAGCTAGGCTCGAACTCCTGGGCTCAAGCAATCTTCCCACCTCAGCCTCCCAAAGTGCAGGGGCTATAGGTGTGAGTCATCATGCCCAGCCTCCATATTCATTTTGTTGAGTTTTATCATGAATAGATGGTGAATTTCATAAAAAAATTTTTCTGTATCTATTGAGATGATCATGCAGCTTTTTTATTCTGTTAATATAGTATACGACATTGATTAATTTTCATATGTATATGTTGTATTCTCCTTTCTTAGGGATAAATTCTACTTCATCATGTAACATGATTTTTTTGTTGTTTTTTGTTGTTGTTGTTGTTTTGTTTTTCTTTTGGAGACGGAGTCTTGCTCTGTCGCCCAGGCTGGAGTGCAGTGGTGCAATCTCGGCTCACTGCAAGCTCCGCCTCTCCGCTTTGCTCCATTCTCCTGCCTCAGCCTCCTGAGTAGCTGGGACTACAGGCGCACGCCGCCACGCCCGGCTAATTTTTTTCTTTTTTGTATTTTTAGTGGAGATGGGGTTTCACAGTGTTAGCCAGGATGGTCCCGATCTCCTGACCTCGTGATCCGCCCTCCTCAGCTTCCCAAAATGCTGGGATTACAGGCGTGAGCCCCCACGCCCGGCTGTAACATGATCTTTTTAGTCTGTCGGGGGGTGTGGGGCTGGGGGAGGGATAGCATTAGGAGAAATACTTAATGTAAATGACGAGTTGATGGGTGCAGCAAACCAACATGGCACATGTATACCTGTGTAACAGACCTGCACGTTGTGCACATGTACCCTAGAACTTAAAGTAATAATATATAATAATAATTATATAATATGGCACCTATGGAAATCATATTAGTCCTCCTTCCAGGGTTTATTGCTATTGCTGTTTGTTATTTTGTTGTTGCTGCTGTTTTTTTTTTTTCTATTTAGTGAATTTCCCGGACTAATTTTAAAAAGTTTGTGTTCTTTATTGTATACAGTCACTCAAGTCTCTGCTCAATTATCTTAGTCGCCAGTGATTGGACAGAGATTTATTTAAATGCCTTGAACTAATAATTCTCCCACCTTTTGCTGACGTGGAGCAACCCTCAATTCCCTGGCAAGCAGTTAATAATTCTGCCTTAATCTTCATTTCTTGTTTGTGCAGAGCATCAAGGTCACTCTTACATGAGTGATTAGGGCCTTCTCAGGTGCTTTCTGGGCATAGACACAGCCATACATTTGTCCCCCACCCTTCAGAATCCCAGGAAAATTTCAGAGCTCTTTAAAGCTCCCTGTAAACATCTCATTCCCGATATTTTCCTTTTAAGTTTTTTGTCATCCTCTATTTTGCTCCAACTAGTATTATTTCCTCAGGGAACTATAGTGTTAAACAATTGCCATGGATTTTGTAAATTATTTTAAAAACAATTTTTGTGGGTACAGACAGTCTACGGATAGGGTTTTCCTCACTGACAAAGCCCTGGAGTAAGGTCAAAATAAAGACAAGCTTTTCCCGGGATTTTCCAGACAGCTCATATAGTCACAGCTCTCTGGTGATGGGTCTTTGGGGAGCTCCAAACCCATTCTGTCTTCTCCAGTGGTTACTAGCCTGCTGAATTTTCCAGTTGCTGTATTTCTGAAGTTGCACGTTTTCAAAGCTACCATCAAGCAGGAGAGTGGATTATCAGACTACAGCAAGTAAAAATGCCACAGTGCTATCTGTTCCAATAAAGATTTAACTGTTTTTCTTGAATAAATGCTTCTTAGATTGTTGCAAGTGTTTGGTTAATTTCCAGAGTTCTGAAAAGTCATTTTTTTTTTCCTAGTGTTCTCATTGCTTTTATGGGGGAACAGATTAATGTTCTCCTTAATACCTATGGAAGACCCTGTGCAGATATTTGGGGTACTTTCTCTGTACAACTATCTCTTATCCATTACCCTCTCCTGTGATCTCTAGCTACCTTCACCAGAAGTCCACCAGGCTCTGCTTCAGTTCCCTCTCCCTGAACCATGACCTGGAAACTCTCTCAAGGTAGCAAGCTTAGAAAATTATAGAACCCTTCTACCTTGTTTCCCATCACTCAGAGACCACTGCTTTTCATTGGCTAGTGCCCTGTGTCCTGAAAATCACCATATAATATGTTTTATTTTATTTTTTGGTTGTTTCAAGTAGGAGATTAAATTTAGTCCCTGTTACTCTATTTTAGCCAGAAGTATAAATCCCCTCCATGACACACTTTTAAGTTTAATATGCATTATTAATATTTTCCTCATCACTTCTTTAATTCTAAACTGTCGACAGAACAGTAAATCTAGCACTGATTTATAGCATTTGCCAACTTATATTGTATATATACTCCCGCTATGGCCAATTTCAAGTTAACAACATATGTAATATTTCTACAACATATGTAATACAATAGATATAAATAACCTCAGGAGCATAGATTCTCCTGTAAATGAAGTAAAATAAATAGGAAATTACTTTGTTTTCATTATTACTTTGTTTCTAATGTAATTTGTTTAATTGTAAGTTGAAATAATTTAATTTTTAATAACTATTTAAAAACAGCTTACAAAGTTTCTGAAAATTTAACAATCTGTTCTTGTGAGATAGTATGAGCCATCTGTAGTACACTACTGCTTCTGTCTCTAGAGATTAGAATCACTGTGGAAACATCACTATAAGCCAGTATGCAAGGAGAAGAATTCATCCACCTAGGGATATGTGTGCATGCTCCCTGCTCACCAAGGGCATTAAGCTACCCTAACAAATATAAAAAGCAAGCGTTTCACCACTTTTTTCTCTCCAGAGGAAAAATATTATTCTCAGAATTCCACCATTAAAAATTCATTACTAAAGATCTTGAAGTCTTTTCAATTTCTAAGAATCCTCTATTAAAATGGCAAGGTATTTCCTGTGAGCAGTAATACTTTAAGCCTTTTAATCGGCTAATACCTTTATGGATGGTACATAGCTAAGTAAGAACAAGGCCTTGTGTCATTAGCTCCTAGGCTCTGTGCTTGGCAGAGGCAGTGGAAATAGATGTAGGAGGGAAATTAAAAAGGGAAAGTAGCAATACTCCAATTTAAAAGTGTCTTTTTAATTGACTTTCAGAAAGTCAGTCCCAATATATCCATATATAGGACTGAGTTTTTACATACTAAGAAAATAGCTGGTGCCTCCTCCTATCTTGGCCTGACTACCCACTAGCAGTGAAGGTCACATGAGCTGCTAACCATTTTGTCTTGCTCATCTCCAGGAGAACATTCTAATGTTGGAGGAAAAATTGAAAGAAGAAAAAGATAAGAAGTCCATCTATAAACCTCAAAAGTTTAAAATATCTTTACAACAGTAGCCATGCCAAAATATTAAAAAGCTAGAAATGTTCAGCAGTTTATGTAAGAAAAGGAAGCCCATAATGAGAAACAAGAGAAAAATGAGGAAGAATAATTTTCTAAAGACAAGGGGGTTTGTGAGGAAATTGTCACTTTTGATGAGTTCAAGATAATATTTTTTCTCAAGATTTAAAAATTAAATTAGAAATGGGTGATATTTGGCAGCCCATTCATAAATATGTAGAATGTATACAACCTTTGAAGAAGGAGGGTGCCACAAGCCAGACCAAGCTCCTCTAACCACAATCAGCAATTCCTGTACAAAGCTGTTAGACCCACGCACCAAGCACGCAGTGCAAATTCCCAGTCAGCTACACTGAGTTCCCAGGGGCAGAACAATGCTGACCTTTGCCCCTGTAAAAATTTTGTATCGCTCTCTCTTGTGCCTCATACTCACGTAGTAAAGTTTTCTTCCTACTTCCTAACCCCAAACCCTAGGCAACCTCTCAATGCCTACTATGCGTGGAGTCTATTAATAGTAATTTAGCCTGCAAAACTCTAGAAGGAAATGAGCAGAATTGACTTGTCCCCATCTACACAGCTGTTGGAATATGAATACCGTCTTCAGATTTCTGAATTTTTCTAAGGCAAGAAGAAATCTAAAGTGGGGAAGGTCTCTGTCACTAAAAAGGATTGTAAGCACGGTCCAACTTGGTAAAGGGCCCAAGGAAAGAATCATCTCTGGAGCTTAAAAGGAACATGGTGGCAGAAGGGCAAGAGATGCAAGACAGGGTAATTGTAACCTGAGGCAGTGGGAGAGGCAGAACACTGAAAGGCAGCCAAAGTTTGCAGCCAAGAAGGACGCATTTCATATCAGTATTTAATCCATAGAGGAAGGTAGATGCGATGGGTATCTGGGAGAATAGATAGCATGAGAGAAGGAGGATTGAATTGAGTCAGGAGATGAAAAACGTGTTGAGCAGAGCTATTATATGTGTTAGTGTGCTCCTTTATTTACATGGGGGCTCAGCACATATCGAAGAACTAGATTAAATGCTTAAAGAAATTAAATTAAACTTACAGCAATATTTTATAGGGCCCATAGAGAGCATCCTGACTTCCAGGTGATCTTTCCTCCAGATTTCTGAAGTACTGAGGTTAAGTTATGAATGATAGAATCATAAGCAATCATTAACAGGCAATAGAGAGACCCTGGGAATAGTCTTAATTTTTGGAAGGGACACAAGGGAAGAAAACCTCTTATAACAACATACTCCTCAGAGTTTCTATTAGAGGAAAGATCTTGGGCTGGTTTCCCTTAAGATGGAAATCACAATGATCAGGATTCATTAAGATGCCTTTGAGCAGTATGACTGTTATTTCTGGGAAACAGCACTCAAGAGGCTACAGTCACAGACCTCAAGATATCAGAGCAACTCCATCTCTGAGTTGAGATGTACTACCTTCTGAGTACAGGTTTACAATCCAAACTTGGATTGCCCCCGCCCCAGTGTCAAAAGGAATTGAGATTCTATCTGGATTATCTAGTTTATTTCATCTATAAAACAGCCTAAACTGATAACTGAATCTCAAACTTCATTTCTTTTAGTCTGAATCATCCTGTTTGCCTGTCTTCATAGTATAAACAAATAGCTAACTGATAAATGTGCCCTCCTTTGGTGCTGTATCTAACCCAATAGTCTCTAAGTACCATAATTGTTGGTAATACTTTGCAAACTTTTATCGTGTTAATAAATAATTGATGTTAGGGCTGACATCGATAACAATCACCTTGTCTATCGCCCTCATTTTTCAGAAAAGGAAATGAAGACATAAAGAAGCGGTAATGTGGCCGGGCGCGGTGACTCACGCCTGTAATCCCAGCACTTTGGGAGGCCGAGGCGGGCGGATCACGAGGTCAGGAGATCGAGACCATCCTGGCTAACACGGTGAAACCCCGTCTCTACTAAAAATACAAAAAAATTAGCCAGGCGTGGTGGTGGGCGCCTGTAGTCCCAGCTAATCGGGAGCTGGGGAGGCTGAGGCAGGAGAATGGTGTGAACCCAGGAGGCGGAGCTTGCAGTGAGCCGAGATCGCGCCACTGCACTCCAGCCTGGGCGACAGAGCAAGGCTCTGTCAAAAAAAAAAAAAACGGTAATGTGACTTGCCTGAGTTCACGCTTCAAGTTAGTGGCAGAGCTGGGACTACAATCCACGTCTCCTAATTCCCAGGACACTATTTTTAAACTGCACCAATTTACAAATAGAGGTACATACCATTGCTTTCAGAAATGTTCCCTGATAAGTTTTTCTCTTTCATTTTGAAGCTGTTCTATTGTAACATTTTAAGTCTTAATGTTTTATGTGGGGGCAGGCAGGAATGTGCAGAATTAACCACTTTGCAGGAAACATGACCTTGTACAAAAGTAAAACTCTCTGAGTAACAATAAGCTTGACCTGGTTTTAGAGCACCCGATATGCAAAATGAGAAATTTATAAGATAATCGCACTGAAGGTGATTGCAGTATAAGGGAGTACTCAGCAGAACTTCTTGAGTGCATTTAAGCATTTAAGATCATTATTTGGCAGAACTCTCTGGGGCCGAGAAACAAAGTTAAAACGTTAAAAGTTACTGCCAAATGAAAACCAAAAAAGCAAATTAAGCATCTTTGAAGAATAATAGAAGTCATGAAGAAATAGAATCTATTTGACAGGAACTCAGATTCTCCTGGAAATATCAGGGCCCTAGTCATCAGCCTTAATGAATGGCCTTTCTCAGTCACACAGATAGCAGCACTGTAACTCCTCCAGTCACCAGGGCTTAAACTTGGATATTATTTGAAGGTTCCTCCTATGCCTCATTCTCTAGAGTTTATTCACTAACAAGGCTTGTTTTATCTTCCTTTGAAATAACTCTAAAATTCTCGTCTTCTCCATTCAGACTGCCACCATTCTAGATAGAATCTATAAACGTATGACACAGTCCCATTCTCCCCTACTCTGGTTCACCATTGACACAGCCATAGGAGTCACCATATAACATACAGCTTTCTTGATCACTTCTTTAAGAACCTAGAGTGTCTCTTCAATGCCTATAAGATCAAGTCACAGCTTCTCAACCAGATGTTCATCACCCTCCAACAAGTAGGCCCAGCTTACTTACTCCTACATTCTTCCCTCTCTTTCTAAATATTGCCCTATCCAAAACAGTACCAATTCTCACCCCTGACTTCCACCCCTACCCCACATATAATAAAAGTTTTCTCCTAGCTCCTACATCTGTCTATCTATATCCTACCCAGCCTTTAAAAATCAGCTCAAGTTCTACCTCTTCCATATACCTTTCCTAACCACCACCCAATAACTTCAGCTAACACTGATCTTTACAATTTCATTTAGTGCTAGCAATGCTATAGACACTGATATCCTCCATGTATTTTTATAATTGGAAAAAAATAGCAGGTAAAATTTGGAACTCATTTAACAAAGTCCTGCCCTGAAACAGAAGGATGGTCAAATGTTTATACAAGCATACCTCGGAGGTATTGAGGGTTCAGTTCTAGACCACTGCAATAAAGTGAATGTTGCAAGTCAAATATTTTCATCTCCCAATGCATATAAAATTTATGTTTACACTATACTATAGCCTATTAAGTATGCAATAACATTATGTTAAAAAACAATATACAAACCTTAATTTTAAAATACTGTATTGCTAAAAAATGTTAACGATTATCTGAGTTTTCAGCAAGTCATAATCTTTTTGCTGGTGGAGGGTCCTGCCACAATGTTGATGACTGCTGACTGATCAGGCTGACTGATAAGGGTGGGGGTTGCTGAAGGTTGAAGTGGCTGTGGCAATTTTTTTTGTTTTGTTTTGTTATTTATTTATTTTTTTTGTTGTTTTTATTTTATTTTATTTTATTTTATTTTATTTTATTTTATTTTATTTTATTATACTTTAAGTTTTAGGGTACATGTGCGCAATGTGCAGGTTTGTTACATATGTATACATGTGCCATGTTGGTGTGTTGCACCCATTAACTCATCATTTAGCATTAGGTATATCTCCAAATGCTATCCCTCCCCCCTCCCCCCACCCCACAACAGTCCCCAGAGTGTGATGTTTCCCTTCCTGTGTCCACGTGTTCTCATTGTTCAGTTCCCACCTATGAGTCAGAACATGCAGTGTTTGGTTTTTTGTCCTTGCGATAGTTTGCTGAGAATGATGGTTTCCAGTTTCATCCATGTCCCTACAAAGGACATGAACTCATCATTTTTTATGGCTGCATAGTATTCCATGGGGTATATGTGCCACATTTTCTTAATCCAGTCTATCGTTGTTGGACATTTGGGTTGGTTCCAAGTCTTTGCTATTGTGAATAGTGCCGCAATAAACATACGT
Source organism: Homo sapiens (assembly GCF_000001405.40). NCBI lineage: Eukaryota > Metazoa > Chordata > Mammalia > Primates > Hominidae > Homo > Homo sapiens. Next base: position 111,968,523 of record NC_000023.11, on the reverse strand, counting down.
ATGCATGTGTCTTTATAGCAGCATGATTTATAATCCTTTGGGTATATACCCAGTAATGGGATGGCTGGGTCAAATGGTATTTCTAGTTCTAGATCCCTGAGGAATTGCCACACCGACTTCCACAATGGTTGAACTAGTTTACAGTCCCACCAACAGTGTAAAAGTGTTCCTATTTCTCCACATGCTTTCCAGCACCTGTTGTTTCCTGACTTTTTAATGATTGCCATTCTAACTGGTGTGAGATGGTATCTCATTGTGGTTTTGATTTGCATTTCTCTGATGGCCAGTGATGATGAGCATTTTTTCATGTGTTTTTTGGCTGCATAAATGTCTTCTTTTGAGAAGTGTCTGTTCATATCCTTCGCCCACTTTTTGATGGGGTTTTTTTGTTTTTTTCTTGTAAATTTGTTTGAGTTTATTGTAGATTCTGGATATGAGCCCTTTGTCAGAGGAGTAGGTTGAAAAAATTTTCTCCCATTCTGTAGGTTGCCTGTTCACTCTGATGGTGGTTTCTTTTGCTGTGCAGAAGCTCTTTAGTTTAATTAGATCCCATTTGTCAATTTTGGCTTTGGTTGCCATTGCTTTTGGTGTTTTAGACATGAAGTCCTTGCCCATGCCTATGTCCTGAATGGTATTGCCTAGGTTTTCTTCTAGGGTTGTTATGGTTTTAGGGCTAACATTTAAGTCTTTAATACATCCTGAATTAATTTTTGTATAAGGTGTAAGGAAGGGATCCAGTTTCAGCTTTCTACATATGGCTAGCCAGTTTTCCCAGCACCATTTATTAAATAGGGAATCCTTTCCCCATTGCTTGTTTTTCTCAGGTTTGTCAAAGATCAGATGGTTGTAGATATGTGGCATTATTTCTGAGGGCTCTGTTCTGTTCCATTGATCTGTATCTCTGTTTTGGTACCAGTACCATGCTGTTTTGATTACTGTAGCCTTGTAGTATAGTTTGAAGTCAGGAAGTGTGATGCTTTGTTCTTTTGGCTTAGGATTGACTTGGCCATGCGGGCTCTTTTTTGGTCGCTATGAACTTTAAAGTAGTTTTTTTCCAGTTCTGTGAAGAAAGTCATTGGTAGCTTGATGGGGATGGCATTGAATCTATAAATTACCTTGGGCAGTATGGCCATTTTCACGATATTGATTCTTCCTACCCATGAGCATGGAATGTTCTTCCATTTGTTTGTATCCTCTTTTATTTCCTTGAGCAGTGGTTTGTAGTTCTCCTTGAAGAGGTCCTTCACATCCCTTGTAAGTTGGATTCCTTGGTATTTTATTCTCTTTGTAGCAATTGTGAATGGGAGTTCACTCATGATTTGGCTCTCTGTTTGTCTGTTATTGGTTTATAAGAATGCTTGTGATTTTTGTACACTGATTTTGTATCCTGAGACTTTGCTGAAGTTGCTTATCAGTGTAAGGAGATTTTGGGCTGAGATGATGGGGTTTTCTAGATATACAATCATGTCATCTGCAAACAGGGACAATTTGACTTCCTCTTTTCCTAATTGAATACCCTTTATTTCCTTCTCCTGCCTAATTGCCCTAGCCAGAACTTCCAACACTATGTTGAATAGGAGTGGTGAGAGAGGCATCCCTGTCTTGTGCCAGTTTTGAAAGGGAATGCTTCCAGTTTTTGCCCATTCAGTATGATATTGGCTGCGGGTTTGTCACAGATAGCTCTTATTATTTTGAGATACGTCCCATCAATACCTAATTTATTGAGAGTTTTTAGCATGAAGAGTTGTTGAATTTTGTCAAAAGCCTTTTCTGCATCTATTGAGATAATCATGTGGTTTTTGTCTTTGGTTCTGTTTATATGCTGGATTACATTTATTGATTTGCATATGTTGAACCAGCCTTGCATCCCAGAGATGAAGCCCACTTGATCATGGTGGATAAGCTTTTTGATGTGCTGCTGGATTCGGTTTGCCAGTATTTTATTGAGGATTTTTGCATCAATGTTCATCAAGGATATTGGTCTAAAATTCTCTTTTTTGGTTGTGTCTCTGCCCGGCTTTGGTATCAGGATGATGCTGGCCTCATCAAATGAGTTAGGGAGGATTCCCTCTTTTTCGATTGATTGGTATAGTTTCAGAAGGAATGGTACCAGTTCCTCCTTGTATCTCTGGTAGAATTCGGCTGTGAATCCATCTGGTCCTGGACTCTTTTTGGTTGGTAAGCTATTGATTATTGCCACAATTTCAGATCCTGTTATTGGTCTATTCAGAGGTTCAACTTCTTCCTGGTTTAGTCTTGGGAGGGTGTATGTGTTGAGGAATTTATCCATTTCTTCTAGATTTTCTAGTTTAGTTGCGTAGAGGTGTTTGTAGTATTCTCTGATGGTAGTTTGTATTTCTTTGGGATCGGTGGTGATATCCCCTTTATCATTTTTTATTGCATCTATTTGATTCTTCTCTCTTTTCTTCTTTATTAGTCTTGCTAGCAGTCTATCAATTTTGTTGATCTTTTCAAAACACCAGCTCCTGGATTCATTAATTTTTTGAAGGGTTTTTTGTGTCTCTATTTCCTTCAGTTCTGCTCTGATTTTAGTTACTTCTTGCCTTCTGCTAGCTTTTGAATGTGTTTGCTCTTGCTTGCTTTTCTAGTTCTTTTAATTGTGATGTTAGGGTGTCAATTTTGGATCTTTCCTGCTTTCTCTTGTGGGCATTTAGTGCTATAAATTTCCCTCTACACACTGCTTTGAATGTGTCCCAGAGATTCTGGTATGTTGTGTCTTTGTTCTCGTTGGATTCAAAGAACATCTTTATTTCTGCCTTCATTTCGTTATGTACCCAGTAGTCATTCAGGAGCAGGTTGTTCAGTTTCCATGTAGTTGAGTGGTTTTGAATGAGTTTCTTAATCCTGAGTTCTAGTTTGATTGCACTGTAGTCTGAGAGACAGTTTGTTATAATTTCTATTCTTTTACATTTGCGGAGGAGTGCTTCACTTCCAACTATGTGGTCAACTTTGGAATAGGTGTGGTGTGGTGCTGAAAAAAATGTATATTCTGTTGATTTGGGGTGGAGAGTTCTGTAGATGTCTATTAGGTCCACTTGGTGCAGAGCTGAGTTCAATTCCTTGATATACTTTTTAACTTTCTGTCTCGTTGATCTGTCTAATGTTGACAGTGGGGTGTTAAAGTCTCCCATTTTTATTGTGTGGGAGTCTAAGTCTCTTTGTTGGTCACTAAGGACTTGCTTTATGAATTTGGGTGCTCCTGTATTGGGTGCATATATATTTAGGATAGTTAGCTCTTCTTGTTGAATTGATCTCTTTACCATTATGTAATGGCCTTCTTTGTCTCTTTGATCTTTGTTGTTTTAAAGTCTGTTTTATCAGAGACTAGGATTGCAACCCCTGCCTTTTTTTGTTTTTCATTTGCTTGGTAGACCTTCCTCCATCCCTTTATTTTGAGCCTATGTGTGTCTCTGCACGTGAGATGGGTTTCCTGAATACAGCACGCTGATGGGTCTTGACTCTTTATCCAATTTGCCAGTTTGTGTCTTTTAACTGGAGCATTTAGCCCATTTACATTTAAAGTTAATATTGTTATGTGTGAATTTGGTCCTGTCATTTTGATGTTAGCGGGTTATTTTGCTCGTTAGTTGATGCAGTTTCTTCCTAGCCTTGATGGTCTTTACATTTTAGCATGTTTTTGCAGTGGCTGGTACCGGTTGTTCCTTTCCATGTTTAGTGCTTCCTTCAGGAGCTCTTTTAGGGCAGGCCTGGTGGTGACAAAATCTCTCAGCATTTGCTTGTCTGTAAAGTATTTTATTTCTCCTTCACTTATGAAGCTTAGTTTGGCTGGATATGAAATTCTGGGTTGAAAATTCTTTTCTTTAAGGGTGTTGAATATTGGCCCCCACTCTCTTCTGGCTTGTAGAGTTTCTGCCAAGAGATCCGCTGTTAGTCTGATGAGCTTCCCTTTGTGGGTAACCCCACCTTTCTCTCTCGCTGCCCTTAACATTTTTTCCTTCATTTCAACTTTGGTGAATCTGACAATTATGTGCCTTGGAGTTGCTCTTCTCGAGGAGTATCTTTGTGGCGTTCTCTGTATTTCCTGAATCTGAATGTTGGCCTGCCTTGCTAGATTGGGGAAACTCTCCTGGATAATATCCTGAAGAGTGTTTTCCAACTTGGTTCCATTCTCCCTGTTACTTTCAGGTATACCAATCAGACGTAGATTTGGTCTTTTCACATAGTCCCATATTTCTTGGAGGCTTTGTTCATTTCTTTCTATTCTTTTTTCTCTAACCTTCCCTTCTCGCTTCATTTCATTCATTTCGTCTTCCATCACTGATACCCTTTCTTCCAGTTGATCGCATCAGCTCCTGAGGCTTCTGCATTCTTCACGTAGTTCTCGAGCCTTGGCTTTCAGCTCCATCAGCTCTTTTAAGGACTTCTCTGCATTGGTTATTCTAGGTATCCATTCGTCTAATTTTTTTTCAAAGTTCTTAACTTCTTTGCTATTGGTTTGAATTTCCTCCTGTAGCTCGGAGTAGTTTGATCGTCTGAAGCCTTCCTCTCTCAACTCGTCAAAGTCATTCTCCGTCCAGCTTTGTTCCATTGCTGGTGAGGAGCTGCGTTCCTTTGGAGGAGGAGAGGTGCTCTGGTTTTTAGAGTTTCCAGTTTTTCTCCTCTGTTTTTTCCCCATCTTTGTGGTTTTATCTTCTTTTGGTCTTTGATGATGTTGACGTATAGATGTGTTTTTGGTGTGGATGTCCTTTCTGTTTGTTAGTTTTCCTTCTAACAGACAGGTCCCTCAGCTGCAGCTCTGTTGGAGTTTGCTAGAGGTCCACTCCAGACCCTATTTGCCTGGGTATCAGCAGCGGTGGCTGTAGAACAGCGGATATTGGTGAACCGCAAATGCTGCTGCCTGATTGTTCCTCTGGAAGTTTTGTCTCAGAAGAGTACCCGGCCGTGTGAGGTGTCAGTCTGTCCCTACTGGGGGGTGCCTCCCAGTTAGGCTTGTCAGGTGTCAGGGACCCACTTGAGGAGGCAGTCTGCTCGTTCTCAGATCTCCAGCTGCGTGCTGGGAGAACCACTACTCTCTTCAAAGCTGTCAGACAGGGACATTTAAGTCTGCAGAGGTTACTGCTGTCTTTTTGTTTGTCTGTGCCCTGCCCCCAGAGGTGGAGCCTACAGAGGCAGGAAGGCCTCCTTGAGCTGTGGTGGGCTCCACCCAGTTCGAGCTTCCCGGCTGCTTTGTTTACCTAATCAAGCCTGGGCAATGGCAGGCGCCCCTCCCCCAGCCTCACTGCCACCTTGCAGTTTGATCTCAAATGGCTGTGCTAGCAATCAGCAAGACTCTGTGGGCGTAGGACCCTCTGAGCCATGTGCGGGATATAATCTCCTGGTGTGCCATTTTTTAAGCCTGTTGAAAAGCGCAGTATTAGGGTGGGAGTGACCCGATTTTCCAGGTGCCATCTGTCACCCCTTTCTTTGACTAGGAAAGGGAACTCCCTGACCCCTTGCGCTGTCCGAGTGAGGCAATGCCTCGCCCTGCTTCGGCTCGCACATGGTACGCTGCACCCACTGTTCTGCTCCCACTGTCTGGCACTCCTTAGTGAGATCAACCCGGTACCTCAGATGGAAATGCAGAAATCACCCATCTTCTGCATCACTCACATTGGGAGCTGTAGACTGGAGCTGTTCCTATTCGGCCATCTTGGCTCCACCCCCGGCAATTTCTTAAAATAAGACAACAATTAAGTTTGCCACATCGATTGACTCTTCCTTTCATAAAAGATTTCTCTGTAGCATGAGATGCTGTTTGATAACATTTTACCTGCAGTAAAACTTCTTTCAGTTTTGGAATCAATCTTCTCAAACCCTGCCACTGTTTTATCAACTAAGTTTATGTAATATGCTAAATCTGTTAGTGTCATTTCAACAATGTTTCACAGCCTCTTCAACAGGAATATATTCCATCTCAAGAAACCACTTTATTTGCTTATCCATAAGAAGCAACTCTTCATGCGTTAAAGTTTTATGAGATTGCAGCAATTCAGTCACATCTTCAGGCTCCACTTCGAATTCTGGTTCTCTTGTAGTTTTACCACATCTGCAGGCCATCATTTGAAGGGTTCCTCAATCTTTCTTTCCCACAAGATGGAAGTATCATCTATTGGAACATCTTAAATGTACTTCATTCATGACATATTTTTCATCTATTACAGAATCAGAGAATCTTAAGACTATATGAGAGGGGAAGGGACTTTGGATCATAAATCATACATTGTACATGAAGAAACTGAGGTTCACTTCTGTTTCCTGGGATTTCTTTTTTTAATTTTATTTAGATTTGGGGATACATGTGCTTGTTTGTTACATGGGTACTGGTGGGGAATGGGCTTCTAGTGTACCCATTATCCAAATAGTGAACCCTACCTGATAGATATTTTTTCAACCCTCATTCCCCTTCTATCATCCCCATTTCTGGAGTCCCAGTGTCTATTATTTCCATCTTTATGTTCATGTGTGTCCACTGTTTAGTTCCCAATTAGAAATGAGAACATGTGGTATTGGTTTTCTGTTTCTGAGTTAGTTCACTTAGGATAATGGCCTCCAGCTCCCTCCATGTTGCTGCAAAGGACATGATTTCTTTCTTTTTATGTCTACATACTATTCCACATTTTTTTAAATCCAGTCAACTGTTGATTGTTTCCTGGGATTTCTGATATGTTTTCATTCCCCTTAGAAAGCCACTGCTGTTAAATCAATAAAATAATTTAGGAAGAAGTTCAGCAGTATGTGTTGAGAGCTTTAAAAATGCTGCCAGGTTTTGGTCCAGTAATTTGACTTCTAGGAAGCTATACTGAGCAAATAACCTGGATATATGTGAAGATCTTTATGTACAGAAATATCTCTCTCAGCTTCATTTACAATAATATAGATCAATGAAAGAAATCTTAAATATTCCCAAGCTTGAGACTAGTTAAATACATTGTAGTATACCTGACATGACCGAATGAAACATTATGTAGCCATTTTAGTAGAGTATTTTAACACAGAATGGTAGAAAGCATACTATCTCAATCTCACCTGTCAGAGCTACTTCCCCACAAGAGAAATTGGTGGTGGGAAGGGCAGTATATGCAAAGAGTGTTATTACAGATAATTATGTATGAAAAATTCCTACACAATATTAAGTAAAGAAAACTGGGTAGAAAAATGTGTATTAAGGATGAGTTAATTTAAAAATGCATAGGGGAAGAAGACTGGAAAGATTTATTTTAAGCCATATAGTTTTATTTTATGTATTCATGATTTGCTGGTTTAAGTAATTTTTTGCAATTTTTGTTTTGAAATAATTTCAGACACATAGAAAAATTACAAAAATAGTAAAAAGAACTCCCATGTACCTTTCATCCAGATTCCCTAACTGTTATCATTTAAAAACAATTTTGTAGGCCGGGCACGTTGGCTGACGCCTGTAATCCCAGCACTTTGGGAGGCCAAGGCAGACAGATCACGAGATCAGGAGTTTGAGACCAGCCTTGCCAATATGGTGAAACCTCGTCTGCACTAAAAATACAAAACTTAGCCGGGCATAGTAGTGCATGCCTGTAGTCCCAACTACTCGGGAGGTTGAGGCAGAAGAATCACTTGAACCTGGGAGATGGAGGTTGTAGTGAGCCGAGATCGCACCACTGCACTGGGCAACAGAGTGAGACTCTGTCTCAAAAATAATAATAATAATAATTAATTAATTAAATAATAAAATAAAACAATTTTGTAAAGTAGTCCCTTTGTCCCATTTAAGGAAGTTTGGCCAATAAGCTCCTGTGTGAACATTGTCATATTACATTCCAAAGTAAAGGGGCAACGGAAATGGGACAGGCTCATTTCTGATGGCCTGTGGGATCTGGGATTAAAGACAATCCAAGACTAGTAATGAAATGCAAGACTTTTAACGAATTACGCTGCTTATTATTTGCTGTTTCAGTGTGTTTCCATTCTGCTTTTACCTTGACTACTTCAAAGAATATCACGCAGACAAAGTGATAATGAGTGTTGAGCAACAGATTTAAAATCCCCCATGCAGCTGAATGACTTAAGGGAAACAAATATATAACTTTTTACTTATGTCTTCACCTCAGTGAAAATAAAATATATTGATTTCATCCAGATGTCAGTGGTTATACAAACCTCCCCTGGACATTGGAGAGAAGGAGAGGAAAAAGCTTACAAAAATAAAATCACACGTGTTTATAGCCATGAAAATACATTATTCAAATGAAAGTACTGACATTTTAACATAGGCACTGCATTTTTAACCTTAAAATTGAAAGAGTCCCCTGTATTATAGTCCTTTTAGAGTCAGAAGAGAAATTTGGGTCATTTGGCACTATCCAATAAAACTTTCCACAATGATGAAAATGTTTTATGTCTATACTTTCCAGTACAGTAACCGTGAGCCACATGTAGCTATTGAGTGCTTAAAATGTGGATGATGCAACTGAGGAATTGAATTTATTTCATTTTAATTTATTTAAATTTAAATAGCCACTTGTGGCTAGTGGCTACTGTACTAGACAGCGTGCTAGACTACCATCCTAAGTAGAAATTTCTTTTCCAGTTCCCCTGATCTCTTTGCATTCTCCCTCGTGATCATATCAATTCCTAACAGCTCCAGTTACCACTTATAATATGATACATCATCCTGGCTGCATGTTAGGTTCACCTGGGGAGCTATTTTAAAATGTCATTGTGGAGAGGAGGGGTGACCTAAGCATGGATATTTGTAAAAGGGTATTTAATATGTAGCCAGGGTTGAGAACCTTTGATCAATATGCAATGATTCCCAATTTTATATTACTAGCTCTCAATGATAAGCTTCAGATGCTGACTGGATCTCCTCCTGATGTCCCCCACCCCAAAGAAAGCCTCAAACACCAACATATCCAAATGTGACATGATTATGTCCCATCGCCCTCACCCAAATCCTTTGAATTGTAACTACTGGACTTGCTTCTGCCATTTTGCCATTTGTTTTCTATATGTCATATATTTTTTGTTCTTCAATTCCTTCATTAATACCTTCTTTTGTGTTTGACTTTTTGTAGTGTATCATTTTAATTCACTTCTCATTTCCTATTCTAGCTATTTCTTAGTTATTTTCTTAGTAGCTACCATGGAGGTTAAAATTAACATCTTAAATATATAGCAAACTGGCTTGAATTAATAACATAGCTTAAATAGTATAAATAACTCTGTTCCTATGCAGCTCTCTTTTCCTTTATGTTGTTATTGTCACAACTTTTTTATATCATATGTGTCCACTAACATAGATTCATAATTTTGGTTTCATGCATTTGTCTTTTAAATCATGTAGAAAAAAATAGGGCTTACAAACCAAAAGTACAATAATACTGGCTTTTAAATTTAGCTATGCAGTTACATTTATCAGCGTTCTTTATTTCTTCATATGGCTTCAAATTGCAATCCAATCTCAAGGACTCCCTTTAGCATCTATTGTTGGACAGGTCAGTAAACAACAAACTTCCTCAGCTTTTGTCTAAGAATGTCTTACTTTTGCCTTCATTTTAGAAGAATCATTTTGCAGGATATAGAACTCTTGATTGAAGATATTTTATTTCTTTTAGCGCTTATCATCTACTGAATTTGGATCTCTGTGTGTGGTTTCTGAAGAGAAATTGGATGTTAATTTTATTGAGCATCACTTGTATGTAACAAGTCACTTCCCTCACTGATTTCAAGATTCTCTGTCTTTGGCTTTTGACAGTTTGATTGTAGTGTGTATCAGTGGGAATTTCTTTCAGTTTTTCCTTCTTGGAGGTCTTTGAATTTCTCGGATTTGTAGATTCACAAAAGGCAATCACTTTTGCACCAACCTAATAACTTAGCCTTAGACTAATTAAGACTCAGTCCTTGAGGTGAAGGAGGGGCTTCTTGCCCGAGCCCATGACTGCGTGGGGATGTGGTTAATCTCACAAACAAAAGCAGGGCTCTGCCAACAGAGCATTCTCCCATCTCTATCCCCACCATTCTTTCATGGAATAATTCAATACATATTTATTGGGAGCTTACTATGTGCCAGGTACTGGGAATAAAATAGTGAACATGACTGATGAGGTTCTGGCTATTATGGAGTTTACATTTGGGTTGGGAGAGCCAAATGTTAAAATAGTGAACAAATAAAAATGTAGTCAATTCAAATAATTATAAGTTCTTGAAGAACTTACCTTGAAAAAAATGTAGATGGAAATGAAGCTAGGATAGTGAGATGTAGAATGACATGTGTGGGGCTTGAAAGCGTGGTCTTGAAAGGCTTCACTGAAGAGAGGACATTTGTTCTGAAACTATACAATAGGAAGGAAAATGTGCAGCTTTATGGAAGAGGACTAAAGTGTAAGGACCCCTATGTGATCACATGTTTGACAGGTTTAAAGAGCAGATAGAAGGCCAGTGTGTTCTTAAATACCATTGTGTTTTATATACCCACATCTGAGCACATGCTGTGTCTACAATCTAGAAAGACCATCCCTAGATCATTGCTATGTAGGAAACTCTTATCAACCCTTCAAGACACAGCTCAGATATTACTTCCTCTGTGATGCCTTCCCTTATCTCTAACACTTAAAGTTGAATACTTCCTTCTTTGTATCCATACTATCAATTAGAATATCTATCACCCTGCACTATGTTTAACTTATTTACATTTTTGTCTCCCCCTCTGGACTTGGAGTTGCTTGATGGCAAGGGCAATGTCATTTATATATGCATATTTGTGTTCCCTACTACCAAGTGCTCTGGGCGTGACAAATAGTAGATGCACAGCAAGCACTTATTGAACTGAAACACTGAATATCTACTATTGCTGGCACTCTCATAGATTTTGTGGAGCATACAAAAGAATCTGCCTTCATTGAAGTAGTCAGGAATGTAGACTCTGGTGCCAGAAGCTTGACTCCAATCCCATTCCCACCACTTACTAGCTGCGTGACCTTAAAAAATTACTTAACCTCTCTGTGCTTCAGGTTCCTTATCTGTAAGGTGGGAGATAACAGTGGTAACTGTCTAAAAGTGAGTATTAATTTAAATAATGTATACAAAACATTTAGCACACACAGTATCCGGCACAGAATAAGTGTTGAGTCTTACCTTATTTATAAATTAAGGAAATAATTAGATTGACAAGATTTATACACATGAAAAACAAACTACTGCAAATATATTACTATACAGAACTGTTTAAAGTACCTCCTGAACCAAGATGTTGCAGCACTATCACCTCAACAAAGCATTGCTGAATGAATGAATGGACTAAAAAACAAAAAGCCACAGTATAATCTGTGCTGATCTGACCATTTCTAGAGCACTATGTTCACTTCTGAACATTACACTTTAAGAGAAACAAAGTACTTTATAACTAGAAGCAGACCAGTAGGATGCTCCAAAATCTGGAAAGTATCTAATAAGAATGACTGAAGAAACTGAGAATGGTTAGGTAGAGGACTACATTACTGCTGACATTAAACATTTGAAAGTTGTCATGTGTAATAAAGGGGAGCTTTGCTTGATGCTGCTCTAGAGAGCAGAACTTGGGCCAGGGGATAAAGGTTATAGGCAGGTGATTTCAGCTGAACATAGGAGAGTATTTGCTGAAAGTCAGTGTTCACCACGCAGGTGAGGAAGTGGTGAGTTTTCCATCTGTGGAGGTGCTGATTAACCGAACAACCACTTAACAAGGATACTGTCAAGGGGACTTTTTCATTGGGCTGGGGGTTATTCTAGATGGACTTTGGAGTTCTTTGCAGGAGGTTCAAGATCTGGACCTTTCAGGGAAAGAATAGTGTCACTACATTAAAATTAGTTCTCAAAGTGATAATCTCAAGCCAAAATGCTCTCAAAATCAACAACCCCATAACTTTCCCACGACCAGCCCACCCCTGTGCTTTTATACAAGAAATTTCCACTATAGGCACTTTTTGGACTGCTCATTCAAGGTCCCTGTTCAAATATTATTTTTTTTCCTAGGAGAAGTATGGTTTTAAGCCACTCAGCCATTATCATCAGCTTCTATTATAGTGCCCGGTATATATTAAGAATTATTTATTCAATGTGTTACCAGTCATTCACACCTGAGATCGTACAAATTTATCAGATTAAATTTACTTGCCTTAGAAAGGCCCTGGAGAGATAAACAACTGGACAGATAAGTTTGGAAAATTGTGAGAGGTCACAAGGGTTTTACCATTTAAGCTTCAGTCTTCATGACACGTGGTGCAAGCCATGCACAGATACCACGACACTCTGAAGGCACTGATGTTTTCTTAGTTAGGTAGAAAGCCAGCCTTTCCTCCTCACAGATGAAGTCTTATGCTGGGCAGAAATCTGGGCTGGGATTTGCCAAAGCCATTTTGTGCCCTGGCCTTCTGCCAAGTCCATCGATTTAGCTCTTTGAATCGCATCATTTAAGCCCACAAATGTCACAGATTCTATTAGACAAACGCCTCTGGCCAGCAGCAAAGAAAAGAGGGAACATGATAAGCCCTCTGAGGCAGCCTGTTAGACAATTCTTAATCTTTCATGGTTGGAGAACTACATTGCGAGCGGGTTCACTGGCAGAATGGCAAGAAATACTGGCAGGTTTTGTTTCTTTGGTTAAGAATATACCTAGAGGCTTAGCTTTGGTTAATGGCAGATTAGTGCATCTGCCAAGTATAAAGGTAAAGGGTCATGGGGAAAAACCTTCCAAATAATACATTCTTAAAAGATACCAGAAACTCCATCACTAGTTACTTATTCTCAGAATAATGGCAGAGTAGGCCTAACAGCAAGCATGCAGAGAAAGGATTGGCCTCTGAGCCTGGAGTGAGGCTGAGGCTAAAGCTATGAGTGAGGGTCAAGTGGCTGCAGCTGTGGGGGATTGGAAAAGGGCAAAGAATTAGGCAAGTCATTAGACAGCTATGTGAGTCTGCATGTCAACAGACAATGCAGGAAATCCATTTTTGCATTATTCTTTATTCGTAGTATAGAGCTGGGCATAACTATTTAACAGAGTTTTCCAAGGCTGGATACCAGACCTCTCCTTTACCCTCCATCACTTCACCCGCATTCTTTTAGCCAGACATTGCTTTAATTCCAAAGTCACAGCAACGTTCCTAATGAGGGAATTCATGTTAATATATTACTAGTTTTTAGCCATGTGATTTATTATTTCATCCAGGGGTAGTTTTGGCAATGTAGTCCCTTAAAGCAAGAGTGACTCTAATGGTAAAATCTCAGGCAAACCTTTGTAGATTTATTTTTTCTAAAGAGGAATACTATTGAAGCCTCTTACAACAGAGCCCACTGGAAAATTACATAGACCAGACTAATTCCAAATGCAAGAGATGAAAATTAAAACTGGACTTTGAACTGACTATATATCATCCGATTATACTTGCCTCAAGTTACAAATTACCATGATTTTACTGTTGTCTCTCTTCACTACTTTAACCCATGCATCTGGCACATAGTGAGAGTTCAATGAATGGTACTGCTTGTTGCCTTCATTATGATTACCATTAGAGGCAGTGGTAGTAATAGTGCCACTCCAGTACCTGGCACCATGCCTGAGCCACATTAAGTATTCAAAACTAATGATTATTTTTATAACTTTATTGCCCCAGCTTCTGGCACAGTGCCTGGCACATAATAGGACACCGATTGAGTTAGTTTCCTTCATTCTCACCTTTCCCTGGGATACAATATTCTTCTGCTTCCCCCCACAACTGTGCCTTACTAAAGGGGTTGCAGATCTTCCTGTAGCAGTAATGCTTCCTATACCAGTAACACCACCAGTGACACCATCTGAAAGGACATCTAGCCTTTTCTTCCATGGTAGCCTCTTAAATGGCAAATGGGCAGCAAGTGTTCAAGACCATTTTTCAGATGAGGATACCAAGATTATGAGCTATTGCCTTGGAATGTTAGCTCACCTCTAATCCCTATATCCTATTAAGCTGAAAAAATAAGACCCCTTGCATTCCCCCCAACCCATCACCCAACTAGGCCATAACTGATCTCATCTTTCTTGTTGCACTCGGCAGTGCCTGGACTGCCCCCACACTTTCATGTTTAATTCATCCTCCAAGGATTAGCCTAAGAGCTACCATCTTTATGAAACTTTCTGTGAGGCCTCCAGCCTTCAATGAGCAGGGTTGTATTGTTTCCTATCCCCTAGCAGGGGCTAGCAGAGTGCTAGACACAATAGAGGCTCTCAGTGTGTTTGTATTGATTAAATAAATAGAAGCTAATTGGGTTGTTGGTCCTCACTTTAGGAGGTCACACTATCCCTTCTCTCCCCCACTCATTTTTGTTTACAAGGTAAAGGCACAGAGGCAGTCTACAATTAGTATCATTAAAGTTTTGTGCTGTGTATTGGCAAATGCTTACTCTAAGTGCTGTTTGTTTAGCCACTTTCACTACTTTCACTTTACTTGAAAGTAGTGGAAGAATGTATCAGTGCTTCTTCAGGCAGTGAAACAGCACCCTCTTCTCTTGGGATTTAGATGTGGAGAGAGATTTGTCATTTGGGTCTTGAGGCAGTGAAACAGCACCCTGTTCTCTTGGGATTTAGATGTGGAGAGAAATTTGTCATTTGGGCCTGCTCAGGGCAAGAGGCAACACTCATCTTCAAATACTAACTTCCCAGAAAGACACAAGCACATGAATTGCAAATACCACTTGATATAAGGTAGGCCTCTCCCTCTGCCAAAGCAGGGATGTCATTACCTGGAAGACTGAGGTAAATGTTGGTGGAAGCTTCATGTCTTTATCTTTTCTTACATCCAGAAGGTGAGAAAAGGGGCTCTTTAGCACATTTCCATGTCCTTTAGCTGGCAAAACAGTTAAGTAATGAAAGACACTGGAATAGGTCCATCCTAACTCAGCCTCCAGAGTGGCCTGGAGGCCTCAGGGATGAGGGGAAAAGTGGAGCCAACACCTAATAGATCTGAGCCTCATTTTCTCCCTTGGAGAAGATAATCATTCCCATCTCACAGGGATGCTACAGGGAGTTAATGAGGAATGTGTATAAATTTTACCTGTAAACTATGAGGCAAGAGCTCTATACTGCGATTCATTCTATGTGATTGAAGACAAAGGCTATCTTTTTACCTTTGTCTCCCAGAGACAGTTTAAACACATTGTAGGAGCTCAATAACTAGGTTTTTACTTTAAAACTAATTCTATTAAATATAACCTGGATTTAGGTATGATACAAATAAAACAGACCATTCACTTATCAGAATTTAATCATACAGATTCTCAGATCTGTTAGCTTTTCATTTGAAATGGCAGAGGAAAAAATCATGAGCAGGCACAGAGGGTACATGTTTATCTTTTGCAGTTGGCTTTGGCCTATTGGAGTCAATACCCCTTTCCCCATTGAGCAGCAGCAAGAAGCAGGGTTGCAGTTAGAACTGAAATAGGATTTCAATCCAGGATGTGCATGTGGGACAGTTACAAATGTAATCCTGAAAATTAGCATAGGACCAGAGACCTAGAGCCTGAAGGAAATTGGCCAAAGAAGATTTCCAACTTTGCATCACTAATCAGAAGTGTTACCATGAATATTTTCAGGCACCAGAAGAGAAGGAAGGTAGGAATTAGCTTATGCCATGTCTTAGGAGGTTTACCCTATGCCAGTTGCTTTGATAATGTATATCTTATTTAACTCTCACAATAGCTTTATGAGGTAGGAATTATTGTGTAGCACAGGACCTGGCACACAGTAAGCAGTCACTAAATGATAACTGCGAGTAATATTATTAAGATTGATAACCTTAGTATCATCAACCTTAGTAATAAATAAAGCACAGAGGGCTTGAGTAACTTACTCAAGGCCACAGAACTGGTAAGTCATAAAACCAGGATTTAAGCCCAGGTCTTCCTGACCCCAAAGCCTGGGCTTTTTCTGTTATACTTCTTTGTAAGCGGAAAAAAGACGGCGTCATTGAAGTAGTTTAGGATTTTCTAACCCCTTAGCAGGGCTGCCTCCATAACTGGCCACTTGAGACCTCCACGTATCTAAGGATATTTTGGTCTTTCTCTGTTTCCTCACTCAGATTTCTGCATTGCTATGAACCATGGCCCAACTGTACTACAAAAAGGTCAACTACTCACCGTACAGAGACCGCATCCCCCTGCAAATTGTGAGGGCTGAGACAGAGCTCTCTGCAGAGGAGAAGGCCTTCCTCAATGCTGTGGAGAAGGGGGACTATGCCACTGTGAAGCAGGCCCTTCAGGAGGCTGAGATCTACTATAATGTTAACATCAACTGCATGGACCCCTTGGGCCGGAGTGCCCTGCTCATTGCCATTGAGAACGAGAACCTGGAGATCATGGAGCTACTGCTGAACCACAGCGTGTATGTGGGTGATGCATTGCTCTATGCCATACGCAAGGAAGTGGTGGGCGCTGTGGAGCTTCTGCTCAGCTACAGGCGGCCCAGCGGAGAGAAGCAGGTAAGAGAAATTCCTATAGGCTGGGAAATAGCCAGGCACAACAGGGCACCAGGTCAGAAGCCCTGAAACTAGGGAAGGTTAGGTGGTCTGGAATTGAGATGCCCTATCTCAGAAATTGCACCAGTGATCTCAGGTAGCATCCTGGAGCTACCCTACGTGGCCCATGCTGAGTTTTACTGATTTACCTTTTCCTTATTAGTGTTTGCCCATATACATTCAGTACTCACTGAATGTACTTAGCAACCCAATGATGTGTTCTTTGTTTCCAGACTATTTAAGCCCCTTCTAACTTTCGTATACCCTGCTTTCTATCTTCTGTTTCCTCCTCTACTCAAAGGTTATATTCTAGAAAAGGAGAGACAAAATACAGACTTGGTCTTTCTACTTCTCATTAGCCTCTCTCTGAAGACAACACAGGAGGCCTTTAAACTTGAGTGCCATGGTGCAGATGCTTATGGAATAAGGCCTCATATATTTTCCCAGTACCTGTCAAGTGACTTCATTCCACTTCCAAATGTTTGGGATTTTGCCTCTGTGATTCTCATATCCTCCAAGGCACCTAGGTTTGATACTCTGAAGTCATCTTTTATTTGTCTGGCTCCCTTGCCCCCATGTCCAATCCCCGAGTCCTGTGGTTCCTTCCTTCCAAATATCTTTCATATACTTTCTCTCCTCTCTAGTTCGTCTTTCACCAGTCTGGCTCTGGTTCTCAACATCTCTCTCTTAGATGAGTGGTTCCTAAAGTGCGGTCCCTTGACTAGCAGCATCAGCATTACCTGGGTACTTGTTAGAAATGCAAATTCTCAGGCCTCTGCCACAGCCCTATTGAATCAGAAACTCTGGGGTGGGGCCCCAACAAGCCCTCCAGAGGATTCTCATGTACAATCAAGTTTGAGAACTGCTGTCCTAGATTAACATAAAGCTCTTCTGACTGGTCTCCTTGTCTCTAGCATGTTCCCCTCTCTCAAATCCCGAGCAATAATATCCCAAGAATAAGGCATTATTCTCCCTAAATAGCATTATTCTCCCTAAAATAGGATATGAGCCTGCCATTCCTGTGCATCCTTTTGCAGCTTCCCTTCTGCTGTCTAAAGGTTCACTAAAAATGAACTTACAATAGGCAGATTAATAGGAGAAAATGGCATACAAAATTTATTAACATGCATATGGACATGGAAACCATACACAAAGTTTGAGGCTCAAAGAAAAGTCAGATGTTTGAGACATAAATACTTTCTTCATAAGGGAGAAATGAATGGACCTGGGAGGCAAACATTATTTTATAAATGATTATCTTTGGACTCTGGACGGTGCCAACAAGTTAAGGGAAAGTGAGGGGTGGAACTATACAAGAACTAATGCTGTCTTTTTTGTTCTTAAATTTCCATAGATTATTGCAGAGCAGGTAGTGTTTGGTTACATGAGTAAGTTCTTTAGTGGTGATCTGTGAGATTTTGGTGCACCCATCACCTGAGCAGTATATACTGCAGCCTATTTGTAGTCTTTTATTCCTCTCCCCCTTCCCATCCTTGTCCCCTGAGTCCCCAGAGTCCATTGTGTCATTCTTATGCCTTTGCATCCTTATAGCTTAGCTCCCACTTATGAGTGAGAACCTATGATGTTTGTTTTTCCATTCCTGAATTACTTCACTTAGGAAAATGGTCTCCAGTCTCATCCAGGTTGCTGCATATGCCATTAATTAATTCTTTTTTTTTTTTGAGATGGAGTCTCACTCTGTCACCCAGGCTGGAGTGCAGTGGTGCGATCTCGGCTCACTGCAAGCTCCACCTCCTGGGTTGATGCCATTCTCCTGCCTCAGCCTCCCGAGTAGCTGGGACTACAGGTGCCTGCCACCACGCCTGGCTAATTTTTTTGTATTTGTAGTAGAGACAGGGTTTCACTGTGTTAGCCAGGATGTTCTTGATCTCCTGACCTCGTGATCTGCCCACCTTGGCCTCCCAAAGTGCTGGGATTACAGGCGTGAGCCACCGCGCCCAGCCAACTCATTCCTTTTTATGGCTGAGTAGTATTCCATTGTATAAATATATATATATATATGCCACAGTTTCTTTATCCACTTGTTGATTGATGGGCATTTGGGTTGGTTCCACGTTTTTGCAATTGTGAATTGTTCTGCAATAAATATGTGTGTGCAATTATCTTTTTCGTATAATGACTTCTTTTCCCCTGGGTAGATACCCAGTAGTGGGATTGCTGGATAAAATGATAGTTCTACTTTTAGTTCTTTAAGGAATCTCCACACTGTTTTCCATAGTGGTTGTACTAGTTTACATTCCCAGCAGCAGCATAGAAGTGTTCCCTGTTCACTGCATCCACACCAACATCTACTATTTTTTTTATTTTTTGATTATGGCCATTCTAGCAGGAGTGAGGTGGTATCGCTCTGTGGTTTTGATTTGCATTTCCCTGATCATCAGTGATGTCGAGCATTTTTTCATATGTTTGTTGGCCATTTGTATATCTTCTTTTGAGAATTGTCTATTCAGGTCCTTAGCCCACTTTTTGATGGGATTGTTTTTGTTGTTGTTGTTGATTTGCTTGAGATTTTCATTGTGGATTCTGGATATTAGTCCTTTGTCAGATGTACAGATTGTGAAGATTTTTTTCCCACTCTGTGGGTTGTTTGTTAACTCTGCTGCCTGTTCCTTTTGCTGTGCAAAAGCTCTTTAGTTTAATTAAGTTCCAGCAATTTATCTTTGTTTTTATTGCATTTGCTTTTGGGTTCTTGGTCATGAAATCTTTGCCTAAGCCAATACCTAGAAGGGTTTTTCCAATGTTATCTTCTAGAATTTTTATAGTTTCAGGTCTTAGGTTTAAGTCCTTAATCCATCTTGAGTTGATTTTTGTATAACGTGAGAGATGAGGATCCAGTTTCATTCTCCTACATGTGGCTAGCCAATTATCCCAGCACCATTTGTTGAAAAGGGTGTCCTTCCCCCACTTTATGTTTTCTTATTATGCAGATAAAGTCCCTTAGGTAATCTCTTGCAGCTGTCATCAGACAAATACATGAAAAGTCCATCGGGTCATGGTGATGACTGCCCATCTCTTCTCCATGGTTGATCTTTCTTGGTTATTTGATTAGATTTCTAGGGAGGGAGTCTTAAGACAATTGCATTTCTTTTGGAAAGAAGCTTCTTTACTCAGATAAGGAAGTTACAGAGAGTCCCTCAGGGTGTATCCTTAAAAAGGATCAGAGAGACAGGGAGGTGGACAAAGGTCAGAAAGAGAGCTCAGTTCTGAGGCTTATTTTTGAGACCTTTCCACTTTTTTTCTTTTTTTTTTTTTTGGAGTTGGAGTCTCACTCTGTCACCCAGGCTGGAGTGCAGTGGCACAATCTCGGCTCACTGCAACCTCCGCCTCCTGGGTTCAAGCAACTCTCCTGCCTCAGCCTCCCGAGCAGCTGGGACTAGAGGTGCACACCGCCACGCCTGGCTAATTTTTTGTATTTTAGTAGAGACAGGATTTCAACGTGTTGCCCAGGCTGGTCTCGAACTCCTGAGCTCAGGCAATCCGCCCACCTCAGCCTCCCAAAGTGCTAGGATTACAGGCATGAGCCACTGCACCCAGCAGCCTTTCCATTTTTCTAAGCACTCAGCATGCTTAAGTGCCATATTTTGGGGAATTATTTTCTGTACCCCAACACTTTCAATAACTGTAGTTATTAGAAAAGAAACCAATCCGTGAAGCTTGCACCTCAATGCCCTCAGGCAATGGTCTTTCCAGTCCTGTATTCCCCTAGCCCCTTCTAAACACCCCTCAAGTCAGACAGGTCTCTCTTCACTGTCTCTCTTCTTTAGGAACACAGAATTCTGCACATAGTAGGGACAAAAAAAAACTAAATCATCAAAATTGGAATACCTCAACACTTTCCAAAAAGTAGAAATAGTACATAACAAAACCAAAATTGCAAATGTCTTAGAAATAGTAATAATAGAAACACTCAGCATCAAATCTAATGGCATATGGCC
Organism: Homo sapiens; assembly: GCF_000001405.40. NCBI lineage: Eukaryota > Metazoa > Chordata > Mammalia > Primates > Hominidae > Homo > Homo sapiens. The sequence continues at coordinate 111,948,050 of NC_000023.11, read as the reverse complement.
AAAGCTGAGTCTAAAGGAAATTCATAGCTTTCATATTTGCCTAATTAAACAAAAAAGAATGAAAATAAACTTAATTATAACTCACGGACTAAGAATTGTAATAAATGGAGCAGAAAGCAAAGACACTATGTGATAATAAAAGTTCCTTGAGTAAAGGGCCTGAATCCCCCTCCACCATCAGCATTGAACACAGTACTAAGAGAGCAGGACTTTCTCTCTCTTGTTCACTGCTGTATTACATCACTAGAAAAATTATTGGTACATCACCAACACTTCATAAATGTATATTTAATGAATGAGTAACATACAACCCACACTGTGCTAAGTATCTGACATGGCTTATCCCATTCAATCCTCTTAGCAACTCTATTAGATAGACAGTATTATTATCATCCCTATTTTACCATAAGAAAAATTGAGACCAGCTGCAGTGGCTCATGCCTGTAATCCCAGCACTTTGGGATTTGTCCGAGGTGGGCAGTTCACTTGAGCTCAGGAATTCAAGACCAGCCTAGAAGAAACCCGGTCTCTACTAAAAACACAAAAATTAGCTGGATGTGGTAGTGCAGGCCTGTAATTCCAGCTACTCAGAAGGCTGAGACAGGAGAATCGCTTGAACCCAGGAAGCGGAGGTTGCAGTGAGCCAAGATCGCACCACTATACTCCAGCCTGGGTGGCAGAGAGACACTCTGTCTCAAAATAAATAAATAAATAAAAAAGAAAAATTGACTCACATGATGATTAGGTCAATTGTCCAAGATCACAACTAGTAAATATGAGAGCCAGCATTCAAACCCAGGCAGCTTAGCTCTTGAACACACTCTCCTAACCACTAAGCCACACTGCTTCCCTAGCAGTCTGAGTAAGTCAGGATTCCCAGCACAGAAGTTCTGAGACAAAGTAGATCAATGGAGGATATATCAGCCCTCTGGAAAGGAGGGGCCTGAAGGATTTGAATGACTAGCAAAGCAGAGAGGTGTGAATATGTTCCTGACCTGACTCGGTCCACCTCACTATCTCCATTAAAGCTGGTATGTTTTATTCCCCATTTCCCCAGATCCCTGCCAAGTGCCTGGGTGATTTAATGTGCTATTCTATACTAAGGCTTACCCAGCTACACTGCTCCAGAATGACTTTGCCAACCTCTGAGAATCTGCAGCCTATTGGCTTTTCCCTTCACTTGACACCAATCACATATCATTTTGTACTATTGTCTAGCCTTACTTGTGTAAATGTCTGATCTCTGTAATTAAATTGTTTCTCAAATGTGAGGCAAAAATCTCATGTTCAATGGTTTCCATGTTTCCCTCATCAGTACTTAACCCAGAGCCTAGTACATGATGGGTGATATATAAATGTTTGCTGAGGAACATGAAAGAGTTAAGTGAATTTTCCAGAAAAGCACATGGCTTGCTGATTGAACAAGACCCTCTGGACTTTCATATTCAACTTGATTTAGCTTCATTACAGTTTTGGGAATGAGGAGATCACAGAGAAGTTTCCAAGAAGGAGGCTAGTAATGCCAGCTCTGTCTGAGTTTTGAAAGTGGGCCGAGTTCTCATTTGATGGCCCTCATTTCCTCCATCTTTCCTCTATGCTCTACTAAATGCTGAGGCTCTGCCAGTCAGGAAGAAAGACACTAGGCAAACTTACACTAAGGTGCAATCAAAGGCATGACCTTCCTGGGGAAAGGTACTACTTAACTTACAGAAATGAACCCACTGACAGTGGAAAGTCAATCCTATGGAACCTGGGTAAAGCTACTTGGCTCAGGCAGGTTTTTATCAGGACCCTTTCATACACATTCCCAATATAAGACCTACTTTGTCCATACTTAGCTATCACACTGTATGTACAAACCCACAAAGTTATCAGCTCCATTCCCAAGTCTCTTCAGCAGCCTTCTCCTCCCTTTCTTCTCTCTCCCTCTAACCCCCAACATGAGCCTCTGCTAAATTTCATTTTCTTCCATTGCTCTGACAATCTCTGTGATAAGTCATATGTCTGTAACTGTAACTGTCACAGTACTGGAGCTCTGTCTTTCTGGGAGATAGAAACAAAATTTGTTTACTTGGGAGCCATCAGGGATGTGAGCAAACACAGACTTTCTGAAGGACCTTTGGTTTAGACGGGCAAGCCATTTTCAGGGAGGCCTTTCTCCCACACTTGGAATTCAAACAACTACTCTTTTTCACTGAGTCCCTCCCTTATCTTTCCAGGATATTGGGCACAATTGACCTCCATCACTCTTGGGAAGATAAACCACTGCCTTCCTTGGCTTTACTGGGCAAGGGCTTTAGCTCCAGGCTAGAAGTAAGAAGCTGTCTGCTCTATCCTTATCCCAGACTCTTGTGCTCTTCCCCGTCTTTTAGTCTATCATCTCAGACAAAGGTCAGGGGCTGGGCATAAGGGGCTGACAGTAACTTCAAGGATCAACTTTGATATGGAGACTTTCATTTTTAATAAGAACAAAATCTTTAAAAATATGATGACACTCTATCAGGTAGAATTTTCCTCACCAAACAGGGGTGTGTGTGTCTATGTATGTCGGTGTGTGTGCGCACACATGTGTGTGTGTATGTTATATGTTACTCTGTGGACTTGTTGCTCCAGAAATCTGACCCTCTTGGCCCACTACCTAATCACTGTGGCCTGTTTACTTAGGGGTAGATTTTTGACAACCAGGGAAATTTGTGATTTTTGTTGGGTAAATCATCTGAAATTGGTCTCAGAAGTCAAAATTCTTGAGACAACATAAGGTCTAATGCCCACCTATTTCTGGTCTAGTATGCTTGCTACCTTTGAGCCACTGACTGTAGAAACCACTAGAGGAGTACTGTTATCAGGGAGAGCAAATCCAACCGCAATTCAGAGAGGAGACTCGCGTCTGTGTATGCTCAAAACCAGCTCTAAATCAATTGTTGTGCACATGAGCAACTTGTCAAAATGCAGATTTCTGAGCCCCACTACATACCTACAGATTCAGAATCTTGGAGTTTAGGTCTGAAAGCAGAATTTTAACAAATGCACCCCAACCTGTTTCTAGGTAAGAGGTCCACGTACCTCTCTGTATTTGTTTCCTAGGGCTGCCATAACAAATTACCATAAATTGGGTCTCTTAAAACAACAAAAATGTCTTCTCTCACAGGTCAAGAGGTCAGAAGTCTGATAAGAATGTATCAGCATGGCTGGTTTCTTCTGGAGGGAGAATCTGTTCCATGCCTCCCTGCTAGTCTCTGGTGGTTGCTGATAATCCTCTGCATACCTTGGCTTATAGCCGCATCACTACAATCTCTGCCTCTGTTGTCAGAGTTCTCCTCTGTATCTTTCTTCTGTGTCTCTGTAGTTTTCTTCTGTGTCTCTTTACCTAAATCTTCCTCTCCTTTTTATTATGAAGATACCAGTCATTTGATTTAGTGCCCACCCTAATCCAGGATGACCTCATCTTAACTTGATTAAATCTGCAAAGACCCTTCTTCCAAATAAGGTCACATTCACAAGTACCAAGAGTTAAGACTTGAATATATCTTTTGGGGGACACAGTTCAACCCACTATACTCTCTATGAGAAATATTTGTCTAAACAAGTGGTTCTTAAACATTTTCAGCAGTAGAGTCTTTCATTAAATGAAAACCCACTCAGATGCAAAACAGACCCAAGCAGAGTTTCCCTAGTTTAAGTGCAGGTTGTATTTCAAACCCACTTGTTCGTTCTCTCTCTCTCTCTCTCTCTCTCTCTCTCTCTCTCACACACACACACACACACACACACACACACACACACTCTTCTACTCCCACACCTCCTTGGCCTCTGAGGAGTGAACACAGCTTAAAAGCCACTGGCCTACAAGACAGAGTGACAGACTCTAATTCACCGTTAATGGTGCAAGCCAGCTTGTAGCTAACAGTGTGACCTTGGGCAAGTCACAGAATCTCTCTGTAGCTCAACTCCACCATCTGCAGAATGAAGCTAACAATGCCTAGCCCTACCTAATCCAGAAACCTATTGTGAGAAAGAAATAAGGTTAAGATATGCCCAAGTCTTTTGAAAAAAAGCTTTGAAAAATGCTACACAGAGGTCAATAACTATTATTTTCAGCTTTACTCCATCCATTTGACTTAGCATGTCGTATGGTATGGAGAGACCAGCTGGCAAACGGTACTCCTCACAAGGCACCACCAGTGGAGTGAGAGGAAGAGGCTGGTAAACAAGCCAACTTAGTTCTAAGATTACCTCCTTCTGCCTGGCCCTGATGGCAATGCTCTCCCGTCTGTTGCCAGGCAATCTGCACGACCTCAAAGTCATCCTTCCTTTTTCACTAGAGTCTAAGGATTTGAGCAACAGGGAGGTAGAGCTGCTGGCCTCTATATCAACAACCCACCCAAGTAATTTTCTTTCTTGGTCACTTGCGTCAATGCAAGCAGGTGAAAAGAGGCTAAGCCAACCTTCTCCCCATGGCCCGCCCCTCTGGGCTCTTCCATAATTACTCATTTGTCTGTGGCAGATGGCTCAAAATTAAAATTGGTCTCACAGATGAGCTAGAGAGATTAAATCTCAACAACACTGATAAGTGTTTATGTTGAGATTATAGAAAATCAGCAACAGGACACTTCATTTACTCCTCCTATCTGTTTTTTTGTCTCAGACTGAGATTACACAGTGTGGAGGGGGACAGCGAGGGCCTGGAGAAAGGTGACGGGATCACGGAGAAGGAAAATAAAATGTCTAGCCTATAAATCTCAAACATTTAATATAAAAGCAGAAATTCAAGGAGAAAATTATAAAAGTCATCCTGCTATTTATAGATAGCCTGCAGTGGTAGAAAGACCATAGGCTTTGAAGTCAGACACTTATTAGATGTGTTTCCTTGAACAAATAATTTAATCTCTCCAAACCCCAATTTCTTCATCTGTAACTAGGAATGATAATGAAGTCTATTTCATAGTATTACAGTGAGAATCAAATGAAATAATACATGCATATTACTCAGAAGAGTCCATGATATCTAGTAAGTACTCAATAAATGGTAGCTAGTACTACTCCTACTCCTACTAGTTGAAGCCATGCTGCTCAAATCACCTGCTGACTAATGTCATTTATTCATTAAAAAAATGTATTAAGCACCCACTAGCACATAGTGGTTAATAATTCAGACTGAACGACCTTGGGAAGGTCATTTACCTTGTTTAAGCATCAGTTTCCTTACATGACAAATAGGTTTAATGATATGATATCATGATAATTCTATTATTTGCTTTGATTCCCATTCCAAAGTCAAACTTCTAGGTGAAAACAATGGATTTTGTCAATCAAATCAAGAAAATAAATCGTTTAGTTTAAATTGAGAGAAAAGGACAGAATGACTGCATGGCATCATACTGGCCAAAGTGATAAACTGAGTTACCTACTCTCATGTATCTGTGCTAACTTTCAGTAAACATAGCTTACTTCATTCACAGAATGGAATTGTAGGGAGTTTCAAGATCCTGTGGTCTGAAGTGACCACACTTCAAGGTCACTCAGCTGAGCCTGAACTGACACAAATACCTCCTGCCCCCCAAGCTACTCTTTCTACCACCCCACTTTGCCTTTGAGGAATCATCAGAAATGCTACCATTTACAATGGAGCTGCAAATAAATAAAGCAGCTACAAGTAGTGTCTATCTAGAACAATTCATTGATGACAGAGTTTCAGCAAATGATTAACTCTATTTAGTTCTGTTCAACTTTCTAAGTATTTTTGACTACTAATCATATGCCTCACAATCAAATTGAAATATCCAGTTAGTGCTTTCAAGAAATGTATACTCAGAGTGACATCATCAAGAGATATGGCTGATGAGAGGTACCTAACATTCATCCCCTCCACAAAAAGTACGAAAACAACAATTAAACAACTACACTTCAACTAGAGTGTCTAAGGGAGAACACCAGAATATAGCAAGGGACTGGTGAATTCCCTGTGGAGCAGGGAAACTCAGAATGGCAGTGTAGAGAGGGAAGTGAAGCACCCTGCCTCCATGACCCTGTCTCTCTTGCTGAGACTGGCTCAGAGACAGCATGGGCTTCTCATCATGGGGAAAATATAAACAGAAGATCCCCAGCAGCCCTCATTACTGCCATTGACACCTGCAGTCCTTGCTACAGCAGAGTCCCACAGTCCTCACAGACACTGAGCCCAGTTTAGGGAGCTGCCTGGAGTCCGTGTGGCTGCATTGTTCCAGAGGAGGAGCCCACATGGTGCACCATCCCTCACAGCACTATCTTGAGACTAGAGCCACTGCTAGAATGCATCTTGCTCTGGGGGCCAGTAGCCACTGTATCTCCCCCTCTCTGACGCCCCACTGTCATTCCATCATACTCACACAAGTGGCTGCAATGCCACACCCCAGTTGCTTGGAGCCTAGACCAAGTAGAACAGCTGTGACTTTGACACCCAAGCCTATGCAGTGCCCTGCATTTCAAGGAACAAGCGACCCTGCACAGTGGAGAAGCCACCTCCACGACTGGTGGAAATGCCACACTTTGCACATCCCTGACCTAACCAGCAGCATCATTATCAGCAAAGCCACACCACCACAATACCCACAGCCTAGGGCACTGAAGCACTTGCAGACACTGTTGATATTGATTATAGCTGAAGAAATTAAACAGAGACTACCTTACTGTGCTTATACAGAAGCAAAGCCAAAGCACCCGACCAAATCAACACCCTAAGACACATCTTCAGGAAAAAGTCTTTCCCTACTGTTAAAAATCACACAAGATCTATAAATTTAGGAAACAAGACTATTTATTTTACAGGTTAGAGCCTGCAAGGTGGTCATATCACAGGCTGGGAAGAATAACCTCCAGAAAAGACCAGAGACAGGCACATTGAAGGAACGGTTGGAGTAGGAACTTCATGCTGAATGGATTAGCTAAACATATATAGTTAACAGGTTATAGGAGGTGATGTGAATATATATGAAGGTGGTCCTGTCATGTGCATATTGGCAAAACATGCAAGCAACATACAACCCATGTTCATTTTAGGGTGGAGACTTAACATTTAAATGTATTACAGTTAGGTCCTATATGTCAAAAGGTGAAGCGGGGACATCAAGACACTCAAGTGTGCAGCCTCTGTAAACCCACCAGGACCAGTCCATAGTTGGTGCCCTTTTGATCAGGAAAAGTTACTGAAATCAGTCTTTTGTCCAATCAAAGGATGAGTGGCTGGGGGCCAGTTAGCATACATTGAAACTGAATTTGCTTTAACATTGCTTATCTCAAGCCCAGTGCTTGTTTAGCTGCTAGAGAAAAAGAATAACCTCATGACAGACAAAACGTAGTTTATTCTTTTTTTTTTTTTTTTTTTTAGACGTAGTCCCACTGTGTCACCCAGGCTGGAGTGCAGTGGTATGATCTCTGCTCACTGCAAGCTCCACCTCCTGGGTTCACGCCATTCTCCTGCCTCAGCCTCCCTAGTGGCTGAGACTACAGGGGCCTGCCACCACACCCGGCTAATTTTTTTGTAGTTTTAGTAGAGACAGGGTTTCACCATGTTAGCCAGGATGGTCTCTATCTCCTGACCTGGTGATCCGCCCACCTCAGCCTCCCAAAGTGTTGGGATTACAGGCGTGAGCCACCGCGCCTGGCCGGAATATATTTTTTGCTTTACGTGTCAGGGTGCGTGACTTCATGCTTGCCAGACATGGCCTTAGGTTTTGTTTATAATTTGGTACAAAGAGTCCAGATCATCCCACTGCACTCCAGCCTGGGCAACAGAGACTCCGCATCTTCTCGAACCACAATGGAATAAACCAGAAATAAATAACGAGGTATTCTGGAAACTAAACAAACACATGGAAAGTAAACAATATGCTCCTGAAAGAATAGTGGGATGATAGCTCCTATCTTGAGATACATGAACCTATAGAAATTAAGAAGAAAATTTTTAAATTTTTTGAAAGAAATGAAAATGGAAACAAAACATATCAAAATTTATAGGATACAAGGAAGGCACTACTAAAAGGAAAGTTTATAGCTATAAGTGCTTACATCAAAAAAGTAGAAAAACTTCAAATAAATGACCTAATGTTACATCTTAATGAACTACCAAAGCAAGAGCAAACCAAACACAAAATTAGTAGAAGAAATAATAAAGATCAGAGCAGAAATAAATGAAATTGAAACAAAAAATAGAAAAGGTCAATGAAATGAAAAGTTGGTTTTTAGAAAAGATCAAAATCAACAAACTTTTAGCCAGACTAAGAAAAAAAGAGAGAAGGCGCAAATAAATAAAATCAGAGATTAAAAATGAGAAACTACAACTGATGCCTCAAAAATTAAAAGTATCATTAGAGCCTACTACAAGCAACTATATTCAAATAAATGGAAAGATCTAGAAGAAATGAATAAATTTCTAGATGCATTCAACTTACCAAGAATGAACCATGAAGAAATCCAAAACCTAAATAGACCAATAACAAGTAATGAGAACAAAGCTATAATAAAAAGTTTCCCAGCAAAGAAAGACAAGCCCAGGACCTGATGGTTTCACTGCTGAATTTTACCAAACATTTGAAGAAGAACTAATCCCAATCCTACTCAAACTATTCTGAAAAATGGAGGAGAGAATATTTCTAATTCATTCTAAGTCCTGTACTACCCTGATACCGAAGCCAGATAAAGAGCCATCAAAAAAAGAAAACTACAAATCAATATTCCTGAGGAATATTGACGCAAAAATCCTCAACAAAATACTAGCAAACTGCATTCAACAACACATTTAAAAGGTCACTTATCATGGCCAAGTGAGACTTATCCCAGAGATGCAAGGATGGTTTAACATATACAAATCAATCAATGTGATACATAATATCAACAGAATGAAAGACAGAAACCATATGATTATTTCAATTGATGCTGAAGAAACATTTGATAACCTTCAGCATCCATTCATGATAAAATCCCTAAAACTCTGCATGTACAAGGAACACATTTCAACACAATAAAAGCCGCATACAACAGACCACAGCTACTATCGTACTGAATGATCCTTTCCTTTCCTCTAAGATCTGGAATAAGACAAGGATGCCCACTTTCATGACTGCTATTCAACATAGTACTAGAAGTTCTAGCTAGAGCTATCAGACAAGAGAAAAAAATAAAGGGCATCCAGATTGGAAACAAAGAAGTCAAATTATCCTTATTTGCAGATGACATGCTATATTTGGAAAAACCTAAAGACTATAAAAGAGAATTTTAGACCAATATCCTTGATGAACATTGATGCAAAAATCCTCAGTAAAATACTGACAAACCGAATCCAGCAGCACATTAAAAAGCTTATCCACCATGATCAAGTGGGCTTCATCCCTGGGATGCAAGGCTGGTTCAATACATGCAAATCAATAAATGTAATCCAGCATATAAACAGAACCAAAGACAAAAACCACATGATTATCTCAATAGATGCAGAAAAGGCCTTTGACAAAATTCAACAACCCTTCATGCTAAAAACTCTCAATAAATTAGGTATTGATGGGATGTATCGCAAAATAATAAGAGCTATCTGTGACAAACCTGCAGCCAATATCATACTGAATGGGCAAAAACTGGAAGCATTCCCTTTGAAAACTGGCACAAGACAGGGATGCCTTCTCTCACCACTCCTATTCAACATAGTGTTGGAAGTTCTGGCCAGGGCAATTAGGCAGGAGAAGGAAATAAAGGGTATTCAATTAGGAAAAGAGGAAGTCAAATTGTCCCTGTTTGCAGACGACATGATTGTATATCTAGAAAACCCCATCGTCTCAGCCCAAAATCTCCTTAAGCTGATAGGCAACTTCAGCAAAGTCTCGGGATACAAAATCAATGTACAAAAATCACAAGCATTCTTATACACCAATAACAGACAAACAGAGAGCCAAATCATGAGTGAACTCCCACTCACAATTGCTTCAAAGAGAATAAAATACCTAGGAATCCAACTTACAAGGGATGTGAAGGACCTCTTCAAGGAGAACTACAAACCACTGCTCAAGGAAATAAAAGAGGATACAAACAAATGGAAGAACATTCCATGCTCATGGGTAGGAAGAATCAATATCGTGAAAATGGCCATACTGCCCAAGGTAATTTATAGATTCAATGCCATCCCCATCAAGCTACCAATGACTTTCTTCGCAGAATTGGAAAAAACTACTTTAAAGTTCATATGGAACCAAAAAAGAGCCCGCATGGCCAAGTCAATCCTAAGCCAAAAGAACAAAGCTGGAGGCATCACACTACCTGACTTCAAACTATACTACAAGGCTACAGTAACCAAAACAGCATGGTACTGGTACCAAAACAGAGATATAGATCAATGGAACAGAACAGAGCCCTCAGAAATAACGCCGCATATCTACAACTATCTGATCTTTGACAAACCTGAGAAAAACAAGCAATGGGGGAAAGGATTCCCTATTTAATAAATGGTGCTGGGAAAACTGGCTAGCCATATGTAGAAAGCTGAAACTGGATCTCTTCCTTACACCTTATACAAAAATTAATTCAAGATGGATTAAAGACTTAAATGTTAGACCTAAAACCATAAAAACCCTAGAAGAAAACCTAGGCAATACCATTCAGGACATAGGCATGGGCAAGGACTTCATGTCTAAAACACCAAAAGCAATGGCAACAAAAGCCAAAATTGACAAATGGGATCTAATTAAACTAAAGAGCTTCTGCACAGCAAAAGAAACTACCATCAGAGTGAACAGGCAACCTACAAAATGGGAGAAAATTTTCGCAACCTACTCATCTGACAAAGGGCTCATATCCAGAATCTACAATGAACTCCAACAAATTTACAAGAAAAAAACAAACAACTCCATCAAAAAGTGGGCGAAGGACATGAACAGACACTTCTCAAAAGAAGACATTTATGCAGCCAAAAAACACATGAAAAAATGCTCTCCATCACTGGCCATCAGAGAAATGCAAATCAAAACCACAATGAGATACCACCTCACACCAGTTAGAATGGCAATCATTAAAAAGTCAGGAAACAACAGGTGCTGGAGAGGATGTGGAGAATTAGGAACATTTTACACTGTTGGTGGGACTGTAAACTAGTTCAACCCTTGTGGAAGTCAGTGTGGTGATTCCTCAGGGATCTAGAACTAGAAATACCATTTGACCCAGCCATCCCATTACTGGGTATATACCCAAAGGACTATAAATCATGCTGCTATAAAGACACATGCACACGTATGTTTATTGCGGCACTATTCACAATAGCAAAGACTTGGAACCAACCCAAATGTCCAACAATGATAGACTGGATTAAGAAAATGTGGCACATATACACCATGGAATACTATGCAGCCATAAAAAATGATGAGTTCATGTCCTTTGTAGGGACATGGATGAAATTGGAAATCATCATTCTCAGTAAACTATCGCAAGAACAAAAAACCAAACACCGCATATTCTCACTCATAGGTGGGAATTGAACAATGAGAACACATGGACACAGGAAAGGGAACATCACACTCTGGGGCCTGTTGTGGGGTGTGGGGAGAGGGGAGGGATAGCATTAGGAGATACACCTAATGCTAAATGACGAGTTAATGGGTGCAGCACACCAGCATGGCACATGTATACATATATAACTAACCTGCACATTGTGCACATGTACCCTAAAACTTAAAGTATAATAATAATAAAAGAAAAAAAAAAGAACTGATAAACAAATTCAGTAAAGTGCAGGATATAAAATCAACATCCCAAAGTCATTAACCTTTCTGTATGCCAACAGCAAACAATCTGAAAAATAAATCAAGAAAGCAATCTCATTTACCATAGGTACAAATCAAATAGCTAGCAATAAACTTAACCAAAGAAGTGAAAGACTTCTACAATTTATACTATAAAACACTGAGGCAAGATACTGAAGAGGACACAAAAAATGGAAATATACTCCATGTTCATGGATTAGAAGAATCAATATTGCTAAAATGTACATACTGCCCAATGCAATCTATAGATTAAATGCAAATACCAATGGCATTCTTCAGAGAAATAGGAAAAAAATCCTAAAATATGTTTAGAACAACAGAAGACCCAAAATAGCCAAAGCCATCCTGAGCAAAAGGAGCAAAACTGGAGGAATCACATTACCTGACTTCAAATCACACTACAGAGCTATAGCAACCAAAACAGCATGGTACTGGCATAAAAACAGACAGAGACCAGTGGAACAGAATAGAGAACCCAGAAATAAACCCATATATCTACAATGAACTTATTTTCAACAAAGGTGCCAAAAACATACACTGGGGAAAGGACAGTCTCTTCAATAAATGGCACTGAGATAACTGGATATCCACATGCAGAAGAGTGAAAGTAGACCCATATCTCTTGCCATATACAAAAATCAAATCAAAATGAAATAAAGGCTTACATCTCAGACCTCAAACTATGAAACTACCATGAAAAAACATTGGGAAAACTCTTCAAGACATTGGTCTGGGCAAAGATTTCTCCAGTAATACCCCTCAAGCACAGGGAACTAAAACAACAGTAGACAAATTGGATCACATGACATTAAAAAGCTTCTGCATAGCAAAGGAAACACTCTACAAAGTGAAGAGGCAACCTACAGAATGAGAGAAAATATTTGCACACTATTCATCTGACAACAGATTAATAACCAGAACATATAAGGAGTTTAAACAACTCTCTAGGAAAAAAAACGATTAGTCTTCCTATCAAATAGGCAAAAGATCTACAAAGACATTTCTCAAAAGAACACATACAAATGGCAAACAGGTATATGAAAAGGTGCTCAACATCATTGATCACCGGAGATATGAAAATCAAAACCACAATGAGTTATCATCTCATCTTAGTTAAAATGGCTTTTATCCAAAAGGCAGTAACAAATGCTGGTAAGGATGTGGAGAAAAGGGAGCCCTTGTACACTGTTGGTGGGAATGTAAATTAGTACAACCACTATAGAGAACAGGTTGGAGTGTCCTCAAAAAACTAAAAATAGAACTACCATATGATCCAGGATTCTCACTGCTAGGTATATGTCCAAAAGAAAGGAAATCAGTACACTGAAGAAATATCTTCACTTCCATATTTATTGCAGCATTCTTCACAATAGACAGGATTTGGATGCTAACTAACTTGTCGATCAACAGATGAATGGATAAAGATAATGTGCTGCATATACACAATATAGTACTATTCAGCCATAAGAAAGAATGAGGTCCTGTCACTTGCAACTACCTGGATAGAGCTGGAGGACATTATGTTAAGTGAATTAAGCTGGGTACAGAAAGACAAACTTCTCATGTTCTCACTCATTTGGGGGAGCTAAAAGTTGAAACGATTGAATTCATGGAGATAGAGATGAGAATGATGGTTACCAGAGGCTGGGAAGGATAGTAGTTGGGGTGGGGGAAGTGGATATGCTTAATGGGTGCAAAGATAGATAGAATGAAAAAGAGCTAGTATTAGCACAGCAGGGTGATTACAAACAAAAATATTTTACGGTACATTTTAAAAATAACTAAAACGGTATATTGGAATGTCTGTAACACAAAGAAATGAAAATGCTTTAGGTGGTGTATACCCCATTTATCCTGATATGATTATTATGCATGGTATGCTTGTATCAATGTATCTCATGTACCCCACAAATATATAGACTTACTATGTACAAATAAAATTAAAAATTAAGAAAATCAGCTCAAAATTGTTTAAGACATAAATATGAAACCTGAAACCATAAAATTACTCAAAAAAAAAAACAGAACAAAACAAAACAAAACAAAAAAACGAAGGAGAAACACTTTATGGCACTGGTTCGGGAAAGAATTTTTTGGATAAAAGCTTAAAAGTACAGGCAACAAGAGCAAAAAGACAAATGGGATTGCATTAAACTAAAAAGCTTTTCCACAGAGAAGGAAATAACAGAGTGAAGAGACAACCTAAAGCGTAGGAGAAAATATTTGTAAACGATACATCTGACATGGGGTTAATTCTCAGAATATATAAGAAACTCAACTCAATAGCAAAAAGGCAAATGTCTGATTATACAGTGTATACATGTATTGAAAGATCACACTGTACCCCATAAATATGTACAATAATGAATCAATTAAAAACAAAATTTAAAATAATAAATAAAAATAAATTATTTTGGGGGATGTTACAAAAAAAGAAATTTATAGTCTCATGAGAAGAATAGTTATGCATATGCTGACCAGTCAGATCACTCCTCTTAGGCATGGCTCTATGTTTCAAGGGACACAAAAGACTTAAAACAGTGATGCTTGGCTCTCAGAAAGAAAAATATAATTATTTAAACTTGATCTAACACGGACCAAGGGAGTTGGCTGCACACTTCACAAGGAATAAACAGTGAAATAACCTCGAAAGCAATTCACTTAATGAAAACACATGAGTGTTTTTGTTTGTTTTTTTGTTTCTGTTTTTTGCCACAGCCCCTCTTTCTTCATGGTTACCATCAACTCAGGGCTTCCCTCCCTTAACCTCATGCATCAGGGTTATATATAGCCCTTATGCACATACACATGTCCCATTAGAAAGTTTCCTATTGTCTGTCCCTGGGCAGATATGTCTCATCTGCATATGATGTCATGTCCTCTCCCTTCACTTCACCTGTACAGTTGTCTAGTGGGCAGCCATTTTGTCTCATTTTCACCCCAGCCCGCTCAATATTTACTCTGTTATTGTTTTTTTCCAACTTATGACTCTTATTGCAAGCTCAATTCAAGTGTGAAACATCAGTGCAAAATTCACAGCCACCTTTCCATCTCTCCTCAGAGCTATTGTATCCCAGCCCACCAAACACTATTCTGTACTGATTTATTTCCATATGCTAACAACAAACATGAGACAATAACAGTACAAGGAAATGTATGCTACATCATCCAAAATGTGTGAAGTAGACAATATAAGAGGCCACACAGGATGCCAGTAGATAGGGCAGTTCAAGTGAGGAACGTTTCAGAAAATAAATAGTCTTTGAGCTGGAACAGCAGAAAGAAGATGGCACGCTGGTCAGAAGGAAGTGAATGCACAATGATGTCGGGAGTGGAAATGATGGTAGCTTGTTCACAGTGGGTACTGGAGTGAAAAGTTGGTGATGAAATCAGTGCTTGTGACTCATGTTACCCTCATGAGATTAGCCTCATGGAGGAAGGCCCTGGATATTTCACTCAGCAGATCCAGGACACTGGGCTAGGTCGGTACTAAATCTGATCACAAATAGCTGGGTTGCTGTGCTCATCTGCCCACCCTCTTTTTTTCTTTCATCTTAGTTGGGATGTGTCTATGGCCATTGATTGAATGGCTGTTTAGTTGGGACCTTGGTGAACAGTCAGCATCATCCCAGAAGGTTGTTAGTAGTTTTCTGACTGGCAGTCAGGACAGAGAGGACTAGAGTATGGTGAAAGGAAAGGGCCAGGTCCACTGATTACCCAGGGGTCTAGTTGGGCAGGGCTTCCCCTTAGCAAATATTGGTGAGAAGCTGGCCATGTTGGTCTTTGACACTCTCTTCTTTCATCTGTCTTCTTCCTTAGATGACACTCTTTCCCTCCACTCCTATCACCCCATACACATAGGTCCAATGTCGGTGTCCCATTTTTAACAGCTTTATTGAGGTAAAATTCATGTATTAAAAAACTGCATGCATTTCATGTATCCAGTTTGATGTGTTTGGACATATGCATATACCCATGCACCAAAATCAAGGTGATAAACCTATTCATCACCTCCAATAGCTTCCTGATACCCCTTTGTTTTGTCTGTGTCCCATTTTTATTGGTTGATATTCATTGATTGACAACAATTTTGACACCCATGATACCATGCCTAAGTAGTTACCTTCTTCTGTCTCTGTCCATTGCCTTCATCTCTTTTTCAGAATCCTTATCTTTTTCTCCTTTAAATATTGGTGCTGCCCAGGATTATTTCACTCCTCCCTTTGCAGCCAAATATCTGTCAAAGGCCCATGATTTATTTTGTAACTTTCAGCTAGATATACCCACCTGGATGGACTCCAAACATTTAACATTCTCTGTGTCTAGTAATAATATTAGCAAACACACTTTGGGCATTTACTTTGTGCCAGTATCCATCCTAGGTATATAACATGCATTATCTTATTCGATACCCACAACCATCCTGTGATGCAGAATAATGCTATTATCCATATTTACAAGTGGAGACATCAAGGCACAAAGAGGTTAAATAACTTGTCCAAGCTCATACATCTAGTAAGCGGATGCACTGGGATTTAGTACGATTTAATGTTTGTAGCCACCATCAACTCTATTATTCATATAAGAATTGTGGATAGAACTTTGGAGCTAAAAATGATCAACAGAGCTCCTCTGAGCCTACCCTTGTCAGCAAATCAGCCTTGTACTCAAACCACCAAGTAGATAGTATCTCTCTTCTTCGCAATGTGCCTGCACAGGGAAGGAAGGGTTTCAATGTCCACTGAGAGATCCAGAGTTTAGAATAGTCTGAGCTTTGTCTACCCAAGCAAAATGAAGATACGTCATATTTACTTAAGCAATTTTCTCCCTCTACCCCCTAATTTCTTAACTCCAAATATAAGATGTGAAATTATTCAATCACAAGGGTCCTAGGTCACCACCACCCTTCTCCACATTCATTTGTTTATCTTGAAGTTGTAAAAATAATGCATGTTAGCTATAAGAATTATAACAACATAAAAGCATGTAAAGGAAATCATCCCCTATTTCCCACTCTCAAAATAACGCCCTAGAAGTCATTACTATGAACAAATTATGTGTGTCCTAGGTATTTTCTCTACATAGTAAAACAGAAACACACACAAATACACAAAGACTTTTTTTTTTAACAAATGTTCTACAAACCTGTTCTTTTTAACAGTACATTATGGATGTCTTGCCAAAGCTAGACACAACACTGATGAAGTGACATTTGCACTGCATCTGCTGCTTGGCCTGGCTGTCATCTCCCCCTGCCTTCCTCCCTGTCCTCCTCCTCCTTTTTGGTAACCTTGAGAGCCTGATGACTTTCCAAGCACAGGCCAGTGAACCATGGACTTTACCTCTAAGCATGTGATTGGCCACTTCCAGGGTGATTGGGGCCCTATCCCTCATCCTCCATTGGCATGCATGCCTGCCGAGAGCACCAGGTGATTTTCCAGGGCAATGGCTTCCAGTGGGGCTACATGAGTCTTGATCTGGGCTACCGTCTCCAAACCTTCTTGAGGGTGTGCAGATCCTGGGCATGAATAAATAGCTGCAGGCTAGCTACCAAATTGCAGCTACCACTGCCACTGCCCTGAAGATGGAGACAAGAAGAGCCAAGGAATATGTCCTCATCACCTGCTGTAGCCACATTGCTGCTCAGAAAAGCATTGTTTTTTATTATTTTTTTTAAAGACATATTCTCCCTGTGTTGCCCAGGCTGGAGTTCAGCGGTGCAATTTCGGCTCACTGCAACCCCAGCCTCCCGGGTTCAAGCTATTCTCGTGCCTCAGCCTCCAAAGTCGCTGGGATTACAGGCCTGCACCACCACGCCCAGCTAATTTTTCTAATTATTATTATACTTTAAGTTCTGGGATACTTGTGCAGAATGTGCAAGTTTGTTACATAGGTATACACATACCATGGTGGTTTGCTGCACCCATCAACCATCTCTACTTAAAATACAAAAATCAGCTTTTCTCAAGAAGGGCTAATTTTTGTATTTTAAGTAGAGACGGGGTTTCTTCATGTTGGCCAGGCTGGTCTCAAGCTCCTGGCCTCAAGTGATCCACCCGCCTCAGCCTTCCAAAGTGCTGGGATTACAGTCATGAGCTACCGCACCTGGCCAGGAAAGCATACTTAATAAAGAATTATATACTAGAGAAATCAGCCTGAGAGTGTTGAGTAGTGTTTGATGAGGAAGAAGGAAATGTGGCCACCCAATTTCAAAACCACAATCTCAACACTGGAGATAAATGGAGTGGCATATCACCACATGTTTGAGCAGAGGCAGAATGGCTACTGGGCAGGAGTGTTACTGTATCTGTTAGGAGGCTGGACTATGTCATCTCCAAGGTCTCTTCTAACTCTGTGATTTTGCAGTGTATATATCAACTATGATTTATGATATGATGAACAAAGTCTGAAAGTGGAATTCTCATATTGACTTCATCCCTCAACTGTTGGGTAGCTGGAGACAAATACTCAATCTCTCTATAGCTTAACGTCTTATCACTGAATAACAAAGGAATAATGCTAAATAATCCCACAGGGATGCTGTGAGAAAATGAGCAATATTTTGAAATTCTTCTAAAAGTACCTGATAAACGCACATTAAATAGGTGCTGTGCCTGACATATAATTGGCTTAGTAGAGAGGCAAGAATACAAAGCCCCAGTAAATATAAAAACCACAGTGGAGTTATAATTCCACAGGCAGGAATGTCACTGACACATTTCTAGCATAAAACATCTGGAGTTGTGAGGGATAACTGTTTAGCTGTGGTCCACTTGATCATGGAATCGTCAGGATTAAATGAAATATAGTGGCAATCTAGTCCATTCTTCTGTCACTGCAATCAATCCAAGCTGTATTAATCTCTAGCCTCAGAAAGAGTTAAACATGCCAATGCTAATTTGATGGAACACAACCTTGGCACGGTATGAAAGAAGTCCCAAAGCAATTCTGTGGAAGAGTCAGTTGCCCAGAATTCTCAAATGTATGTCTGGGGCCTCCAGGGAGTCTCAAGTATATGAATGAGGCCACAGATGAGGAAGAGTTGGCTGGGAGCTAGGGCTCCTCCTTGCATACCTATTCACTGTTGCTGCCCTTTTCTAACAAAAGACAAGCAATCCCTGCATCGGTGGAGCCCTGCAAGAGCTGAGTGCACTATTTCCTTCTCCACTTGCAACTTTTCATCCATCTTTGAGATTCTTATCCCCTATTAACTAAATATGGAGGAGAAAACTAAGCAGTAGTAAATTTAATTTAGAACCCCAGTCCTTTTTAAGGCCTCTTTTGGGTTATCCCTGGCATGTGTTCCTGAAAAGGTGCTGCAGAGTGAAAGACTGCTTTGAAGCTCTGAGGTGTCTGGCTATATGTGTTTCAGATAGATGGACATGTTTTGCAAGTGATTGAAAATTCATCATTATGTGTAAACTGTCTTTGCTTTCTCAAGTTTCAGATGTGGGGCATGTCTGACTTCAGGGAAATAAGAACAAGACAGCCGATGTTTCCCTAATTCATTCTTGATCAGCACCTAGCTTATTTTTCTCTAGGGAGACAGCAGCCCACACCCCTAGCCTAAGAGCATACAGTGAGAAAGCTAGGCAAGAGACAGCAGCCGTAGAGCTAGAAGCCCAAAGCAGCCCTCCCTTCTCCCAACTACAACAAAGCTCCTGCTCCTTTCTTTTAACACTTGGTCCGCTGTGACAACAGCGAAAGGTATACTGCTTGAGACTGCACTATTGACAATGCAGCTGCCAGTTCAAAGCAATAAAATTGGAAGTAATATCAGAGAGAGAGAAATTATGGGATAGGGACATTGTTCTTGAGTGTTTTTTTTCTCTCAAAATGTAATAGAGGGAAACATGTGAGTAAAGGCAGTACATTATAAAAATATTAGAAAACATTTGCTTGTCACAGATTATGTTTGGAAAGAACTTGCTTGCAGTTGAATGATGTTAACATGATGAGCATAAGTTCAATCACAAAATGACTTCAGCTACTTTTCCTGGTAACCACAAGTTATATATTTTTTAAATGACTTCTGTTTTATTAGTGACCCAGTAATTTAATCCTGGCCATTGTGTACTGAATAATCAATTGTTTATCATGATGGGGCACAGTCATGGCCATGAAACAGAGACTTTTGAATCCTGTTTTTCTGCTAAAGAAGGAATAAATATTCTTGAAATGTGTCACATTAAGATGTCTGTGCTAGATGAACTTAGGCATTTTGATGTTATTCAGGCCCAGGCGTGTTTTCTCAATGGCTTCCCAACCCTAATCAATTCTTGCTACAGAGTGAGGGGCTCCTGGGTGCATGGTTGTTTCTTAGAGAAGCCATTCAGAAATCTCAAATGGGGAGTTCAAGCAGAAAGATCCTGAATACAAAATTGCCCCAGGGTGCTTCCAGTAGTACCAGCTAACAAAACTGTTTCCCACCTTGGGGATAATAGTTAAAAAAAAAAAAAAAAGTTTCCCATCATTAATAGTAGTCATTGTAGGTTTGCCTCATGTTTGCCTAGAATATCCATAACTTACGGAATTTTTATTCTGATGATAATCAAGGGCCTGTGGTGTTGCCATGAGATACATGTCCACTGACTTCTTTTTAGTGTAGCTAAGAGTAATAGCACCATGCCATGGAGAGGCAGTCTCCATAATGACCTGCCCAGTTCCCTGTCAGAGTAGCCCTTCAGTCCTCCACAGCCCCGGATGAAGACACTTCATTCCCATGGATTGACTCTTCTATCCATTACTAAGAGATGACTTTTCTAGTCCATAATCTGAGATTCATCCTGTTTCTAGCCATAGAGACTCTTAGAACTAGGGCAATAGCTCAGCAGTGCAGCATCAAATCACACAAGATGCTGGTCCCTTCTGAATCTTGTATTTTGGTAGCTATGCCTGAGCCCTTGCCTTATTGTCATGTGACCAAGACTGTTTTATGATCTACTTCAATGGTTCCAAAATGCAAGTGATTTTGCCCCCCAGGGGGACATTTTGGCATTGTCCCCAAGGGGGACATTTTGGCAATGTCTAGAGATGTCCTTGGCTTTTACACTTGGTGACAAGGTGCTATTGTTATCAAGGGGGTAAGGCCAGGGATGCTGCCAAACACCCTACAATGAACAGGATGGCTCCCCACAATGAAAAATCATCTGGGCCAACATGTCAAGAATGCTGAGGTTGAGAAACCCTGGACTAATTCCAATAATGGAGTCCCTGTCACATATCCTTCCCAGTATCCCCATTCATGTTTCTAGACCTCACAATACTAATCACCTAATCACCTTCCTCCTAGACCACTGCCTACATTTACATTATACTGACGCAGTGTTCTGCCCACATACTGAGAACCCTCTCTTTTATCTACTGTCAGCATAACTGGGCTGCTTCTGATGCCACCAGGAATCCATCATCCCACCTGACCACCTTGAGTCTGTATAGCATGCTTGTTTAACAACCCAAGCTTTGGATCCAGCCTACTTGAATCAAAGTCCTGGCTCCTCCATTTAATAGCTGTGTAACCTTAGACAAATTACCTTACCTTTTTGAGCCTCAGCTTCCTTATCCATGAAATATGAATAGTGGCAACTCCTACCTCATAAAGGAGATAATACATGTCAAGAGCTCAGCAAACTTCCTAGCATATTTGTAAGTGTTTGGTAAATGTTAATCACTGCTCGTTGCTAAGACATTTGTGGATTGATTCAGCCGGCCTCTTGTACAGTGATTATCAAGCTTCTAGAGCAGCATTATCCAGCAGAACTTTCTGCCATGAGGGAACTGTTTTGTATCTATGCTGCCCCGTAAGGTAGTCATATGGCTATGGAGTAGTTGAAATGTAGACAGTGTGACTGAGGAACTTTATTTTTTAAATATTTTTAAAATTTTAATTGTCAGACATGGCTAGGGATGTTATCATAATGCACAATGCACTTTTAGAGTTTTTCAAACTCAACATCCCACCAAAAATAAAATTCCAACAAACTCTCCTGGGAAAGGGAGGGGCATTCTTACTCTCTCCTTCCAGACATTGAGAACCATTGTCCTAGTGAGGCACTGTACTGATGGGAGTATGTTATAATCCTCAGGTGGGTTGGGAAATAAGAAGGAGCTAAGACTGGCATGACTAATTCTAGCTAGCCCTGCCTCCCCCTGCTCCACTGAGCCACTGTCAAAAAAGCCTCATGCCCAGAACCCAACCAGGGCCATAGTGCTCCCAGGAGACATTTGGCAATGTCCAGAGATATTTTTGGCTATCAATTCTGGGGTAGAAGGGAGAGCTGTTACTGTCATCTAGTGGATACAGACAAAGGATGCTGCTAAACATCCTACCGTGCACGGAACAGTCCCCCACAACAAATTATTATCTGGCCCAAAATATCAGTCACACCAAGAATGAGAAAATGCCCTAGAGAGATCCCTAAACAATCCCACACAAGGGAGCATCACTATGTGCTTAAAAGTCTCCAAAGGTAAGGGGTCTCTAACCTCCCTGGGAATTCGGTTCAATGTTTCCACTACCTTCAGTTTACTCCCTTCAAATTACCTGGAAGGAAATTGTTCCCCTCCATATTAGGAGTAGATATTAAAAACCAACAATTCTTCAATTTGGGAAAATGCAGACAAAGGAGAGAAACTTCTAAAATGATGATAGCTGCAGAGAGGGAGAACTGGGTTTGGCTCACCAATTGTTAGGATATCAGAAAGAAAAGAGTTTTTGAAACCTGCCAGAATTTTACTATAAGCAACAGACCATGATTCCCACAGTATACAATAAAACAACTTGTCCTTATTACCCCCCAAAAGATAATACAGTGTAAAAGGGTAAAGATGTTCTCAAAAGGGGTTGGATTTAGAAATGTTTGCGGCTTCTAAAACTATAACAGTCTACTTATAGGAGCCAGAAATATTAGGACCACACTTCTTTGAAATCGATAGCATATAACGAATTCCTGATCTCTTCCAACACCACCTTCTGTGCCTCAGACACAGAAATCTGGGCTGAAAGGCCCATGGAGCTGAGCCAGTCATTGGACTAGATCTTATATTTCTGGGTCACCTGAACTTCTCCATGCTGCAGTTTAGGTACATCTTTTCCTGTGTCGTCGTCAAGGAAAAAAATTGAAAGCTACTGTGTTCACTCCAGAAAACTAAACTGGATAGGTAATTCAAATCATAAACCCATATTTCTTCTCCTATATCTGAGCTTGGAGAAACTGAACTGTCCTACATAATTGTCCCTTACTTTCTCCTGTGCTTTGTCTAACTACATGATAAATGCCTCTATGTGACAGCAATCAGCAAGGCTGAAAATGCAAAATTTAACCCTGCAGATGCTTTTCCACTATCAGAGGTTTGAAAGATAGTAAAGGACCCTTTAATGTTTATTTCCTGAAAAGATCAAGGATAGCCACAGGAAGAGGAATTAACTCCTGCTGCTCTGGAGGACTATGCTTACATTTAGGGCAACTGCCAACAGGTCAGCAACAGTATTCTACCTCTGGAGACCAGCGTCAGCTGCCTGGCCTGCCTCAGGTGTGGATAACTGAGAGAAAGAATGTGAGACTCAATAATTGTTTAATGAATGTGACAAAATCTCTTCTTTCAACCCTTATCCTCCAATTGTATCATGTAACCTTACAGTCAGATGGCTACATATGAACAAAGCAACCAAACAAACAGCATTTGACAGGTATACGGAGCATGGAATGAAAATCATGGTGGGGAAAGGGAATGCTTTTGATGTTATGTAACATGAATTTTGCTTCTAGATTTCTGATCTGGTTTCCTTTTTACCTCTTTTTTTTTTTTAAAGGCCTCTCCTTACCGTGAGGCTACTTTCAGGCCTTTTTCTTTATTCAGGCGCAGCCCACACTGCTTTTGTGAGTGAAGGTCAGAACTGCCCTTTTGTAACTTTTCTTTTGCACTCTTAGACCCAACTGAGTTCATTTTTGTCACCCAAGGTCTCAACTCCTCTTCTTTATTCATTCTGATTTTGTTTTGCTGGCAAATGTGCTCTTATCAATATCAGTACCCATTAGAAAAAATATAAAATAAGAAGTGTTTATTTATATTGAGTCCTATAATATACTTACTAGTAATCTGGTTACCCTGGCCCTCCAATGATACTGTCTCTATATCTGGGTTCTCAGCCCTGTCCAGAAACCTTTATCATGATATCCAATCTCACACTAGTCATGTGATAAGCAGTGATGTGGAAAACTCTAAATCAGCTTGTCACCATCCTCTTTCCAGGACAGCAATCTACAAGAGAAATTTAATTTAAAAATCACACATTGATTTATACAAAGTGAACCAAGAACTATTATGGCTGTCCTAGAAAGCTATTTGTATCAAGCTCCACAGTAGGGCCACCTACAAAGCTAACTGGACACCCTGGTAGAGTACGGCTTCCTTCCTCTGTGCAATGCTAGGGACGCGTTGATTAGACCTTTGCTTCTTACATTTTTCCCATCTCAATAATAACCCACATCTGCTGATTGACTCATTTTTTGATTCATCACATCATTTTCACAATTTCCTGGAAAACGTCAGATCTCAACTGCATGCAAAATGCCTTCAGGGAGGGCTGTCTCTCCAAAGGCCGGCCACTCTGTATTCCCTTCCTACCTTGGAGCCTTTTACCTTTTTTGGTTTTTTGTTTGTTTGTTTGTTTCTAATATCCATCCCAGGGTGGACCTTACTTTTGGAATCAGTGGTTCCCATCACTCATTAGAACCCATATTTTATGAAGAAAATATATGGAATGCTTCATTAAACTGTGACAAAAATGCCTTTCCAGGTTTTATCAAACTAAAACTCACAAATTACAAACTTTCATAACCTATGGAATTAGTCATGAATTTTTTTTCTCATAGATTTAGCTCCTATCTTTTGAAAACTTCAGGGCCTCTATGTGATGAAAACTCAAGAATAGTTTTGTGGGCTGCCAAACGTTAAACAATGTTATGTAATGTTTGTCTGGTTTAAGGTAGAACATTAGGTTAATTAACATCCAACAAAACCTGCAATATGTACTTAAGATATGTCTGTATATTCAGTGTTGTGATGTGATTTTAACATTTGTTTATTGATATAATAAATCAAATTGTTGGCCTTTTGCTGGTTAGGGGTGGAGCTGTATAGTGGTTAACAGTACGGGAGGCTTTGGTACCAAACTGCCTGGGGTCAAGCTCTGGGCTCTCTACGTCCTAGCTATGTGACCTGGGCCAAGACACTTAGCTTCTCTATGACTGAGTTCCTCAGATATAAAATGGGAGTAATTATTATGCCTATAGCATAGAGCTATAGTGAGGACTAAATAAAATACTCCAGCATTGTGCTTGTGCCTGGCATATGGAAAGTGCTCAACCTCCAGTAGCCATTAGTATTACTTTTATCCCTGCTGCTTAGGCTAATCCTGGCTATTGTTTTATATATATAATTGATCTGTATGTATCAATATTGACATTTTTAAAGGCCAGTGGGTTCTGTGACATTATCCCCAAGTAAATGTTGTCCATTTCAGTCTTCCAATCTAAATTATATACACCTTGGCCTTGAAAGCTGAGATCATCCAGCAAATCCTAACTCTGATGCTTCTGTTTTTACCAGATTCTGAGAAACAGATACTTTTCCATCTCATGCCAATGGTTGCTCCAAAGTAACACATACATCACCACTACTAGCTAACTAACCTGATAGATAGGCAGAGCAGGAAGCTGGTAATGTGAACTGATTAGATGCTGGTGTTTTTCACTTCTGAGTAATACAGAGAAATGAAATTTCATTTCCACACGTTCCTTGGACTGCTGAACACTGATTTTATCTGGCATGTTAGGATGGAGGGAGGAGAACACAGAAGGTGAAAAAAGAGGGATTACAATTTCACTAAATCCAGGCATAAGACAGGAGGTTCATTTTCAACATGATGCTATCAGACCAGCTGTGTGAGGAAGTGCCAGTTGGAGAGGTTGGGTCTGTGAGCAGACAACATTGTGTGTATGAATGAGGCGGCTCCTGATAAGGGTCTGGCCATTAATTACAAATGGGGGATTTAATTTCAGAAGCCTGTGATAAACTCCACCAAGGGTAACGATAGGGTTCAGAAAAACTCCAATTAGCAGATTGTGTCCAGTGATGAGGTTAATGGAAATGAATGTATCATTTGAGCCCTTGGTGAATAACCTTGTAAAAGCTTTAGCCATTTCTGACAGTGGGGAAAAAGGAGTATGATCTATCCTCTAGGCTGTCCTCTGGCAATAGAATTTAGCTGAAAATACAGAGAAGCTGACTGTAGCTCAATCTATTCGCTGCATTGCAAGTGTTTTATGTGATGAGCTCTGAGCTGAGTGGCTCTGTCCTATGCTCATTCATCCAGAAGGATCCTTGAACAGGATCCTAGCTTTTCTACAAGGAATCCTTGGACAGATCCAGTAGCAAACTCATTATGGCCTGAATGAAAAGTCCCAGGGAAAGGCAAGACAGTGTAACTTCTTTAGTGGCCATGTCCTTAGCCCACATCATTGCAAATTTTAAAATTCAATCGAGTTGGTTGATGTACCAGGTTTCTTTAGAAGTACAGTTATAGATAATATAAGCCAAATCTAAATTCTTGGCCTATTGATTTCCTTCCCTCTTCCTCACCTCCCCCTATCTTTATTTTTCCTTTTAAAAAACATGATTTTAAACAGAAAGTCCAAGATCTTTCAGTATGATTTTGGAGTTTAAAGAGAAGGCGAAATTTGATAATAAATAATCAAATTGAATTTTTCACCTGACCTCAATCTGAACACAAAATGGCTGTTAAAAGATAATTTCAAAAAAAAAAAATGTTAAATCGTAATCTTCATACAAATTTAAAGTAAACATGACAAAGATTTTATTCAACTCATTAATTAATGAGGGAACCAGTAGGTAGGCCAAGAGTCTGCAAACTATGGCCTTCAGTCCAAATCTGGCCTGTCAACTGTTTTTATAAATAAAATTTATTGGAGCACAGCCATACCCATTCACTTACACTTATGGCTGCTTTCATTTTACAATGAAAATGAAAGTTTCATTTCATTGTAATGAAACGACATTGTAATGTAATTTGTTGTATGGTCCACAGAGTATCAATTACTGTCTGGCTTTTTACAGAAGAAGTTTGCTCTCCCATGATACAGGCTATTGGAAACATAGAAATAAACTCACAAATGGATACAAAGTAGTCTATATCCACAAGGCAATAATCAATTATATTCCACCCAATAAGAAATAGTTGCATTACAATTTATAGAGTTTTAAATTAAGTCAAAGAGAATCAAAGGCATGGATAATCCAGAAAATATACTAGACAGGACCTCTAGTTTATGTTTTTTCATGATCCAAAGTCTTTCACAATTTTTCTTAATAGCTACTAGGAGAAACCTTATGTACAGAGCCACCAGTAGTAGCAGAATCCACTCTATCTGAAAGTGGAGTAGGAATCAAGCTGTACAGTGGATTGTGAGGCCTGAGAAAGACCTTCACCAAACTTAAGTCCCTACCAGCCTAGTCCTCCTTGAAATTCTCATTTTTTTTGGCTAATGCCAAGGTGTTCTTTCTAGGTGCCACCAGTTAAAATGTAAATACCCCCCGCTCAGGACAGCTCCAGATATTGTTATCAATATTAGTAACTTGTATGGATTTTTTTTTTCAAAGAATAGCAGACCAGTCACCTAAAGGGACCCAGAAGTCCAGGGACCTGGATGGGAAACTGATACAATTTAGTAAACCTAACCTAAAATATAAGAACAATCCATAAAAGGCAGTACTGATTAAGCCTGCACAGGAGGCTTGCAAGACAGCACTGGGTTAACTTGTATTAAGTTAGGTAGAACATTAAAAAGTACACAAAATAGAATTGAAGGGGGGTGCTCTTACGGTTTCCATATGTCACAGTTTTGCCCAGGTGAAGACTAAACCATTACTGTGCTGGGGAGTTTGCTTTTGATTAAGATACATTTTTTTTGTTGTTTTGTTGAGACAGAGTCTCGCTCTGTCACCCAGGCTGGAGTGTAGTGGTGCGATCTTCACTCACTGCAACCTCCATCTCCCGGGTTCAAGTGATTCTCCTGCCTCAGCCTCCCGAGTAGATGGGATTACAGGTGCGCACCACCATGTCCAGCTAATTTTTGTATTTTTAGTAGAGATGGGGTTTCACCATGTTGGCCAGGCTGGTCTCGAACTCCTGACCTCAAGTGATCTGCCCACCTAGGCCTCCCAAAGTGCTGGGACTACAGGCCTGAGCCACAGCACCTGGCCACTTTTGTAATACATTTGTTGTTATAATGATAGGAACCATGTTTGTTGAGAACCTAGTATGTTCTAAAACAAACTTATCAAACCTGCGACCTGCAGGCCACATGTGGCCCAAGACAGCTTTGAATGTGGCCCAACACAAATTCATAAACTTTCTTAAAACATTATGAGATTTTTTTGGGTGATTTTTTTGTAGCTCATCAGTTATCATTAGTGTTAGTGTATTTTATGTGTGGCCCAAGGCAATTCTTCTTCTTTCAATGTGGGCCAGGGAAGCCAAAAGATTGGACAACTCTGTTCTAAACCCTATGTAGAAAATACACACACAATCTCATTTAATCCTTATAATTTTGCCCAGCTGCTGTCATTTTCCCATTGTATAGGCAAGGGAATTGAGATACAAAAAGGCTAGTAAATGACAAAGCCAAGCAAGATATTCTTAAATTGCACTGTGAAAGTGTGTCTGGAATTCATTCCTTCTGGTGAGTTCATGGTCTCACTGACTTCAATAATGGAGCCGTGGAGCTTTGCGTTGAGTGTTACAGCTCTAAAAGATGGCACAGACCTAAAGAGTGAGCAGCAGCATAATTTATTGTGAAGAAGTGAAAGAACAAAGCTTCCACAGCATGGAAGGGGACCCGAGCGGGTTGCCGCTGCTGGCTGGGGTGGCCAGCTTTTATTCCCTTATTTGTCCCCACCTATGTCCTGCTGATTGGTCCATTTTACAGACTGCTGATTGGTCCATTTTACAAACCTCTAGCTAGCTACAGAGTTCCGATTGGTGCATTTTTACAGAGCACTGATTGGTGGATTTTACAAACCTCTTATAAGATAGAAAAGTTCTCCAAGTCCCCACTAGACCCAGGAAGTACAGCTGGCTTCACCTCTCAGAAGCCCTCCTCAAAATAGTGTGGACACAGTCACTCCTCTTTCCATCTCCTGATCATCTGCTGATTTAGTCGCTATCCAAAGTACTCTGATTATCTTGGCCCCTAGATCACAGCTGTCCTCTTCAGCCCAATACGTGTCATCACTCTGGACAACTTCAGCACCCACCCATGTGGACAATGCAGCCAGCATCCTGACCCATCAGCTCCTTGACCTCCCCACTCCACTGACCTCCACATTCACTCTACTTCAGCCCACTGTGCCCATGACCAACCCACAGCTGGTCACCATTCAGCACTGCTCCACTGTGGACATCATATCTACTAGCACCCTACTCTCTGTCCACAGTCTCCCATCCTCCCAGTTTGCCTACTCTGTCTTTTCACTTCAAAGAGACCTCAAGTCCCTCAATGTCTCCATTTCCTCCCAGACTTTTAGCCCTTACCTATCTGATCTGGTCTTCAAGTGCAATCACCTGAACTACTTCATCCTCAACTTCTTCTCACGTCTGGCAAAACCACAATCCTGAATCTATCCAAAACCTGAATTTTCCATCCCCACATCTGGACTGTCAAAGCTGCTAGAGAGAAAAAAAAAAGCCACATTCTTCTGTGCATCACTGCCATTATAAATTTACAGCTGCTAATTTACCCAAGACTTCAGGACTGCTAGGCCATCCTTTTACTTTCCTTTGTCTTCCTCTTTCTTTCCCCTTAGCAAATCTTCCATACATTGAACTCTCCCCACACACCCTGCCAACTTCTCCTCCCTCACTCAAAGCATCTGATCTCACCTCCCATTTCAATGAGAAAACTGCATTTTTAGATGGGAAATACTTCAGCTTCCAGCCCTCTTCAATAACAAACTACTAACACCTCCATTCAACTCACCTTTTTTCCTCCAGTCTCTGAGGATAAGGCATCCTTATTCCAGACTAAGATCAACCTCCACCTCACCCCAACCTTTGCTCTGGACCTCATCTCTCCTCATCTCTTCAGGCACCCTGATCTACCCACAAGCCCCCTCTTTCCCTTGTCTACAGCCTCTTCCCTCCTCCCCGGGTCCTCCCCCAATCTAATCAAGGTGCTCAAGATGCAGCCTCATCTCTTCACAGCCACATTTCATTAAAGAGGCTTGGGATATTAGGCCAGAAACTCAGACAAGGGTGAAGCCTTGTTTTAAAAGCTAGGGCACAGGTGCAGAAGAAGCTGCAATTCAGAAACTAACAGAACAAGAATGTCCCATTGCAAAAGCCTCAACAGTAGGAATTTGGAATGATGGAACCTGAGGCAGGCCTCCTGAGTGCTTCTTATTTCAGGCCTTGGTTGCCCTGGAAACTGGGGCTGGACAGAGTCCTTGGAGTAGATAGGTGGAGCCACTTGTGAGGAAACAAGGGCAGGCAGAGGCTGATCCTGTCCACTCTTGGTTTCAACTACTATTGCTGGCTGAAGGCTCTCACATCTATATTTTCAGCCCTGACTTCTCCTTCAAGATTCATGCTGGAGTTATACAATTTCCTGCTGCTTTCCCAGTAGGGACTTCAAAGTTAACAAGCACAAAACTGAACTTTTAAAAACCTTAAACCTGCTCCTGTATGCACTATCTCAATTAGTGACACTACTGTTCAACCAGGCATTGGAATATGGAGACTCAATACCCTTGATTTCTTCTCCCTGCCTTCCCTGACACATCCAATGAATGCCTTAAATTTGTTATTTTTTATCTATCTCTAGAATCACTATCTAATTTAAGATCCTTGCATCTATTCACCTGAACTGATGATATCTTTTAATTAGTCTTATTCTGAAACACATGGTGGTGTGCTTGGAGCTGGCTTGCACCAGCTGGCGAGAGCGGGTTATCTGCTCCTCTTCCCAACTCCATGTTCCAGGATGTCATATTGGTAGCATGAAACTGGCCACAGTGGGAGTATTTACACCACAAAAACTGGCAAACACACAAAACAGGATATTTTTTCCTCCCCTGTGGAGAGCTGGTTGTTAAACATTTATGAGCATGATTACCACTGCCCATTTCCCACACTGTGGCCAAGCTAATCAACTATGCCACTCTCCTGATTAAAACCCTCAGTGGTTCCCCGTGGTCAACAGATAACATATAAATTCCTTAGCATGGCATATGAGGCCTTTTATCATTTGGCCCTTGCCTAAATATCCAATTTCTTCTCCCATCTCTTTTTAGTCTCACAACTTATGTGCTAGCACGAAGGTCACAAACTGGTTCACTGGAGCCAAATTTGTTTCACATATGTATTTTGCTTGGCCTGCACACTGTCTTTAAAATTTTTGAGCCAACGTTTATAACTTTAAGAGCTTCTACCCCCAAATCCATGTTTCCGGCTTCTTTTCAAAAATTTATAACACTGCTCCTCACTTGTGTTTATGACAATTTACAGGAGCTGAGTAGTAGCTGCCCCCTTTGAGAGGGTCTCTGCAGTTTACCAGTTTCTATCATTCACTCGCCCAAATTATGCGTATACACCTACACCTGGTCCTGATTTCTGTTACCTGTTTGGCCTGCATTTTAGATAGATTATTATCAGAATCTTCTAACCCTCATTATAGAACTTTCTCTTCCTTTACTTTGGCTGTCCTGATGATAGTCCGTGGTCTCTGCACAGCCTGGGAAGGAATAAAAACAGCAAGATGATGAAGGAGGACAAAGCAGAAGGGGTAGAAGGAATAAAAAGAAACCCGTAGTCTATGGATCAGTCCCCACTTTGAAGCAATAGAATTGTGAAAAATACAGGCAGAAATGTCCCAAGTTTGTGAGACCTCGTAGTAGTTCCCTGCAGAGCTAATCATCTAACCCTTCTTGGAGTCTTGGGATGTCTGCCTTCTCAGCTGGACATGGGAAGGAGAGGTCCAAGGAAATTAGCTCATATTGACCCAAATTGTGGGAGTCAGGTTTATAAACAATAGAGTCAATTTCTCTTTTCTTTTCTTTACTTTTTTATTGGAGACAGGGTATCACTCTGTTGCCCAGGCTGGATGGAGTGCAGTGGCATGATCACAGCTCACTGCAGCCTCGACCTCCCAGGCTCAAGCAATCCTCCCATCTTAACCTCCCTACTAGCTGGGACTACAGGTGCTTGCCATCACACCTAGCTAATATAATGTTTTTGTTTGTTTGTTTGTTTGTTTTTTAGAGACAGAGTCTCACTATGTTGCCCAGGCTGGTCTTGAACTCCTGGGCTCAGATGATCCTCTCACCTCAGCCTCCCAAAGTGTTGGGATTACAGGCATGAGCCACCACGCCTGGCCCAAGAGAGTCAATTCCTTAATGTGAAAACAGGAAATTTAATTTATTTTTGCTGAGTGCCTGCTGTGTGTCTAGCACTGTGCTAGATGCCATAGGGGAAACAAGAGCAGACCAGGACAACTCTGCCTTCAAAGAGCTCATAACCTTATCAAGGAGGCAAAAAGTACGTGTGTGAAGTAATTTGAGAATAATGTAAGACAGCATCAGAAAAGTGATTTTCTTGCATGTAACCTTGTGCCCACAGTATTTGAGCGGGCAGCAAGAGATAAGCTCAAAGTTAAGAGGAGGAGCTATTGAAGAAGCCAGAACTTGCAATGGCCCCTGAGTGGCAGAGAAATGGGGCGAGAGACCATTCCACACAGGGGATCCACAAGGATATACACACAGAAAGCAACCTGTGAGTGACAACACTGATAGGAGGAGAAAAAGCAGTCTGGGCGGGAGGGCAAGGTTGGTCACTGTAGACCAGTTTTCTTTTTAAAAGGTTTCCTCTCTGGTGTTAGGTACTCAGGAAGCCGAATGGAGAATAATAAAGTTCCTTGTTAGACAATATAATCGAGTAGTTTCAGAAAGCATTTCATATTCTAGGCATAGACAACAACAACCTTTTGGCTCTATCATACAAGTGGGGCTAAACACTATTCACGGGTACTGCTGTGTGTATTGGACAGGACTGGCAGCACTGCCTTAGAAGAAAAGAAAGGAAAAGAGTAAGAAAAGTAGAAAGAATAAGGAAGTGGCGGGGAGAGAGAGAGAGAGAGAGAAAGAGAGCGAGGAAAGAGGAATAGCATGGTAGGAAGCAGACCCATACCCATAATCGAACCCAGGGAATCCTGTGCTACAGGTTAGCCTCTCTTCCCTTCTGCTCAACACTTTTAGACCCTGACAGAGATGAGGAATGCCTCTGCCTGGAGAAAGGGCAGATTTCTCATCTGAGCTCGCTTCTTCCTGGGCAGACTGTGACAAATTTCTCACTTCCCCATCTCTCCCAACTCTAGGCTTTATGCTGATAGTGTTTATGTTCATTTCCAGACCCACTCAGACCTACTTCTTCCTTAGCCTGTAAGCTTATGTTAATTTCTGAGATTACTCTTTCCTGTGTCCAATTTACTTTATGAGCCAGTTGCTCACTTCCTGCTGTCTTGTTTGTAGCTGCTCCCTCTAAATGTTTAACAGTGTTTACTCGCTGCTCCATCCTAGCCATTAATGACCATTATGCAGTCATCTTTCAACTATTCAGAGGCTGATGCAAGCACTCAGTGAAGGAAACAGGTTTCTTGCAAACTCCTCCTCCTCCACCTTTCTCCTACTGTATGTTTTCTGGCCACTTCCCTGTTTGAGAATCCTGCGTGCAAGGTGGGAGGGAGGCAATGATGTTGAAAAACAGTTAACTCATCCCTTTGTCAGTTCGCCAGTAACTGTGGGTTGTTGTTTTATTTTTTAAAGGAGTTTTGAGAGTAAAAAGAACCTATTGATTAAAACACGATTTGTCTCTCTGCTTACATTTACAGAGATAAAAAAATCTAAAACAAAACAAAAATCCCATGATTTGTCTATTCGATGAGACTCCCAATTATCCATGGTCTGTCCTACCCAGTTAAAATGAACATTTGGAACTTTTTTTTCCTAAAGTGTAATAAAAATCAATATTTCCCAATTTTCTGGAATCCTAGACATGTTTTGAATACTCGGCTCCACCTCTTAAAGCCTCTGTTGCCTCTGTTGACTATTCCAGCCCTCCCCTTCTCTAGCTCTAGATCCTACCACACTTAAACTCTTCTGTGAGTCTAGCAAGCTGCCTCAGTTTCCCTACTGGACTGAGAAAAGACTGGGTCCCAAAAGAGACTTTTTTTTTTTTTTTTTTTTGAGACTGAGTCTTGCTCTGTTGCCCAGGCTGGAGTGCAGTGGCGTGATCTCGGCTCACTGCCAGCTCTGCCTCCTGGGTTCATGCCATTCTCCTGCCTCAGGCTCCCACGTAGCTGGGACTACAGGCGCCCGCCACCATGCCCGGCTAATTTTTTGTATTTTTAGTAGAGACGGGGTTTCACCGTGTTAGCCAGGATGGTCTCTATCTCTTGACCTCATGATCCGCTCGCCTCGGCCTCCCAAAGTGCTGGGATTACAGGCGTGAGCCACTGTGCCTGGCAAGAGACATTTTAAAGTCGAAAGATTTTTTAATTCATTGATCAGGTTCTGCACACTCACCCGGAAGTGCTCCTGAATACCCAAAGAAGCCCCCATCTTTCACCTATAGCTGCTATTTACACTAAACATTACATCATGGACATAGCAGTTTTATCAATGGTACTGTTGCTATCAGTATCCCCTCCCCAAGCCGAGAAGTCTTCATTTTCAGAGTACTTCTTCCTGACCCTAACGAATCATCTTTACCTTCCTGGGACCTACAGGAAGTTGGACGAACCCTGTCTGGCCTTGGGCTTTGGTCCCCTGAAGTTATATATATAGTCTCTACTGCTCATTTGGAACTGAGCAGATAATACTATGTACTGTTACCAGTTTTATGAAAGTTTGCTCTACCCAAGTAATTCTCCAGGAGGTCAGGAAAAATGTCCTTTACTTCTCTGTATTCTCCAGTATGTCTCAGACAGAAATGGGCATGTTGTCATTGCATAATTGACAATTTGACTCTAGAGCTTGGCTCTAGAGTCTTGCTTGGGTTTGAATCCTGGCTCTGCTGACTAAAAACTTTGTAACCTTAGGTGTGTTCTTTAATCTCCCTCTGTCTCAGCTTCTTCATATGGGAAGAATATTTACCTCACAAGGTTGTTGTGGAGATTAAATGAGTAAAGACATGTAATGTGCTTAGAATAGTGCCTGGCACACAATAAGCATCCCACAAACATTAGCTATAAGGAAGGAGGTTTAGGAGGTCAAAAGAATTGAAACAAGAATGGAGACTCTAATTCCTGAATCGCCAGCATTTTATAGGCCCTATGCTTCTCTCTCCAAACTTTAATCCTGCCCTTCTATTCTTCTCATTTCTTGTACCTAGGTCCCCACTCTGATGATGGACACGCAGTTCTCTGAATTCACACCGGACATCACTCCCATCATGCTGGCTGCCCACACCAACAACTACGAAATCATCAAATTGCTTGTCCAAAAACGGGTCACTATCCCACGGCCCCACCAGATCCGCTGCAACTGTGTGGAGTGTGTGTCTAGTTCAGAGGTAGACAGCCTGCGCCACTCTCGCTCCCGACTGAACATCTATAAGGCTCTGGCAAGCCCCTCACTCATTGCCTTATCAAGTGAGGACCCCATCCTAACTGCCTTCCGTCTGGGCTGGGAGCTCAAGGAGCTCAGCAAGGTGGAGAATGAGTTCAAGGCCGAGTATGAGGAGCTCTCTCAGCAGTGCAAGCTCTTTGCCAAAGACCTGCTGGACCAAGCTCGGAGCTCCAGGGAACTGGAGATCATCCTCAACCATCGAGATGACCACAGTGAAGAGCTTGACCCTCAGAAGTACCATGACCTGGCCAAGTTGAAGGTGGCAATCAAATACCACCAGAAAGAGGTAAGCTGAGCTCATGTCTGCTTTCAGGGAAGCTTAAAGCCTCCAAAGTCTGGAGCAGCAGAGCAAGAATCAGCATTTTTCTACCATTTAGCCCCCTAACAAACAAATGGTTGGGCAGGCCTCACAGCTAGGCCCATTTATCCGAGGCACAGACAACCTTTTTGTATTTTCTTTATGGCCAGATAAGTAACCATCTGATTCTTTGGTGGAAAAGCATTCATGCATTTAACAAATGCTTACTGAGCACTGTTCGGAGTGTTTGCGATACAGAAGACAGACACCGACCCTGCTTTCATGGAGCTTACAAGCTGGTGGTGGATATAGAGTAAATGATCACTTTAATGAATACATAATTACCTACTAAGATATGTACTCTGAAAGAACAGTGCTCTGTGAGAGCACATAACAAAGGATCCTATCCTATATACTGGGGACATAGTGGGCAGTGATTACAGGAGGGTCGCTGCCTGGATGCTGGTAATTGTTGGCACAACTGAATCCCTGGCAGCCCCTTAGCGAGAAGGCTAAAAAACACATTTGAAAGATGAAGTCATACTCAAGGTTTGTAGGTCAATGAAAGGCTGAAGCAGGATCTGCTATGGTATGACCTCCAAAATGTTAGGTTCCACGTCTTTGAGGGAGGTCAGTTCAAGCAGGTCACAGGTGAGGCTTTGATTTCCAGTTAGGGAAGATTTACAATCAAACAGGTGTAGTTCTATGCCAACTTATCAGACAGTTTGGGAGAGCCTCCTAACAAGGCTAACTTAGCCCTTTAAGGAAGCAGCATGATACCACGGAAAAAGCAGGGACTATGGAGCCAGAGCAACTGAGGATAGAATTTTAACCCACTAGCTGTATGACCTAAAGAAACTCACTCCTATTTTCAGGGCATTAGTTTTCTCATTTATAAAATAGAGATGAAAATAGTTTCTTCACTTCATAGGGGATTGTGGGAAATAAGAAAAGCTAACATTCAGTGCATGGCACCAGAAGTGCTTTGATGTCCATTTCCATCTCTTTTCCATGCTACCTGGAGTCAAAGCAGCTGAGGGGTGCCTGCCAGCTGAAGGGCAACTGGCAGTGCCATTCCTTCATGGATCAGGCTCTGAGGCAAACGTCATTGTGTGTTTATCTGGTCCCTTTTTCTCAGGCAAAAATAAAACTACCACGCCTTAGAAATGAGGCAAAAAACAAATACCAGGGCAACCTGGAATGGGATAAAAAATGAAAAAGAGCAACATGGAGATCGAAAGGGCTATACTGGAGGAAGTGGTAAATGGTTAGGCCCACCCATGAGTCCCCTTATTTTATTTTTGCCATTTACCTGCTTTAAGTTATTTCAATAAGCCTGGTGTTGTGCTCACCTCCCTGGAGAAGTGTAAAGATAAAATAAAATAGGTAATATACTTACGCACAGCGAAATACCGAGCATACAGTAGCAGTCAATAACTATTAGCTGGGCGGGGTGTGGTGGCTCACGCCTGTAATCCCAGCACTTTGGGAGGCCAAGGCTGGCAGATCATCTGAGGTCAAGAGTTCGAGACCAGCCTGGCCAACATGGTGAAACCCAGTCTCTACTAAAAATACAAAAATTAGCTGGGCGTGGTGGCAGGTGCATGTAATCCCAGCTACTCCAGAGGCTGAGACACGAGAATCGCTTGAACCTGGGAGGCAGAGGTTGCAATAAGTCGAGATCATGCCATGGCACTCCAGCCTGGGCGATAGAGTGAGACTGTGTATCAAAAAAAAATTTACTATTAGCGGCTATAATTATTCATTTTTATTTTTACACATGGAGGACTCGTGGTATATGGTCTAATTCTGTGCAGTAAAATGGCAGGTAATAGATATAGTAAAGGCCCATCCTTCTCTTATCCCTCCCTCTCTCCCACAGCCCTGCTGTTGATGTGAAGTATCAGTTATCGTGTTAAGCAGTCTGCCGTATCTACACTTTGATATATGTATATATTTCCATTAAAGATGTATATTATTGTTTCAGTGTTTTTTCACTTTACATAAATTGTTATAATACTGTGAGAAAAAAAATCACAGATATTTGTAGAACATGAATTGCTTCCAAGTGACAGAATGGTTAATGGGAATAAAATAGTTTTTAAAAAATAGATAATTGCAGAATACAACTAAAGTTTACAGTCCTCACCCCACTGAATATGAGATCAACTTTACAATTTTAGGCCCCCCGTTCTCTTTAAAATTGAGAATGCATTTATTTGCAAACAATTTCACTGCAATATTTCATCAATTTTTGTGTTGGTAGGTCACCTTCTGTTGTATGGCTTGACTCCACTTGCTCATATGATCTTCATTTGCCAGTTTTAGTTACCGTTGCATTTGACAACCAATGTGATGACTTTCTCACTCTCATGGGGATCTGCTTGTCATATGATCACTTTTGGATTCTACATTAACTGCCCTCCAATCCTCATTAACCTTCTCATTATTTTTTCCTCTTTCTTTTAGTCCTTTTGCTGTCCAGAAATTTTGTCCCTTGTGTTCTTTATTCCATAATTTCTTATCATTGTTTTTACACAATATCTTTATGCTACTATATTTTCGTATCTTTCTCAACTCTCATCCCACTAATCTGAATGTGCCACAGGGTTTTATTTCTTCTTGTTCTCTTGATTAAGCATCAGAGATTCCAACATTGTTTCCAGGGTCCATTCCTGTGTACATTGAAGTGGACTTTTTATTGTGGTAAGATATACCTAATATAAAATTTCACATTTTAACCACCTGTAAGTTTACAGTTCAGTGGAATTAAGTACATTCACATCGTGCATCCATCGTCACTAGGATGCATTTTTGAAGATGCACAAGTTTTGGAGTGTCTATTTTACTTTCAATAGTGAACTTATCTAAGCATAGTTTCATATTTCACAAGGACACACTTAAAAAATTAATTAATTAATTTATTTATTTATTTATTTATTTATTTTTGAGACGGAGGCTCTCTCTGTCACCCAGGCTGGAGTGCCGTGGCACAATCTCAGCTTACTGCAACCTCCGACTCCTGGGTTCAATCGATTCTCCTGCCTCAGCCTCCATAGTAGTTGGGACTACAGGCGTGCACCACCACACCCAGAAAATTTTTGGTTTTTTTTTTTTTTTTTTTTTAATTAATTTATTTATTTATTTATTTATTTTTAGTAGAGACGGGGTTTCGCCATGCTGGCCAGGCCGGTCTTGAACTCCTGACCTCAAGTGATCTGCCTACCTGGGCCCCTCAAAGTGCTGGGATTACAGGCGTAAGCCACCACACCCAGCCTATTTTTATTATTTTTGGAGACAAGGTCTCACTATGTTGCCTAGGCTGGTTTCAAACTCCTGGCCTCAAACTCCTGGCCTCAGGTGATCTTCCCATCTCAGCCTCCCAAAGCACTGGGATTACAGATGTGAGCCACCATGCCCAGCCAGCTAAATTATGTTTAATCCATAACACTGGCAAAGTAGCACCTCTTAACTATTCAATATTATGGATATTCAGCAGTAATTTCAAAAGTAAGTAATCAAAGTAATTTCAAAAGTAAATCACTTTTTGAAAAGTAATTCAAAAAGCACTCTATTTATGCAAAGATCAACAATTTTAGGCCTGGTGCTATTCACTGATATTTGTGAATCAAATAAATGAAAACCATGGTATTTAGTAGACTGAATTATTTCAATCAGGTCACATCAAACTCTAGCTCCAGGTATACAGCCGGGATAGTGAGTGACTGTCAACTTCAATGTCAATAGTGATAAAGAATATAATTCCAAAGAGCCACCGAAACTCAAATATGGCCTAAAGTTTAGCCTCATAGCCAGAGACTTCAGAATCATTTGGAGATTTATATTTATATATTTTGCTCCAAATTTTCCAAGATAAATTATCTTAGCAATGGCCATACATCAATTTTAACATAATTAGTTTCTCTTCAAACTAAGCCACGATGATTAGAAAGGCAGGCTTGAGAAATCATATATATCTTAAAGTTTACACTCCAAAGGCATTGCTTCAGGAATGTAAAACATAATTTATACTCATCAAACTCTATAAATCCCTTCTGAATTGTGACTTCATTTCTAGAAAAAAAAACTGTAATCCTTCCTAATCTGTGAATTAGAGTTTTTTAAAAATATGTGGTTTCATTGAGTCTCAAATGCATACAACCTCTAATTTCTCTCTATTCAATTCACATGTCTGGTTTAAGGCTGAATAATCCCACCTTCTTAAACAAATCAGCAATGTCCTTTTTGGGGTTGTGTTTTTGTGATTTTAACTTTAGCATATAAATTTAGCTCAATGATGTGAGCTACTGAGGTTCCAACAATTCAAGTGTCTGTGAGAACTTCATTCTCAAAAGTCCTTGATTTGAGGAATCAGACTGATAAGTCTGTTCAGTAAATATCCAAAATCTGGTCTTAAAAAAAAATGAAACACTCACACAGTGCTTAGGGCCACAAGCATAAAAAAGTCATGATTTTGATCTTTATTTTATCACATTATATAATACACTTGATTTTTGCAGTATAAACTCTTCTCATGTAGGATTGGATGAAAGTAGGCAAACCAATCTTTCCTTTCGATGCAAATAAATGAATGAAACCTAACTTTATGCTTCCATTATTATTATTATTATTATTTATTTTTATTTTTATTTTTGAGACAGAGTTTCACTATGTCACCCAGGCTGGAATGCAGTGGTGCCATCTCGGCTCACTGCAACCTCCGTCTCCCAGGTTCAAGCAATCTTCCCACCTCAGCCTCCTTAGTAGCTGGAACTACAGGCATGCACCACCACGCCTGGCTAATTTTTGTATTTTTAGTAGAGACAGGTTTTACCATGTTGGCCAGCTGGTCTCAAACTCCTGACCTCAGGTGATCCACCTGCCTGGGCCTCCCAAAGTGCTTGGATTATAGGGATGAGCCACCGCGCCAGTCCTATGCTCGCATTATGTTTATGGCAAGTTAACTCAGCTTTTCCATGTTAGACAAAATTTCTCAAATTCTTTGAAGGCATATAGTTTATGTGTGCTAACTCATCAAGAAAAAAACATATTAACATCTTAAGTGGGTCACACCCCAGGATCTAGTGGAACACATTTACCCTGAGGGTTACATATCAGGAGCCCCAAACCAAGATGGAAAGGACATTTTCTTTTTTTTTTTTTTTTCAAATGACCTTCATACCCGAAAGAAGCCTGTAGGGGAATGGACAAGAATTATTTCCCAGGAACAGAATTATTCAAAGAGAAACAGCCTCTAGATGATAATGAAATAACTGAGCTAAAAGAGAAAAGTTGTCTTTTCCACTTGATTCCATGCTTAATAACAGTTGGACTGTGAGGTTCTGTCTTCAAGGATAGGTAGGATTACTTCCTCAATGTCTGTAATGAGGAATAGGACAGAGCAGAAGCATTACTTCTCCACTCTCTAGTGCCATACCTGATGACAACTTGCTAAATCTTTTAAAGTGTGCTGTGATTCCAACTGGGGAAAAAAATGAAGAAATACCCAGTACAAATGGAATTTTTCTCGATGAGTCGAGGTTTGTGGGGGAGAAGCATCAAGAACTCTGGCACCTGGGATAAGGACCCAAAGATAAGCCAATTCACATCTTAAGTTTCAAATAGACAACATGTCTTTTTAAAACTTGAGATTAAAAGCTGTATTTCACACAGAACATTTTTTTTCTTCATAAAATGTGCTGCAACAGAGCTGATTTCCAAAGCTGGAAGTTGGGGGTTTGCCTACATTAAAAACTTCGAAGTTATAGTTTCAAGAAAGGCGTGTTCCCCCAAGTTTAAGTAAGAATAAGGTTACTAGAATGACCAGTATTTCCAGAATCTGTCATAATACAGAGGTATGTGTATTTACACGCGTTCAACAACAGATTTTGTTAATGACACCTTTTTTTTGTTTTTTGTTTTTTTAAACAGAGTTTCGCTTTGTTGCCCGGGATGGAGTGCAGTGGCATGATCTTGGCTCACTGCAACCTCCACCTCCCAGGTTCAAGCTATTCTCATGCCTCAGCCTCCTGAGTAGCTGGGATTACAGGTGCCTACCACCGTGCCGGCTGATTTTTTTGTATTTTAGTAGAGATGGGGTTTCACCATGTTGCCCAGGCTGGTCTGGAACTCCAGAGCTTAGGCAATCCGCCTGTCTTGGCCTCCCAAAGTGCTAGGATTATAGGCGTGAGCCACCGCGCCCGGCCTGTTAATGACATCTTTGATTAGAGGAATCTGAAACACTAAAGTTATGTTTCATAACTGTGGCCCCCTTGTCCACCTTATATGAATATTTGTGGTAAACTTAAAATTATCTTTGAGATGCCTTCAGTATTTTTCTTTCTTTCTTTTTTTTTTTTTTTTTGAGACAGAGACTCGCTCTGTCGCCCAGGCTGGAGTGCAGTGGCACGATCTTGGCTCACTGCAAGCTCCGCCTCCCAGGTTCACGCCATTCTCCTGCCTCAGCCTCCTGAGTAGCTGGGACTACAGGCGCCCGCCACCACGCCCAGCTAATTTTTTTGTATTTTTAGTAGAGACGGGGTTTCATCGTGTTAGCCAGGATGGTCTCCATCTCCTGACCTCGTGATCCACTTGCCTTGGCCTCCCAAAGTGCTGGGATTACAGGCGTGAGCCACCGCGTCCGGCCGCCTTCAGCATTTTTCTAGGGTCTTTAAGATGAAATTGTGACCAGGTATAAGACTTCAGTGATTTTCCTTATCTTGTAAAATGCAGTTCCAACCTTCATAAGTATAATGGCAGTCACCTCCAAGGATTATTTATTACCCTGAAGAGATGTGATATTGGAAACTGACAGTTTTATTTATCAATACAAGTAATTCACAAATAACTAACTTCAGGAACTAGAAGTCATTTTTTCTTTCTTTAGGGATTTTCTGTTGGTTGGTTGGTTGGTTGGTTGGTTGGTTAGTTGGTTTGTGAACTTTCTGAGGGTTAAATAGACAGAAGAAAACCAGTTTTAAATATGGGCTGGAGGGAGTAGGATCTCTGAAAAAATATAAGC
Organism: Homo sapiens; assembly: GCF_000001405.40. Lineage (NCBI taxonomy): Eukaryota > Metazoa > Chordata > Mammalia > Primates > Hominidae > Homo > Homo sapiens. The sequence goes on along the minus strand of NC_000023.11, from coordinate 111,905,257 downwards.
AGTATTCCCAAGAGGTATCACTAAGTACATCTAGTCTATTAAGGTAAGACTGTCAATACAAAAACACAATAGCTTTCATGTAAAAAAAAAATCATAAAAATCAAGTTGGATCACAATGGGTTAATAACGTTCAGAGTTACATAACCCCCTCAGGAACAAAATCTTAGCCTTAAATGGAATATAATTATTTCCTGAAGGGCTTTTTCATATTGTTTTTTCCTCATTATTATTCCTACTAGAACTCAAGTAGACTCCCCAAAAGAATTCAATTTGGTTAAAAAAAAAAAAAATCAGCTCCAAAGAATGAAACAATAGCTGATTCCAAACTCTAACTTTGGCATGAAGTAGAATAAGAAAGCTCTTATCTCTTAGAAAACAGGTGTAAAACTATTGGATAATTATTTCATATCAAATAGACTTTCAGGTATTGTCATACAAACTTTTTGCAGATGGGTGAATTTTCTTTTTAAGTTCTGGGGTACATTTGCAGGATGTGCAGGTTTGTTACATAGGTAAACGTGCCTTGGTGGTTTGCTGCACTGATCAACCCATCACCTAGGTATTAAGTCCAGCATCCATTAGCTGGGAATCCATTCTTGATGCTCTCTCTCCCCACCCCAGCCCCCAACAGGCCCCAGCGTGTGTTGCTCCCCTCCCTGTGTCCATGTGTTCTCATAGTTCAGCTCCCACTTATACGAGGGAACATGTGGCTTCTGGTTTTCTGTTCCTGCGTTAGTTTGCTGAGGGTAATAGCTTCCAACTCCATCCATGTCCCTGTAAAGGACATGATCTTGTTCCTTTTTATGGCTGCATAGTATTCCATGGTGTATATGTACCACATTTCCTTTATCCAGTCTATCATTGATGGGCATTTGGGTTGATTCCATGTCTTTGCTATTGTGAATAGTGCTGCAATGAACATACGCATGCACATTTTTCAGATATTCCTGAAAAGTCGTGATTTCATATATTCTGTCTCAATGCCAGATATGTCATGCCAAAGGCTTTGAAAACTATTATTTCATTTGTTCCTTATTATCACTGAAGGTAAGCAGAAAATTTATTAATAACCCTCATTTTGCAAATGAGAAAGGACTATGTTTAGAGATTTGCTTAAGATCATCTGACAAAGCCAGAAGTATAACTTCAGAATCCTGGTACAACATTCTCTCTTATTATGCTCTGCTACCTTACGTTGAGTGAAGTTCTTGTGGGCCCATTTGGTAGCCTCCAAATTCACCACCAGGTAATTTAAGATGACCACACGTTTTTTTGATTTGTGAATGAAAGTTTATTAGTTAAAATCTCTTGAAAGAAAACAATAAAATGGTTTAGATCAATAGCTAATACAGATTGTAAACAATCATAAGATAATAACTAGCAGTAATCATCACACATAAGAATTTATATAGGCACAACTCCCCACATATTTTAACCCAAACAAATAGGGATGAAAACTTGTACTACCTAATCTAATGCCATCTACCAGCCTATCTTCCTTGATTTTCACACCTTTAAGCTTGTCTCAGAATGATGAGCCCCTCTCTTTTCTGCCATGCTATATAATAATTGGCTTTAACACTGGTCTTAAGAAGATACAGAAAAGGGCTAATTTGCATAAAGGATCAGCCACTCACTCCATTCTCCTGGAGGAGATGCAGGATTTCAATCAGCGATATCCAGTCAGTGGACTAAACTAGTTAATAATTCTCCATCTAATTGAGCTTTCAGATACATGACTTATGTCAATCGCCTACCAGCTGTTTATAGCAACATCTTAGGGTTGGCTAATTTGCAGAAGACAAAAACAGGGCTTTGTTCATAAACCTGTTTAGAAACTAACTCCATATCATGGCTTTCCATCATAAACCGTCGCATAACTGTTGACAATTTATTAATTTGCTTCTCTCTCCTGAAAACACCGTCCCCACTAGTTCTTGTTCCTAAATATTTTCTTATTTCCTAAATATTTCTTTTCACTATTAACTCTAATTCTGCTCCATAGAGCAAACATACTTAATACAACAATCCATTCCTTGGAGCGGGGGTTATATCTTAACAATCCTTAAGCACATAAAATTACAGAATCAAAGCAAACACTGGAATATATCTTATCTAGTTCCTGAGGTACCATTACAGTACAATCTGTTCAGGTGACCCAGGAAAACAAGGGTCCAGCCAGCTCCACATATTATGGGGTTGTAGCATCTTCCTGCTTTGATGCCTAAGGACTATATCTAGTCCATAGATATTTAGTCCAATATGGTGAGTGTTTGTCTTTCCATTGGTGAATAGTCCTTGTAGGGCTTTGCTTAGCCCTTCTATTACTTCTCTCTTTGATTATTTGGTATAGTGTGCCTTTTCCATTTGGGGAATAATAGTGCAAAGTAGCTACAATGTGGTCAGAATTTGCAAGAACAGTCCTGCACTGGAACTCTTGGTCCCAGCTTTTTCAGTTTTCTCCTTGGCAACAGTCATTTGAAAACCTTTCTTCACTTTTATTATCTGGTAGATAGTACTCTTTTAAAATTACCTCCCTTAGTCTGCTATAGCATTTTTTGTCGGACACATGCTTTCTTAAAGGATAAGTAAGGAGTTATATCCTTTCAAATAAAAGTATCCCAACACTGTCTTGTTAATGTGAATGTATTCATTTACTGTAATGCTACCCTGGGGGATATTCCCCTTTTCATTTGCATTCATTGGAGAGCAGTGAAATTAGTCCCAAGATGTGATAGAGTTCGTCAGTTCTCCACTCCATAATTAGGCAAGGAATTTCTTTTCTTTACTATTGTTTGCTCCCATCATCAGAAATTCTAGCATGAGAGTAAGTACAGGTAAAGGGAGACCTACATGGCAAAAGACAGAACTTTCTGAATAACAACAAAGATGAAAAAAGACCAGCTTTTGCTAGAAGTAAATCAAATCTCACTTGTTATATGGGTTATTAGTAATGAAAATGTGCAGAACTATGAGAAAACACATATTGCTAATATACAGAAAATAAGAATATATTAAAACAGAGAAATGATCAGTTTTCACATCCCTGGGGACGGGGGCAGAAATTGGGTCTTAGTCACCTGTTAAGTCATCATTTATACCAGAGACTGTATCTTCATATAAGTTATCCATGTCTAACATAGCCTGATCTATATCAAATATTAGGTCTTCATCCTCTCTTGGTGTAAGTATTGAGTCTAAGTCTGAGAGATCAGGGAGATCAGGTAGCGAAGGCTCCTCGGGAAGAGGTGCATCTGCTTCAGTCTCTTCTGCTCTACCATTTTCTTCTACATAAGGAACTTCTTGTACTTGTAGAATGAATTGTAAAAGCTCATCAGCTATTCTTATTAACTGGGCTACACAAGCAACAAGTCCATCAATGAGTACATGAATTAACACAGAATCCATGCTGCAGTGCTCTTCTAAATAGATAAAATATCACTAAAAGCTCTAGCAAATGGACTCTTGGTGACAATGGATAGTATAAGGGGCTAACAATGGTTCTGTGGTTGGTTTAGGCCAGAAATTAGGATGTTGATATGATTATGATGGTGATCAAGTAAAGAATGAGAACAGTAGAACAATATAACTTTTTGATGATGTTGGTAAACCGCGCACAGAATTTATGTATGGTACTCTTGTTTGTACTAATGGTGAACTGCTGTTATAATGACCATCAGGCGGACTGTCACAGCCAAGAGAAAACAGCAAAGCAGACCTAATAATAAAAAAGAGAGATATAAAGATTAGTATCTTTGAGCCTTTATCCATCCTACAGGCTATGGCTACTGGTTACCCCTATCAAGAATTGCTGTTAAGGTTGAAACGATATGTCTAACTATAGCCCCTCCTTTGTTGCTGGCCTTGTGAGGCTCTACTACTTCTCTTTCCTTTGAAAACCTCATGGTCTTTATCTCTTGTTAAGAGATTTGGGAGAAAAGTGAGTATAGGTAGTTTGTCTGTCTTTCTTGAGCATCTCTTTTGAGGAAGGATACACTCACGCAGGGTCTGTCAATTATTAGCACCTTTGCCTCATTGCCATTTATATCTGGGTGCTGCTGAATTCTTTCTGTGTTTCTAGGAATCCATTCATTAAAGTTTCCAGATGCCCTGCAGCCTGGGGAGTTTATGGTAAATGAAAGTCCTATATTCTCCATATTTTGCCAAACTTTGGAGAATTTCAGTTATAAAACTAGTTCCTTGATAATTTCCTATTACTGCCCCACTTCCATATCTAGCAGCTAGTTCTTCCAACTTTATCTAAAGCCATGGTTGTACTATTTTCATCTGCGTGTCTAGTGGGCTTTGCAAACCCACTTTCTGAGTAAGTATATATTTGTGTAAGGCAATATTATTTGTTTGAAAATCTAGATATTGGCTCAATATAATCTACCTGCTACATTTGTCTGGTTTACCACTCCCCACCACACTTAAAATGAATCTGCTGAGGATGCAAGAAGTTTTTAATATTTTGATATCACTCATATTTCTTACTCACTTGTTTATTTGATTCACAGGTTTTCTAACTCTTTCTTCTCTGCTAACCTGGCACATACATGCCCATATGCCCTGAGGTTTCACAAGCCCATCCTACAACCTTAAATTGAACTGAAAAGGGAGCTGAGTTGAAACTTAAAGTCCCCGAAGCTTCAGGGTCTACATTAGTTTTGGGGGCCTAGATTATCTCCCCTCTCATTCCAAATAGATTATTCTGCTTTTCTGTTCTAATGAGCTGACACATGTCTTTATAAGAATTTCTAAATTCTTTCACCAATTTATTTTCATATCTCCCTTCACCAGATTGTTTTTCCTGCAATAGTCCAGGTCTATATGGCTGATCAGTGTAGCTATATACCTTTGACCAGTTTTTTTCTTGGGTATATCTACATGTTAAATTTCTGGCTATTAATTCTGTAAATTGGGCTAACTTCCTTTCTCCAGTCCCAGTCAGGCTTTTCCTAGTTGAAAGTCTTAGGAAGTAGTCATCTATATAACTCCTTTAGGATTCTACCAAGTCTATTATTGCCCAGTTTTCAGCAGTTCTGACCAGAGTGGGGCCCAGCAAGCCACAGGCTTCACTTTCAGCTGACTATAATCCTTGAATATTTATTGGAGTACAGAAAATCATCAGCCAGATGGTCTGTGATTTGCACATACAGCTTGCTGGTCTTCACAGGGCCTTTTTTGACCCACTCAGTTGTATAGTATCTCCACTTAGCCTAAGTCCTATCAGATCACTACATTTTTTTTTTGTCCAAAATCCTACCAGTACACATGGGGTTTGTCCTGATGATAAGGGTCACAACGATAATGACCAGAAGGCACGATTTTGTTGGAGGCAATTTTCCATATGGAATATAGGAGAACGGGTACTAGAGGCAGAGCAGTTTGTTTTATTAATTCAAAGGATCTGTTTGTTTGATTTAAGAGAAAAACGTCTCATGTAAGAAAATATGGAGAGAAATCAAGGAAAGGAATTTGGCATTTATTTAGAACATGCATCAGCTCATCAGAAGGAAAACACAGAAGAAAGATGTGTGTTAAATATTGTAAGAGAGCACCATCACATTTTTCAAAGGAAGCAATAACTACTAGATGGTATATACAGCCCAAAGGCACAAGAAGATGACAGGAACACACTCACACAAAACCTATTTAACTTCTGACTTCCCATTCACCCAGTTTTTTTTCTCAGCTTCTCTATCTTCCTCTGGGACTCTTTTATTCCTCCTCTTGATCAATATGCTTCCATTTATTCACTTATGTGTTTCATTCTATTTCACACCCTCTCTATCTCCATCTACTCTTAACCTTTTCCATCATCTTTTCTTGTCTCTCTCTCCTAAAACTGGAAAAAAATTGGAATAAATTATATTTGATTCATCAAATTTTTATTGTATTTATTGAGTTGTACATTACACAACCTAAACATAAAAAGCAGAGAGGTAGAACATTCCATATTTTGCTCTCTTATAAGAGAAATGTAGTTACTTATTACTTTATGTGGCCCATGAGTTTTTTTGTGGGGCGGGGGACTCAGTCACTTTTGATGGGAAAAAAAATTAGTGACCTTGCCTTAACTTTCTTGACCCTTGTATTAGCTTTTTTTTTATTTTTTATTCTCAATCTCAGAATTTAGCAACTAGTGGGTGAGGAGAGGGCAAGGAGAAACTTGAAGAAACTGCTAAGTATTCCAATAATAAGAAAGAGTAAGAGTGTGGCATCAGCTTATGCCAGTTATGGTAATTTCCAAAGCAACCAACTCTGGACACCTTAACTAGCCTAAAGGGGTCTTTTGGATAGTTTATGCCTAGCCTTAACTCACTTTAAGGGACTTTTTATTAGCTATATCCTCTGCCTGGGATCCCTTTCTCCTTGGTGGGGGAGGAGTGGGGAATGATTTCGTGTCATTCTGATATCTACTTTAATATTATCTCCTCAGATTTCTTACCCCTCAACCTGGGTAAAGCCCCTAATCATTCCTTTCCCATTACACACAAATTTCATTTTTGCATGATGGTATCTATAACTAGCTCACATTTTCTTGCTTAATTATTTGTTTTTCTGTCTCTCACCTTACCCCCACATACATATAGACTAAAATGTAATTGTCATGAGACTAAGAAATCTGTCTGATTTGTTTTCTGCTATATCCCCAAAGAACAGAAGAGTGCTTGCCAGCATAGTATATAATCAGTAAGTGTCTTTGAAAAAAAGAAATAATGGAAGGAGGGAGGGAGGAACAACTTTCAGCTCATTCATTCAGTAAATATTATCAAGCTTCAACCATGCATGTGGGAAACAGGGGATACAAAAATGGACAAACTCATCAAATCATACAGTTAATAAAATGAACAGGCAACCCAGAGACTGAGAGAAAATATTCACAAAATATATATCTGACAATGAACTTTCAACCAGAATATATAAAGTTCATTGTCAGATATATGTGTGTGTGTGCGCACACACGCGTGTGTGTCTATATATATATATATATATATATATAAGAACCCCTACAACTCAATAATAAAAAGACAAACAACCCAACTTAAAAATGGCCAAAAGATCTGAACAGACAATTCAAATGAAGAGCTAATAAGCACATGAAAACATCCTCAACATTATTAGTAATCAAAGAAATGCAAATTGACATCACACTAAGATACCGCAATATACTCAGTAGATTGGCTAAAATTAAAGACTGACAACATCAAATATTGACAAAGATGTAGAGGAACCAGAATTCTCACACACATTTATACTACTGGTAGGAGCATAAAATCATATTATGTTTTTGGAAAAACATCTATCAGTTTCCTATAAAACTAATCATGCACCTATCTATATCCCAGCAATTCTACTCATAGGTATTTACCCAAATTAAGTGAAAGTTCACAAAGTGACTTTTACAAGAATAGCTATAGAAGTTGTATGCATAATCACCAAAAAGTAGAAAGAGCTCAGGTAACTATCAAGAAGATTATGAATAAGCAAACTGTGGTATATTCACACAATGTGATACTAATAAGCAATAAAAAGAAAGGCACTACTGAGAGGGACAACAACATGGAGGAATAATCAACATTATACTTAATGAAAGAAGCCAGACACAAAAGATTATATGCTGTATGATTCCATCCATATACAATTTTAGAAAATGCAAAATAATCTATGTAGAAAGAAATCAGAATAGTGCTTGCATTTATGGGAGTAGGAACTGATTGGGAAGGGGCATAAAGGAACTTTCTAGAGTGATGGTAATGATCATGTTTAGGTACGGTTGTGGGTTACACAGGAGAATGCGTGTGTCAAAACTCATTGAATGGTACTCTAAAGATTTGTACATTTCACTATATGTAAATTTTACTCCCCTCAAAAAAGTAACCAAGCACAATCCCCAGCCTCTGAAAGCATATGTCAGATGCAATGATGTACCCATAAAAATTTTTCTAATAAATTGTCACATTAATGGGAGACCTATTGTGTGTCAAGGACTGTAAAACCCACTTTTCTTATATTACAGGTTGAGTATCCCTTATCCAAAATGCTTGGTACCAGAAGTGTTTTGGATTTCAGATTTTGAAGTATTTAAATATACATAATGAGATATCTTAGGAATGGGACCCAAGTCTAAACATGAAATTCATTTATGTTTCATAAACACCTTATACACATAGCCTGAATGTAATTTTATAGAATATGTTTAATAATGTTGTGCACTAAACAAAGTTTGTGTACGCTAAACCATCAGAAAGCAAAGGTGTCATGTTGGTGCTCAAAACGTTTTGGATTTTGAAGCATTTAGTATTTCAAATGTTGAGATTAGAGATACTCAACCTGTAGTACATTTAATCCTCACAATAAAATCAGCCTATGAAGTTATAGGTGGAAAAACTGAGGATTAGAGAGATTCAGTAATTTGCCCATGATCACATAAGTAAAGATGCAGAGCTGGATGTCAGCCCAGGTCGGACTTCTAAAGTCCTGTGCTAGAGGGCACAAATTTAGGTGACTACAGGAGCAAATTTGCCTTATTCAGGGCCAGAGCTGACATCTCATTCTCCTAAGCAGGAATAGAACTGAGAATGTTAATGTCATTTGCTATCCCTAGAAACTGGCTGAATTCCAAGTTGAATGTGACTTAGGCAGATCAGTCCCCTAGGAAATCCCCAATATCTGTGACTGGGAGGTTCAGGGATATATCCATTACCTATCTTTCCACTGACCTACTGAATTGGCCCAAATGTTCATAAACTACTTACCTGTGATAGAGCTGAGAGGGATGCGGATATCAAGGCTCGGCCTATTAAACAATTTGCAGACTTTGTTTCCAAACAGGATGTGAACGCTCCTGCAACAACAAAAAAAACCACACCCGCCCCCACCAAAAAAAAAAAAGATAAATTGCGAAATCGATAGGTTTAAGGATAAGCAAGGACGAGATTAAAGAGCCCTTTCTAAGTGAACTGACAATCAGGGGCTTTTTTCCTTTCCTGTGGCATTTGCTAATTCTGGGCACTGTTGAAGATGAAGCTTGGCTGTAAGGCAGAAGGACTCTCCTGAGGAAAGGAGAAATGAGCATAACTTTGGGCCATTGGGAGACACTAAAATAATGGGCTGGAAACTTGAGAAGCCCAAAATGCAGGGCTAGTTTTTCTTACCTGAAGTCACCTGAGTTCTGGGCTGGTGTCTGGGTAGGAAAAGCACAGGAAAATCTCCTGCAGTCTCCTGGTACTTCAGAGACAAATTCTCCCTCTAGAGGGGAACTGCCCCAAACAGGCCACCGGTCTCCACCTTAAAAGGTTACCTAGATTTTGAAGTTAGAGGGACAAAGGGAAAACTAATGAGTCAAAAAGATCAAAACCACTCCCAAAGGGCAATTTGGACAAAGTGATTCTAAAATGCATAAGAATAAATAAAGGCTAGTAATAGTGAAACATCTTCAGGAAGAACAAATTGAAGGACATATGCTACCAGATATCAAGGCTAGTTACAGAGCTAGAGAAATTAAGACAGCGTAGTACTGGCTCAAGGACAGACAAATAAATCAATGGAACCATGACCCTTACCTCATACCAGATACCAAAATAATACTAATAATGATTTGAAATGAATCATAGGCCTAAAAATGAAAGTCAAAACAACAAAGCTTCTAGATCACACCACCAGAGAAACTCTTCATGACCTTAGGTAGGCAAATATTTCCCAGAGGACAAAAAACATTAACCATGAAAGAAAAGATTAATTAATTATACCTTAAGAGGATAAAAAGCCAACCACAGACTGGGATAAAATATTCACAATATATATCTAACAAAGGACTTCTATCCACTACATTCATACATTTTTTAAACTACAAATCAATACGAAAAACATAATCAATCTAATTTTTAAAAAATATAAAAGAATTGAACTGGCACTTCATAGAGGAGAATATCCGAATGGCTCACAAGCATATAAATAGGTGTTCATCACTATTGCTCATCAGGGAAGTGCAAATTAAAACCACAATGAGATATGCAAAACCCACCAGAAGAGCTAAAATGAAAAAGACTGACAATACCAAGCACTGAAAACATGGAACAACTGGAACTCTCATAGATTGCTGGTGAAATTGTTAACTGGTAAAACTACCTTGGAAAACTATTTGGCAGTATCTACTAAAACCAATCATACCTCTATCACATGACCCTGGAATGCTACTCCTAAGTATATAACCAAAGAGCGTACAAATATCCACCAAGATACAGGCACAAGAATGTTGAAATCAACCAGATGCATAAAATTAGCTACCATATCACTACATTTACATGAAATCCAAGAACAGGCACACAAATCTACGGGAACAAAGTGGTTACCTCTGGGTAGGGGGTTATTGACTGGGAAGGGATATGAGGAAGCCTTCTGGGGTGCTGGTAATGTTCTATATCTTGATATAATCACATATGTTAAAAAATAAAAGCATTGATATGCACCCTTAAAATTTGCGCAATTTACTATATGCATGCCATACCTCAAAAAAAATAGTTTTATTTTTTAAATTTTAGGCCTACATCCTATAAAAACTAATGAGGACAGCAAGACAGTGATAAGAGTCTTACCAGGATTCAGCAAGCCAGTCATCAAAGTTAATGAAAATGGAATGAAATATGAATGTGCAGGGCAGTGTCCCTTTGGCCTGTGTGGCTCTCTACTTCATGGCAGTGCTAAGGCAAGAGACCCTGATAGCTAGGCCGAGTTTTTAATTGATACAAGATGAGATAACCTATATCTTACAAGTAGCTCATAAAGACCCCTGAGGCAGAGGCCATACTATCCATCTGGTAACTGAGATCTTTGACCCCATTGAATTTTTATTAACCTCTCTTGGGACTTTTTTTGTCTGCACAACTAATCAAAAGTCACCATTTTTCTTTTAGCTGAAAGTCCTACCTGGCAATTTTGCAATGCTCCTAACTGGAAAACTGGCAATAAGTGTCTAACAGTAGGATGGAAAAGGAGCAAAGAAATCCAAATCCTCTGGGTCTATCTTTATAGTTGATAAGCTTCTTTGTATTAGGTAAGGTAAATTAGTTCATATCCAAGGAGAACAGAGGCAGTTATGTGGGAAAGATTAAAATGCACCTTTGGTGAGGGTGGGTGCCAGATTCCTATTTACAAACAGGAAAATTTTTTTCCATAGTGTTCCCTTCTCCGGTGCTGCAGTACCATTTGGATACATGCATTCAATATAGCTTGTTTTAAAAAACACCTACAGACATATAACTTCTCGTTACCCTCTTCACCCCTTGAGGAAACATCAAGAGAACTTTATCCACAAAGGGCAAATGTTCACAATTTTGACATAACAGAAGCATCTCTATGGGAATACAATGAATAAAAAAGAGTATTTACACTTTAAACTCTTTTTGAAAAAGCTACAAACTTTTGCCTTTAAAAAAATAACTGTGTGCAATACAGCATTTGCCTGTTATAGGATCTGACATTTAAAAATCCCCATGAAGCATCTTTAATTTATCAAGAAAGAAAGGAAAGAATTGTGCAGCTGAGGAGCTAAACATGGCCCCTTCTTGAAAATATATGAAAAATTCAAAACTAAAACTAAAAAAAGGGGGAGTAGGAAATGTCCTTATGGTCAATTTAAACCAAATTCTACTGAATTTCTTTCCTCCTCCAAATTTGTTCATTGCTGCAGAGAAAAATCACAGACTGGCTTACCCTTCAGAAAAACAACTTAGTAGAAAAATACAACTACTTTTGAAAATACATCTTGGTTATTTTCCTAGACAGATACAGTGTTTCCTCAAAACACTGTTCAAACATGAGAATAGACACTCAATCTTAACCTGGTAGGACCCTACACAGGCTTGTCCTTGAGGCTTGGCTGCTATGAGAGGCTCCCAGGCCCTTAGAGAGTCTGGAAAGAGATGTAATACTTCTAGAAAGATTTTTTTGGTTTTCAAATATTACAGCGCAGATGACAGGGTCTACAATAAGGGAAATAAAAACAGAACTTGGAGGTAACAGGAAAAGGGGTTCTATTTCCAAGTCTTTCTTCAGCTTTCTGAGAGGGAAAAAAAGTTGTGGTTGTTTGTTTGTATATGCTTTTTGGGAGAGATATAAAATGATACTAGTGGTTATAAGAATAGGATCTGGTATCCGAAAAAAAAAAAAAAAACCCTATATTTGAATTTCAACTTCACCACTTACTAACTAGAAGGTTGCTAAGCTACTCTGTGTCAGTTTCCTCATCTGTAAGATGAAGATAATGACAGTTATGAGAATTACATTAGTTAGTTAGCACAACGAATTTAAAATGGTGTCTGGTATATAATTAGCACCTAATAAATGCTAGCTGATATAATTGCACTGGAGAAATTCCAGGATCTAGGAAATAGTATGTGGTACATCATGACTAGTGAATAGCTGCCCATGGAAGACAGGAGAAGAGATGGCTGCAGGCATTACAAAAATTGGAAGGACATGCCAGAGACACAATTCATCTCATAGTTAGAACCAATATTAGATGATGACTTTGAGCTTGGGTAAAAATGTGAGGGAACAGGACTGTCTTGAAGCTGTAGTTCACAAATGACCCTTTCAGGAGACCTAAGAACAATCAAAGACTGTAGGGAATCCTTGAGGATTAGCAAATCCTCCTAGTCTAACTTCCTCTGAAGCACTTCCTTATTCTGGCTTTGAGCTCTGGTGGGGCTGCAGCTCACATGCACCACTCCTGGCCTGGCGAAAGCTAACTATATTGTGGGCTACACATTGGCTATGCCTCCAACACACTGCCAGTTGCACAGAGAATGCCCTCCACCTCGTATTGTGACAATGATTCTTTCAAAGCATTAAATCTTTAGAAACATCCACTTGGAAAGTAATTGGCAAGGTCATTGAGACAAGATAATAAAGGTCCATTATCCTATATCTAGCATGACTTCACCCAAACCAACCCAAAGTTTCAAGTATTCCTTTGTGAATCATTTGGATAAGAAGGAGAGCATTATGCAAACATCTTCGTATACTTTTTACTTCATACCATCCTAGCATGGATTTAGTCCCTAACTTCAGGAATATATCTCAGAAATTTGATAAGAGAAAGACTAAGCACCAGTTGTGGCCTCCTCTATGTTTCTGTGGCAAATGCCAGCTTGCCAAGAAAGAACAGGTTAGTTTATTTTACCACATGGAAAGATGATCACCGATTACAGATTGCTTCCCTCTGCCTGCAAATGTGCTTAATGCCTGTCCACCAAAGGAAAGGCCCTTCTGTTTTTAATGATTTCAAAATAACATTCCATAGCATCCCTTGGTAACTCATTCAAATATTTTATAGTTTCCTTCTTCTGGTAATTATATCCTCAAATATGTTCACATACATTAACTTATAATAATCCTGTGTAGCGGCCAAGCGCGGTGGCTCACTCCTGTAATCCCAGTACCTTGGGAGGCCAAGGCAGGCAGATCACGAGATCAGGAGTTCAAGACGAGCCTGGCCAACATAGTGAAATCCCGTCTCTACAAAACTACAAAACTACAAAAAATTAGCTGGGCGTTGTGGTGGGTGCCTGTAATCTCAGCTACTCTGGAGGCTGAGGCAGGAGAATCGCTTGAACCCGGGAGGCGGAGGTTGCAGTGAGCTGAGATCGCACCATTGCACTCCAGCCTGGGCGACAGTGTGAGACTCCATCTCAAAAATAAAAAAATAAAATAAACAAAATAATCCTGTGTAGCAAGGATTATACCTATTTTACAATTGAGGATATGAAGAACCAAAGAGGGTAACTGACTCGTCAAGATTGCACAGCTGGTTAGTAGCAGAGCAAGAATAAGAACCTGATTTCTTGGCTCCTATTAAAAAGTCAAAAAATAACAGATGCTAGTGAGGTTGCAGAGAAAAAGAAATGCTTATATATTGTTAGTATGAGTGTAAATCAGTTCAGCCATTGTGGAAGACAGTGTGGCAATTCCTCAAAGACCTAAAGACAGAAATACCATTTGACCCAGGCATCCCATTACTAGGTATATACCCAAAGGAATATAAATCCTTCTATCATAAAGATACATGCACACATTATGTTCATTGCAGCACTATTCACAATAGCAAAGACATGGAATCAACCTAAATGCCCATCAATGGTAGATTGGATAAAGAAAATGTGGTACACATACACCATGGAGTACTATGCAGCCATAAAAAACAAGATCATATCCTTTGCAGGGACATGGATTGAGCTGGAGGTCATTATCCTTAGCAAACTAACAGGAACAGAAAACTGAATACCTCACGTTCTTACTTATATGTGGGAGCTAAATGGTGAAAACACATGGACACATAAAGGAGAACAACACACACTGGGGCCTATCAGAGGGTCGAGGGTGGGAGGAGGGAAAGGATCAGGAGAAACAACTAATGGGTACTAGGCTTAATACCTAAGTGATAAAATAATCTGTAAAACAAACCCACCATGACATGGGTTTACCTATGTAACAAACCTGCACTTGTACCCTTGAACTTAAAATAAAAGTTAAAATTTTTTATTTAATTTTAAAAAGAACCTGATTCTTCGGATTCTTGGCCTTCTTCAGACTCCTGGTCTGACTAATGATGCTCTGGGAACCTCCACATCACTAGCAGAATAAGAACCAGTGTTAAGATATCAGCAAGAACACAATGTTTGTCTCTTGGTGTACAGGAGGATTGGTTCCAGGACCTTCCACAGATACTAAAACCCGTGGATGTTTAAGTCCCTGATATGAAATGGTTTAGTATTTGCATATAACCTATGCACATCCTCCCTCATATACCTTAAAGCCTGGGTATCCAGTTTTTTGGCTTCCCAGGGCCACACTGGAAGAATTGTCTTGGGCCACAAATAAAATACACTAACACTAATGACAGCTGATGAGCTAAAGAAAACTGTGAAAAAAATCTAATAACATTTTAAGAAAGTTTATGAATTTGTGTTGGGCCGTATTCAAAGCTGTCCTGGGCCACAGGTTGGACAAGCTTGCTTTAAACCATCCCTGGATAACTTATGATACCTTACACAATGTAAATACTATGTAAATAGTTTGTTTTACAATATTGGTTTAGGGAATAATGACAAGAATAAAAAGTCTGTACATGTTCAGTACAGATGCAATATTTTAAAAATATTTTTGATCCACAGTTGGTTGACTCCATGGATGCAGAACCCACAATACAGAGGGCTGACTGTATAGCCATGATAGTTTGCTTACCAAGTGGATCAAAGGCCAAAAGTCCCCTTGAGGACAACCATTTCATTATTGTCATCCCTACATACTATCGTTCCCAGAGTGTTCCTACAGTAGAAAGCCCTACTAAAAAGAAAAGATACAAAAAGCCTAGCTGAACATTAAAATCACCTTAAGATCATATGCTGATCCATGAAAATAAAAAATAAGACAAGAGTATGTGGTTTGCTGCTTTCTAACTTCTCTATTTTTACCTCTGAGATAGATACACTCAGAATAAATTGAAGAAAATGAGGCAGAAAAAAATTTCCTAATATCCTAAAAAAAATGCTTTACCCTTGGCCATGAACTTCCTTTCCCCTTGAGGATTTCATACCTCTACCTCCCAAAGTTTCTAAGGGAGCCAAGGGTTAGCATTTTAAACATGGGTAAAGAGTGAATCCCATTGCTTTATATGCTTGACACTCAGAAAAGCACATCAGGGTTACAACACAGTCCTCTGGCATGAGCCCTCCCAATACTAAACCAGCATGCTGTTCAAGTGAAAAGATAAATGGAGTTTTCCTTATAGGATTTCTTACAAGATTTCTTTTTTAATATTAGCTAGAGCCAGGGGAATCTGAAGGCAGGCTCACTCAATGGGAACAAAATTTCTCTCTCATCTCTTATGACTGATATTACCAAGGTTAAATACATATGTCCTGAAACACACTTTTAATTATGGCCACTCCACCTTACTACCCTTGCTAAAGTCACCAATGACTTCTGCATTGCTAAATCCAATTATCAGCTCTCCGTCTCATCTTACTTGTCCTATAAGCAGCCTTTAACATGGCCAATCACTCCCCAAGTCCTCTTCTTCTTCATCTATAGTCACACTCTTGGTGACCTCATATGGGCTGCAAATAACACCTATAGGCAGATGACTCCCAAATTTATTTAGCCAGCTTAGGCCTTTCTCCAAAATCTCATACTTGTTTATCTACTTTCATTACATTGATTCCTGTAAAATTCAACACAGTACATTCAAAACTAAATCCTTGGTACTCTCTCCAAAACCTACTCCCTTACAGCCTCCCATCTCAGTAGATGGTAATTCTATCCTTCTAACTACTCAGGCCAAAAAATCCACAGTCAATCCGCCAGGATATCCTGTTGGCTCTGCCACTAAAACATATCCACAATCTGATCACTTGTCATTGTGAGACACCATCACACTATCATCTACATCTCACCTTGATTATTTTGACAGCCTCCTGACAGGAGTCTCTTTGCCTTGCCTCACTACAGTCTCTTTTCTTTTCTTTTCTTTCTTTTTTTTTTTTTTTTTTTTTTTTTTGAGATAGAGTCTCGCTCTGTCACCCAGGCTAGAGTACAGTGGCATGATCTCAGCTCACCACAACCTCCACCTCCCACGTTCAAGCCATTCTCCTGCCTCAGCCTCCCAAGTAGCTGGGATTACAGGCACCTGCCACCATGCCTGGCTAATTTTTTTTTTCTTTTCTTTCTTTTTTTTTTTTTTGGTAGAGACGGGGTTTCACCATGTTGGCCAGGCTGGTCTCGAACTCCTGACCTCGTGATCCGCCCGCCTCGGCCTCCCAAAGTTCTGGGATTACAGGCATGAGCCACCGCGCCCAGCTACAGTCTCTTTTTCAACAGGACCGACAGTGATCCCTTTAAAATGGAAGTCAGATCATGTCACTCCTCCATTTAAAACCCTCTGATAACTGCATTTCCTTTAGCATAAAACCCAAATCCTTATAGTGGTTTATATGGCCCTGCATAATATAATCTGCAACTTCGTTTTCTATTTTTCTCTCTCCTGCTCTGTTCTAGCTGCTCTGGTCTGTCATTCCTCAAATTCACCAAGCACACTTCCTCTTTAGGTTCTTTATACTGGCTATTCTGCCTGGAATGGTCTTGACTCAAATATCAAAAGAGCTAAATCCCTCACCTTCTTCAATCTCTTTGCTTCTATCTTGCCTTCTCAATGAGTATTTCACTTACCACCTTTGTAAATTTTAACCTCCCCCTCCCAACTTGGCAGTCCTGAGTCTTCCTTATTCCGCTCTAACTTTTTAATTTTTCTTAGAAACGTATCACTTTCTACACATATTGTATAGCTTACTTATTTATTATGATGATCATTTATTTTCTGGTTTTCCTCTCTAGAATGTAAGCTCCATGAAGGCAGGGATCTCTGTTTTGTCTAAGTGCAAGAACAGTGTCTAGCACATAGAAGATATTCAGTAAATATTTGTTGACTAATAATTTGTAAGGACTAATAATTCCTTACATTTTTATAGCGTTTTATGTTTCTAGTGCTTTCACATGGTATCCCATTTAATCATCTTAATTACTATATGAGGTGGGTAGGGTAACACAGAATTTATCTCCATTTCACATTTAGGAAAATTAAAATCCAGAGTAGTAAAATGATCTACCCAAGAGCTATTCTACATAGCTGGAATGTGGTAAAACCAGAAACCTAGTTTTGTACCCTTTTTCTGTAGCCTCCAATATTATACTGCAAAGCCTGTAGTCCTTGAGGAAAGACCTTCCAGATTCTTTGTTAGGAAGGGGACATGCCCTGCTTGTGCCACTAACCCAGTGCCTTGAAGCTTAATGTGTTTCACCAGCAAATGCGAAGTCAATCAAAGACCTGAGCTTATGTGGGGAATCACCTTGTGAATATGAGAGAAAATGATTCCCAAATGGCACTCTCTCCAAGAAAGAAAGAAAGCAACATTTGAATATCCCATCTACTTAGTGGAATAAATTATTTGTTTCTTCCTAACTAGCTCTGCCTTCCTCTGGCATTACCCACTAAACCAAACAGTTCTCCAAAGCAATGTAATAGCATAAAGGGAGATGTGAGAGTCCAAAAAGGCATCTGCAACATAACATATATCCCAGTGGCCTCTTTCACTGTGCCACCATCTAAGCCACTAACTGCCCATGTTGAAAGCTTTGCCCCATTGCCACTGGCACATGCAAAGAGTGGAGACTGTCCCTTTAAATGTACCACCAAACAGGAAGCTGGTATTTACTTGGCAGGGGAAGAACAAGATACTTTCATGCTTGGCATACTGCTACCATTGGCATCTAACCCAGAAGCTGCTGCATTCTGCAGGGGTGGCAACTATTTTGTCCTCAGGATAACATAGTGGAAGATGCAGCTATATTTACATACAGGCTTTTTAATAGAGATGCCTGTCACCCCTGGTAAGCTCACAGGAGGCGACAGAAATGGCACAGTCAGAAAAAGGCAAGCCAAGTCCTCGGTACCTTCTGGCAATTGAATCCACAGTACCAGAGAGGGAGGCCTTGATCTCTTTCTTTGGCCTCCAGAATGTCATTATACCAGGGGTATATCCAGAAACCCTCTGAAGTATTACTGAATAGACCAGGTTTGTCTTCAGTGCCCTTGTCAGAACTGTCTTTTCCAAGATCACGCCAAATCGAGTGGTTGAGGCTTGACCCTACTAAGTCAACTCTGCTGCAAGGCTCAACAAATATCCCATAATGAAACAGCATGCAACAATTCAATAAATAAACCTCAGGCTGAAAAAAAAGAAGTGTCAATGCAAGCATAATCTACCAAACACTTAACAGATTTTAGATAATACATGGATGCAAACATCACTGAAACATGAAGAAACATACAACAACCTTGGCTACATGGGTATGTACTGAAGTATCTGACACTGAGGAAGTAGGCCGGATGGAAGAAAAAACATTATTTTATTTTATTGACAGAGTTTCACTCTTGTCGCCCAGGCTGGAGTGCAATGGCATGATCTTGGCTCACTGCAACCTCCACCTCCGGGGTTCAAGCAATTCTCCTGCCTCAGCCTCCTGAGTAGCTGGGATTACAGGCGCCCACCACCATGCCCAACTATTTTTTATATTTTTAGTAGAGACAGGGTGTCACCATGTTGGCCAGGCTTTTCTCGAACCCCTGACCTGAGGTGATCCACCCGTCTTGGCCTCCCAAAGTGCTGGGATTACAGGTGTGAGCCACCATGCCTGGCAGAAAAAAAACATTATTTTTAAGGGGAATATTGGCTTTGGAGGCAGAGAAACCTAGGTTCAAGTCTAAAAGTTTTCTTGCCTTAGTTCACTTAAGCTCAATATGACTCACTTTCCTGATCAGAAATAAGGATGATGACAATAAGCAAGTATTAATTTTGTGATGTAGACAATGTTTAATTATGGGGAGATGCCCTATTGATTTAGTTTGTAAAAAAGTGTGGCTTTTGAGTTTAAACATAGATTTAAACTGCACTTCTGATACTAATTGTATGGCATTGCAGAAGGTACTTATTCTCTCTAAACCTGAGTTTATTCATTTATATTTTGAGGATGATGTTGACACCTATCTCAAGTGGATGCCATAATAATCAAACAAGATAATGTTATGAATGTGTTTTATAAGCCATGAACTCCAAGACAAAGAAAAGTTTTCTTTTTTTAAAAAAAAAAAAAAACCCTTTGATTAGAGTGGCCAACCAATCTGATTTTCCAGGAATAAGGGGTTTTCCAAGACCCAGAGTTTTCAATGCTAAATATAGAAAATCTTAGGAAAACTAGGATGAGTTGGGCACTCTAGTCTTGACCAACCTTTAATTAGGCCAATGTCCTCACTAGACCTTAACTGGGATGACTAGGTCCTAACTAGATTTAGGCCCTGGCTCTGCCTTAACTAGACTCTTACTAGGACTTAACTAAGCTTAGTCCTTTCTAGACCTAACTGGGTTAAATAGGCCTTAAACAGGCCCAGGCCCTTGCTACACATTAAATTAGAAATGAATAGGCCTTCTCTAGACTTAGGTCCTGGCAATGCCTTATCTAGACTGATTAGATATTAACTAGGCATAGTCCCTGGCTAAGCTAACTGGGCTGTGGCTAGGACTTAACTAGGCATAAGCCTGGCTCCACCTTCACTGAGTTGACTAGGCTTTAACAAGGCTTAAGGCCTGCATTTGCCTTAACTAGACTCTGACTAAGCTTTAACTAGGCTTTGGCCCTGGATAGGCCTTAACTGGGCTGGCCAGATCTTAACTAGGATGACTAGGCCCTAAGTAGGCTCAAACTCTGGCTAGAACTTAACTAAAGTCTGACCACAGCTTTTCTAGGCTTAGACCTTGACTAGGCCTTAACTGGGTCCAGGTTATACCTTAACTAAACTCTATGTCTCCTCTAGACTTATGCCCTAGATAGGCCTTAACCATGCTTTGTCTAGGACTTAAGTAGGCTTATCCACTGGATAGGCTATAACTGGACTAATTAAGCCTTAACTAATATTGGCCCTTGCTAGTCTTTAACTGGGCTGACGAGGCCTTAATTGTGTTAACTAGCTCTTAACTAGTCTCAGGTCTTTGCTCTACTTTAACTAGACTCTGACTAGGCCTTATCTAAACTTAGGTTATGACTAGACCTTACCCAGGCTTAGTCCTTGGCTAGGCTTCAACTGGCTTCTGACTAAACCTTAACTGGGCTTTGGCCCTGGTTAGGCCTTAACTAGGATGGCTAGGTTTAAACTGGGCTCAGGCCATTGCTACACTTTAACTATATTTTGATGAGGCCTTAACCAAGATGGCTAGCCTTTAATTAGGCTTGGGCCCTGGGTATACCTTTAAAAGACTCTGTTTACGCCTTAATAAGCTAGGGCCTGGCACTACCTTAACTAGTTTCTGATTAAATACTTAAGTAGATTTAGGCCTAAACTGGGCTCTGACTAGGCCCCTAACTAGCTCTGACTAAATATAAACTAGGCTTAGGACATGAATAGTCCTTAAAAATACTCTGATAATACCTTAACCAAGTCAGTTAGCTTTTAATTAGGCTTACACTGTGGCTGTACCTTAATAAAACTCTAGCCAGGCCTTAAATAAATGTAAGCCCTGGCTATACCTTAACTAGTTTCTGCCTAATACTTAACTAGACTTAAGCCTTACCTAGGCTCTGACTTCACCTTAATTAGGCTTAAGCCCTGACTAGGCCTTAACTGGGCTCTAACAAAGTCTAATCTAGTGTTAGGTAATGGCTAGGCCATAACTGGGCTTTGACTCACACTTAACTAGGCTGAAGCCCTGCCTATACCTTGATTAGGCTTCATTACATCTTAACTAGGCTTAGGTCCTGGCCAAGTCTTAACTAAGTTCTGATTAGGACTAAACTATATTTATGACCTTGCTAGGACTTAAGTAGACTAGGACTACAACATAATTAGGCATAGACCCTGGCTAGGGCTTAACCTGGCTCTGACTAGACCTAAATTAGGCTTAGGCCCTGGCTAGGGCTGAACTGGCTTCTGACTAGACCTAACCTAAGTTTAGGCATTGGTTATGCTTTAACAATACACCGATGAGGTCTTAAGCAAGCTAGCTAGCTTTTAACTAGGCTTAGTCCTTGGCTATACTTTATCAAAATTCGGACAGGCTCTTAACTATGTTTAGGCCCTGGCTAGGCTTTAACTGGCTTAACTAGACCTGAATTAGGCTTAGGCTCTAGCTAGGTCTTAACTGGGCTAACTAGGCCTTAACTAGGCTAAGGCTTTGACTCAGTCTTAACTAAGTTCTGACTAGGACTAAACTATACTTATGATCTTGCTAGGACTTAAGTAGACTGGGACTGGAACTTAACTAGGTTTAGACTCTGGCTAGGGCTTAACTGGGCTGACTAGGCATTAACTAGGCATTGGCCCTGAATAGGTCCCAGTTGGGCTGACTAGAACTTAACTAGGCTCTGACTAGACCGAAATTAGGCTTAGGCCTTGCCTAGGGCTGAATTGGGTTATAACTGGACCAAAACTAGACTTGGGCAACAACTATGCTTTAACAATATCCTAATGAGGTATTAACCAAGCTAACTAGATTTAACTGTGCAATCTAGACCGGAAGTAGGCTTAGGCTGTGACTAGGTCTTTTTTTTTTTTTTTTTTTGAGACAGAGTCTTGCTCTGTTTCCCAGGCTGGAGTGCAATGGCATGATCTTGGCTCACTGCAACCTCCGCCTCCCAGGTTCAAGCGATTCTCCTGCCTCAGCCTCCTGAGTAGCTGGGATTACAGGAGCATGCCATCATGCCTGGCTAATTTTTTTATTTTTGGTAGAGACGGGGTTTCACCATGCTAGTCAGGCTGGTCTTGAACTCCTAACCTCAGGTGACTCTCCTGCCTTGGCCTCCCAAAGTGCTGGGATTACAGGCATGAGCCACAGCGCCCAGCCGGCTCTGACTAGGTCTTAACTGGGCCGACTAGGACTTAACTAGACTTAGACTCTGTCTCCACCTAACTGATATCTGAGTAGGCCTTAGGTGGGCTTAGCCCCTGGTGAGATTGTAACCAAGCTGCCTTGGCATTAATTGGGCTGAGCAAGCCTTAACTAGGCTTTGGTCTTGGCCAAGTTCATGGCTAGAGCTTAACTATGCTTAAGCCTCAGGTAAGCCTTATCTAAGCTGAGGTGCTGGCTAGGCCTTAACCAGACCTTGGCCTTGGCCTTGTCTTGATTAAGCTGTCATCAGACCTTGGCTAAATTGCAGCTACTCTTTCGTAAGGATCACCTCAATAATATACTACCTCTAGCCCTCAGCTCCTCCAGTTTGTATCTGCCATTACCTCAGTTATCCTGCAGTTTCAGGCCGTACTCTGGGTCATAAAGAAGTCAGAGACAAGACCCCTACCTTACCATACTGCAACAGGAAACAGACTGCTTGTAGGCTCTTTGCAGCCAGAGGTACTTACAGTATAAAACAGGAAGCAACCCCTGAATTGACACTCCCAAGAAACCAGGGGGATACTCTTTTATATAACACTCCACCCAGAATTATATTTTTATTTCAGCCAATGAGAATGGTCTGTAAAACTTCTTCCAGGACACTGACATTTTGTAATAAGTTTGTAACAAACTTAAAACATAACATAGCATTCCTGAGTACAGTACAGCAGCAGGTGACTTTACGGCTTTTGCCCATAATGTGCAATTGGCAGTTTAGAAGAGAGATCTTCTTACCTACCTTACCACACTGCAACAGGAAACAGACTGCTTGTAGGCTCTTTGCAGCCAGAAGTATTTATAGGATAAAACGGGAAGCAACCCCTGAATTGACACCCTCAAGAAACCAGGGAACACTCTTGTATGTAACACCCTACCCAGAAGTATATTTCTATCTCGGCCAATCAAAATGGTCTGTACAACTGCTTCCAGGACACCAGCATTTTGTAACAAGTTTGTAACAAACTTAGAACATAGCATTCCTCAGTAGGGGAGGAGACTCTACTGCTTTTGCCCTTAATGAGCAATTGGCAGTTTACTTACCTTAACCACACTGCGACAGGAAACAGACTGCTTATAGTCCCTTTGCAACCAGATGTATTTATAGTATAAAACAGCAAGCAAACCCTGAATTGACACCCCCAAGAAACCAGGGGATACTCATGTATGTAACACTCCACCTGGGAGTATATTTTTATTTCTGCCAATCAGAATGGTCTGTGCAACTTCTTCTAGGACACCGACATTTGGTAACAAATTTGTAACAAACTGAAAACATAGCGGGCCAGGCCCAGTGGCTCACGCTTGTAATCCCAACACTTTGGGAGGCCGAGGCAGGTGGATCATGAGATCAAGGGATTGAAACCATCCAGGCCAACATGGTGAAACCCCATCTCTACTAAAAATACAAGAAGTTAGCTGGGTGTGGTGGCGCGTGCCTGTAGTCCCAGCTACTCGGGAAGCTGAGGCAGGAGAATCACTTGAACCCGGGAGGTGGAGGTTACAGTGAGCAGAGATTGTGCCACTACACTCCAGCCTGGTGACAGGGTGAGATTCTGTCTCAAAAATAAAATAAAATAAAATAAAATAAAATAAAATAAAATAAAATAAACAAAAGAAAATCACAAAACAACAGCAACAACAAAAAAACATAGCATTCCTAAGTACAGTACAGGAGGTGAATCTACAGGTTTTGCCCACAATGTGCAATTGGCATTTTAGAAGAGAGATCACCAATGCACTAGAATTGCAGTAACGGGAGTGTAAGCTTCACCAAGCTGAACTTTGAGCATTTGTAGAACCTATGAACTCTCCACAGTTAGTTATCAGTTCCATTGTGAGGAAGTAGCCAGTCTGATATATGCTGGCTTGGCCTGCTATAAGATACTGAAATACTTGGTTAATGACCCAACAACAGGATGATAAATCCAGACCAGAGCATAGGTAGTCATTCTTGTCTATTAGCTTCATGGATTCCTAGTGATGAAAGACTGGTAATTGGTTCCAACCTTGGCTATATTATTTAGTTTGGGAGCATGTATTTGTATATACATACACCTCCTAGTAAAATGCATTTGATTCATTGCACATTAGGAGTTCACTTTGGCCCAACTAATCATTTTTGTCATCTGTACCAAGTTATAAGTTAAACTTACATAGGCCTGTACAGTCCTATTAACCTTTTCAAGTACACAGTGACTTAGGTATCAGTCCTGCATGGACTAACTGAAGTTTGTAGGTACTATTCAGAGCAAAGCAGGTAAGCAGCTCTGTTCACAGGACAGTGCCCAGACAGGGCCTGTGGCTGTGGGATGTAACCAGTCTTTACATTAAGCTATGTATAGCAGTATGTCAAAAGAACTGATCTGGGCACCAGAACTAGAAAGTTAACACATTCATTCATTCATCCCACAAATATTTATTAATCACCTACTGTGTGCCAGATATTATCCTGAGACTGGGAATATGATGGCAAGCACATATAGACACAACCCTTAACCTAATGGAGTTCTCATTCTACAAACAAAATCAGGAGAGGATCTGCACAGCCATGAGTTGAAGCCTAGATTAAAACAATCTGTATGCTACAGGGCAAGGACAGATGTGATAGGCAAAGCCTACAACGACAGAATAGCTGTAGGAAAATAGCCATGTGGTTAAAAAAAAAAAAGCAGCAACAAATGAATATAATCTTCATTTTAAAAATATGAAAACAGAGATTTTTCCTAACATCACCACCACCACTACCACGTCATTCTGAGAAAGTCATTTATATTTTTTGGTCTTCGGTTCTTCCTTCTATAAAGTGGAATCACTTACCCATTTGAGAAAAAAAAAAATGAAGAGGAACTTGACTAGATAAGTAAATCCTAAATCACACTAGCACAATGGATAAGAGCCACAGGCTTTAGAGTTGAACAGATGGGGGCTTGAATCTCAGCTCTTGTCACCTTGTAGCTATATGCCCCTGGCATGATTTAACCTGAATGAGCCTCATATTTCTTTCTCTGTAAAAAGAGGATAGATACTAATCATGCCTATCTCGGGCTGTCATGGGGACAACACCTGAGAAAAGATGGAAAATGCTTACTGCAATAAATTGCCATGCTCTGTTAAGAAACAGGAAGAATGAGCTATGCCTTGCACAACCTCGATTCTTTTTATTTGGATGCATCACTCTTTAGTGTCTTAAGAGTATTTAGCAGGTACTTGATAAAGATGTGCTGACTGGTTTATTGGACTTCACCATAGGGCAGTAAGAAGATTCAAGGGCAATAGCAAGGACCAAAGCCTGGAAAAGGTGAGAGATCAGGGATTTTACTTATTCTCACTCCTAGTTCAGCTTAACCCACATCCATTCATTCCCTGTGACCATAACAAATAAACATCTTCCTGGGACCACAGGCCCCATTGGGATGATACATAAAGTCTCAGGAAGACATTTCAAGTTCAACCTGAAGAACGAGAGTCAACGTCTCCTGAGTTCTCTGCTCTGAATGAGCACTGAAACCTTCTCTACCTTTTTTTTACAACCCTCTCTTTTTCTGATGTCTCCATTCTCTGGCCAGTCTCTGAGGAGGCTACCAGCAGAGTTACAATCTCATATTTGAAAGATGCTTTGAAAAGAATAAGTATTATTAACTATTAGTTGCACTGTATGAACAAATTCATAAATACTTCCCTTATTGTTGCAGAAACATTACACACCGCTGCTGTAACTAGACCTCTTTCTAGCTTAACTTTGATATTCCGGATCATAAGGGAAGTATGTTGGCATTGTTTCAGTACTTGCTGTTTAAGTGCAAGTATGGAGCCATTCACTCACTCCAGGGAGAAGCAAAGAAAAGAATGCCTTTAAGGGTCTCAAAATTGAAAACAAATAACCAAGAAGGTTACACATGTCTTTCTGTAGGCTGTGAACTGGGTAATAGTGTTTCTCACTCAAGGAAGAATTTGGATTGCCCCTGCTGAAGGACAAAGGGATAAACAGACTAGGCCCAGATCACCTAAAGCAGTTGTTCTCATGACTGATTTCCCTCTCCACCACCCCTCCACCCACCCATCTGCCCATCAGGAGCATTTGGCAATGTCTGGAGAGGCTTTTGGTTGTCACGATTGAGGGGAGGTGCCATTGTCAATTAGTGGGTAGAGGCTGGGGAAATACTAAACACCCTACAGTACACAGAACAGTCTCCAAGAATAAAGAATTATACAGCTCCCAAAGCCAATAGTGTTCAAGTTAAGAAAATCTGACCTGAAGAATCTTTCCATCCTAACAACCAGCAAATATTTCTGAAGGTCTTTCTTGTGGGCACTGTGGTTTACTAAATAATCCATAGTCTCTGCCCTAAGGAAGCTTAGAGTCTAACAGGGAGATCAGCCAATCACACTGAAGCAATCAGGAAATAATGCAGTATATCACTTATCACTTAGTTTTTTTTTTCTTTTTCTTTTTCTACAGTGTGGTCTAGCCTCTGGGTATTATAGGAGCATTTTTAAATTTTATTTTATTTTTAATTGACATAATTGTATTTATTTATGGGATACAATGTGATATTTTGATATATGCTTACATTATAGAAGGGGGAGAACAGCAGGCATATGAAGTTCAGGAAAACTTCCAAGAAGAGTTGGATCTTGAGCTGATGTTTGAAGGAGGCTACTACTCTTTCCCTTCTCCTCACTGCTGGCAGAAAGATGAATCTAAGCTTGCTGCCCATACTTCTTTACTTCCCACTCTCTATCAGTATCTTGTATTCTGATTTCAGGACTCCATAGAAAATTATTTTTCTTAATCACCAGAACCTATCATCTATCCTCAAATATTAATCTACATCAACCCTCATCTTTTAAAAATTTCGCTCTTTATTGACTTCTATGACATCATCATTGTGTTCTGGTCCACTTTTGACCTCTCGTGGCTCAGCCTCAGGTTTCTTTTTACAGCCAACCTACATAGGTAGGTGTGCCACCACCTCCAGCCTGCTGCCTTTTTCTCTCTCACCGTTTCCTCTTAATTATTTTATTCATTCATTTATGTCCCTTCTCATTCCACAAAGGATTTGCAGTAGTTACAATCTCATGCTATGCATTTTTCCTTAATTATTATACCAACTCCTATGGTTTTACCCATCATCTCTATATAGGCAACTCCCCAAGCTGTGCCTCTGACTCTGACTCTGATGTCCTTCCTACACACCACACTACCTGCCTGATCACCTGCTGAACACCATCCATACATACCTCAAATCCAACATATCCTAAACTTGAGGTTTACCCAGGACCTAGTTTTAGCACTGAAAGTTCCGTGTCCTCGGAATTCCCTCAACCCCAAGCAAACCAGAACACTAAGTCACCACAACTAAAATGAACTCAACAGTGTCTGTTCCAAACCCATTCTTCCTCATGAGCTCCTAATTCCTCTCCATCATTTTGTAGCAGAGATATCCTCCTTCTGCATAAACTTCAACTCCTCTTTGCCTTCCACCTACTCATGCAACTGATTGCTAGATATTGTCAATTTTATCTCCAAAATATCTTCTTTAACGTCACTTCCTTTCAACTTCCACTGCTCTAATTCAGGTCTTTATTACCTCTAACCTATACAATTACAGTAGACTCAATCAGTCCACCTGCCTCCAGCCATGCTATCACCCTACTCCCATCCCTTTTGCCAATTCATCTTCCAAACTGCAAAGATTGATCATTCTGAAACACAAATGTGATCATCCATAGATAGTATTTTTCTAATCAATATTGAAGTTTTACAGAATGAACTCCGAGAACAGCATTAAACTCAGGCTCCCAGGCATTTGAGCATGATGACTACACAATATGACACCTAAGAAATGTTGTTATGAATGACTAAAATACACGGAGTATTAATATGAGCTCTAAGTGAAAGGGAAAATCAAAACAAAACAAAAACCACCACCATACCCTTGAGAAGCCAGGAACTGAGTTTGTCGGTTCCAGTTTTGCATCTTTTCATTTCTTCAGAGAAGTATATGATAACCACAGTTAAGGAAAGTAAATATTGCCAGGGAATTCTGGGTGGTAGAGACTCATTAAAGCCTTGATATTCATATGAAACAGAATCATCTGGAAGTCATATTAAACAGAAACTAAACTTGAGAGAGAATTCACTGGTTCCCTCAGGGCATTAGGTCTTAACTGATCTGTGGCCCTACTCCCTAATTACCTCTGCTGCAAGAGCCATAGGCTTTCCATCTCAGACTGGCAAGGAAAAAGAGAATTTACATAAACGATGTTTATATCAGTGACAGGAAATATGTATCCCACTTGAATAAGGGGTACGGCGTGCCCAATATAGATTATGAAAAATGAAAAACTGCCAGGAGAAGAAGGCAAGTGCTTTCCCTAGAGGAGAGAGAGCTCATCCTTTCCTCTCTCAGGAAAACTTACCTATCCTCTGTCTTCTCTCATAGACTTGCAAGTGGTAAATTGTTTATGAAGCAACTCACCTTAGGAGTCAGGGGTTGACCTTCACAGAGATATTAGAAAAAGATGGCTACCAGAAACATCAGAGCTGTAATCCAAAGGCTTACCTCTCTAATGGTAGGAATTTTCATCACATGGTAGGTAACCTCCTCTTCCGTCTACATAATTAAGAGATAGCTCCCACCTCTTCAGAAACCTCTTCCAACTATGGTCCTGCAGTTTTTGTTTGCCACATTTGTCTTTTCTAGTTTTTTTTTTTTTCTCCCTAGCTTAATAGGACATTGAAACATTGTTGTGTTTCATTTATCTCCCAAAGACCTTGCCTCTGAAATTCATTATCCTTTCATTTTAGGTACTTCCCAGTCAGAAACACACATGCACACACACACACACCACAAACAAAAACACATCCCTTCTTTGTTTAATAGCACTAACACCCTCCCTCTCCCTCAACCTGGGAGATGTGAACAGCCATGGTTGCTACCCTAAAGGAGTTGAGGATCTAATCAGAGGCATCAACCAAGCCCAACTAAGAACAAAGAAGTATATCTGACAGTCATTATTTTTTTCTACAGTTGCTGCAGGAACTAGGAGAATGGGGAGGTCAGCATAAACTGCAATCTTTAAGAAAACATCACATTAATCAAAGAATGGAATCAGAGTCCATTGAAGTGCAACACAAGGGAAGGATTTTGAAGACACCAAAAAAAAAAAAAAAAAAAAAGAAAGAAAAAAGAAAAACATCACAGAACTGGGGACTTTCTTCCTGGGCCCTACACATACACACTTCATTGTGGTCATATATGGTTCTGGCTTAAAGCTTTTAATGGCTTATACTAGAGTGAATCCCCTGCTGTCAGTCCCCCTCCAGGCCAAAACCACCCTGTTCACTGCCCTGTCCTGCTAATCCTCATACTTCTACCTCTGGCCCTAAACTTCAGTCTTTTCTTCAACAACTCAAGGCACTAGAAATGTCATCAAGAATAAGAAACAGACAAATACAGGTATTTGGTATTTAAGTGAACATTCACTATGTGCCAGGCACACAGCCACATTCTATCTGTTCTCATTACTACTCCAAGTAATTTAACTACCATTTTTAAGAGTTTACTATGTGCCAGGCAACCAGAACTGTGCTAAGAACCTTTCATGAATAGTAGCTCATTTAATCCTCATAGCTACCCTATCAGCAGTATTATTATTCTCATTTTACAGAGGAGGATACAGAGGCACAGAGAAGTAAAAGAACTTGTCCAAAGGCATACTATTAATAAATGGCAAAGCCAGAGTCGGACCTCATGTCTGTCTTACTCCAATGCCTACATACCAGAGACTATGTAGTATTATGGTTACAGCAGGGCCCAGAACTCTTTCTATAGAGGGCCCATAGCAAATATTTTAGACACTGTTGACCTTATGGTCTCTGTTGTAATTACTCAACTCTGCATAAAAGCAACCACAGGTAATACATAAACAAATGAATGTGGCTGTATTCCTATAAAACTTCATTTACAAAAGCAGGCAATGGGCTAGATTTAGCCCAGAGGCTATAGTTTGATCACCTCAAGTTAGAGCACTAGTGGTGTACTCAGATAGACCTGGGTTCAAAACCTGGCTCTCACCACTTACTAGACAAAACATTTAGTCTCTCTGTGTCTCAGTTTCTTCAGCGGTAGAACAGCAACAATACCACCCTCATAGAGTCATCATGAGGATTAAGGATTAAAGGCATGTCTGGCACATAGTCAACTTCTCAGACAGTCATTTTATTAAAAGCCCACCACATGCTGGTCCCTAGAAGGAAGGAGAAAGGACATGGATTAGAATAATTACAACTCTCTTTAAAATCAAGCTACCAGGGCCCCTACGGTCTTGATACTCCACAGAAATAATTACTCTCTCGGGATTCCAGCTAATTTGATTCTCCCTTCAGCTACATGAACTGTGTTCTCTTGTGAGTTTAGTTTCCTGTTGCAGTCATTAGCAAGAAAGTCTCTTGACTTCATTATAGCTTTTGTCAGGCACTGGGAACCCTATCATGGTAGAACAGGAATCTGATTTTGTTATTATCTGTTAGGTGTTCCCTTCAGGAATGAGATTCTCACCACTGAAGTCATGCCTGTGTCCCAAGTACTTGGCATGGGGCCTGGCACAGAGTAGGTGCTCAGTGAATGTTGCTGGCTTAATTGAGCTGGCTACATTTGGGGTGGTCTTACCTGGAAACAGATGGAAAATGACTTCTTAAAAGCCATCCGAGCATTGAGGATCCTTCCTTTCTCTACCAGAGAAAGACAGAATGTGTGGTGAGGGCAAGAAAGGTGTAGGAGTGTGGTGGATGGTTGCAGGGGCAGGGAAGAACAGGACACACTGTTCCTGGTTACATTAAGCACACAGGAGCCAAGATGCATTCATGTCTTTAGGCCATGTTCCTGAATAATCACCTGGTAAAAGCCATTTTGAGCAAGTTTTTTTTTTGCTTTTTTATTTCAAATTTTTTTTATTTATTTATTTGGAGACGAAATTTTGCTCTTGTTGCCCAGGCTGCAGCGCAATGGTGCGATCTCGGCTCACTGCAACCTCCGCCTCCTGGGTTCAAGCAATTCTCCTGTCTCAGCCTCCCTAGTAGCTGGGATTACAGGCACTCACCACCACACCCAGCTAATGTTTTGTATTTTTAGTAGAGACGGGGTTTCACTATGTTGGCCAGGCTGCTCTCAAACTCCTGACCTCAGGTAATCCACCCGCGTTAGCCTCCCAAAGTGCTGGGATTACAGACATGAGCCATCACACCCAGCTTCAAATTTTATTAAAGGGCACACGTGTAGGTTTGTTACATGGGTAAATTGCTCAGTGCTGAGGCTAGGGGTCTCAATGATCCCATCACCCAGGCAGTAAACATAATACCCAACAGGTGGTCCTTCAGCCTAAGCCCCCATTTCTCCCCTATCTAGTGATTCCCAGTGTCTATTGTTCCCATCTTTACATTAATGTGTATTCGATGTTTAGCTCCCACTCATAAGTGAGAACATGTGGTATTTGGTTTTCTGTTCCTGCGTTAGTTTGCTTAGGAATTACCTCCAGCTCCATCCATGTTGCTGCAGAGGACATTTCATTCATCTTTATGGCAAAGTATTTTATGGTGTCTATGTATCACATTTTCTTTATCCAATCCACTGCTGATGGGCACTTGGGTTGATTCCATGTCTTTGCTATTGTGAACAGCACTGCAATTAATATGCAGGTATAGGTATCTTTTTGATAGAATGAATTATTTTCCTTTGGGTATACACCCAGTAGTGGGATTGCTTGGTCAAATGGTAGCTCTATTTTATGTTCTTTAAGAAATCTCCAAACTGCTTTCCACAGTGGCTGAACTAATTTGTATTCCCACCAATAGTGTGTGTCTTCACTTCTCTCCACAGCCTCACCAACATCTGTTGCTTTTTGACTTTTTAATAATCGCCATTCTGACTGGTATGAGATGGTATTTCATTGTGGCTTTGATTTGCATTTCTCTGATGATTAGTGATGTTGAGCATTTTTTTTTCATATGTTTATTGGCCACTTGTATGTTTTCTTTTGAGAAGTGTCTGTTCATGTCCTCTGAAGGTAAGCTTTTTGCTTTGAATCAAAACCATGCTTAGGCAATCTTCCATCTCAGCTTTGAAAAATACCCTAAGATACCTCAACTTGTCAGTCAGCCCTGAAAAAGCCATACCTCCTGCAATCCTGACTTGCCAATCTTTCTCAATGAAAAATTCTCTCTTTTATCTACCAAGTTGTCTCCAACCCTCTAAAATGTGTCTTGTATAACAATTCAGTTTGTTCACTCTGGAATTTGTTAGACTTATTTGTAGGATCTGACTATACAATGAGGACCATACTGACTGCAATTGGATGTATTTCTCCAACACGTTATTCCTCCCCTACCTCACCATCCCTACCGCCTACTACCACCACTATCAGTCTCCTTTCCAGAATTCTAAGCCAGTAATTGGCATGACAGAACATACCCTCAAAACATTCAGAGGAACAAATAATGGAAACAGTGCTGATGCATGCAAACTCTGTCTAGGCATGAACTAGGTATTCTAGTTCATTCTGTGTTGCTAATAAAAAATAGCTGAGACTGGGTTATTTATAAAGAATAGAGGTTTATTTAGCTCACAGTTCTGCAGGCTGAGAAGTTCAAGGGCATGGCCCTGGTTTCTGGAGAGGGCATTTGTGCTGTGTCACAACATGGCAGAGAAGGTCAAAGTCAAAGCAGACAGGTGTGAGGAAAGGAAAGCCTGAGGGGCATCCTGGCCTTATCACAACTCACTTTCAAGGAAACAAATCCATCCCTGCGAGAACTAATACAGTCTTACAGGAATGAGAACTCACTCCTGCAAGAACAGCCATTCATAAGGGATTACACCCTCATGACCCAAACACCTTTCACTAGGCCCTACCTCCCAATACCACCACACTGGGGATCAAATTCAAAATTAGTTTTAGTGGGGACAAACAAACCATGCCCAAACCATAGCACATAGAGTGTGTCAAATCACATATACAGTCACTTCAAGACTACATATCCAGAAGTGACAATTCTACATCTCGTAAGTCATAATGATGAAAAGAACTAACATTTATTGAGTGCTTTCTTGTTTAGTTCCTATAGTAATCCATCATGAAAAATAATAACACTGGCTTCCTAGTTGCCAGGCATTTAATTAACTCTCTTAATCCTCATAATGACCTCATGCCATGAGTTACTATTGTAATCCTCATTTTGCCGATGAGGAAACTGAGGGCTGGAGAGGTTAAGTAACTTGCCCAAGGTAATCCAGCCAGGGAGTGGTGGGGCTGGAATGTGAACCCCAGGTCAGTCTGTCTGACTGCAGAGACCAATCTCCTAACCCTACCACACTACCTTATTAGAAACATCTT
Organism: Homo sapiens; assembly: GCF_000001405.40. Lineage (NCBI taxonomy): Eukaryota > Metazoa > Chordata > Mammalia > Primates > Hominidae > Homo > Homo sapiens. The sequence goes on along the minus strand of NC_000023.11, from coordinate 111,871,364 downwards.
TGAGCATGCAGCCCACATTATCCTGTTATGATAAAAAAAAAAATGCATGAAAATGCCTGCTTCCATCTATTTGGTGTTGAGAATGTTTCAAAGCACTTTCCCATCCCTGATGCATTTGATCTTCACAACAGTCCTGTGAGGAAGACAGGCATAGGCAACACCACCATTACATAGATAAAGACCAAACACAAAAGCTTGCCCCAAGTCCCACTCCACAAATGAGAGACCAAGCCAGAGTCAGAGTTCAATGTACAGTATACATTTTCAAAATGTGTTCTTTGGTATAGCTAGGGATTAAGTCTCCTCCACCTCCTTCATTCTGATTTCATCCTGAAGATTTGAAAGGAAGTGGGCAGCCCACAGCAGGTCATTAAACCCTCCAGCCAAGCTTTCCTATAAATGTAAAAACTACTTGAGTATACCTCACTTTGTCTTCCACATACCCCAACCCTTCAGGATCTGCAGTACCTGACCACATCCTGTGTCTTGAAAGAAAAAAAATGAGGGACCTTGACCCTTAAAAACTGGACACACTGAAGGTATGAACATATCTCATTGTGGATTTCTCACTTTAAAAACATTTATTGGACAATTACAGGTCCAAAATTCCAAAACCCACCTGGCAGGTGAGCAATACTCACCTGGCAGGGGAGATATCATGATCACCAAGCCCACCAAGTTCTGAAAACCAAAGTTTTTAAAAATAAATTCCCTATCAAACCTCTCATATGGCAGCAAAACCTGACATGCACTGATGGGAGGCAATTTATGGTGTTTATTTATCCCATTGCATCTAAGCATGCCCAGGTTTCACTGCTGAAAATTTATTGTGTTTGATTATAGTAGGGTTGCCAGATAAAACATAGGACATAGTTAAATTTAAATTTCAGATAAATAATGAATAATGTTTTTGTATAAGCATGTCCCAAAATTATAAGGGGCATTTAGTTATACTAAAACATTTTTGCTGTTTAGCTGAAATTCAAATTTAATTGGGCATCCTGTATTTTTATTTGCTAAATTTTGGAACTCTAATTATGGGTGCTGCCTGAAACCTCACTGGGAGTGTTATCTAATATATGGCATAGACAGCATATTACTGTTCTAAAATCTGACAAATTTAGAATTCCAAAACAAATCTGTCCCCAAGAGTTTTGTAAAAGGGATTGTGGACCACTGGACCTATAGCATCCTCCCAGCACTGGGCTTGGTACTTCATGGGGACTCAGCTCCCAAAGAGCAACAACCTCTCAAAGAATTATCCCATCACAATGCCTTGCCTCTTGAGCTTTCATTAGATTTCCCCTCTGCTGTCTTTCATAGGTCATTAGCATGCTTTCTGCTTTGATATATTTATTCTTCAAGGTATTTCCCCTCTAGTGTCCTGATTTAAACTAGTAGGACTGCAACCCACAGCTGACCTAACCACACTTTCTATGATTTCTTACTTGGCTTTAGTGAGTTTCCAGCCTCTCCTGTTCAATTGCTCTGACATGCTATGTCACTTTCTTCCTTCCTGGTAAGAAGCTTTCCAACACAGACTCCCCTTTACTTCCAGAACTCTCCTCTGTAGTAGGCAGTGAGCTCCTACCACCCTCTGCTGCCATCTCATGGCTAGGATAAGCCATTGCATTAGTCTTAATTCTGTTGCACTAGTTCTTTTTAGAGTCCATCACCGCCAACACAGAATTATAACATCTGCCAGGAAACCCCATTGGGCTAATTCTGACTGCTGTATGCACTTGCAAATGGAAAATTATACTTTAAAAAAATATGCGTTCTAAAACAGTTTTCAACCTCCTCCTTCAACCTAGCCTCACCTTCCTCCATTTAGTTCTAAGTAGTGAGGCTTAGCCCTAGTTTGAAATGAAAGATAGGGCTTCCAGTTGACTGATTTTGTGAGTCTGCACCTGTGTTGCCATTGATATTGGCAGCCCAGCTTGGGAACTAAGTCTGCTAGCTAATTGCAACAACAGAGCCAGCTTAGAACAAAATGTCTCAGTAATCCTTGGGTAAGAACATATCTTCTTTTTAAAAAATAAAACTAGCCATGGATTAGTGATCTGAGTGATTAAATATTAAACTGTGCTAGACAGAGAGTACATGTAAAAGGTAGGGGCTATTTCCAATCATTATCTGGACCTAAACTTTTGTCAAAACCTATTTCTTGATCTCAAATGTCTGCTGCAGTGGTTTACAAAAAAAAAAAAAAAATGCTGCACTGCTTAATGAAAGTATGACTCAGCAAGCTCACTACAATGGTGAGGGAAGAAAGGTGCTTGAACATTTCTTCCTCTTCGGGAACTTTTGCATTGCCACTGATTTCCCCTTTTGGGCGTTTTTCTCCTCTTCAGAGCCCAGCTTGATTGGCAACTAAAAACAAAACTCATTCTCTTGAGGGTCATTCCTGTAGAGGCGGGTTTTTAAACACATCCTTAACACACAACCGGACTATCTTCTGAAGAACTGAAATCTAACACAGTACACATTGGGCCCATTTCTATGTGCAGCCATTCACTGAAGGGAGTAGGATGCAGTTCTTAAAAGATCAGTAGACTTTTTCAAACCTCCCAGAAAGGCCCTTACCTCAGATCTTACTATAGCCAGTAACTGCTGTTTCTTCCTGATCCTCACCTTCTCCTCTGGTATAGGGGACGACTCATTCTCACCCTTCAAATTTTCTTTTCCTCTAAATGGACTAAAGGAAGAAGTGTTTACAGCTGTAAGTCTCCCAGCTCAAAGTCAGCTGATTTCTTTTAGGAAACATGGGAACATAACTCATTGCCAATTACTTTAGAGAACCACAGACCTATACTGCTTTATAAACCTCTGAATATTAAACATGTGTCAAGGTGACTTTTCTTTCAGTCTCACCTATTGCACTTTTTTGTACACACCTAAAAACTTAAAATAATCTGAAAATAACCAGTTAGGTGACTTAACTGTGAAACTGACTTGTTTTTATCCTAATGCTTTTCTTGCTGATAGCTTTCCCAGCAGGGAACAGGGTGGACTGAGCAGGGTAACAAAGATATTTCTCCTCTGACCATTGTCCATTCCTAATGGAGCCACTGGAAGCTTACTGCTGTGGCTTTTCTCTACCTCACAGCCTGGCTTATTTCTCAAAAGCCCATCCCCACGACCAGATCCTCTGCTTCTATGAGGGGACTTTCCCTTTTTTTTCATTGCCTCCTCAAGGAGTGGTGACTCAATTAATTATCAGGGAGGTCTATCTGTACCTCATTATTCTTAAATGAGCACTTAAGTACAATGTTTGACATCCAGTAGTCACTCAAATGTTAGATGTTGTTATTATTACTATTTAACCTCTCTGAGCCTCAGTTTTCTCATCTGTAAAATGGATGTAATAATAGTACAAACTTCCTAGGTTTGTTAATACATATAAACTGCTTTTAAAAGTATCCAAAACTTAGAAGGTTCTGTGTACATTTTATCTATGACTATTAAAACTTCTATTAGAGAAATAATTTAAGGACATATAGACTGCAAGGTGAAAAGAGAAACGTGTGTGTGGGTTTGGGGATGCTACGGCGGGGAAGAGTTGTGTGTGGATTATGTGTTTGAAATATGTTTTAGCGGCCGAAGAGAAATGCCCACTAGGCGTTAAACATTCAGGTGTAAATTTTAGCAGGGACGGAATGAAGAATTTTTTCACTTTAACAAAAACAGTAAATGCCTGCAAAGACCTTTGGGGGTAAGAAATGACATATATAGAAGTGTTCCTCCACTTCCTAAGCTTACCGTCTACTAAGAAGGCTGAGTCACTGATTCTACATAGAAGTACATGTAACACAAGGTAGGCTCTGAGAGGTACCACAGGGAAAAAGCAAAGTGGTATGAGCTCAAGGAGAGAGGTCACACCTCTGGCTGAAGCAATCAGGGAGGGCTTCCAGAAGGAAGTGATTTTCTGATTTCATTATTCACCGCAGCCTTTTCTTAGGACTCTAGTGCCTGCTGATTTTTTCCATCTCTGAATGCTCTAAGATCCCAAAGTGTGGTGCCTCATGACAAAGCAGTGAGCTTTTCCTAAAGCTAAATAGATCCAGATTGAATGACTGTCCTTTATTCTGTCCTTTCTTTTATAAAATGGTGGTAACAGGAGATCAAAGGGGTGTGGGCTTTTCTCATGTCCTTACTTGGCAAAACAATCTCCTGATTTGGAGAGGAGTGGCCTTAATCAGTCTGTGAGAGCCAACCATCTGGGAACCTGACATGTTTACCATCTGTACCATTTATGTGGGCGTCTGAACACAAACATTATTGTCCTGTTACTTGTTTCGCATGAGTTAGGCTAGTATCCCTTCAAAAGAGCTCCTGCAGGCCAGAATCATGGCTGGTCTCTCTTGCGATGACCCTCTCCCACAGGCCACACGGAGCTGGGCACAGAGCAGGTACTCCAAAATACTTGTTGAAAGGCCTAAACTGAATCACATTAATCTTGCACTTCCCTTGCAGTAAGCAAGTCAAATTCTATTCTGCCTTGAGTTAAGCATGTGAATCAGGCATTAAATCCTATTGATCCTTTAGACAGCTGTAGAAACAAAAGTCACATACAGTAGACTGGTGAGGGGCTGGGAAGATAATTCTCTTCACTGAATGAAAAAATTCAGAACTCTGCTGCAGTGAAATCAAAGCTATTTTGCTAGTTTTCTGGCAGAGGGGTGGTCTCTTTCCAGTAGAACCTGACATTTTTCCTATCAAGAAATATTCCTAGGAGGGGCCAAGAGCCATTGGGCCCCTCCATTGACAACACAGCTTTATGTCAAAGAAAGCCAGGGCTTTTCCAAAAGTTGTGTGCAGTAAGGAAAAAATACAATAATGTTCAGCCCTTGTCTGGGAGTATTGCAGAACTGAAGCACTGAAGAGGGAAAACAATCAACAACTGCAGTGAGGATCCTAGCTCATTTGTGAAGAAAAGATTTAGACAGATTAAACAGGGGGATTCCATACAGATCTGGCCTGGGGCGGGCCCCATCACTTCTGGGCTTTGCTAGCCTTCAGGCCCCTTAACTGGCTAATATGATATACCCACTTTAAGCTGTTAAGGTAGTTGATAGTTTTGTATATTACCACTTCCTACAAACATGAATATAGTTTCAATGCTTTAATCCAAAGAAATAAATTATGTGGGCATTTCAATCACTGGCCGCAAGGCCAATGGGGAAGATACTGGGAAATTTAGCTTTCTGCATGCCTCTGATCATACCATCCATGGATTGTCAGAGAGTGCAGTGTTTGAAAGCTTGGTCTATGGAATCAACCAAGCTAGTTCCCCAGTCCTGGCTCCACCATTTACCAAGAAATGTGACCTTGGGCTCTGTCCTATCAGCTGTAAAATGATATAATTCTATATCTGCCATTAGCGTTGCTGTGAGATGATGCATATAAAAAATCCAGCACAGTTGCTGGCACATTATAAGAGCTCAATCTTTGATATGTAATCTTCCAATGTTAAGAGTAGTTCCTAGTTGCAACTCCCAGGAGACTTGTGTTAGCTACTGGACTCCTTTCACACACTAAGGAAGGAAGAATTTGGAAAGAGAGTATTCCACCAAGATTTATCCAGCACAGAGCTATTTATTCAATCACTCATTCATCAAATATCTATTCAGCATTCATCTTGTACCAGGCATTTTGCAAAATGTTGGGAATATAATAAAGAATAAGACAAGCTCCCAGTCCTTGACCAACACTCAGTCTTATAGCTTTTAAGAAGCTGGCCGGGCACGGTGGCTCACTCCTGTAATCCCAGCACTTTGGGAGGCCAAGGTGGGCAGATCACGAGGGCAAGAGATCAAGACCATCCTGGCCAACATGGTGAAACCCTGTCTCTACTAAAAATACAAAAAATTAGCCAGGCGTGGTGGTGTGCGCCTGTAGTCCCAGCTACTCAGGAGGCTGAGGCAGGAGAATTGCTTGAACCTGGGAGGCTGAGGTTGCAGTGAACAGATATCACACCACTGCACTCTAGCCTGGCGACAGAATGAGACTCCGTCAAAAAAAAAAAAAAAGAAGCTGCTAGAGGCCGGGCACAGTGACTCATGCCAGTAATCTCAGCACTTTGGGAGATCTAGGTGAATGGATTGCTTGAGCCCAGGAGTTCAAGACCAGGCTGGGGGGGGTAACATGGCAAAACTCCCTCTCTACTAAAAACACAAAAATTACCTGGGTGTGGTGGCACGCACCTGTAATCCCAGCTACTCGGGAAGCTGAGGCATGAGAATTGCTTGAGCCAGGGAGGCGGAGATTGCAGTGAGCTAGGGAGGTGGAGATTGCAGTGAGCTGAGATCATGCCAGTACACTCCAGACAGAGCGGTACTCTGTCTCAAAAAGAGAAAAAAAAGAAGAAGCTGCTATATTCCTTAAACTTTTTAAGCCCCTGAGGAAGGGAATTCGTTGGGCAAGGACTATCATTTGCACTAACCCACACACAAATAGAACAACATAACTTCCCATGAAAAGTTAAAAAGTTACAAGGGAAAGCACTTCCAGAATGGCAGAGTTCTGAAAATCTACCCTTCCACAAAAGCTACAAGACGTTGAAAATTTTTTTAAATTAACTTTCACAATTCCGGAAATTAAGCAAAAGTTTACAACGATCAGAGGAGCATTTACTCAAGTAAAACAGCCAAGTTTTCGAAGAAAAGCAAGTTTTGTGGTATTTTAATTTGCCCAATTCCCATCTTCCTTTCCCCAGCTCAACAGCAGCTTTGAAAACCAACAGCCTTGGAACCATGGTAGCTGTAAAAAGCAGCAGCCTGGCACCCACTGAAGGGGAGCAAACTGGGTTTGGAGCACCCCAAATAGACCCATCCCCAGAGAACTGTCATTATCTGTCAGTCAACTTCGTTAAGAAGCCCAATTCCCAGGACTGGTCTTCATGTGATCTGACTCAGTACCAATAGTTCTTTTCCTGGGGGCATTTGTTTAAAAAAATCAGCAACAGTTGTTTAATATGAAGGCTGCCTGAGGCAGTAGATAACAATTGGGTCAAATAATAGGCTAAAGAAAAAGCAATCTAAATCCAGCAACATAGAAAACGAATTAGACACTATGGGCCAGGTGTGGTGGCTCACGCCTGTAATCCCAGCACTTTGGGAGGTGGAGGCCTGCGGATCAGGAGGTCAGGAGATCGAGACCATCCTGGCTAACATGGTGAAACCCCATCTCTACTAAAAATACAAAAAAAAATAGCCGGGTGTGGTGGCAGGCACCTGTACTCCCAGCTACTCGGGAGGCTGAGGCAGGAGAATGGCGTGAACCTGGGAGGCGGAGCTTGCAGTGAGCTGAGATCGCGCCACTGCACTCCAGCCTGGGCAACAGAGCAAGACTCCATCTCAAAAAAAATAATAAAAAAGAATTAAACACTATGACTGAGTAGAATTTATCCCAGGAATATGAGGGTGATTCAACATAACAAAAATCAGTTAATGTAATACATTACATTAATGAAAGGAAAGACAAAACCATGCATGATCATTTCATTTGACACAGAAGAAGCATTTTTCAAAATTCAACAAACTTACATGATAAAAACACATGGAAAACTGTGAATTGAAGAGAATTTCTTCAGCCTGATAAAGGCCATCTATTAAAAACCCATAGCTGACATCACACTTAATAGGAAACTTGAAAGCTTTTCTTCTAACATCAGGAAAAAGACAGGGATGTCCACTGACAGCACTTCTATTCATCATCATACTGAAGATTCTAGCCAGGTCAATTAGGTAAGAAAAAGAAATAATAGGCTTCCAGTTTGGAAAGGAAGAATTAAAATTGTCTCTATTCACTGATGACATGGACCTTGTACAGAGAAAATCCTAAGGTATCAACAACAAAAATTATTAGGGCTGATAAATGAGTTGGGCAAGGTTGCAAGATAACATACAAAATCAATCATGTTTTGTTCAACAAAAATTATGGAAGGCCATTGTTTTGGACTGAGCTCCCATACTAGGCCCCAACAGACCAGACCAAACCAAAATGGAATCACCTGCTAAATGCCATATAATCAAACTAAAACTTTAAGAAAGCAGGTACATCCCCAAACAGACCAGTTTTTCCTGAAAATAGGAGATTCTACTCCACCTGAGTCCATGTAATATGGAAGATGCCTCTGTTTTAACCCTTGCCAAAAAAAGTAACCTGATGTTAACCGATTTTTTTTCCCCTATGTTCTCTTTCCTTTTTCCCACCTTACAAAACCCACTGTTCTGCTATTGCCTAGTAGAATGGAATGTCTCATTCTATTTTGTAGAATGGAGGCTTCCCTGATTCATACATCATGAAAAAAGCCAATTAGATCTATAACTAAATTTGTTGAGATTTTGTCTTTTGACAGTTTCTATACACTAGCAATGAACAATCCAAAAATGAAATTAAGAAAACAATTCCATTTACAGTAGCATTAAAAACAATTAAATACTTAGGAATAAATTGAACAAAAGAAGTGTAAGACTTGTACACTGAAAAAAACCAGAAAACACTGTTCAAAGAAACTAAAGAAGATCTACGTAAGTGGAAAGATATTCCATGTTCGTGGACTAGAGACTTCATATTGTTAAAATGGTAACATTCTCCAAATTTTTCTTACCTTTATGGTTAATTGACTTTCAACAAGGGTGTCAAAACAATATAATGGGGAAATAGTAGTGTTTTCAAAAAATAGTGCCGGGACAAATGGATATCCACATGCAAACGAATGCAATTGGGCCTCTACCTCACAAAATATGCAAACGGATTAAATACCTAAATATAAAAGCTAAAGCTATCAAACTCTGAGAAGAAAACAATGGTGTGAGTCTTTGTGACCTTGGATTGGGCAATGATTTCTTAGATATGACAACAGTAAGTCTGTCAGATTAGTATCTATGTAGCTTCAGTCAAATCTAACCATGGATTCCAGTTATTATACTATATAACCCTATAAAATACATAGAAGTATTATTACTTTGCCTTTATAACAAAACCCAAGAGTCTGTTTCAATTTATAATTTCAGCATTTAAGCGAAGAGATTTTAGTTCCCAAAGTTGGGGAAAATAAAAAAACAATAAGGGAAGAAAGAATCAGGCCTTGGTGCCATATATTTTTCTCTTGAGGTTGTAAGGCAGAGTATCCTTCTTTCCAGAACACTTTATTATATTTCACTTACAGACCTAATTTTCTGTGTCAAAGTATAATTCCCATGCCGAAGCTCTAACCTAAAAATGCAAAAAAAGTTGTCTTCATTGTACAAACATATCCATCACTTTAACGAGATAATAAGGGAACAAAATTTAGGATTCAAGCTAAGTAAGAATACTGTTTCAATGAACATGTCCCTAAAATAAACCAGCATTAGCAGTTAATTTATGCATCTAGAAAATCTCAGTTCCCACCAGTAAAAATATCCTCAGTGGCTAGTGCACCTTGAAAAAAAATCTGGCGTACTAAATAAATAATGTTCATGTGGGAGCCAGGAGCTGGGTAAGCCTTGCCTTTAGACTACTCTGTGACTATAAAAATAAAGCCAGCACTTTTGGAACTAATAAGGCTTCACTTGTCAGTATCATAAAGAGTATTGCTCAACTAAACTTTGCTCCCACCGGTTCAGTAGTTACTTATTTCTACCTAAGTACTCATCTTCCGATTTTACCCAGGTATTTAAAATCGAAAGAAAAAAGCATTATATTTCAGCGCTACTTTGCCCAAATTACAAAATAAGTCATTATTTTTAGTGTCAAGTCACAAAAAAAAATTAACAGGTTTTACATTAAAGTTAAAAGTTGCTAAAAGTTACCATTATAACGTGTAATTAAAACTGCTAAACATGAATTTGCATGCAAGGTGTATAAAAACACTAAAAATTGTTTTTCTTAAAAATTATAAGAAGGCATAAAAATGTACATTTTGCTTAAAAATAAAAAATTGTCTTAAAATTAAATAAAATAAAGTGGATGGTTTAAGCAAATTATAAAGACACTATAAAAACTAATCCTGCAAATAAAACTCTGTGTAAACACATTAACTAAACTCAAAAGAATATTATATGTCTTTTCTGTAAATTAAACACTAAAATAAAAGCACCACAAAGTTTTCTTAAAATGCTAATCTACTCTTAAGCAAAACTTGTCAAGGGTTATAACAGGTATGTAAAAATCTTACTTCATGGTCAAACTGGTTAAAATTAAACAGAATTATCTATAAGGTTTCATTAAAATTAAGGTTAACATTAATAGCAAACTAACACAAGGGTAAAATTTAACTTTCTCTCTTAAACACAATTTTCATGTAATTGAAAAGGCTAATAAATGGTTTTTGGTTTTCCAGATTGTTATCTCATTTTGGCAAAACAAAACAAAACAAACAAACAGAAAAACAACTTATGATAATCTAAAGTTCTATTTCATAATATCAAGGGTTTTAAATTTTAAACATATTTAACAGCCTTCTCAAAATCAAACTTTACTTTCAAGGTTGTTTTTCCTAACCACTGGCTTTTGGGTGCTGCACAGGACCCCTGAACCATCCAAAAAAGAGGTAAACAGGATTATTTGGCAACATAAAATTGCGAAAATAATGTCTAATACATTATATTTTAGGGAATATTATTAACATATGTTCCAAAACTGTATGGAATGTCTAAGGTTCTTATGTCTGAATATGTGCTATTAATCACAATTAAAGTTGTTATGTTGGGTTATTGTAAGCCACAAAAATAACCAAATTTCTTTGTCAATTGTGTTTCTAACTGTATCCAAACTGGACATTTTGTTATTTACAGACAATTGTTATTTTGTTTTAATTCTCTTCAAAACATTGTTTATATTCAAGCTTTGGAACTTTAACAAATGCTCTCAAATGTAGGTTACTCATAACAACAACAAAACGTACAGAACTCATAAAAAGCTAAAATGTTTATAAACATAAAGCAAAACAAAGGTTAATAAAATAGAATAAACTAATAAAAAAACCAATTTTTACCTTTTACTTAGAACACTGCTAATCTTTATCTCATTTTTCAGAGTCAAGAAAACTTGTCTTAAGCTAGCTACAGCTTTAACAACTAAGTAAAGTATACTCCTGTGAATAGAATTTAAAGCGTGTTTGTTTCTCTCTGCCTAGTTCCTCTAGAATTTAAAAACTGGCTATAAGTAGGCCAGGCGTAGTGGCTCACGCCTGTAATCCCAGCACTTTGGGAGGCCGAGGTGGGCGGATCACGAGGTCAGGAGATTCAGACCATCCTGGCTAACACGGTGAAACCCCGTCTCTACTAAAATACAAAAAAATTAGCCGGTCGTGGTGGCGGGCGCCTGTAGCCCCAGCTACTCGGGAGGCCGAGGCAGGAGAATGGCGTAAACCCAGGAGGCGGAGCTTGCAGTGAGCTGAGATCTCGCCCCTGCACTCCAGCCTGGGCGACAGAGCGAGACTCCGTCTCAAAAAACAAACAAACAAACAAAAAAACTAGTTGTAGGTATTCTTAAATTACAACGATATAGTTGTTTGCATCAATGCAATAAGAATCTATTTTCTTTTCTAACAGAACACAATTAAAAAAAAAAACTGGTTACTTTACCAAGGCTTTTACTGCAATGGTGTGCTCTCCTTTAAGGAATCAAACTTGACTTACGGAACGAATAAAACCCTTGGAAACTGGCCTCATATTTTGTGTACATAGTCCCTGTACAGGATTTCTGATCTGTAGTAAGTAAAGAATGTCACTTTCTGACAGGCCAGGAACCCCAAGTTATCTTAAAACCTTAATAAGAAATGAATTCACCCAACTCATAGGTATTTAATGGTACAAATACATGGCTGGGCTTGGCTTTAACAAGTCTTATCTCAAATTCCTTCTATATAACAGAGTTCCATCAAAGCCGATTTAAAAGGCCTGTGTGGCAAATAATTATTCTTGGTGCATTGTATACAAATAATTAAGCCAAATATAATAAAGCAGACCACTGCTACCATAATTTGTCTTTTAATAAAAATAGGAAACTGAAAAGTAAAAATTATGTTTCAAAAACTATAGCACACCTGTTGTTAAATTCTAGTCTTGCCTAATGTTTTTCAACTTGTATTATCTTCTACAGTTTAAATTATATCCATTACCAAAATCGACCCCTGGATACATCACACTCAAGTCAAAGCCTAAAGAGCTGAGAAAGCAACCTCTAACATCCCTTCTGGGGCTAACAATGAAAACGTCCTAACAATGAAAAAAAAAATTTAAGCTGGAAATCATAAAAGCCAACAGAATCATGGCCATTTCGCAGACAACTATCCAAAAACATCTACAAACGGTGTTGCTCCTGCAGTCAATCCAAGACCAAAAAACTTTCTGCTCCCCCCATCAGCAGGAAGTAGCCAGAAAGAACACGTCGCCCCTTGTCCTTTTATAACTGTAGGGTCTGGAATGACAGAGCAGGACCACCATCATCTCAGACAAACACCGCCACTTTAAGTTCCAGCTGCCTTTCCAGCTTCATGCATTTCAAGGAAATCACTTCTTTTCTAACTACAAGCAGCCAAAAAAGAGCAGACAGTAAAACACAGATAAGAAGGCTGGGGCACAGAGGAAGGCAGGGGAAAGTCTCTTGGGTAACTGCCAAACTTCACCCTCATACAATGGGCTCCAGTAAAACAGTGGCCCTTAATAAGCACATTCCTTTCCCTTCAGGTACACTAAGATAGGGAAGCCAAAAGCAGACTCGAGGGATATTCCTGCAGCTGCACAAAGATGTAGGGGAACAGACACACAACTCTCCCTCCCAGATAAGCACAACAAAGAGACACAGAAGCAGTCCAAGCCTCTGATAACTCTCCCACCCTGAATCCTTAAAAACTCTTAGTCTGTAAGAGATTGCTACTTCTGACCTAACTCAATCAGACGTCCCTCCCAGGTTGGAAGTAAACCTGTTGACTGTCGAGCCGACCTTCTTGTTTCTCCTCTTTCCTTAATTCTTACAACAACAACAAAAACTACAAATTGGACTTCATTAAAATAAAAACCTACTGCTCCAGGCTCTGGACAGTTCGGGTTTTTGTGCAATGAGGCATCTAGTGGGTACGCACTCTGCAGTTTTTCCTGTAATTCTTCTTTCTGAGGCGTTCTTAGAATCGACTAGAGATTGATTAAATAATCTGTCAAATGTGAACTTCACTATGCAAGCAGAATCAGGATTGTGCTTTCAAAGCTCACAAATGTGTTTAGATTAGATACTACATGGTGGCTTAATAAAAATTTCCTTTATCATATTCTAATTGCAGTTTGTTCTGCCAGAATCCACACCACCCTACACTACTTCTGTCAGATATAAAAATAGAAGATAAAAACCTGTCCAACTTTAAAATTGCCCAGCTTGAGCCAAATTGAAAATCAGAGCAGAGGCATTGAAGATAAAGGTTGGATGGTATATCCACCATTAAAAGAAGCTTCACTTCTGCATTTGTGCCTTAGCAGAAAGTGATTTCTGGGGTTGGAGTTTCTGGGAATACATAAGGGGAAGTCACATGAGGTCATCAAGACCATTGCTGAAGAGCTCCAAATGTCTGTTTGGTTCAGGCTGATGCAGTAGCATAGGACAGAGTTTGGCAAACTACAATTTGCTGCCTGTTTGTGTGAATAAAGTTTTATTGGCACACAGCTAAGCCCATTCATGTACATATTGTCTATGGCTGAGTTTGCACTGCAACAGCTGAGTTGGGTAGCTACAACAGTGACAGTGTGGCCTGCAAAGCCACACTATGTGGCCCTTTACAGAAAAATCTGCTAATCCCTGCCACATAACATCAGTATTTGATGTCAATCCGGATATCTCCATTTAGATGTCTCACAGACAAATCTAATTTGACAGTCTTAAAAAGGCATGCACTTCCATAAACCTATTTCATCTTCAGTGTTCCCTCTGTCAGTTAATGGCACTATCATCACCAATTCACCTGAATGAGAAGCCTCCCTCCCCTTTACCTCCCACACCCCATCCATTACTCCATTCCCCATCCATCAGCACATCCTGCCAATTCTACCTCCTCACTGCATTTCAAATCTGACCGCATCTCTCCATTTCCACTGCCATTTCCTTAGTCTAAGTCACCATCATTTTGTTCAAGATTGACAACAGTTTTCTAACTAATCTTTCTGCCTCTAGTTTTGACTGCCCTCTGCTTCTAATCCATCCTCCACCCAGTAACCAGAAGGATCTTTTCAACATCTAAATCTAATTTTCTTACATGCATAATAATATATGTAGCTAAGATTTAATGAGCCCTTACTATGTGCCAGGCATAGTTCTAAGCACTTCGTATGTAGTAACTGATCTTAATCCTCACACCAACCCTACAAGGTGGATATTATTATCTCCATTCTTTAGAGGAAGACATTAAAAAACAGAGTAGAACTTGTTCAGTTGCACAGTTAGTAAACAACAGAGCCAGTTGCAACTGCTTTATTATACTACTTTACATACGCACACACACACACACTTCTTATGGCTTCTCATTGCTCTTAAAATGGTTCATCCTATGGTTTTTTTTTTTTTTTTTGGAGATGGAGTCTCGCTCTGCTGCCCAGCCTGGAGTGCAGTAGTGATGCAATCTCGGCTCACTGCAACCTCCACCTTCTGCCCTCAAGTGATTCTCCTGCCCCACCCTCCTGAGTAGCTGAGATTACAGGCGCACACCACCATGCCCAGCTAATTTTTGTATTCTTAGTAGAAACGGGATTTCATCATGTTGGCCAGGCTGACCTCAAACTCCTGACCTCAAGTGATCTGCCCGCCTCGGCCTCTATTATTATTATTATTATTATTATTATTATTATTATTTGAGACAGGGCTCACTCTGTTACCCAGGCTGGAGTGCAGTGGCACTATCTCTGCTCACTGCAGCCTCTGCCTCCTGGGTTCAAGCGATTCTCTTGCTTCAGCCACCCAAGTAGCTGGGATTAAGGTACACGCCAACACGCCCCACAATTTTTGTATTTTTAGTAGAGACGGGTTTCACCATGTTGGCAAGATTGGTCTTGAATTCCTGGCGTCAAGCAATCTCCCCGCCTTGGCCTCTCAAAGCTCCAGGACTACAGGCATGAGCCACCGTGCCCAGCTGAGTCCATACTATTTTTAATGGCCAAAGACCATCGTCTTGATCTTCTCTAACCCCTGTTTACCTCTCCAGCCTGGTCTCTTGCCATTCACAGACTTGCAATTTAAGCTGCAGCCACCCTGACTGCTGTAGCCCTCCACATACAAGGCAGGCTCTTTTTCACCTCTATGCCTTAGCCATGCGATCCTCTCTGCTCTGGCGGTTTACTCTCTTTTCTTTTCCTCTCCCACACCTAGCCAACTGTTGCACATCTTTTAATGCTCCAGTCAGGTATCACCTACTCCAGGAAGCCTTCGCTAAGCAATCCAGATTTGTCCCTCCCTTGTGTTCCCATTATGCCATGTTCATATCGTTTTCGGTGTCCTTACTATACAATTGTATAACTCTCCTTTTGTGCTTCTGTTTCCCTCAGTAGACTGAGCTCCCAGCAGTTCTTCTACTGCAAAGGTCTTGCTTTACTCTGACTTTTCTGTATTTTCTTGGACTTCATCATCCCAGCCTTTGGCATAGGCTACTGTGGCAAAAAAAAGAGTAGAAAGGGACTATAGGATATTGTCTTTTTGTGTATGAATGCGTGGAAGGGAAGTGTGAGGACATAATGGAGATCATGAACATGTTTGGAGGAAATGACATCACAGGATGAAAACATTTTAGAGCTTATTTTTGGTAGTTTCATACCAGTAATCTTCTTTAGGACAGGCTAGACTCCAAAATATATAATGGCTCAAACACAACAGAAATTTCTCCGTGACGTAACAGTCCAAAACAGGTATTCTTATTCAGCAGGCTAGTTCTGCTAACATGGTTATTGAGGGACAGGGGCTGACAGAAGCCCCTAGATCACACCAGGTTATCACATCCCAGTCAGTCAGAAAAGGAAAAGAACATGGAGGAGCACACATAGGAAACTTCTATAGGCCAGACCTGGTAGTGCCACACAGCATTTCCCACAGTGAGAAGTTAGTCATGTGGCCACACCTCACTGTAAGGGAGCCTGGGTAATGTAGTCCAGCTGTGTGCTCAAGGAGAAGAAGAATGGTTGTGCTGGGAAACTAGTGACCTTCACAGATAAACTAACAGTAAAGTTAGGCAAGTTTACCTTTGGTGTTGGGTAAATGATGAAAGAGGTTTATTTCCTTTGTACTAGTAAGCTAAATGGTGCAGCTCTGTTTAACCTGTCCCATGGGAAGCTGGGGTAGTCAAATGTAGGCAGTATTTAAAATCATAGTTGACAGTTGAGCTCCCTGTTGAGTCACTTACCAGGAAGTAGCAGCTGGATAATGATTTGCAATGCTGATGATTCCTTAATTATTAATCACTGACACTTTGTAGATTGCCTTTGAGTAAAATCCCAGCTGGGTTAGTATACAATATCGTAATGCCAGCCCCAAAATATTTTTTCCTTTTGCATGTCTAGACTAGAGACGGAGTTAAATAGATGGCACAGTAGCAACCTGATTCATTACAAGCTAACCAAGAGGTGCTCAAAACAAAATCAAGAAAAATAAAAACAAAATATAACAGAGAACTCATTTTCATTTCAAACCCTAGCTACAGGCATGGGCTTATTCCCTGCCAGTTTGTGTTTGCCCAAACAGAGTGCACATTGATGATGACCTCACGTAGACTAAGGGAATGAGCGGATGTGAATCAATTTGAAATGAAATATCTCCATGATTCTCTGCTAAAAGGCATGTAAGTTCCCAGGAGAGTTTGTAAAACAGCTACCCAGGCTCTACTCTCTCCTCCATCCACACCCCAGAGTCTCATTTAGTCAGTCTGTGGAAGGACCTGGGGATTTAGATTTTTTAATGTTCCCTGGATGATTCTGATGTAAAACCAGGTTTGAGGAAGCACAACTCTGACAAGGTGGGAGGGACAATAGGAAGGTATGCCAAAGCATGAACCAGACAGAGTGATTTTGTTTTAATATATTAAAAAATAATGAACACTAAGGAAAATCTAGTTTCATAGTTTGACATGAAGAGCCGTCTCCGGGGTTAGATGCATTCACAGGCACCTAGAAAACAGGCCTCTTCTGGGGATTGGCCATGTAACTCCTTGCCAGAGCTGACTGTAAACTAGGAAAGGTATTATGACAGTAGACTTTCTCCTGGACATTCCAGATGCCTAACTTGTTTTCTTCTTTTCCCAGTTTGTTGCTCAGCCCAACTGCCAACAGTTGCTTGCCACCCTGTGGTATGATGGCTTCCCTGGATGGCGGCGGAAACACTGGGTAGTCAAGCTTCTAACCTGCATGACCATTGGGTTCCTGTTTCCCATGCTGTCTATAGCCTACCTGATCTCACCCAGGAGCAACCTTGGGCTGTTCATCAAGAAACCCTTTATCAAGTTTATCTGCCACACAGCATCCTATTTGACCTTCCTCTTTATGCTTCTCCTGGCTTCTCAGCACATTGTCAGGACAGACCTTCATGTACAGGGGCCTCCCCCAACTGTCGTGGAATGGATGATATTGCCTTGGGTTCTAGGTAAGTCAAAGGGACCAGGACCTATGGCCAGACTGCCTGATGGTCCTGTTTAAATAAACTACTAGAACAGGCAGTCAGACTAGCTCTGAACTAGGGCACCCCCACCCCACCCCCATGCAGTGTGGTAGTCCTTTGTTGAGAGTCTCAGAAATGTAGTTCCTTCTGTCCCGGGCACTGGTCCATGGTGAGATTGGCAGTACACCTAGGGCTTGCTTTTGCTAACTTAATATCTTCAAGGACAGAGAAGCTGTCTGTCAGTTAGTCTAGAGACAAAGCCAAGTATCAGTCAGGACAGGCCTCAAGTAAGGTAAGCAGAGCAAGTGCTGATCAGTCTATTCAAAGCACCTTTTCCCATAACCAAGGGGCACATGAATCTGCTCATTTCTCATGGCTACTCCACACGACCCAGTTCTTGTTCAGGGTCTACATCCTATTTGGACACTGACTTCACAACCAAGGGGGAAACCTGGGAAATTCACACATCATGGTAAAAGCAGCCCTACCAGTAGTCTCCAGGCATAATTAGATTGCACTGGACTCTTCAACACATGGCCATCTTCTAAGTCCTTGCTACTCAAACTGTGGTCCCCAAACCAGCAATATCAGTACCACCTGGGAGATTATTTGACACAAAGAACCTCAGGTGCCACCCGGGATCTGAATTTTAACATGATCCTCAGGTAATTCACATGTACTTTAAAGTCTGAGAAAGTGCAGCCCTAGACCACAGCCACAGCTTTTACTATTTTCTTTATTCCAAGGCAGAAGAAACATCTATGTCATCAGGTAAAATTTTACAAAACTTCTACATGATGAGAGAAAAAAGGAAAAAAAAATGAGTTATAAATTATTTTGGGCCCCATTGCCTAGCTTTAGCCCCAACATCTGGTAATTTGATCCATGATCAGCTTGCTCACCTCAAAACACATTGAGAAGTTCTCTTTCCTGAACCCAGTGGAAACTAAGGACTATGGGATAATACTGATCTAATTAATTTATTGATGAAATTATTCCCATTCCAAAATGGAAAGGAAGTAGAATCAGGCACCCAAAATTGCAACAGCATTCCAGTAACTATAGTAAAAATGCTAAGAGTAGTACCCAGAAAAGTATAACATATGGGCATTTTCAGGAAAAGCCTACCAGGTTTGGCAAGTTCAAAACTGGGAGGTGGAGTAGGAAAGCAAGTGATTATTGTCTCTCAAGGCTTCACTCCACTGAGACCCCAATTCATTCCTTAATTTCATCCTTATTCACCTGGAGGGGGGAATCCTTCTATGATGAGCAGGGCTGACCCTATGTAGAAATAAACTGTTTTCCTCCATTCTTCAGGTTTCATTTGGGGTGAGATTAAGGAAATGTGGGATGGTGGATTTACTGAATACATCCATGACTGGTGGAACCTGATGGATTTTGCAATGAACTCCCTCTACCTGGCAACTATTTCCCTGAAGATTGTGGCCTATGTCAAGGTAAATTGGAATGTCTGCCATATTTCCTACACAGCGATTTTGGCTACATTAAGCTTTTGCACTGAGAGCATAAAGAGTTTTGAGAAAAAGTGATGATGATGATGGCTCAATCCATGTGGGAAATTACCATATAAACAGACATTCTTTCAGTGGTTTGTAAGCAGTGTCCACCTAAGCAAAGAAAGTGGAAAATGGAACAATTTGCAAATGAATCATTAGCTTCTGAGACTTTCAGGGTAAAAGAGTCTTCAGCTTTCGGTGTTTAAATGCTCTCTACGATATCCGTGCCAACACAATGGCCCAGTGATGCTTGCATGGGGCCAGGGCAGAAAATTCACTGAATTCACTATCTCCAAAAGCTTCTCTTAATCCTTGTCACTTCATTAAAAAGGACTACTTTATATACGTCTAATATTATTCTCTCTGTGACACAATCATTAGTAATTCTTCCTCCCTGTGGAGTCATACAGAACAAGACTGTTTCTTCCTAACAGTGCTTCTGATATGATGCCATCTCTCCCTAACCCTCTGAGTTGTCTCTTCTCAAAGCTAAACATTCCCATTTATCTCAACTGTTCTTCATATAATGACAAGTAGCAGAATCCCAGAAACTTGACTACAGGTGGCACAGACTTTTAATAGCCCCTTCCTTTCTCATCACTTCCACCACCAGAATAATCACTCGAGCAGTTATAAATCCAGCATTTTTAGTATCACCCAACCTGTGCTTCTCTACCAATTCAGATAATGTACACACACACACACACACACACACACACACACACACCACCTTAATACTTTTCCCACACAACATTCAGCTCGAATTATCCTGAAAATAGCTTCATGTTTGACATCTTACTTTGGGTAATCAGAGGCTCTGAGTTCAGGTCTGGTGCTTATTAAATAATGGGATTGCTGTCCTCCTTGTAGCCTGAGTTAAACTTCTCCATGAGAAAAGGCTGACAATTCAGTCTCCAAGATTGTATAGTCAGTCATGCTTTTTGGCACTAAATTCCACATTAAGGACTTTTAGAATGGAAATATGGCTGTCCCCCAAATCTCCAACAACTTAGTTTATTTTTGTATCCCTAATATGCATATTGCATAAATTTTAAGACCTTGGGAGTTATGTAGAGCATGCATATTGAATGCAGTCATGAAACATTTTTGAAAAGAGCCCAAGAGTAGGCCCTATACATGTGGTGATCATTTAACACATACTTACAACTTCCTTAAGAGAAAAAGCTGGTGAGGAAAATGTTTGAATCCCTGGTTAATGTGCCTGGGTGAAATCCATGTCATTCTGGCACTCTGCTGACTAAGTAACACTGTAAAGTAAAGGGAAAAGTTCTTCCTTTGGAAATGGTATTTATACACTGGAGGGACCTTACATTATCAATCTAGAAATTGGTGGGTTTTGTTTAAACAGGAAAGCTTAGAATAAATGATGAAGAAAAGGATTAACATTTGGGGATGTGAAAAACGTATCTGTAGATTCTCAACATTAGCTAATCACATAACCTGTCCAACTTTACTGGAGAGGCTTCCAAAGAGTTAGATACTTCTCCATCACAAAGTATAAGGATAAATCTGCTCTATTAAGCTGGGTAAATGCCCCTTAACTGGCAAACACTTTATTCAAAGGAGACCTTTGCCAAGAAGTTGGAGTCCTTCCCAAAAAAGAATTTATAAAGCAAGACAGGCCACATGCAAAATTTGGATTTGTAATGAGAATTTATAAATGGGGATAATCAGGTCTACCCATCCACAGAAGTCCAGGCTGGATGACCTTCCCCAAGCAGGCTGAGCCAACTTCTATGACACAAAGCCATAAGAACTGCGACATAGGCTCCTTGAAATGTTTTCAATCACCATTGTACTGAAGCAGTACAGAAGCACCAAGGAATGAGCTGTTTTTAAAGATCCTTTATTTTATTAGAGTGCAAAATTAGTCAACAATATCTATTCCACTTCACATGATCTAAAGCAAGTACCAAAAGGTACACACCAAAGTACTCAAAAGGAACAAATATATATAAGATTGACCCTCATTGCCCCCAGATGATTCTACAAATGGAGTATAACCATTCTTTGCTTTTCTAGGATAGTACCACCTAGATCTATTCCACCACTGCTTCGCTTCCATGTGTGCCAAGTAAATCTGGACTATGCTACCCACTGAGTTATGGCCTTTCCTTCAGTCAGTGCTTAGCTAAAGACATAATAACACCCCCCTCAAATTCTTATTACTATTGAGTCCCCACATTAGGCTGTTCCTCTTCATATTTTGCTTTAGGGTTTATAAAATGCAATTTACATCCTTTGAAAGGCAAGGAGGCCAATTTTCTAACTGCATTCCATTTCAAAGGATGTAAGAAAAATCATTTGCCTCCAACAACAACTAACTCAAGAGTCAGGAGATCTGAATTTAATTCCCAATCTGATACTCATGAGCAGGGTTACCATGGGCAATCCCTCTACCTTTCTGAGCTGTAGATTCTGCCTCTGATAAATAAGCAGTAGGTTAAACTAGATCAGTGGTGCTCAACCTTTTAAAAAATTTTTTCCCATGGTACCACATCTTTAAGCAAAAACTCACACAGTAATCCAATATATAAAAAGCCCAAAGGACTGAGTTTGGCTTGAAGAATGAGTCTTCTAAGTCTCCACTTTGGCTCCCACAGTAGCTATGAGATGCCTCCATTGAACCCCCAGGCTCTAAGGAACACAGTTTAAAACGACTGTGTTAGATCAGGGGTCAGCAAACTATGGTCTGTGGGCCAAACCTGGCCTTCTGCCATGTCCTTGTGGTTGTATATTGTCTAGGGCTCCATTAGGATTACAAAGGAAGCATTGGGTAGTTGTGATGGGAACCATAGAGCCCACAAAGCCAAAAATATGTACTATCTGATTCTTGACAGAAAGTTTGCCAACCTCTATGCTAGATGAGCTCCATGTTTATTCCCTGCACATACATACTATATCTTTCTCCAAAGGTGCAAAGTATCTATGTTCAAAGTATAGATTTGCCATGAGAATCATGTTTTACACTTCTGAGTGTTCCACAAATTCAGATTCACCATCCCATGGGCAACAGACATCCCTGAGGTTACAGTTCTGGATGAGGAGAGAGAAAATCCCAAATTATGAGCTATACATGTTCCAGTTGTTGATTTCTAGTTTTAAAACATAGGTCTGTTTTGTTATCAGCAAAGAGACTATCTTTCACATATACCTCAAACCTTTAAAGGCTGATCTATCATCTGTGCTGTGATATCAACTATCATATAAGTAACATTTAATAGAAATAGTGCTAGACTGAGTGTCTGGAGACCCGTGGATAACTTCTTGCTGGCTCTGCCACCGACTTGCTGTGTGATCTTTAGCAAGTCACTCTGCCTATCTGGACTTCCTCCATTTGTAAAACAGGCATAACCATTCCTACCCCTCACAGTAATGCAGTGCATGTTTGTTGGGGGAGGAAAAATGTAGAAATATAAGATTTGGCCAAGAGTACGTAAAACTGATTGGCCGCCTAAAAGTCTATCCGAAGCAGAAGCACAAATGTGGCACAGTTTCTCCAAGCTCCTCTGACAGAGAAGAATATTGGATACACACAAGTGATTTTAAACGCACCAGTTTCCTCAGTTGTTGGAACTGAAGCACATTTTAGAAATGCTAACAATATAATTTGGCCCCCAATGCAACATTTTCTCAGGAAAGTTGTTTACATTTAGTCCTGAGAAATTGTGATATTTAAATGTGAGCTCAAGGCAATATGCTTCAAATTAAATTCCAGGCAAAATCTACTTCTGTCCTGGGAAGGTAATAAGTAATTCCTTGTATTTCCATAACATCTCCACTTATGGAGTACACAGACTTTTGCATATGGATACAGAATCACAAACATGTGCAGTGGGTAGGAGGCATTATCCTCATTTTGTGGTGAAATTAAAAGATACAGGCAGTTTTAAGTGACAATGCCCAAATTGGAGCTCAGATCTCACAATGAAGTCATCTTTCTACAAGGCTACTCCTAATATGCCGGGGGCTGGAAACCTGGGATGGGTAACCAACCCAATAAATATTGGTTCTTCCCCTCCTTCAAGCCCCTGGTTCTTCATGTGTGCTAAAGGAACATTCTAACTTACAGAGTTGTCAAATGAACTGTAAAATACAACCATACACCACTGTATGGGGCAGTACTAAATTCATTACCTGAAAGGTTGACATGCCATTTGCAGTAATGTAGAATACATTACAGCCTGCTAAAAATTCAGCAGAAAGCTCCAGTGAATGGCTCCCTAAGGATCCTCCATCAGCCCCAAACTGCAGTCAGCAAGGGAGTGAGAATGAACACTGCATACCGAGAAGGCTGCGTCTACTCCTTGTCTTTCAGTAACAGCACGTTGTCCATGGTGCTCAGAGCCCAGTGAGGGATTGAGGAAGTACATTTGGCTTGAAATCTTTAGGAAGCAGGGTGATTTTTCCCCACTATCTTGGGCATACTAGTGCCTCTGTTTCAGTGACACTCCCCAACAATCTGTTAAACCCACAGTTAGAAAATGTCTGTTGATAAGCCACAGGTGGTTGCTGCAGATGATTGATCTAAAATTTATTCTTCTATGTGTACATCCCAGGTATAGACGTGGATGGGAGTGGGAGGAAGAGAGTTGTTAGCAGCACATGTTAATTGGGTGGGGCAAGAAAGACAAATAGTGTCATGCATGGGGCCTGTTGCATAATGAATGCTTGATGCATATTTTGGTGGCTTTGTTTGGGTATGGAAGCAAGGAAAAAAGGGAAAGTTTTATAAATGTTCACTGTACCCCTCATCTTGTGCACTTGTTGTTTCTTTCAGTATAATGGTTCTCGTCCAAGGGAGGAATGGGAAATGTGGCACCCGACTCTGATTGCGGAAGCACTCTTCGCAATATCCAACATTTTAAGTTCGTTGCGTCTCATATCCCTGTTCACAGCCAACTCCCACTTAGGACCTCTGCAGATCTCTTTGGGACGCATGCTGCTTGATATCCTCAAATTCCTCTTTATCTACTGCCTGGTACTACTAGCTTTTGCCAATGGACTGAACCAGCTTTACTTCTATTATGAAACCAGAGCTATCGATGAGCCTAACAACTGCAAGGGGATCCGATGTGAGAAACAGAACAATGCCTTCTCCACGTAAGACGATCCCCTTTCCTTTATTTATTTATTTTTTTTTTTGCCATTTTTTCCGCCTTCTCCATTTTTGTCCTGTTTTCAGCCTACAGCTTCATCACTGCCACTTGACTGTGAAGGCAGTGCTCACTGTGGATCCACCCGAAGGGTCAGAGGTGGAGGAATGTTCTTCTCTTGCTACAGGGTACTAGGGGATGAAGTGAAGTTAGGTGAGGTAGGAAAGAAACAAGCACACACATGAGATCCCAGGAAGTCATCTAAAGAGTTGGTTCTGAACTATGTTGGTAGCATTACATATTTTTAAAAGAATTAATTGGGGTGAGGTAGATAATTCCTCACTCGAAATGTGGCACCAAGGTAATGAAACAGCAAAGCTATTCCTCTGAACGAGTGGCTACCAAAGCTAACTTTACTATTGTGAATCAAGGAAGGATGCAAACATATCTTAATGCACCCCCATTCATAGGTGTAATCTCGAGAGGGGACAGGCTGAAGGTAGGACTAGAATCCACTCTCCTGTTACATTAATTTAAGGTTTCAGGTGGGCCAAGTGTCACCCAGCACTAATTGGAAATGTCTCAGGACACAAGAGATAACTCATGATTCTGTCCACGAGTCCACTGCCTCTGAACACATGGAACTCCTGTGCCTTTGCTTAGTACTGTCAAGACCTACTTTTTGGGGGACCTTCAAGCCTTCAGAACGGCTTTTATTTTCTGATAAATCAATGCCAGGGGAAATAGACAAGAGAAAACAAATAAGTACATGTCAGGCTGTTAGGAGCTGTCCTGGGCTGACCCTGAACTCAGTGTTCTACATCTTGTCCATCTCCACCCCTACTTCGGGAGAGTGCAACTCATCACTGGATATTCATAGCAATGACCCCAAGATCATACAAGATTCTTAGTCATTAAACTAAGATACAATTTTTTCCTTATAACGCCATAAACCAACACAGTTCAGTGGACTTGGACATTCTAGAAATGTGCTCCATAACAAAGGCCAGAGAAAAAAAGGACTGTTGCAGTGATAGAGAAAAAAACAAAACAAAACAAAACAAAACAGTGCTATCTAGCTGATTCTTGTTATTTGTCTCTAGCAGCATTTCCTAAAATGGATTCTCACAAACCACAGCTCAGTGGCATGTTAATAGACAGGAGAATGGAATCTATGATTAAACCTCCTGCACTAGGCCATGCTCCTTGTCTCTCTTCCTGAAACTCAGGGCTAAATCTTGGGTGTGGAAACCAGATTAATGTGCAAGGAGAAGGGGTCCAAAATGGGTTGACAAAGAGATAGTGCTATTTTGGTTAAGCCAACCAGGAGTGTATAACAGCAGCTTATCAGCTCGCTAGTGCCTGTTGACTAGGAATGGCTTCCTCTCCTGCATTACTCTAGAGACAGAACTCACAGCAACCTGTTTTCAACATAAAGAGCAATTGTGTAGTGGCCTGAGCACCAGGAGACTGCATTTGTTCCCATCAAAGTGTTCAACAGAATTAGATACATGAATGAGAGGTGCCTTTCAGGAGGTCAGGTCCTTGCCAATTATGCTTTCATGTGTACTCTGCTGAGGAAATTTATGAAATGCCTCCTTGCAAGTTTGTAATGATTATTAACACCCCTGTTGCCAACTGACATTTTGCTCCTATCACTTGCCTAGCAGGGACAATTGAAAAGAATGGGCACCTGTCATACATAAAATTATATCTTGGGGTGTGAAGAAGCATTGTCATGGTGGGGCCAAATCAGCAGTAATGTTACCTCAACTTTCCCTCTATCAGTTGATGTTTTTTCCTCCGTAGAAGGTTGACTCATATTTATGTTTTCTTTTAAAGGCCTCAACTCAGGGATTCAGTCATTCATTCATTCATTTATTGAGATGGAGTCTTGCTCTGTCACCCAGACTGGAGTACAGTGGCGTGATCCCAGCTCACTGCAACCTCTCTCTCCCAGGTTCAAGCGATTCTTGTGCCTCAGCCTCCTGAGTAGCTGGGATTATAGGTGCCCACCACCATGCCTGGCTAGTTTTTATATTTTTAGTAGAGATGGGGTTTTGCCATGTTGCCCAGGCTGGTCTCGAACTCCTGACCTCAGGTGATCCACCCGTCTCAGCCTCCCAAAGTGCTGGGATTACAGGTCTGAGCCACTGCACCCGGCCTCAGGCATTTATCATACCTGTTAAAATACACGTTACTCAGCCAGGGAGATAGAAAGATTCTGCTTTTAGAGAAGGGGATAGTTTGTTTATGTATCTGGTGGAAAGTTTGGTACCTGCTTATTGTTATCCTTTTCCTTCTGATTCTCCAGAGATGCCATTGCTTTTCTTCCACATAAAAAAAGAAAAAAACAGGCCAGTCGCGGTGACCCACACCTATAATCCCAGCACTTTGGGAGGCCAAGGTGGGCAGATCACCTGAGGTCAGGAGTTCAAGACCAGCCTGGCCAACATGGAGAAACCCTGTTTCTACTAAAAATACACAATTAGCCGGGTGTGGTGGCACATGCCTGTAATCCCAGCTACTTGGGAGGCTGAGGCAGGAGAATCGCTTGAACCCAGGAGGCAGAGGTTGCAGTGAGCCGAGATCACGCCATTGCACTCCACTCCAGCCTGGGCAACAAGAGCAAAACTCCGTCTCCAAAAAAAAAAAAAAAAGAAAGAAAGAAAGAAAAAAGAGAAAAACAATCTTCTCCTCAGGCATACAATTTAAGGGAAACTCATTGTCCTTGCTGACAACCACATGACAGTACAGCTGGGGGTTTGAGTTTGGTATTGCATACTGGGAATACGTGGCCTTCACCTGCTGTCAAGAGAAGCAATTAGAAAGACATTATCATTCTGAAGACAAAGGACTTGTGAGAGAAAAAGAAGCTAATTTGATCCAGCCCTCATCTCCTGATGCCTCCTGAATATACCTGGCTGTTTCACAGGCCCCTCAAATACAGGATGTCCACAACTAAATTCCTTATTCCTTTTCTCCGTATCTTCACTTCCAACCTATATCCCCTTTAATTCCTCATCTCATTAAATGACACTAACCAGATTCCTAGGAGTCATATGGGACTCTTACACCTTCCCTCATGAAACACATCATCAAGTGTGTCACTCAGCCCTATCAGTTCTACTTCCGAAGTATCCCTTGAATACCTCTCTCTCTTTCTCTCTCTGTCTCTCTCTCATTCTCTCTCTCTCACATACACACACACACACACACACACACACACACACACACACACACACACTCATCCCACTGTCTTGGTTCAGGCCTAAATCATTTCTCCCAAGGACTGTGGCAACAGACTCTTGACTGGTCTCTCTGCCTCCAATCTGGTCTTCTCTCCAAACACTCTCCTACTTGCTGTGCGGAAGTTTCTTTCTAAATACCTGTTGCATCCTGGCTCCCACTGGCTTCATGCCTGCCAGAATATCTGAATCTTCTCCATAAAATCCTGCCCCTTTACCATAACACACAGGGCCTTGGTAATCTGACTCTTGCCTCTCCAGTCTTTTACTGCTCTCCTCCTTTGTCAACATTTTGCTGTTCTCCAACTACAGGAAAGTGTCTCAGCCCTTCAGACCTTTGTACATCGCATGCCATTACCTCTGAATGGAATACCCATCCTCACCTAGCCAGCCTGGCAAACTCATACCCATCTTTCCAACTGCTGCCAAAGGGCTACCTGCTCTAAAGCCTTTCTTATCCACTCTAACCCCACTCTCAGCTGCAGGCTTCTTCTAGAATGCATGTTTCCCATGGCATTCTAAACACATCTCCATTATGTTACATAAACTGTTGTATTTCAGACATCTGTGCCTCTCTCTCCCACCAGACTGAGACTCCCATCTTAGTAAGCTTTGCATCTGCCATAGAGGGGCCTAAGATATAAAGGTGCTCAACATGGCTACTGAACAATTGAGTGAAAAGACAAAGATGACGTCCAAAAGCAATCCTATCTTTTTAAGCTTTTTATTTGGAGATAATTGTAGTTACATTGTAATCGGAAGAAATAATAGAGAAAGAAATCTGTAAATCCTTCACCCATTTTTCCCAGGCATAACATCTTGCATAGCTGTAGTACATTATCACAACCAGGAAATCAACACTGATAAAATCCAGTGGCCTCATTCAGATTTCACCAGTTTTATGTGCAAGCCATTTGCAGCAACATACATGGGCCTAAGAGTAATCTTGTCTTTAATTATAGATAATCTACTTCTGCTTCTGCCCACCCTGCCCCCCCAGGATGACTGGAGTATCTGGCCAACTCTGTCACTCTACTGATCCACTTTGAGCTTGCTTTCAGCAAAAACCCTTGGCCTTTCTCCTACCTCTCTCATCCTGTACTTGGGCACTTGGCCCAAGAGCAAAGCTCTACATTGATCCCTATATATTTCATCTTATTAGTTCCAGCCCCTTGCTCCAAGGTGTTGAAGTCTTTCTGAGTCTTTATCCTGTCATCCAGTTTATTAGCTTTCCCTCTAGTCTTGTGTCATCTGAAGATCTAAGAAGCATGCCATCGATTTCCATCCAAAGCGTTGAAAAAACTGTCAGGCAGGCTTGGTATTTGCTGGGTGGAATATTGGGCAGCTATTAAAATGATACACATGAAGACTCTGTATATACATAAAAAAGTTTCTAAACCCAAAATGTGTAAATTTTTAAAAATTACAGAAAGTGGGCTGGGCGCTGTGGCTCATGCCTGTAATCCCAGCACTTTGGGAGGCTAAACCGGGCAGATCACTTGAGGTCAGGAGTTCGAGGCCAGCCTGGCCAACATGAGGAAACCCCGTCTCTACTAAAAATACAAAAATCAGCCAGGTGTGGTGGTGGGCACCTGTAATCCCAGCTACTTGGGAGGCTGGGGCAGGAGAATCGCTTGAACCCGGGAGCCAGAGACTGCAGTGAGCCAAGATGGCTCCATTTCACTCCAGCCTGGGCAACAGAGCGAGACTCCATCTAAAATATACATATATATATATATACATATATATATAAAATATATATATATACACACATACATATATACACACACACATAGATAGATAGATAGATAGATAGATAGATAGATAGATAGAGCTATAGATAGATCAATAGATCAATCCCAGGCTGGGCGTGGTGTCTCATGCCTGTAATCTCAACACCTTGGGAGGCCGAGGCAGGTGGATCACCTAAGGTAAGGAGTTTGAGACCAGCCTGGCCAACATGGCGAAATCCCGTCTCTATTAAAAATACAAAAATTAGCCAGGCATGGTGGCATGAACCTGTAATCCCAGCTACTCAGGAGGCTGGGGCAGGAGAATCACTTGAACCCGGGAAGTGGAGATTGCAGTGAGCTGAGATTGTGCCATTGCACTCCAGCCTGGGCATCGCATGGAGACTCTGTCTCAAGAACAAACAAACAAACACCAGAGATTGTATAAACTATGATTGCAACTATGTACAATTAGACATTCAAATGAATAATAATCTATAAAGACAAAGGAATGTAAAATAACAAGGTGGAACGTTTAATAATAATAATGAAAATAATCAATATTTACTGCGTGCTAGGAACAGGCACTATTACAAATCAGCTTTTCGTGAATTAACTCATGTAATCCTCACTGCCATGCTATCAGGTAGACAGTGTTGTTATTATCCATTTTACAGATAGGGAAACTAGAGTACAACGCAGTTAATCAGGCTGTCCCGAGTTGCATAGATGGTAAGTAGCAAAGACAGGATTTCAATCTAGGCATACAAGCTCCAGTCTGTACTTTTACCTAGGGATACAGGTGTAAGACTGGTTTTGTAAAGGTACGTAAGATTTGTTGTATACAGCTGCAATAATCATGA
This sequence comes from Homo sapiens, assembly GCF_000001405.40. Lineage (NCBI taxonomy): Eukaryota > Metazoa > Chordata > Mammalia > Primates > Hominidae > Homo > Homo sapiens. The sequence goes on along the minus strand of NC_000023.11, from coordinate 111,841,279 downwards.
ACACACGAAAAGCGAAAAAGGACAGAGCCATGACCTAGCAGGCCACTGTGACCTCCTTCAAGGCTATTACCATTCATTTGCAGCTACTTCTACTTAATCAGTGGTGATTTCTCCACCCATCATTCAGCCAATATTTTCCTATCTTGTTAACATGGATACACACGTAGTTCCCATCAAACACTCTTCTTTTTGTTCTGGTCAGGTCATAAAGGTTCTTATTGGTTATCTCTGGCTTTTCCTCCTAATTCCAGTCCATATCCTTCCTGATGCTATTATCACAGGATGCTGCTACTCGTTTGTACTTTTCTTGGTTATGTGTTTCTCCTGTCATCTTTTATAGACTCCTTCAATAAACATTTCTTCAACAATTCCTATGTACCAGGCAATGAGGATACCAAGGAAGATGGAATCCTTATCTTTAAGAAGTTCATAGTCTAATGGGGAACGCAAATGAACAATTAGAATAGCTGCTATTATTAATGCTTACCATATGCAAAGTACTTTAAAGTGCTGAGCACTTTACATGCAGTATCTTAGGTGATACAGTTATAAGGCTATGTGTGTGGGCTTCAGAGTCAAAAGAGCTGGGTACAAACTCTACCTCTGATACTGCCTGCCTGTGTGACCACTCTGTGCCTCAGTATCTCATCTGAAAAATAGAAGAACAATAGTCTCTACTTTATAGACGTATAGCCAAATATAATATAGTCAACCCTTCATATCTATGTCTTTTGCATCCATGGATTCAATCATCCGTGGATCAAAAATATTTTTTAAAAAATGAATGGTTGCATCTGTACTGAATATGTACAGACTTTTTTTCCTGTCATTATTCTCTAAATAATACAATATAGCATTTACATGCTATAAATATAAATATAGCCATTTACATGGCATTCTCATTGTATTAGCTATCATAAGTAATCTAGAGATGATATAAAGTATATGGAATGGGCCAGGCATGGTGGTTCATGCCTGTAATTCCAACACTTTGGGAGGCTGAAGCAGGAGGATCACTTGAGGCTAGGAGTTCAAGACAAGCATGGGCAATATAGCAAGACACCTGTCTCTCCAAAAATTGTTCTTTTGTTTTTGTTTTTGTTTTTGTTTGAGACGGAGTCTCGCTCTGTCACCCAGGCTGCAGTGCAGTGGCACGATCTCGGCTCACTGCAAGCTCCACCTCCCGGGTTCACACCATTCTCCTGCCTCAACCTCCCGAGTAGCTGGGACTACAGGCGCCCGCCACCATGCCCGGCTAATTTTTTGTATTTTTAGTAGAGATGGGGTTTCACCGTGTTAGCCAGGATGGTCTCGATCTCCTGACCTCGTGATCCACCCAACTTGGCCTCCCAAAGTGCTGGGATTGTAGGTGTGAGCCACCGCATTTTGAAAAAAATTAGCTGGGTGTGGTGATGCATGCCTATAGTCCTACCTACTCAGGAGACTGAGGCAGGAGGGTCACTTGAGCCCAGGAGTTCAAAACTGCAGCGAGCAATAATTGTGCCACCACACTCCAGCCTGGACAACAGAGTGAGATATTTTCTCTAAAAATAAATAAATAAATAAATATAAAAATAAAAATGAAAAAGTATATGGGAGGATATGTGCTTACGTTATACATAAACACTATGCCATTTTATATAAGGAACTTGAGCACCCATGGATTTGGGTATCTGTAGGAGGTCCTGGAACCAACCCTTTGCAGATATCGAGGGACAACTGTATATGCAAAGCACTTAGCACAATGCTTGGCATATAGTAAGAGCACAATAAATGTTAGCAATTAGTATTTATCTTACCAAGAATCATTTTTGAGATGAGGAAAACTTGAAGTTGAAAGAGGCTATGTAACTTTCCCAATGTCATTTAATAAATGGCGGGGTCTAAAGTTCTCGCTTAGGCACTCTCCTCTATTGCCTCTACAGTGTGATTTGTGCATTTATGGAACAAGGCTTGGGTGCTATGGGAGCAAAAAAGAGGAGCATCTAACCCAGCCTTGTAGGAAAGGAGTTGGGGCAGGCTTCTAGAGGAGGTGGGGCTTCAACTGAGCCTCAAAGGTCAAACAAGAATTAGACAGAAAAGGAGAAAGGAAAGAAGTAGAAGCTAGAGGTTGGGGCAAGGTGAGGGTATCCTATCCAGAGACAGGAGCTTGTCAAAGGCATAGTGGAATGAGAAATAGCAGGTCCAGGGAACTGTGGAATGGGTAAGGGTGATACCAAAGGGTCACCTGTGTTGGGATTACAGCTTTTGCTCCATTTAGGCTATCAACATACAACTTGGGAAATATAGGATGATGTCCCTGCTTTCTCCCAACAAGCCTTTAACTTCGAGTTCACCCTCTAGTTCTTCTTTGTTGGTCTGAATTAGGTCCAGAGAAGTAAATCCTCTCCATACTCTTTCTACTTTTTGAAAGGGTAATTCCTCATCTCAAAGATGAGACTTTCGGCAAATATTCAGAGGACTGAGTTCCCATCTCTGTTCTACTTTACCCCTCTTAGCTTTGTGATCTATTTGTGGATGGCTCCCAACATGTGCAAGTTCTCCCTTAACCACCTGTTATGGATTTGTCTTCTGTGCATTTAATATCAAGTTTTCTTGAATCTTTGTATCTTCAGTCTATGCCTCTTCTTGAGCTAGCAAGTTCCATATGTTTGTTTACTCTCTGCTAAATAAAAATGGACTAGTTGCTTTTTTCTAAAATAATCCCTCTTTAAAATTGAAAAGATAGTCCTTTGTTATTAAGATTCCATGGTTTGTCAACAAGTCTTTCCATCCCTGTGATGACTTTATTATAGACCCAGCACCAAGTAGTACACCCCCACCACCACCAGTGGTGGCCCTTTCCCTGTGTATTAAACCGAGTCTAGAAGCCACAGAACCTCCAGCAGATGTCTCACCAGAATATTCTTTTCCACCTCACATGACAGTCCCTCATTTTACCTGGGCATGCTTTTCAGCAGGCCAGCTTCTCCTGATGACCGGACCACACTGTAATATTTTGAGGAACATGTTGAGGACATTCTCACTACCAACCACCAAAACGGAGGAATGATCTTTCCTATCCCTCCCCATTTTCCCCTGTTGTACAATTTTATCCATAACGTTTCCCTGACTAGAATATCAGCAGAGTTGAAGGCAGATTTATTTATTTATTTATGCATGCATTCTTTGTTTGTTTATTATTTATTTATTTACTCATATGTAGAGAGAGACAGGGTCTAGCCCTGTCACCCAGGCTGGAGTGCAGTGGCATGATCATAGCTCACCGCAGCCTCAAATTCCTGGGCTCAAGCAATCCTCCCACCTCAGCCTCCCACGTAGCTGAGACTACAGGCACATGCCACCATACCTGGCTTTTTTTTTTTTTTTTTTTGATAACGGGGCTTTGTTATGTTGCTCAGGCTGGTCTCAAACTCGTGGGTTCAAGTAATCCTTCCAATATTGCCTCCCAAAGCTCTGGGATTATAGGCATGAGCCACCATGCCTGGCTGAGCGAAGATTTTAAATGCTCAGACTTTTACTTTTAGGGAACGTTTGTATCTGTCAGTGGAACAACTAGCAATAAACTCTATCCTCAAGCATAAGCCATTGCAATTTTAATTGTTGTAGGGGTAGAGGTGAAGGTAACATCTATTCAGGAGAAGCAACCAATTAACTAAGACTCTACCAACATATTGATTACATATTTGCCCTAGTTTGTGGCCTTATTGTCTGTCAGGAAATCAACAAACACTTAC